>NC_000001.11:218809587-219434587 GCF_000001405.40 Homo sapiens
GCCAAATAGCATGCAATTTTCTTTGGCAGAAAAAAAAAAGCCTGATTTAAGCACAGCGAAAAGGTTTGTATGGGTTCAAAAGGAGTGACAAAGACACTGCTTTTGCTGTCATTGGCCTGCTTTCAACTTTTATGTCCAAAACAAATGAATCTGGATGGAAGTAGTTAAAACAGCAAAGTGAGCTAGTTCAATTCTTTTAAAGATATTATTGCTACACTATCCTCCCCCATTTGTAATCTGTGTCAGGAGATAGAGACCACTTCAACTCAATGAGTCACTTCAACTTCCTAGCCAGAACAATTAAAATTCTTGTATAAAACAAGACCTGAAGCCTGCCCTTCACCACATCACCTCACCTCAAAAAGGCCCAAGGGTCACATCTGACATTTAACAGCTCACAAATTCAATTTTGTAACTAATGAAGCCAACTTAATGCTTTTACAAATGAATACTGGGTTATTGCAAATTTTCTTCTTCAACATTTGGGTAATATATAAAATGTATTGTCAGTTCAACTGCCAGCCTGAATAACATTATATATGCCTCTTCATCATGATGGCATGATGGAGATAGCATTTGTAAGCCAGTGGTAGGGAGAATTAGAAGAGGATAAGACAGTCTTCCATCCCTCACTCTCCTTTCTCCATGCACAGACCCCCCCAAGGAAAGAAAGTAAGGAAGAGGAAGCCTCAACAAATACAGCCCAGAAACACAGATGTACAGTTTGTCTAGCTAGTACTCCTGCTGACTAGATGAAGACGGCACTAGCCTCAAGGATTAACTGCACTGCCCTACAAGTTACTGAAACAGTTAATGCAATTTGCAGATTTGCGTCTTCTTTATTGCTAGCAGCTGAGCAGCTTTTTTCCTCCTCCTCCTTTCAGTTGTTATTGATGTCTTGCCATATTTTGCATACAATCCCCTAAACAGCATTAGCTCATTTTTACTCCAGTCTTGCAGATTACCTCATCTGGGTTATGTTCTTTGGTGCGTTGGTGTTGAGTGTTGAATATGTCTTAATTTTTCATTCTTAAAGGCATTCTCAACCATAATAGGTACTTAATAAGTTTGATCTTCTTTTACATCATGTGTTTGACCTGCCTATGAGAAGGACTCCCAGATTTTCATTTCTTCATTTGTTGGTATCTATAGTAGGTGGATTTATGTGGAAAGACAGAGGGAGTGTTATGTTACTTTCCTTTATTTCTCAGTTGTTTATGAAGCCCATCCTCTTCCTGGAATGTATATTTGACATGATTGCAATGAAGGTTCTATTTTCATCCAGCTTAAGATAACAAAGGGCTCTGCCACTTCATTTAAAAACAGATTTTTTTTCTAAGACATTTTTGATTACACTTTGTTCAATCATACTCTCTACATTTTCTACTCAGGACTCAGAACTCAGTTTTAAAGACAACCAAATTTAATTCAGATAAATTAACCACATGTACTTGGGAACATGCTATTCCCTCCCCCAACCCTTGTCACATGCATACCGTGTTCATGCAGTCTAATGCAAATTTAATTACCACTCCTTTTTCCCCACTATGCCAATTAAATCTTAGAGTCGAAAACATGCCAAAGGTCTTGTGCCATCCTGCTTCTGAGCTTTTTCCCTTAGGTACTTGAAGCACCATCTCTGGCTCTCTGTCACTGTCTCTATCTTTCTCTGTATGTATCTTCATCTCTGCCTCTGTGCCTTTATCTGTATCACCATCTACCTACCTACTTGCAGTATGAATGTATAAGCCTTTATGGTTTCCTAGCTACCTATAAGGGACTGGGCAAAAAAGATAAGAGAGGCTCAGTCCCTTTCCTTCAGAAGTCCATAGCTGAGTGTAGAAGAAAGAGATGTTTAAAAAGACACATTTCAGTTAAATGGAGTAAGAGGAGGAATAAACAAAGTGGCATGAAAGCTGCATGAAAGACTGATTAGCTTTGCTTGTGAATTGGGTTAGGTTTTACAGAGTGGATGAAATCTGCTGACAGATGAGTAGGAGTTTGCAAAACAGAAGTGGGGGTGGTGGTAGTAAAGGCAGAGAGAACAGTATGTGCAAAGGCATACTCAGTTAAATGTTTAGTGTGTTTTGGGAATGGCAAGGGAGCCAATGTGGCTGGAGTTTGGGTTGTGTGGGAAGGAATGGCAGAAACCCAGGCTACAGGGATGGAAAAGACCCATTAGGTCATAGTCCCTTTTCCCCATCTCTTCCTTCTCTCTCTTCAAGCCAAAGTATCCATGATGTTCTCATCCACGACTGGCCCAAGAAAATGTATTTAATCTCTTTGAACTAAAATAAAGGAGGTCAAGAATGGAGACAGACTAGAAGCCAGGTCACAACCTTTCTTCTCAATAGCAAAAAAACTCTTTGGTTTTGCATGTGAATGTCTTTGTGCTTTTTAAATTTGAGTTACTCAGTGTTTGGGTAATGTTCTATTTTTAATCTGTTTGCTAAAGTCAGCCATTCCTCATCCTTAAGACCATTTATCTAGATCTACAAAAGGATAAAATGTCATTTGATGTATCTTTATGAAATTGCAATTGACTTATTATTTGAGATTCAGAGCTGGCATTAACAGGAGTGATGAAAAACAAATTATTTACTGAGTCTTTCCTCTTTCCTCCCCACACACAGTCAAAACATTCTTCTCTCCCCCAGAGCAACCAAGCAAGCTCTATTATACCTCCACTAAGGGACGATTTAATTTCTTCTTCCATTTAGTCCAAGAATGACTGCATGCCTTTTAATTATAGGAGGTATTCCTTTGTAATGATGGCAGTAGAAATTGCATAACTATAACTTCAGATAATACTCATTAGATTTCTTATTTAGGAAAACTTCAAATTGTGCTGCAAGAGACAGCAAGAACTTAGTTCATGAGATCCTTTTACCAAAAGTACTAAAATCTTTAAAGAGCCAAGAGCGCTTTTTCCATTTGTAGATATTAAGTTAACCATTAAACAAGTATTGTGTTTTGCAAGATACCAAAAAAGGAAGGCCAAGTTGCGTTTGAGAATCACGTTAAAAGCCAAGATTAGAGCTAAAAGGTATGACGGTGTCCTAGGAATCATCTAGTAATATGGACGGAAACAAGAAATTTAAAAGGAATTTTTTAATTTGAATAGGCTGGCTGAAATGTCAAAAGTCGATATCAAAATACACTAAATGAAGTCTCATGCATATGGCATGAAGCACAATTCCTACTATAAAGCAATTCCAAGAAAATGTGATAAAATTAGAATATCATAAAAAATTAGAAATATAAATCAGAATATAGTTTTTAGTGAAAAATATTTCTATTTAACCTTATTTTTTCTAAACATTTAGAGAAATTGATTTTTTTCAGTATGACTTTTAAGGTGTTCTTATTCACAATCTTACTTAAAATTTAATATCAAATGCATTTTACAGCAAGATGATAAGTATCAAAATTAATTTTTATGATCTATAATTGCCTATTTTAAAACATGTGATGTACAAAGTGCAATTCATCATTATTAGTGTTCACACACAAATTATACTGTACAGTGAGACTATGTTTTAGTTATCTTTGTTCTTTTTCCCTTAGTGATTTTATGTAACTACATAATTAAAAAAAGAAAGAAACAAAGCATAATAGTCATTCATTATAAGCCCTTCATAAAGAGTGTAAAGGTTAATATATACTGTACATATATGTGTGTATGTAACAATCACTTTGTGCCAGGCATTTTGTCAATTGCATACATCCAATGTAAGCCTTAAAACAACTCCAGAAGAGAGGTAACATTAATCCAATTTTGCCGAAGAGAAAAAACATGAGTCAGAGAAAAGTTTTAAGTACCCAGCCTGAGTTCAAGGGGCCAGTAAGCAGCAAAGCTTGAATCTGACATGTCTGTTAAGGCTTACTTACATCCAAGCTCTTAGTCACTACTGTGTATAACCTTGCTGCCATTGAGGGAGTGGGTGTGTAATTCTTGGTTGACACACAAAGTGGTCCTGATTTATTTCTTATTTTGAAATAAAAATGGGCAATCTTTGGGTTATCAACAGTAGAAACTAATGTAGGGAGAAACATAAATATTCAAATTAATGGTCTGTAAATAGAATAATTTCTATCCTTAATTATTTCCTTTCAAAAAGGAAACACTGCTTACTATCTTCACAGTTTGTTCTAAGAAACTGGGAATTCAAAAGTTCTGTATGTTTTTTTAATCTACCTAATCAAAGTCATTCTTGCTGTCATTTGAATGTATATTCTTTTCCCTGCATCATTTTAAACAAGGAAGCCAGGAATAATTGCTACTTAACTGTCTATTCTACATGATTTATTTTAACTCTGAAGTCATTGCTTAATATTTTTTTCTGAAATTCTGATTTATATCATCAATTTTGAAAGAGAGAAGATCATGAGACATGAAGAATTTTATAAACTCTTCAAAATATAATCTAGATGTGATGTGTGTTATTTGAGTGATGGATATTCTAACAGCCCTGACTTTACCACTATGCCACCTATACATGTAACAAAATTACACTTCTACCCCATAAATTAATGCAAATTATATACATACACACATGCACATATACACACACTATATATATGTATACAACCTGAAGAGTAAGGTGTTTAAAAATAAAAACTATTTTCTTAAAAATCTTATTAAAGTAGATTGCATATTTCCCTACTTTCAGAAATAAAACATTTTGAACATAATTGAATGCCTTCTGCATTCAGAGCCATTGCAATAATATTATACTATCATGATGTCAGCAGAAAGTTGACTGTCATGCTTTGATGGTCCTGGATTTTTGTACTTTTAAAATTTTAGTGTCTTTAAAAAAAATTTAGTTTTTCTGTTGTGTCACACTGTGAGGGTTCTGTCTTTCTGTCATTGAATGTTAAAAAGATGATAGTCCCAGTCCTATTTCCAAAAGCCCTACTTATTTTCTCTGCTTATGCATGAACAGATTATTGAAAAAAAGAAAAGGAATTAATCCTTAATAAGTACCTCTGGTGTGCTAGATATTGTGATAGATGCATAACTTGTGTTATTCCATATAGTCCTAATTACCCATTTGTGAAGTTAGAGTTATTAGCTCTAATTTTCACATAAGCAAACAGGTGCAGGTGGCTAAGTAACCTGTATATGCTTGTTTATGAGTCCGTGAGAAAGGTGTCCACAGCAAATGCTTATGTGTTTCTCTTGTATGTAAAGTGCACAAGTACTACTAAGTTGCACAAGACTTTCATTTCACATTCTTCATGCTTCTTCTGCTGTGACCCAGATGGGAGATGTTGTTGAACCATGCAGATGTTTCTCCCTAATGTGCTACCTGAAGCCCAAAAAAAACTTCTTATTTTTGAAATTGTTCCCTTTGTGAGAAAGTAGGGGTGGGGCAGTTAAAACCTGTGCACGTTTGTAAACAGATTATTAGCAAAAGCAATAATAATACTGATACAATATAAGCAAAGCTTAAAAGTATTTTGAATTTATACTAAATAAATACCATGGGAAATATCAGACAATACTTTAGAAATAAAGTAAAAGACAGCTTGCTGAAAGCAATACAAAGGAAGGCATTACAGGGCAGAAGGATGCTGAGTTATAGAGACAAGGGTCAATGAACAAAAAACAGGGAGAACTACTCAGAAAGCACAAAACGTACTGCCAAACTGAGCCAGTAGAAGGAACATGGGGTGACTGGGCATGGGGGACCATGCCATGTTCCTTCATGCGTTACCATATTCAGCTGGCTTGGTATACTTTGCATTCTGTTGCTGTGACTACTTGGCATAAAGTTGTAACATGTGAGGGGAAATTGTGTATGAACAGCAAGACTTCTATAGTATCCTGACATCATACCTTTACTTCCCAATAGGCTATCATTAATTTATGTGTCAGAAACATTTATTATACTAGAGTAGACTGTGTTGCCCTCATAGGTGAATGGTATGGCATTGTCTTTTTTGGTTATATTTTATAAAACATCTGGTAGTATGACTGTAGATTGTTAAAAATACACAAAGGCAAAGCCTTAGGAGAGTAAATCAATAAGTCCAATAATTAACAGAATATATGTTTTCTCAAACAATAGTTGGTATTGATTTATTTTTTTTTTTTTACTCCAAAGGGTTGATTTTTAAGAGTATTCCTAGGTATTGAAAGCAAACAATATGTGAACTCCCTATGCTTATTCCTTGGGTATAGGAATCAGTGTTCAGCATGGGCTGTTAACCAGGGACTTGGATGAAAACTGATGCCATTACTGAAGAAGCTGCACTGGCTCCATCATTCACTAAGTATTTACTTAGCATTCTCTTGCATTGAAGGCCTCTCTTCACTGACTCCAAATCTTGCCGCCTTGGCTGTAATCTTGCTGGTGCCATATTTTAGTGGGGTAATCAAATGCACCAGATAGAGAGGGACTCAATTATGTCCTACAATGTGAATGGTAAGAACATGGCTAGAATTTTTTAGGCTCTGTGATTTTAGACAAGTTATTTAATTTTTCTGAGTCTTACTTTCCTCAACTGCAATATGGAGATTAACAGTTCTCTTATAACTTCCTATGATTACCCTGAGGTTAATTTGTAAAAATGAATGTGAAGTGAAAAGATTCACAACTAAAACTTACTCAATAAAACGTGGTGGTGGTAATCACTACTACAACTACTGCTGCTACTACTACTACTACTAGAAGAATGGCTGATTGTTTCATGGATTTTGATATGTCAGCTATCACACCACATGCTTTCTGTTAGATACATTCCCTAAACTTTACTATGTATATCATGATTAGCTAAAGATGAATTGTTCAACTGGTTTATAAAACTGAGGTTATAACTTTATTTTAACAAATTTACTGAAAGAATTGCCAGGAACTTTTGATAAAGACTGCATAGAAATTAATAAAACCTCTTTCTTATTTTGAAGGAGCTGATGAATCAGTGGCAATACCCTGTAGACAGCAGTGTTGTAGAGTCACAGAAGTGAACGAGGTTACAAAAAATGCAAATTATAGTAGTTGACCAATCTGGGTTCAAAAGTCTGCTCCACTATTGACCTCTGCAGAAGCTGATTAACCCCCAGGCCTCCATTTCTTTATCCTCAGGTAACATGAACCTATCTTTGGATAATTAAAAATCAAGTATGTAAAAGGCAGGCACTGTTACAATGCCTGGTACACAAAGTTGTTCAATGGACAATGACAACAATTAGCTAAAGGACACAGTAGATAATTTTGATGGGGAGGGATTAAAGAAGGATTTATATACAGAAAAATGAAACTTAAATTGGGCCTTTAATGAAAGACCATTTTAATATCATTTGTCTAGTATATATTAATGTGTGTTTTTTTTCAGTGATTGATTTTGCATAATGTGCAATTGCTTAAAAGATCAAAAGTAAGTTCATCAGTCAGGTCAAAAATTCAGGGTTGATCTTAAGAAAAAATAAAAGAAAAATAATCAAATAAATATGAGATGTATAAGGAAAAAATTTAATTTTTTTTAAAATTTAAAATTTAAAATTTAAATTTTTATTTGAAGTGCACTTTAGGAGGCCTTAACTCCTACATGGAGGAGTTACTTCCTCAACTCACTAGGAAGCACGTGCTTGTCCTGCTCCCTGTGGCTCTGTTAAGAACAGCTAGACCTCGAGCACAGCTCTGCACTCTGTGGAAAAGAGACAGCACAACAGGAGTTCTGTGATTGATTTCTCCAATTTTTTTAAGGTAGAAAAAAAAAATGTTCTAAGACAGACACAGGGCTCAACAAGTTGAAATTGGGATTTATTCCCGGTATTACTTGGATTTTCAAGAATTTTTGGAAATCTTGCCTTTCGGCCACAGCTCTCCTCAGCATTATGAGTTATTTGCCAGATTCATTTCAAGCTCTTGAATTTACGGTTAAAAGAGAAATAAAAAGTCTTTCATTTGTTCCTAAGCTGTTTATTTTGCTTATAAAACCAATCATAACATCTACCCAATAAAAAGAGAAATGCATAAAAGTTATAACTCCAGAAAAGTTAACTGTTGAAGCCTGAAATTCCCCCAAGCAAAGCCAGAAGTCATTTTAATGAGACAGAATTTTCTCTTTGAACTTGGGAGGGCACACGAAACAAACTTGCTGAGAAAATTCTTCTTTTATCCTTCTCTAGAACTCTCCCCTTCAAGTCAGACTGTGGCTAAGCTTGGGATTGGAATTACTGGCCTAAGCAGGCAGAAACCTGGAAACAGTCTTCTACTGTTTTGTAGCACAAGAAAAACTGCTTAAAGGGCAGTGTGATGTGCATGGTACAGTATGGCACAGGACAGCCTGCTGCAGGGCGGTGCGTACTGTGGGTGTGCTATTGACCCCACCCCTCCTCTACTCGTGCCCTATCACATAAACACCAACTCTCACTATTGCACACACAGACACACACCCGCCCCCCTCCCCTTACAGAGCCAGACTGGACATCTGTGCGTTTGGAACCTAAGATACTAAAAGTGTTATGAAATGGCCTTCTGCCTCCTCTCCCCCTGCAGCTAAAACCCCAGAGCAAGGCTGATAAGCTTACTGAGCAGCAAAACCCTCACAGAAATGAGGAGAAACAGAACAGCCAAATCTAAAAGGTGCATCATCCAATTTGTTTCAGACCTACTAAGACCAGCACTGGCCATATGGGATCCTGTTTTGCAAAAAAATTGGACACAAATCAAGGGTTTTGTTTTCTTGGGTTTAAAAACTTTTCATCACTTTTTCCTTCTAGCATAAAAATACAACACTAACTACTTTACCAGGAGAAGCAAAAGCGTTTGAAAAATAATTTCACCCCCTACCAGCGCCTGCTATTGAGATCAGTGTCGGTTCCAATTTGTTCCTGACTCTCAAAATTTTTTTTTTTTCTCATTGGGAATTTTCTCCTTATGTGACTACTGAGGCAGGGCATCTGTGGCATACAGAGTCAAAGAAGTGAATAAAATAACTTTATATGTGGAAGCTATGCTCTTGAGGATGGCTTTCTCTCTGGACTTTCTAAGATCTTCCTTTGTATGATACATTTCAGTCCACAGAGTAATTCCCATGCAAGGAAGCAGCAGCTCAGTGGTTGGGCATTCCCGAGATGGGGCAGAGACAACGCTTTTGGCTGCATCATGAAATAACACACATTAAGTTCATTCTTTTCATCTTCAAAGAACAACATAAATCTTCATCCTTTAATTCTTCTTGCGGGGTGGGATCATTGTTATTGCTGATATTATTGTTATTACATCTTTTGTAACTCTTTTTACTACTTACCCTCTACTTGCCTTACCCCTTTTTACTGAAACTGAGGCACCAACTTGCAGAATAGAAGACCAAACAAAACCATACCAAAGGAAGAATGCCGTTAAGGCTCCCAGACATGCCCTTTCCATTTTCTGTGCTGTGAGGACACCTGGGTCCCTCAAATTATCTCTCATTGTTGTAAAGTGTGTTCCACGTAGTACAGCAGAGATCCATGAGATAAAATATCCCCTTGTGGTGAAGAAGATGTATTTCTTCAGATAACACTTTGGAGAAATATTTAAGAACAGGACTGTGACCCAAGGGTGACAGATCTCCTGTAATATCAGAGAACATAGGAGCACAGAGATTTTTCAGGGTTCACTTGACCACTTGCTCACACATGTCCTTGAGATAGTTACTTACTTGCTCTAAATCATAGGTTCCTCACGTGCCTGGCATTTGAAGAAGATTTAGCAAGGTTAAGCATGTAGAATGCTTAGCACCATGCCTGGAGCATAGAAAGGGTCCAATAGATGTGAGCTGTGATTGTGCTATGGTGGTAAATTCACTTGCTAGTTGGTGCCTTTTTGCAGGCAACCATGAAATTCTTGAAGATCTATTTGCACTTTAACACAAGGTAGTGGGTTAAAGTAGATTGAACATGATCTCCCAGAAATGGATTGAATATCATTCCTTCATATGAGGGCTTTGCCAGCAGTTCTACCTCCATCAAGAAATGTGTATTCTTTGAGCTTTTACCTGTCCCAGGGTTATTTGAGGCTGGAATAGGATAACATAATTAAATTGCTCAGCTAACATTAGGCTCTCAGCAAATGCAGATTTCCTTCCTATACTTGTCATTCTTATAAGCAGAGATAGCTTAGAAATTTGCATGACTGAAACTATCGTTTTTTGCATTTGTTTCATGTCACTTTTTAAAAAATTATTTTACTTTAAATTCTGGAATACATGTGCTGAACGTGCAAATTTGTTACATAGGTATACATGTGTCATGGTGGTTTGCTGCACCTATTAACACGTCATCTAAGTTTTAAGCCATGCATGCATTAGGTATTTGTCCTAATACTCTCCCTCCCCTTGCCCCCCACCCCCTGACAGGCCCCGGTGTATGATGTTCCCCTCCCTGTGTCCATGTGTTCTTATTGTTCAACTCCCACTTATGAGTGAGAACATGCAGTGTTCAGTTTTCTGTTCCTGTGTTAGTTTGTGGAGAATGATGGTTTCCAGCTTCATCCATATCCCTGCAAAGGACATGAATTCATTCTTTTTTTATGGCTCCGTAGTATTCCGTGGTGTATATGTGCCACATTTTCTTTATCCAGTCTCTCATTGATAGGTATTTGGCTTGATTCCAAGTCTTTGCTATTGTAAAAAATGCTGCAACAAATCCAGCAGCACATCAAAAAGCTTATCCACCACATTAAAGTGGGCTTCATCCCTGTGATGCAAGTCTCGTTCAACATAAGCAAATCAATAAACGTAATCCATCACATAAACAGAACCAACGACAAAAACTGCATGATTGTCTCAATAGATGCAGAAAAGGCCATCGATAAAATTCAACACCCTTCATGCTAAAAACACTCAATAAACTACATATTGATGGAACATATCTCAAAATAATAAGAGCTATTTATGACAAATCCATAGCCAATATCATACTGAATGGGTAAAAGCTGGAAGCATTCCCTTTGAAAATTGGCATAAGACAAGGATGCCCTCTCTCACCACTCCTATTCAACATAGTATTGGAAGTTCTGGCCAGGGCAATTGGGCAAGAGAAAGAAATAAAATGTATTCAAATAGGAAGAGAGGAAATCAAATTGTCTCTGTTTGCAGATGACATGATTGTATATTTCGAAAACCCCATCGTCTTAGCCCAAAAACTCCTTAAGCTGGTAAACAACTTCAGCAAAGTCTCAGGCTACACAATTCATGTGCAAAAATCACAAGCATTCTTATACACCAATAATAGACAAGGAGAGAGCCAAATCATGAGTGAACTCCCATTCACAATTGCTACGAAGAAAATAAAGTACCTAGGAATACAAGTTAAAAGGAACATGAAGGACCTCTTCAAGGAGAACTACAAATCACTGCTCAAGGAAATAAGAGAGGACACAAATATTAGATGGATCAATGAGACAGAAAATTAACAATGATATCTAGGACTTGAACTCAGTTCTGGACCAAGCAGACCTAATAGACATCTACAGAACTCTCCACTCCAAATCAACAGAATATACATTCTTCTCAGCACCACATTGCACTTATTCTAAAATTGACCACATAATTGAAAGTAAAATACTCCTCAGCAAATGCAAAAGAACAAAAATCACAATGAACTGTCTCTCAGACCACAATGCAATCAAATTAGAACTCAGGATTAAGAAACTCACTCAAAACCACACAACTACATGGAAACTGAACAACTTGCTCCTGAATGACTACTGGGTAAATAACGAAATGAAGGCAGAAATAAAGATGTTCTTTGAAACAAATGAGAACAAAGACACAACGTACCAGAATCTGTGGGGCACATTTAAAGCAGTGTGTAGAGGGAAATTTATAGCACTAAATGCCCATAAGAGAAAGCAGGAAAGATCTAAAATCAACACCCTAACTATACAATTAAAAAAACTAGAGAAGCAAGAGCAAACAAATTCAAAAGCTAGCAGAAGACAAGAAATAACTAAGATCAGAGCAGAACTAAAGGAGATAGAGTCACAAAAAACCCATTAGGAAATCAATGAATCCAGGAGCTGGTTTTTTGAAGAGATCAGCAAAATAGATGGACCCATAGACAGACTAATAAAGAAGAAAAGAGAGAAGAATCAAATAGACACAATAAAAAATGATAAAGGGGATATCACCACCGATCCCACAGAAATACAAACTATCGTTAGAGAATACTATAAACACCTCTACGCAAATAAACTAGAAAATCTAGAAGAAATGGATAAATTCCTGGACACATACACTCTCCCAAGACTAAACCAGGAAGAAGTCGAATCTCTGAATAGACCAATAACAGGTTCTGAAATTAAGGCAATAATTAATAGTCTGCCAACCAAAAAATGCCTAGAACCGGATGGATTCGCAGCTGAATTCTACCAGAGGTACAAAGAGGAGCTGGTACCATTCGTTCTGAAACTATTCCAGTCAATAGAAAGAGAGGGAATCCTCCCTAACTCATTTTATGAGGCCAGCATTAGCCTGATATCAAAATCTGTCAGAGACACAACAAAAAAAGAAAATTTGAGGCCAATATTTCTGATGAACATAGACACAAAAATCCTCAATAAAATACTGGCAAACCGAATCCAGCAGCACATCAAAAAGTTTATCCACCATGATCAAATCGGCTTCATCCTTGGGATGCAAAGCTGATTCAACATACACAAATCAATAAACGTGGTCCATCACATAAACAGAACCAATGACAAAAACCACATGAAGATGCAGAAAAGGCCTTCGATAAAATTCAACACTCCTTCATGCTAAACACACTCAATAAACTAGGTATTAATGGAACATATCTCAAAATAATAAGAGGTATTTATGACAAACCCACAGCCAATATCATACAAAACGGGCAAAAACTGGAAGCATTCCCTTTGAAAACTGGCATAAGACAAGGATGCCCTCTCTCACCACTCCCATTCAACATAGTATTGGAAGTTCTGGCCAGGGCAATCAGGCAAGAGAAAGAAATAAGGGCATTCAATTAGGAAAAGAGGAACTCAAATTTTCTCTGTTTGCAGATGACATGTTGTATATTTAGAAAACCCCAACTTCTCAGCCTAAAATCTCCTTAAGCTGATAAGCAACTTCAGCAAAGTCTCAGGATACAAAATCAATGTGCAAAAATCACAAGCATTCCTATACACCAATAACAGACAAACAGAGAGCCAAATCATGAGTGAGCTCCCATTCACAATTACTACAAAGAGAATAAAATACTTACGAATCCAACTTACAAGGGATGTGACGGACCTCTTCAAGGAGAACTACAAACCATTGCTCAAGGAAATAAAAGAGGACACAAACAAATGGAAAAACATTCCCTGCTCACGGATAGGAGAATCAATATCACGAAAATGGCCTTACTGCCCAAAGTAATTTATAGATTCAATGCTATCCCCATCAGGCTAATAAGTGAGAAAATAGATGTTCACCCAAACCAAGTAAAAAAAAATTCATAAATATCTATGTAACATGATTTAACTGATAATTCCTAAATAACTATTATAAAAGAATTACTCTAGTAGAATAGGGTTCTGAAAATGGGAAAAGTATGGAGGTGACTTTCAGTCCATTTTATAAATTCTAGCTTATAGGAAATTCATATATTACAAAGGAAAAATCTTAGAACAAATAGAATAAGTTGATTTGTGCTGTTCTTAGTATTGGCTTAGCAACTTCCACAGTTAGGCAAAATCATCACATCATGATAAAAGAATGCAAAAATCCTGTGTCTATATAAGAAATGTGACCTGCATTGCATAGTAGAAGAACCTCAGGCTTAGCCACATTGATGTGGTTTAAGTTAATATCTAACTTAGCTAGTTCCTTTCTTCCTTTAGTTCATTGCAAAGCTTTTTCTGTATCAAGTAGCATTCTCTCTCTCTCTCTCTGTTTCTCAGTAAAGCAATCCAAAAATACCATTCTTAGCTTTTGAGTAAGTCCTCAGTCATCTATGGAAGCTAGAGTTCAAAGCTTTGAAACACTGTTGTGCAATTCCCTTTTTATTCCCCTAATATAGTATAGCACTTAAAAAACTTTCTCTCCGTCCTAATCATTGTCATCATAAATTAAAAGATCATAATCAGTGTAGAGTAGCTGTTCCTCTACTGGATGGAAAACTCTTGGCACTTACACGTCCCTTAATTAGAGAATGGAAGCCATGATGATTCAGCCAATACTCACTGTTCTCTTGGGTAGAGAGTAGAGAGAGGCTCAGTTACAGCTCTTTGAAGATTAAGGTAAGAAGAACACAGGTTTTGGCGTCAGACTAGCAAGAGTGCCAGACGACTCTAGACCACCTATGAGCTGTGCCCTATATTTGTTTGCTAGGGCTGCTGTAACAATGCACCACAAACTGAGTGGCCTAAACAATAGACATCTACTTTCTCACAGTCCTGGAAGCTAAAAGTCCAAGATCAAGGTGTTGGCAGGATGGCTTTCTTCTGAGGGCCTCTTTCCTTGGCTTAGATGGCTATCTTCTCCCTGTGTCTTCAGATGGTCGTTTCTCTGTAACTGCTTGTGCGCCTAGATTTCTTCTTACAAGGACATCAATCATATTGGACAAGGGCTAGTCTTCATGATCTAATTTTATCTAAATTATGTGTTTATAGACCCTGTTTTCAAATATAGTCACATTCTGACATATTAGGGGTTAGAATTTCAACATATGCATCTTGGGTGGACATAATTCAGTGCATCAAATGTGCCCTCATCCAAATTCCTTAGAATTCTGGGGCTTGTTTATTTGGAATGTGTGACATGGTCAATTGTGAAGAATTGTGGATGTTGACCATCAGGTGAAGACCATGCTTCACATACCCAAGGTAGGGGTCATTGTCCCAATATAAGCATATTCATGTCAATCTCTACTTTTCACCATTAAAGTTGTTGCTTTTTAAATAATAACAATGGGTTTACCTGATGTATTCAAAGTATACATTTTTTAAAAATCTGTGTTTCCTAGAGTAATTGCCAAACCTAGCATACTACAAATAAAAGGATATTTATCTAGGTTGAATCTATAAAGACTTGGGATTTATTTAGAATTTACATACTTGGAGATTACTGCATATTAAGATGGCATAGCATCATATATATCCCTATATAATCATATTTATTGATTATTTTTATTTCTTCTTTTCTCCCAACTTTCACATCAAAATAATCACCAGGTTCATGATTATTTTGTGAATGTTTGTGTCCCCCCCCCAATTCATATGTTGAAACCTAACCCCAAGGCAATAATATTAAACAGTGGGGCCTTTGGGAGGTGTTTAGGTCATGAGGGTTCTATCCCAATGAATGGGTTTAGTGCCCTTATAAAAGGGGCCTGAGGAAGCTTGTTTGCCCCTCCTGTCATGTGAGTACACAGCTAGAAGGCAGTATCTATGAATAATAGGTCCTCACCAGACACTGGATCTGCAGGTGCATTGACCTTGGACTTCCAAGCTTCTACAAATACAAGAAATAAATGTGTGCTGTTTGTAAATGACCCCGTCTAAAGTATTTTGTTGTAGCTGCCATAATGGACAAAGACAGTCCACCAGCATCTGTTTGCTACATATGTTTCTCTCCCCATCTTTCCTGCCCTCATCATAGTTCAAGTCCTCAGCTTTTTTTTGGTGGCTGGGGTATGGGTTCTGTACCATTTTAACAGCCTTCTCATTGTTTTTTTTCTCCTTCTAGTCCTGCCATGTCATATCCATAAATACTGTGGTCAAGCTAATGTATCAAACTGCAAATTAGATTACATCTCTAACTCATAATCTATCAATTGTGTGATATTGTATATAGCAGTCTACCTGAAATAATAGTTATATTGGGACAGAAACTGCAGATAACAGTCACATGTGTGACATAGTCCAAGTAATAACTAATGCTATCAGAGGCTGTTCCATAGATAAAATTGACTTGATTGCTCCAACCATTATATACTTTTCTCTCCCATTTGTACGTGATCAGTCTATGCCAGCACCGATTTAGAAAATCAGATCTGAACTCCTTTTCACGACATTCAACACTAGTGATTGAGAAACCCCCAGCCAGACCTGGGCCTGCCCTCCAGTGATTTGGAAGTCCCCAGAGTTCCCCTTGTTGTCAGTTAGAACTCCATTCCTCTCCTTGTTGCTTGAAGTTTTCCATGAACAGATACCTGCCTTCCGGTCTTGCCATCACATTTCGATGGTACGTTTTATGCCATAATCACATCAAGCTCTCATGATTTGTTTGCCTGTTAGTCTCACTCCTAGCCTAAAAGCACCTCCATAGTATTTTCTTCAACTTTATTTCTCTGGTGCACTTAGAAATGTCAAAGCAATAACCACTTGAGATGAAAAAAATATCAGAAGGTATAGAAGTGACAGACACTTTCTGCACCTAAATATTTTTAATCTTCATCATGTTTATGGATATCTTCATGAAGAAATTAGGATAAGGGAAGAAAAGAAAGAAATGAAGGAATAAGTATGGGAACAAAACAATGAAAAAGAGTATGAGAAAGGGTGAATTCATCCTGATTTTGTATACCCTATCCCAGGATTCACCCACCCAATAATCACCAGACCTGTGCACACAACAAGGGTGGTCCAGCCATCCCAACTCTGCTGACTACAAGCAGGCTGATCTTGCTGCCTTCATGCTGTGTTCCTCCTCTCTTGCTCTTTTTGAGAACATGCCCAGCTCCTGATCCCTTGTCTTCATCTTCCCTTCCTGTTTTTGTTCCAATTTTGAATCTTTCTCAGTCATTGAGAACCATTTCTGCTGTGGCAGCTTGGCCATCACTCCAGACGAAACTTTGACAGAAAAGAAAAAGATTAAAAAAGTCAAGGAAGAAGAAATGAGAAAGCAAGGAAAAAATGAGGGAAAAGAAGAGAAGAAAGAAAAAGAAGAGAAGAAAGAAAAAGAAGAGAAGAAAAAGACAAGGAAGAGAGAAGGAGTCAAAGCATTTCATGGAGTTAATTTATCATTTTTCTCTCCACGATCTTTTATTTCTATTTGGATTATTCACTTGACTCTCATTTAGCATAAAGGCAGAAAATGTTTTCCTTAAATGTCCCATAAGAGTGGCTTGGATTTTTCACTCCATAGAGAAATCACAAAATTTTGACTCAATTGAATGTAACTAAAATTGTTCCAAAGAAGAATTATTATTAAAAAGCTCTTGGCTGTGAAAATGAGAGTAACTTTAGTCTGGAAAAGGATTTTTTGGAAAAAAAAAAAAAAACACACCCTCCTACTGCCTCTGAACTAAAGGGACACAAAAACCATGATAATAAAACAGGCCCATTCAACTTTCCATGGAAAGCTGTGACCCAAACACTTAACAAAGAAGGACAGTCTTGAATTAGCAGTAATGCTGGTGTTTTTTATACACACACACAAGAATGACTTTAAGGATACTTTTGTCAATCTTTTAGTCCTGATGAGCAAAGTTCATATTTTCTTTTAAAATTTTTAGGCTCAGGGGTACATGTGCAGGTTGGTTATAAAGATAAATTCGTGTCATGGGAGTTTGGTGTACAGATTATCTCATCATCCAGGTAATAAGTATAGTACCTAATAGGTATTTCTTTTCTGATCCTCTCTCTCTTCCCACCCTGCACCCTCAAGTAGGGCCCCGTGTCTGTTGTTCTCCTCTTTGTGTCCATGTGTTCTTGTTATTTAGCTCCCATTTGTAAGTAAGAACATGCGGTCTTTAGTTTTCTGTTCTTGCATTAATTTGCTAAGGATAACGGTCTCCAGCTCCATCCATGTTGCCACAAAGGAGATGATCTCATCCCTTCTTGTGGCTTCATAATATTCCATGGTGTATATGTACCACATTTTCTTTATCCAGTCTACCATTGATAAGCATTCATGTTGATACCATGTCCTTGCTTTTGTAAATAGTGCTGCAATGAACATAACACATGTATGTGTCTTTATGGTAGAATAATTTATATTCTTTGGGGTATATTATATACCCAATAATCATATTGCTGAGTGTAATTCCATTTTTAGTTCTTTGAGGAATCATCACACTGCTTTCCACAGTGGCTGAATTAGTTTACACTCCCACCAGCAGTGGATAAACATTCTCTTTTCTCTGCAACCCTGCCAGCATCTGTTATTTTTTATTTTTAAAAATAGAAATTCTGACTGGTGTGAGATGGTATCTCATTGTGGTTTTTATTTGCATTTCTCTAATGATTGGAAATCTTTCTTAATGATCTAAATAAGCATCTACCTTCCCTAATACACCTCAAGTTATTCTTTCTACAATGCTACATTTAACACAACTGATTGAACAGGGGTCTTTACATACAAAAAGAATGATCTAACTTTAAAAGCTCCATCCAATCGGACTTTTATATTCCAAAATGACTTTTAATTCATAGTTTCAGCAAATATATATTGAACACAAACCATGCAATAAGCCCTTTGCTGGGATGTAGGGAGATAGTCCTCTTTGAAACAATTAAAGTTGGGAAGTGTTGTCATTATTGCTTTTATTTCAATAGATAATCCATAGTTTAGGAATCTGAAGTATTTATAATTGAGTATAGAAACATAGATGAATTTTACATTTATAATTGGCAAGCACTCGAAATCTACTTAAAGAATGCTGCCTCCGTAGCATACTTCCTAAGTGAAACATGTAAGGAGATTGCCATTTAAAATGGACTGCTCTACCTTAGTGCTGGCAAATGTTGTGGATGTAACTTAATAACCACTTACAGAGTCTACAGTGTTGTCTTAGCCAGTGCAAGATGTACTCAAACACACTCTGAATGCAACTTGTTCTTTGCCTACTATGCTAGTTTTTTGAACTGAGTTCCATTTAACTATCTCATTAGATTAGTGAATTCTCTTCGTTTACTTTGTGAATCATGTGAACCAACACCCACAGTTCACAGCTTTATGTTTCCCCCAACACTTCTGCTTGCACCATTGTGTTGTAGGCTTACCCAATGTCAGTTGTGTTTGTTCCCAACTGTGTTTGTATCTACAGTCCTTGTTCCTATAATTAAGCAGCATACAAGGCAATACAATGTGAGCCCCCAAAGAGAGTTATAGTTTCTAATATTTGTGTTAAATTAGGTGCAGGCAAGTTGACTATAAAAGACTGGGAAAGATTGTAAACATCTTTAAGCATCCTGGGCTCAGATTGCTTTGCATGTCTGTGTAATTTTGGCCTCACTTTAAAGAAAACAAACTTGATAAATCATGGAATAATGCATTACAGGTGTGAGTATATGAGAAAGACTATGTGAGCTTCAATCAGGCAGACACACACACACACAAACACACACACACACAAGCCATGGGTCTATTTAAAAAAAGATGGGGAAATAAATGTACATTTATTAAATTCAAATAAGCAGTGGAGGGTATGTATGCATTACTTTCATGATTCTCTCCTTAACAGGCTCTTTCAATTAACCAGCCAACTGCAGGTCCAATTGATTCAGGCTAGGTGAGACCTAAAATTGGGGCTTAGTCTGGGAGGGCTTTTGACTTCACCTAGGAAAGAATTCAAGAACAAGCTTGTGATGTTAAATAGCAACTTTTATTGAAGTCACAGTGTGCAGCAGCAGGAGAGATACAGCTCCTTGTAGAGCAAGGATAGCCCACAGGCAGTATGCCCAGAGTAGCAGCTCAGAGGCAGTTTTACAGTTATATTTATACCTACTTTTATTTATATGCAAATTATGCGACGGTTTATGCAGAAATTTACAGGAAAAGAGTAGTAACTTCCAGGTTTCCCGGTTGTTGCCATGGCAAGGGACAGTAACTTCTGGTTGTTGCCATGGCAATAGTAAACTGTTTTAGCTAGTCCTTAAACTGGTTCAGTGTCCAAGCCTCATCTTGGAGTTGATCCCACCTCCTACCTCACTATTACTTTTACACTGAAATGCAGGGATGGCTGAGAAAGAATATAGTGTGTTTAGCAAAAGGCACACTGGTTTCTACTCTTCCCTCAGCCACTTTGAGCAAGGCACTTATTCTTTCAAAATCTTGACTTCTTGTTTGTAACCTAAGGAAAACAATACCTGTTATACCCACTTTACAGATTTCTTTTGAGAACCAAATGAGGTAATTAATGAAAACATTTTATAAATTCCAAAATGCTAAAAAATGTCGAATAGATCTGGGCTCTAAATTCCTAATGATAGGAACTGTGTCTTGCATAACTTTAAATTCTGAGAAAGCCCATAGAATGGCGCTTGCAGAGAGTTAAAATAATAAATCTTTAATACATAAGTTAATACGTGAATAATCTCATTCTTTTACTTTTCCAAGAAAGAACACACTGCAATGATGTGCTGCCAATAGAAACATTGTCTCCTGGCCTGTCCTTTCTGACATTGTGTCAGGTTGGCATGATGGGCCTCTTAGCAGTTGTCTGTATTGTGACTATTGTGCTATGTTATAGAGAAAGTACATGCCAACCTTCTTACACAGGTTTATGTGGTACAAGATAGGTATCTATTAAATTGAACTTATTGGGTGAATGAATGAATTAGGGATGAGTAAATGAGTTAAAATGGTTGGACTTTTTTGGGAACACTTTTTTTCTAAAGATTACTGTGAAAGCAATAGAAATTAGTGGTTGTTCAGTTAACAATAACTGAATAGCACTCAGGAAATATTTACTGAACATTTTTGAATACATGTGTAGATACAATGTATGAACATGGAGATAAACCTGCCTTAAAGTCACTAAATGTTTACACTAACAACAAAAGGGAAATTAAGAAGGCAATTTTATTTACAATAGCATCACAAAGAAGAAAATACTTAGAAATAAATTTGACCAAAGATATGAAAGACTTGTATGCTGAAAATTACAAAATTTTGGTAAAAGAAATGTAAAAAGACACAAATAATTAGAAAGACATTTCGTGTTCATAGATCAGAAAAATTAAGATTATTAAAATGTCAATATTTCTCAAAGCAATCTTCAGTCAATGTAATTCCTATCAAAATCCAAATGACATTTTTTACAGAAGTAAAACAATCCTGAAATTCATTTGGAAACACAAAATGAACCTGGACAAGGAAAGCAATTTGGAAAAAAAGAATAAAACTGGAGGCATATTCCCTGATTTCAAAACACATTACAAAGCTATAGCAGGCACAAGAGTATGGTAGTGGAATAAAAATATACACAGAGATCAATGGAACAAAATAGCTCCAAGATAAATCCATGAATATATGGTTGGCTGATCCTCAATAAGGGTGCCAAAAATATATAATGGTGAAAAGATGGTATCCTCAATAAGTGATGTACATGCAAAATAATGAATTAAAAATTATCTTATTCCATATACAAAAGTCAATGCAAAATAAATTTAAAACTTACATGTAAAACCTGAAGTAATAATACTCTTAGAAGAAAATATAGGGGAAAAGCGTCCAGACTTTAACCTAGTCAATGTTTCCTTGGCCACAAGCCCAGAAGCACATGCAACAAAACAAAAAATATACAAGTGGGATTACTTCAAATTAAAAATCTTTTAAACGACAAAATGTAAAGTCAATATATGCAAAGGGAGAGAATATCTGCAGACCATATATCTGATAAAGGATTAATATCCAAAATATATAACTCCTATAACTCAATAGCAAAATGTCAAATAACCTGATTTGAAACAGCCAAGGGGGCTGAATAGACATTTCTCCAAAGAAGACATACAGATGACCAACAGGTATATGAAAAAGTGCTCACCGTCACTAATCATTAGGGAAATGCAAATCAAAACCACAGCTAGATATCGTTTTTCACCTGTTAAGATGACTATTATCAAAAAAAACAAAGGACACAAGTATTGGTGAGTGAGCAGAGACAAGGGAACCCTGTACGTTGTTGGCAGAAACTTAAATTGGTGTAGCCACTATGGAAACAAGTATGATGATTTCTTAAAGAAATTAAAGATGGAAATACTATTTGATTCATCAATCCCACGTCTGTATGTATTCAAAGGATTTGAAATTGGTATGCCAAAGAGATATCTGTCCTCCATGTTAATTGCAGCATTATTCACAATAGCCAAGATACAGAAACAACCTACGTATTCATTGCTGGATGAATGGATAAAGAAAATGGGGTGTATATACAATGGAATACTAGTCAACCATAACAAGGAAATCTTGCTATTTCTGACAACATGAATGAATCTGGAAGACATGATCTTAAGCAAAATAAGACAGACATAGAAAATCAAATACTGCATCATTTCATTTAGATGTGGAATCTAAAATAGTCAAACACACGGAAGCACAGAGTATAACGGTGGTTGTCAGGAGTTAAGGGGAGGGCAAAATGGTGAGGTGTTGGTAAAAGGATACAAAGTTTCAGCTATGCAAGGTAAATTAGTTCCGGAGGAAAATAAGGTATTAAGGGTGCCTTAAAACCATTTGCTACTAGTACTTGTAATAGAGTAGCTTTTTAAAAAAATTGAGAATTGTATCATGCACATGATAAAAAACTCAAACAGTTCAAAAAGCTATATAGTGAAAATAAGTATCCTTCCCAGACCATAGAACAGACGCTTTCCTTAGGGGAGCCATTGTTAATGATTTTTTTTGCATATTCTTTTTGAAATTTTACTTCTGCATAGAAACATATTTATATACTCCTTATATATTTTTGACTTACACACTGAGACATAAATATATTGAATGTATTTTGTTCCTTCTAAACTTAACAATGTGTCTTACAAAATTTTCCTTATCAGTATACATAGATTAATGTCATTGTGTTCAATAGCTTTACTATCACTCATTTAACTGTTTCCTCATTGATACTTAGTTTGTTTCACATTCTTTGTTATTCTGAAAATGTTTTAATAAATTAGTGTTTATGCACACACATGCACACACACACAGAGAAACTTGTTTATATGCCTGATAATATCTGTAGAATTAATCCCTAAATATAGAACTTTGGGGATAAAATTTTGAAATTTTTAGCCCCAGGGAGCAGAGAAACAGGCTTATTAAACTTATTTTTTCGATTTTAATGATGTTTGAGAGTTATCAGCCCTGCTGGGAAAAATAATCAATGGATTTTATTTCCCTTTAAAGTTAAAGTTGGACATTAATGGCACTTGGCACTTAAGGTGGGATAATACTAGACAATCAGTCTCAGCTCTGTACATGGGAACCATTTAATTTTAAGTGTAGGAAAGACTTTGTGGAAAATCTGAAAGACTTCCTGGAATAAGAATGTCAGGAGACCATCTTACTCTCTTTGGAAAATTCATCTTAAACGTGACAGAATTGATAGAAATGTGATTTTTTTCCAGTTATTTCATGTGTTATTTTTCCTTTAGATGGGCTTGTCTTTTTTTCCTAAATAGAAATGATTAATTGTTTTCTTCAGCTTTTCCTCTCTTCCTGGTTTATTTTCTGTACAGCTGTAAGAGGATAGTAATCATAAGAAAATTTACATGCATTAGCTATTCAATAGAGAAGAAATGTTCATACATGGGAACACTTATGGGTATATATAAATACAATTGATGAGCATGATTTTCCACTTTGTTTGAATGACAATGGTTTAAAATATATCAACCAAATGAGTTTAAATTTGGCACAGAAATGAATCCTTCTATAAATAGTCACAACGAGTTCTTAAGAGAACTCAGGATATGTTTTTTAAACGAATTTATTATTAGGAATAGTTTTTAGCATTATTAGGGCTGTGTCTATAAACACAGAGAAAAATGTTAGTACAGACTATTCCGTCCAAAGATGTTGGTTGAAGGAGTAAGTCTCCATTTGTTTGTATTAGTTCTTCTCAGCCCTTGTTGCACATTAAAATCATCATTTCAGTTTTTAAAATAATACAAATATTCAACCAGACCAATTGGATCAGAATTTCAGCCTGAGAAAAGGAGTAGCAGGCATCCACACTTTTAAAAAGCTTTGCTGGTGATTCTAATTTGTAGTTGGGGTTTAGAACTGCTGGCTACAGAATGATAAGAAGTAGCAATTTAGAATGTAACTCTTTTTGATAACTATCGGGACAAGAGAGTGAGTGTGAGATGGATCACCTCTGTCATTGCAGACAAATTTAGAAAGAAAATGACCCCAAGGGCCTGTTTCATTTTCCTGAAACACTCAACAAATTCAAGAATGTAAACATGGGACAGAGAAAAGATGTAAGGAGAATGTTAGTGGAGACCTCTTTGGAGCGAGCAGATGCTGTGCTGCACTTCCCATGTTCCCCAAGTGAAGGAAACATGGTGGATGCTACCTTTTACACTACCTTAATTAGGCCTGTGATTTCCAATGCATTTTAACACACAATTCATCAAATGCAAATAAAACTAAATTTGCAATCATTTTAACACACAATTCGTCAAATTCAAATAAAACTAAGTTTGCAACCATAGAATTTTGCTGAGCTTAGAATGTACTTTGTAATTTCATTCCGGTGAGTACTGGTACACTACATGATTGAGCTCTATACACTGTGTTGCTCTTTGTTGTTTGTCTACGTCTAAACATACAAAGAAAGACTTCAATGGGTATATTCAGAGAGTCATGGTAAATGTTTCTTGCCACTAAGAGACTGAAGACTGTCGTCTGATCTATGCAAGAGAGAGCTTAATTAGGCATAGACTGGAGTCTGTTTTCTACCAGCCAAATGTTCTGTTGGTGGACAACGGTATTGTAGCATGAGATTCAGTCTGTTTCTCAGAATTTATCAGGAAGCCAAAAGTGTTTACCTGTAGAAAATGGCAGTGTCATGGGAGAGAGGGCCTGCATAGTTCCTGAACCAAATGGTTGACAGGTGAAGTGAGCCAAATTCAGCAGAGAGAGGTTAGAGGTGTATCATCAGAAGGAATGTAGGGTTACAGGTGATAACCTAGAGTAGAGATACATCCTCCTGGGTCAGCAGAAGAGCAAAACCCCAAATAGCCCACAAAACCACCCATAAGAAGGAGTTAACCAAAGCTATCTCCCAGGTCTCCATTTTAACCAATTGCAAGAAAGAGAGAGAGAGAGAAAGAAAAAAAGAGAGACAGAGTGAGCATGAAGCCATTCAGCTCGGTAAAAATTGGCTTATTCCTGATCTTCATTTCCTTTCTCTTACAACAATATTGAAAAGAAGAAAAAGAACTAGCAAATACAAAAGGAGGTGAGCAGGAAGAGGAGGAGGTAAAGCCACCCATGTCCTCTTTCCCACTACAGGCTGCCAGCTTGAAGCCTGCCCCAGTTGGAGAGAGGAATTTAATGTTAAGTAGACAGTGGAGTTTGTACACTTTCCCTATGTCTCTTGAGCTTGTGGAGTACAGCAGAAAGTAAAGACTGAATTTTAGTCCATTGACATTCCAGATAATAATTTTAGTCTTATGGCATAATCATCCTTTTACCTATCAGACCTTTAGTGCCCTTGATCCCAAATGTCTTCTTGCTTCTTAATCTGTGACCTTAATTTAGTTTCTTAATCTATGTTGCCTACTTCTATTTGACATCTAGTACCTTATTTCTTTTCAACTCTTCCCTGAGAACTCCAATTTCTCATTTGCTTCCCATTCTGATAGGCAGTGACTATTTTCCAGTGACTCCTGTGCACATCCAAGTCCTCATCCTCTGCACTGCCAACCCTCACCTGAAGCTACATGTCTCACCATGGAATAAAACTGGACTGTTGATTAGCTGATTTACTTTCCAACTTATTTTGTTAGAACTTTGGAGATGTAGACAAACAACAAAGAACAACACAGTGTATAGAGCCCAATCATGTAGCGTACCAGTACTCACAGGAATGAAACTATAAAGTATATCCTGAGCTCAGCAAAATTCTATGGTTGCAAACTTAGTTTTATTTGCATTTGATGAATAGTGTGTTAAAATGGTTGCAAATTTAGTTTTATTTGCATTTGATGAATTGTGTGTTAAAATGCATTGAAATCATAGGCCTAATTAAGGTAGTGTAATTTTTATTAAAAGCACATACAAAATTAGGTACCTTCGCTTATACATGTTTACTTTGCTTTTAAAATGGCACAAAAAGCAGGCTTCAAAATGTTAACAACACTCTGTGATCAATTTTTTAAGGGCTTCAATTTTGAACAAAAAAGGAAACTCAGCTGATTATTGCAAAGATGACTTTTATATGCCTGCATAGTGTAATTCTTTAGTACTGGAAATTACATTCTTATTACTCGCTATAATATTTGCTAGTCTCTCTTGCAAACTGCTTTAGACTGGCTTTCTGAGCCAGTGTCAAATGAGACCTCTAGGGAAGGCTCAGCTGCAATGTAAAAGGCAGCAATTTTAGTTCAGTATTGTATTTTTTATTCCTATTATGTAGAATGCTAATAACAGAGACATAAGATGTCACATACCCATATTTTAATGAGAAAATTGGTAATTGTGACATTTTGTTAATTCACACAATCTTTATTAAAAGTACACACAATTTTAAGCAATGAGGTGTAGATTATCACTGTTAATTACCTATCCGTGAGTAGTAAGATGATTCTTGTATTCCTGCCACATTCATTCATTAATTCATTTAACAATCATTTATTGATAATCTAGAATGTGTCAGGCATTGTGCTAAATGTTAAGGATATAAAGTAGGGTAAGATACTATACTGCCTCTGTTCCTCAGTCTTGGTGTTTTTGCAGAGAATGGGTTGTAAAAGGTAATTTCAGTATGTGGCAAGTGTTAAAAGTGTGCATCAACTCCAGTCATAGGACAGAAAAAGGCAGGACACATTGTTTGGAATGATTTGGGAGGACAATGTTTCAGAGAAAAGAAGATCCTCGAATGAGTTTTCTAAGACAGAGTGAGTATTCTAAGGCAGATATGGCGATGGTGAGAGAGGCATTGCATACCATACAAAGGAGCAGCATGGCACCTTCAGGAAACTGTCAGTCATTCACTATGACAAGAGTTAAGGTATGACAAAACACTCAGAGATACAATGAAAACTGAAAGCAAGTCTTGGATCACAAAGTATATTTTACGTATTCTATAGAATTTAATGTTTATGCTACAGGCAATGGGGAGCCATAGGACAATGTTTAGAATAATAATACCATTGTCAAATTTAGATCATTCTGAAAGCCATATGGAAGATTGTTTAAAAACTAAATTTTTTTTTTTTTTGAGACAGAGTCTCGCTCTGTCACCCAGGCTGGAGTGCAGTGGCGCCATCTCGGCTCACTGCAAGCTCCGCCTCCCGAGTTCATGCCATTCTCCTGCCTCAGCCTCCCTCCCGAGTAGCTGGGACTACAGGCGCCCGCCACCACACCCGGCTAATTTTTTGTATTTTTAGTAGAGATGGGGTTTCACCGTGTTAGCCAGGATGGTCTCAATCTCCTGATCTCATGATCGGCCCACCTCGGCCTCCCAAAGTGCTGGGATTACAGGCGTGAGCCACCACGCCCAGCACTGAAACCTCAAATTTATATATTTCAAACCTGTGGTCAATTGACCTATAGATTCAGATCATCAGTTAAATTCTGGAATTAAATGCAAAACTTACGTGCCTGTACACTTTTTGAGGGAAGTTCCATAACATGCATCTGACTTTGAATTACTAAAAGAGGGTGATGTTGGAGGCCAGGATGCTGGGTGATAAACCCATCCTGTTTTGCCTAAAACTTTTCTGGTTTTAGTAATAAAAGCCATGCATCCTGGGAAGACTGCCAATCCTAGGGAAACCAGGACAGTTGGTCACCCTACTGGGAAGTCAGTTATAAGACTGTGACGATAGTTGCTATGTAAGGAAATAAGAAACTTCAGCTAGAGAATAAGAAATGATCTTGAGAGATATTCCACAAGACTTAGTGTTTAATGGGTTTAAGGTATGGGAAGAAGTAATGAATTGAGATAAAGCCTGTATGTTTAGCTCTAGTTACTATATTTATGTGGTTGCCATTAAACAAAGTGTGTGTGTGTGTGTGTGTGTGTGTGTGTGTGTGTGTGTAGGAGGGTTAGTGAAAATGACCTCCATTTTGAACATGTTGCTGTTAAGTATTTCTGAGACATTCTGATGGAAAAACCCAATGGGAAGTGAATATATGAAATTAGAGTTGTAGGAAATATATATAGAATGGATATGTAATTTTGTGAGTCATTATAATTTGAGTATTAATTGAAGAATTATTCTGGGATGATGTGTACAGTGAGAAACCATGGACAAAGAGAATATCTAGAAACAGGAGTTACTAGATATAAAGGCATCTATAGGAAGAAAATCCGGCAAAGGATGTGAAAAAAGTCTGCTCAGAACTATAAGCAGGTAACTAGGAGAAACTACAGTCTTAGAATCAAAGAGAAGAAAGATTATAGTTATTATTTGTATCTTCTGAAGTTTTAAATATCTTTCTGGAAATGCTAGCCAAAGT
This sequence comes from Homo sapiens, assembly GCF_000001405.40. Lineage (NCBI taxonomy): Eukaryota > Metazoa > Chordata > Mammalia > Primates > Hominidae > Homo > Homo sapiens. The sequence goes on from NC_000001.11 coordinate 218,837,947, forward strand.
AAATAATGAGAAAACAATTGGAATATAAAAACTGCAAAGAAGGAAATAAAATATCATTACTTGAAACACATATGATTATACACCATACTTAGAAAATCAGCTGGGAGAATGATTGCCAAACAATGAAAATTTAATAAGCTGACTAGATGCAAAATATGTCCAGATACCAATAGTTTCTGTTTATGTAAATAATAAAAAGTTGGAAGATTTATGGGAAAAAAACAATCATCTACAATAGCAACAATGAGTTAATAATGAATTCTTATTATGCACTAGGCATTCTTCTGAGAGCTTTCACAGGCTTGTAGTACAAATGAAGAAATGGAGGTAAAGCATTTAATTAACTTGTTCGTGTTTCTACAGCTAGTAAGTTTTAGAACCATAATTTAAATTTAGGGAGTCTTAATCCACAGGCTATGGCTTTAACTGCTGTAGTATGTAGTCTCTTCAAGAAAAAAAAGTCTCTTTAAGAGAGAAGTAGTAAAGAATATACTTAACAAGAAACACATAAAATCTGTATGAAGAAAATATTCAAATGCTACCAGTGGAGAAAGGAAGTCTTAGACAAATATAAAAGCATATCATATTTTTGAATAGGAAAATCTAACATCATAAAACAATAAATTCTCTCAAAATTAATCTATAAATAACACTTGATTCCAATAAAAATAACAAGGCATTTTTCTGTGGAATTAGTTTTAAACTTAATATGGAAAACTTTAAAAGGAAAATTCAGAAGAGTATTTTTGATAAAAGAATAGCACAACAGATATTTTTAAATGATTAAAATGTTTAACAGTAAAATGAGGCAGTGTTGGCACATTAGCAGACAGACATGTAAATGGAGCAAACTAGGAAGTCCAGAAATAGGTAGAAATACTTAGGGATTAGCATATAATAAAGGTGGCATCATATAATATATGTCAAATATCTGTGGGGGAAAAGATGGATAATTCAATAAATGGTGCTTAGATAATGGGGAAGCCATCTGGACAAAAATGGATTCACATTTTGTCACTGAAACTAATTCAAGAAAATTGAAGAGTCCACAGTAAAAAATATAAAATCATAAAAGTAATGGAGGGAGAAAACAGTTTATAATTTCAGAGTATGAAAGACCTTTATGTGTGTGACACAAAGACTACAAAAATCACATTGATAAATACAGCTACAAAAAATTAAGACAGTTTATCCTTACCAAACTATCAAAAAGAAAATTAGAAGACGGATGATACAACAGGAAAACATAACAGCTGTCTTAGGTCATTTCCTATTGCTATAAAAGAGTACCTGGGACTGGAAAATCTATTTTAATAATGAGGTTTGTCTCACAGCTCTGAAGACTGAGAAGTTTCCATACTGGGTGGCTGCATCTGGCGAGGGCCTCATGGTACATCATAGCATGGCAGATGGCATCACGTTGTTGGGAGCCTGTGCAAAAGAGATAGAACACAAGGGGCAACCTAGGTTTATAACAACCTACTCTCAAAGGAACTAATCCAATCTTGCAATAACTAACCCAGTATTGTGAGAAAGACATTAACCCATCTTAATGACCTAACTACCTTCTACATGTCCCACCTCCCAACACCATTACATTGGCAACTAAATTTCAACATGAGCTTTGGGAGGGACCATAACAACAACTTACAAAAAATATGCAACTTACTTTTTAAAAATAACTCTTACAAATCCAGAAGATCATCAACCAAAAAGAAGAATGAGCACATGATACAAACTGAGAGACTATTAAAATGTTAAAAAAGAAATTTAAATTCCCCTGAAATAAAAATACTCACTCTTACTCATATTAAAATAAATTAAAATTTAAAACTATGCAAAATTATCAGATTATCAAAGATTCAAAAGTGTGATAACATACCATATAGATGAGGATGAGGACAAAGAGGCACTCTCATACCTTACTAGTGAGAGTGCAAATTCATACATTCACTGTGCAGGGCAATTTGTCAATATCAAATTTAGACTTTAGAAATGAGTATATCACCTATCATGAAGAGTGAATAGAAAGCCATTTGGTTCATTCTTCCCACTGGAAAGAAACAATAACAAAAATATGTGTCTAGAAACATCTAAACATTTTTGAAAATAATTCAAGAGGTCAAGTAAGGAAATGTTAATCCAAAGTGAAGAAAAAATAACTAGAGAAATGAGTACTTAAGCTAGTTTATTTTGAGAGCATTTGCAGAACCTGGTAATGTTATTTTTAATCTTGATAGCCTTACCAAGTGATAAGGACAGAAATAAAAGCAGAAGACACCTTCCACCTGCCCACACACACGGAAGAACCAAAGGACCATGGTAAGGTAAGGGTTAACTGAATATTCCCATGAATCATTTAAAATCCTTTTGGGGGCCAGGTACAATGGCTCATGCTTGTAATCCTAGCACTTGTGGAGGCTGAGGTGGGAGGATAGAAGGATTGCTTGAGGCCAGGAATTAGAGATCAGTCTTGGCAGCATAGTAAGACTTCATCTCCACAAAATAGTAATAATAACAATAGCCAGCTGTGGTTGATCACACCTGTGGTCTTATCTACTCAGAAAGCTGAGGTGGGAGGATCGCTTGAGCCCAAGAGTTTGAGGCTGCAGTGAGCTATGATGGCACCACTGAATTCCAGCCTGGGTGACAGAGTGAGACCCCATCTCTTAAAAAAAGAAAAGAAAAAAAGGAAAGAAAAATGAAAACCACCTTTGCACCTTGATTTGAGGTGATCCCAAACTGTAAGAGATCCAGCAATCTGGCAGGAACAATAGCAAATTATATCTAGATAAATATTCACATATTGTAGGCCTCAATAATTATTTCTATAAATTATTATTTTATGTAAAACATGTAACATACAGCAAAGATAACCAGGCATACAAGGAAATTATACTTGATAAATGGAGGCCACTGTAAAGAAACAAAAAAATAGAAACAGTCTTGCAAATATTCAGATATTGAAATTACCAGACACAAAAAATTAAGTGTTTTTAAAAGATTGAATACATCTGCAGAGAAATCAACTATAAAATAACATAATAAACTTAAACAAATATGATTTCCAGAATTTAAAAAAAACTAAAATTTAAAACTAAATGGACAAGTTTAACAGGCGAATAGACACAGCAAAAGAAAGAATAGATGAACTGAAAGGTAGGTCAGACAAAATGTCTTAGAAAACAGCACTGATGTTTGAAAAAACAGCAAGGCATTCTCTTCTATATAGTCTCTTGTACAACCTGTGGAACTGTGAGTAGAATAAAGTGAGAAATGATAACATAAGCTTAATCAGAATCCCAAAAAGAGAGGAGCGAACCAAACGGAAGAGACAATATTTGTTAAGATAATGGCTGAGAATTTTTCACAACTAAAGAAAAATGCAGATCTACAGATAAATAAATCTCAAACACAATAAAAAAAATTTCCATATCTATTCTCTTGCTACTGAAACTCCAAGATATTAAAGACAAGGAGAAAACAAAAATCTATAAATCAGTAAGAGGAAAAAAAAGCCCTCTTTACCGTCAAAGGAGCAACAACTAAACAAAGAAGTGACTTAGCAAAAATAAGTCAGAAATCATTACAATAATATATGTTCGAAAGAAAATAGTGTCTGGGCACAGTGGCTCATACCTGTAATCCTAGCACTTTGGGAGGCCAAGGAGGGTGGATCACCTGAGGTCAGGAGTTAGAGACCAGCCTGGCCAACATAGCGAAACCCTGTATCTACTAAAAGTACAAAAATCAGCCAGGGTGGTGGCAGGCACCTGTAATCCCATCTACTCAGGAGGCTGAGGCAGGATAATTTCTTGAACCCAGGAGGCAGAAGTTGCAGTGAGCCAAGATCATGCCATTGGACTCCAGCCTGGGCGACAAGAGAGAGACTCCATTTCAAAAAAAAAAAAAAAAAAATCTACAAATTTAGATTTCTCTTCCCAGAAAAAAAAAATCCATCAAAAATCAAAGTAAAATAAACATGTTTAGATTAACAAAAACAGTAAGTTTGACATTAACATATCTACACAAAGGAAAATTCTAAAGCATGTATTTCAAGTAAAATAAAATGATCTCAAAGGGGGTGTCCAAATTGCCAGAAGAAGTAAGAAAAGAGAGACTTGTAAATATGCAGGGAACTTTAAATTAATATTGACTATATAAAAACAGTAATAGGCCAGGCGCGGTGGCTCACACCTGTAATCCTAGCACTTTGGGAGGCTGAGGTGGGCAGAAAACCTGAGGTCAGGATTTCGAGACCAGCCTGGGTAACATGGTGCAACCTCATTTCTACTAAAAATACAAAAAATTAGCCAGGCCTGGTGGCGGGTGCCTGTAATCCCAGACGCTCGGGAGGCTGAGGCAGGAGAATCACTTGAACCCGGGAGGCGGAGGTTGCAGTGAGCCGAGATCACGCAATTGCACTCCAGCTTGGGCAACAAGAGCAAAACTCTATCTAAAAAAAAAAAAAATTTAAATAAATAAATAAAATCAGTAATAATACTGATTGCTTGAATTTTAAAATAATTAAAATACACTATAATAACAGCATACTTTGAAAAGGTGGATAAATGAACTTAAAGTTCTCTATGGTTCTTTTTTTCCAGGTTGGATGTTAAAGTTATTGATTAATGTAAGTTAAAGATGCACATTGGCATTTCCAAAGTAAAAACTAAAAAAATAGAAAAGAAAATTACTTTCATGATGTATCACTGTGTAATAAACCACCTCAAAATTTAAGATTTAGAACAATACTACTTGGTTCTGTGTCCCCACCTAAATCTCATGTTGAATTGTAATCCCCAATGATGGAGATAGGAGGTGATTGGCTCATAGGGGTTGTTTCTAATGGGTTAGCACCATCCCCCTACTGCTGTCTTGTGATAGAGTTCTCATGAAATCTGGTGGTTTGAACGTGTGTAGCACCTCCCCTTCATTCTCTCTCTCTCTCTCCTGCCAGCAATGTGAAGATGTGCTTGCTTCCCCTTCACCTTCCACCATGACTGTAAGTTTCCTGAGGCCTCCCCAGCCATGCTTCCTGTACAGCCCATGTAACTGTGAGTCAATTAAACCTCTTTTCTTCATAAATTACCTAATCTCAGGTAGTTCTTTATAGCAGCATGAAAATGGACTAATACACTACCCTATGTCATAACTCATATTAAACTGTAGGTCCTAAACACTTTAGTAAAGCAAGGGAAAAAAATAAAATGTATAAAGATTGGAAAGAAAGAAGCAAAGGTATCATTACACACATATGATAAATATGTACATAAAAATCCAAAAGTTTCTAGTTAATTAATGAGAGATTTAATCAAGCTTGCTAGATATATCAACAGGTATATAAAAGCAATCATTTTCTATATGCTAGCAAAAAATAGATAATTTTAAGAAAAACTTACTTTAATATCAAAAGTATCAAGTAGCTTAGCTAGGAATTATTCTAACCAATTTAGCAAACAGCCAAGAATAAATAAGGTGTATTTGAAGAAGAAAGTATGGGTGAGAGACAGTCTTGCTTTGTAGATATGGAGATTTATAGAGCTATAGTAATTAAGATAGTGTGGTGTTGGTAGAGCAACGTAGAAATAGTTGGATGAAATGAAATAGAAAGCTAAGAAGTGGACCCACACATGTACAGATCTTAGTATATGACAAAGATGGCCCTGGAGGAGAGTTGGGGTGATGACAGTCTTTTAAAGAAGTGATGTTGGTAAAATCAGATATTCATATTAATGGTAAAAGTTGCAATCTCTTACACATACGTAATAGGGAGTTTTAAGCGGATTACATATCTGAACATAAAAAATTTTTAGGCCTGGCACAGTGACTCACGCCTGTAATCCCAGCACTTTGGGAGGCCGAGGTGGGCGGATCATGAGGTCAGGAGTTCAAGACCAGGCTGGCCAACATGGTGAAACTGCATCTCTACTAAAAATACAAAAATTAGCCAGGCATGGTGGTGCATGCCTGTAATCCCAGCTCCTCAGGAGGCTGAGGCAGGAAAATTGCTTGAATCCAGGAGGTGGAGGTTGCAGTGAGCCAAGATCGTGCCACTGCACCCCAGCCTGGGCGACAGAGCGAGACTCTGTCTCAAAAAAAGACAAATTTCAGAAGATAATACAGAGAAATATCTTCATGATCTGGAGGCAGAAAATATCGCAAACAAGACACAAAATCTATAGATCATAAAGCAAAAATTGAATACATTTATGACATTACAATATGAAAAAGTAGTTTATCAAAGTATAGCATAAAGTAAAATGTCAAGCCACAGAATAAAAATACTTATAATACATATATTTGACAGAAGGGTAATATTTGGAATATAAAAGAGGTATGATAAACCTGTAAGTAAAAACTGAAAGAAATAAAGCACACCCATAAATCATAGAGGAAGAGCTTGAACAGTCTTCATAAGAAAGCAAATCCAAGTTAGACTGGCAAAATTGTAAAAGAAAATCTGAGAATACCAAATAAGAGTGTGAAGTAACCAGTAAACTCCTTCATTGCTAGGAGTAACCTAAATAGTCAAACTCATTGGGAAATAGTTTGTCATTTCCTAGCAAAGTTGAAGATTTACATATTGCAAGCCTTAATAGAAGATTTATATATTGCAAGCCTTATTGCTTCTAGATTTATATTCTATAGAAATGTGTACTAATAGGTACAGGATGCCACACAGAAAAAAAAGATACATCAATCCTTTACCCAAAAAAGAGAAATCTTTAAACATAATTTTTATTGAGCAACAGAAGTCAGATCCCCCAATATATGCAGCATGTGATTCCATTTATATAAAGAATGAATGAAATTATATAATTTATGGTTAAATACATAGGCAGTTATACTGTTAAGACAAGCAGAATATGATTACTATAAAAGCCAAGATAATCGTCCCCTCACCCACCAACACACACACACACACACACACACACACACACACACACACACACACACAGGCTTGTGATTGGGAAGGGGATTGTAGAATGAGGAGAAGCGTTGAATTGCTTCTGGGAAGCTGACACCTGTACCTGAATGCTAGGTTAAACATCTTTCACTTTATATTATTATATTACATTATACATTTATATTTTATTCAGTTTTCTGTATTCATATATTTTATAATTTAAAAAAGATTAAAAAGAAGTGATTTTAAAAGAGGGTGAATGTTGAGTGCTAGTGACTGTAAAGTAGCTGTAAAAGGGACTTCGCAGGTACTGGTGGAGATTTGTTTGTGAAAATGCATCAAGCTGTACATTTAAGATTTGTGCACTTTCCACATAGGTTCTTATATAAAATGTTTTTCTTAAAAAATTAAATTACAGAGCGCAAAAGGAATCTAAGAAGGAAACGATCAGTGTAGATGGTTCTTTATATAAGCTGAGATTTGAATTGAAGTAAAGCTTAAAGAGTAGCTAGTGCATCACAAATTTTATGAATTTTTATTTTATAGAGGAGACTGGCATATTTATAAATGGTGCAGAAAACATCAGCAGAGGGAACTGAGGGAAAACAATAGAGAGAAGATAACAAATGGGCATGTCTCAGTTTTACAGGGAATAGGGAAGGAGGTAGGTGTACAGATGGAAAGACAAGTCTTGAACAAGGAGAGGGGTCCCTTTCCTTTGAAAACTGCGAGGGAGAAATCAGAAAGTGGGGTCATGGCAGGAACAGAGGAAATTATGATTTAATAGGCATAGGAGTAATGAATTTAGGTGTTTAAGCCCAGGACTTCAATAGAACATAGTAGCATTAACTGAGAAGAAAGATGTAGGAACTTAAAGAGGAGCCTGAAGGATTTGAAACCAAAAAATGAAGAAGTGGCAAAGGAGAATGGCTAGAGAATGATGCAAGGACTGTCGAGTTGTGCAGAGGGTCCACAGCACTAGGGAACTGTGCATTTAGAAGCATATTTCCAGAGTTCAGCAGTTATCTTCAACAATCTAGGGACAGGGAATGAGGCAGAAAATGATTAAAATGAATCAGGATTGAGAATCTTCAGGTAAAATTGAGTAGAAGTTGGTGCAAAAGCAGGTAGAAGTGACTGGTTCTGCTGAGAGGATGGCTAGTATGTGGAGGACCTGGGATGCTAGAGAAGGAAGCAACCTTGAAATAAAATGATCCAACCAGGAAACTGGAAAAGCTGATGGACTTTAGATCTGGGAAAAGTAGAAGAAAATGCAAACAGGGAAAAAACAAGTGAGAGAATTGCGTCAATATTGCATCCCAAATCAACTAACTCTTGCAACAAGTTTGAGCAAGAATAAAAAACTTCAATTTTACAATGGAATCTTCTAATTCTTCTCTGTAATAAAAATTATGCAGCCAACAAACATATGAAAAAACCTCGTCATCACTGGGCATTAGAGAAATGCAAATCAAAACCACAATGAGGTATCATCTCGTGCCAGTTAGAATGACGATCATTAAAAAGTCAGGAAACAAGAGATGCTGGAGGGGATGTGGAGAAGCAGGAACACTTTCACACTGTTGGTGGGAGGATAAATTAGTTCAACCATTGTGAAAGACAGTGTGGTGATTCCGCAAGAATCTAGAACCAGAAATACCATTTGACCCAGCAATTCCATTACTGAGTATATACCCAAAGGATCATGAATCATGCTACTATAAAGACACATGCACATGTATATTTATTGCAGCACTATTCACAATAGCAAAGACTTGGAACCAACTCAAATGCCCATCAATGATAGACTGGATAAAGAAAATGTGGCACATATACACCATGGAATACTATGCAGCCATAAAAAGGATGAGTTTATGTCCTTTGCAGGGACATGGATGAAGCTGGAAACCATCATTCTCAGCAAACTAAAACAGGAACAGAAAACCCAGCACCACATGTTCTCGCTTATAAGTGGGAGTTGAACAATGAGAATATATGGACACAGGGAGGGGAACATCACACAGTGGGACCTGTCGGGGGCTGGGGGGTTAGGGGAAGAATAGCATTAGGAGAAATACCTAATGTAGATGACAGGTTGATGGGTGCAGTAAACCACCATGGCACGTATATACTTATGTTACAAACCTGCACGTTCAGCACATGTATCCCAGAACTTAAAGTATAACAAAAATAACAACAAAAAAAGAATTAAAAAACCCTCTAGAATTAAGTAGAAGACATATTTGTAGTTATTTCAAGTAATAATTTTACACAGCTCCTTCTCTTAAGCACAAGACTTGGGGACAATATTCACTGAGACTCCACCTTATAAATAGGAATCCAAGATAAATGTCATGGAGGGGGAAGTAAATCTGCTAACAAAGAAAATGAAATCTTATGTCCCAAAGCTCCAATATCTATTTACTTTGGGATCATTCCCTAGGTCAGCCTGTGTCATGGCTTGCCTTTGCACTAGAATGGCTGTTTCCTGTGGGTTTTAGTATGGCTGGAAGATTAGAATTCTGCCAGAAGTTCTCCTTAATTGCTCATGGTTAGAAAAATAAAAATAAAATTTAAAAATTTTCTGATTGAAGTTAAATCTATTTCTGTCTGCTTTGTCTGTGATTTTCTTCTTAGGAAATACAGCTGCCTGAGGGCTTGGTTAAAAGCCTTCTCTTTCCGCTTTATGGCCATTCCCAACCCTGATTTCAGGACTCCAGTTGATCTAGCTGCTGCCGTCATTTCCCAAAAATCCACAGTGATGTTGCACTCCAACCATGTTGAATATAAAGGGTGCCCCCATAAGCAAAGTAGAAAGATTAATCAGTCCATCAACTAGGAAGTAATTATCGAGCAGCTCTTAAGTTTTAAGCATAATGAAGGATATGGAAAATGCATAAACAAAGGTTCTTGTCTTTAAGAAACTTTTGTATTAGAGGAATAAAGCAAAACATGAACATTTAACAAATCCAGACATATAGGACAAATGCCAGAGGAAGGGCAGATAGAGATTTCAAGGTACACTGGTTTGACTAGCAAAGGCTATGTGGAGGAGAAGGGATTTGAACTGAGAGATGAAGTTTTGTGCAGAATTTCCAGAGGTGAATACACTGAAATAGCAAGAATCAGGCTTCCGTTATCTCCTATTTCTCAAAAGAGCTTCAAAAAGATAGTGTTGTCATTTGAAAACAAATCTGCTTTTAATCAACTCACAAATTACTTGTGCCAGGGGAAGGAATAACTCAAAAACAATTCACTTTGGAATTGGAAGACCATGTGTGATTTTACTTCAAGTCTATTTGTCCTCCTTGCTTTGGTTTGTTCAGGCCAGTGTTCAAATAAGCTTGCATTCTCTGAGCACACATAAGAGAGCACAGAGATGTATGGGTTTAGCACTAGAGAGTGGGGGAAAGCCAGGCTAGGATAAAAAAATGAAAAATGTTTCTGAATCAATTTCATGTTGTCGTGGCTAAACACAAACAGCCTTAGAACATCTGTGATTTCCACATTTTAATTCCAAGTTGTCATATTTTCACACATTCTTGCTTTTTGTTGCTTGGACTAAGAGATTTTTTTCTAATGTGATTTGTGTCCCCTTGCAAAATTGTTAGGAATTCCCATCAAATGGGGACCTTCGATTTTCCCACATTGTCCGCTTCTTATAATGGGAAAGTCAGCAAGGAGGGAGACATGGCTAGAAAAAAGTAAATAGAATTTCTGAATTAAAAAGCGACAACATCAATAACAAACTAAATCATTAAAGAAAATTTTCTAAAAGCTTTCTTTAATTTTAAAGGGATATGGAATTTGAAATTAAGGTCAACATTAGGATGACAGATTCCTGAACACCTTTAAATCTACTTAAATTTCAAACTCCCTCAACCTTTTCACCCTTCTGTCTCTCTTCTCTGCATTAGTTTTATCCCTTAGCACTTATCATTATCTAACATACAACAAACTTTATTTACTTTGTCTTGTTTATACTCTGTCTCTTCTCCACAAAGGCCAGCTCCATAAGGATTTTGTCTACATTTCCAGATAATTTTGTCTAATCCTTGTTGCCCAAAAGAATATGTTGAACATACAAGTACTTTATAAATACTTGTTTTTGAATGATTTCTAAATTTTTGTCCTAATGGGTTTAAAGTATTTTTTTATAACCTCAGAGTAATTTTTGTATTCAATTCACTTTAAGTAGATCTTGTATTTCTACTATGAGTAGAAATTACGTTCAAGTTAAAATTATTATGGTGTCTATTCATAAAGTCAGACTAAATATAGACAGGATAAATTAAAATACTTATTTTTAAAAAACACACATTATTGTTAACTATGAATATATTAAATAGAGTTATCTTATGAAATTTGTCCAGTTATTGCAGGCACAAAATTAAGTTGGATCAATCGACATTTATAAGCAACCTGCTATTCAACAGATGAACTAATGAGAAAGTGCAAAGCATTATTTGAATTATGGTGCATATAATTAATAGTAACTTTAGCAGAATAAAATCTCTAATAGTAATTTTTACTATTTTACAATGGTTACTATCAAGCAATATTTATGTACTAAGCCAAGATTCCTCATAAATAACTTATTTAGATATAGAAAAGACAGTTTTAAAGGCAATTAAACAGTGTGATAGGCTGCCAAGATAGGTCACATACAGATAAAAGGAAATAATCATTTCATTCTGCATCCTGGACTGGTAAAAAATATCTAGAATATATATATATATATATATTTGTTTGTTTGTTTGAGACAGAGTTTTGCTCTTGTTGCCCAGGCTGGAGTGCAGTGGTGTGATCTCAGCTCACTGTAACCTCTGCCTCCCGGATTCAAGTGATTCTCCAGCCTCAGCCTCCCGAGTAGCTGGGACTACAGGCGCCCGCCACCACGCCTAGCTAATTTTTGTATTTTTAGTGGAGATGGGGTTTCACCATGTTGGCCAGGCTGGTCTCGAACTCCTAACCTTGTGATCCGCCCACCTCGGCCTCCCAAAGTGCTGGGATTACAGGCATCAGCCACCGAGCCTGACCTAGAATATTTTTTAAGAAACGTATTTTAAGTGGATCATTGGCAAACCAGAGCATATATCATGTAAATAATCAGGATGGTGAGATGTTCAGAAATTATTTTTAATAAGAAACAGTTAAATAAAATTTATTTTAAAATCTATCAATTATACTAGCATTTGATTCTTTCAAGTTATTCTAGAGGGTCTAAAATGAATCAATAAAAAGTTAAAATTACATAGAATCAGACTTAAGTATAATGTAAGACACAATTTGTTAGCAATGTGAACATTTCAAAAATATAATGAATTGCGTTGTGAAGCAGTAAACCCCCTGCCACTGCAGGTATGCAAACTGTATATTGTGGATATCCAAGGACAATGGGCAGGTTTTATACCTTTTTATACTTTAAATATGTGTAATATGTGTACATGTAGAAGAAGATCTATAAAGAGCTCAAGAGACTTTGGATAAATGAATGGATAGACAGCGTTTGGAACTCCATGAATATTTCCATGTTTCTGTATGGTCCAGGCTTTGTGAGCAAAAACACTGGTGAACTTGGTTCAAGGATGACTGAATAGAAAACATGTCTTGGAAGGAAGAGATGATTTGTATTGTACAAGTTTTAAAAACATCTACCCTGGAGCCACTTGTTTACATTCCAAGGTAGTAAGAAACTTCCTCCCTCCACCCCACCCGGGAATATTTGTTTACAGTCCAGAGTGAAGGACTTTCTTTTTCTGGAAGGGAGGTTAGACCCATATGCCAGGCACTCTGTATAAACTTTGAATCTCATAATTTCTGAGCTCCTCTCTTATGGTCCAACCCTGATAAATGCTCAAGTGAACATTTTCTCTCAATTTGTTGCCCATGGCGGATTGGAAAACCTATGCTAAGATGCTCTGTAACAGTCTGTCCTCTGATTAAGAGACCTGTGTTTCCTGTCAGAATCTACCTATTATCTATCTATCTATCTATCTATCTATCTATCTATCTGCCATCAACTTAACAGATGAATGGAAGAAACCAAAATTGAATATTTACCTTTTAGGAATCCTCTATATTCCTACATTGGGTAGAAAATTTTACTAGATAATGATAGAGGCCTATTTAATTTACTTAGATACATGTTGTTCTACATATATAAATTTCCAGATCACTCATAGTATTTTAGGTGGTGTTTTCAGTCCTATTTCAACAAACAAATTAAACAAAATTCAATTTCTGAGAAAAAAATTAAGAAGGCTAAAGAGGTTGCAAGATTTTTGTTTTCAGAGTATTTGCTGGAAGTTATGTGGCTTTCTTAGCACAAAGAGTAATTAATCACTTACTTCTGATATGGCATTAGTGAAAATTTGTCCTAGGAAAGGCAAGATAGTTTGAGGTCAATTCGTTAAATAATATACCCATTTTCTGAGATAAAACAAGTAATTTAATAAAAATGATCCCTTAAAATGATCAAAATAGAAAAAAGAAGTATTTCATCTAAGTTTTTCTCACAACAGTCTCAAAATATACTGAATTATCATCTGAACAGAAGGAATAACAAAACCTGTTAAACCTAAGATTTTTAAAATGTTTGCTATGTTGCTGGCATTTTAGGTCTTGAGAAGAGATTGAGTTAAATGAGCAACTCTTCAATGTAACTATAGGAATTTAAAGGTTTTTTTAAAGTACCGTAGGGTTTAGGGTATAAAATGATTCATGGAAAACTTCAAAAGAATTGATTAATGCATATTTAGTGTCTGTAGTGACAACATTTGAAAGCTCTTTACTCCCCCCCAAGTTTTATGGTGATTCACCTAAAGAAATCTTTCTCACTGGCAGAAACACATGTTAGCTACATTTATACACTTAAAAAAACAAAACACCATAGAGACAAAATATTATGTTACTAAGTTAATGATATGCATATCTCATAGAATGTGCTGTAATAGATATCTGTGACCAAGTTGGCCACAGATCAAACGGTGCCCTAGATCAAATCCCTGGCTGGGCCCCTCCTCTGAGTGCCTCACCGACTGACCATTACAGAATTCATTATATGGTTCACCTTCAGACAGTAACTCCCTGTCAGTGTATGGTTTTAATTCAGCTGTTGTATATAGATTTGAGGATTTCTATGTAAGTGCTCAATGTCAATTATAACATGTACTCATACGTTAACAAAGCATTATGTTACATATATTGCATACTTTCACTATGTAGGTATCCTTTTAATATTAAGTGTTCCAGTGACCTAGGCAAGAATTGTGTACAGAACTTTGAGAACTGAAGAAAAAAAGGTTGCAATGTATGCTAACCATCATATTCTCTATTTGTCTGTTATGCCATTGAACATTTTCAAAGCAGTTTGACTGGCATAATTTTATGTGATCTTTACAACTACAGGGTGACTTGACTTCTGATTTTCAGGGCTATCATGTGATTAGGGGATTAGGCTCATTCCAAATGACCCCATAGGGAAGAACTAAACCAACAAATGAAATCTGTAGGGAGTCACATTTTAACCCAAAACAAAAGGAGACTTTTCTGCCTATTAGATATCTATGGGTGCATTAGTTTGTTTTGTAATTAATGTGTTTCTTATCAACACAAATATCTAACACAGTGGCAATAAGATGTGGAATATCCATTTAGTAGCTGGATGAGATGGCCTTTCAAATGTCTTCAAATATTGAAATCCTGGGTATACACTCTAGGATTCGTTTAGTTAAGGATAAGGCAATAGTTTACTGTCCTTCAAATTATAATAGGGAATACATCTCTCCTCTCTTTCCTTTCTATATTCTTCAATGCTGCTGGACACATGCCCACTTAAGATGAAGAACAGTTCAGCCATGGACTGCAGCTGCTGCGTGGCTAATGGAAAAGGAGCCCAGGAATGCACACTCTCCGTATCTACTCAATGCCAACAGGCTTGCCTGATGTGAACAAAAATTCAGTCAAGCTGCCTGCTTGGCACTGTACAAGCAATAGATCCAGGTGCCTCACAAGATTTCCAACTGAAATAAGGGGCTGTTTTTGAATGGTGCCGGTCCAATATTAAATGCTTTCTTCCTCATTGGCTGTGTGATAAGTCAGTGGATGTTGGTATATGAAATCCATGGTATTTTGGAGCAGCAGAGGATCCCAGAAAAGATCTTATCCAACATTTCTCAAAATGTGTTCCATGGAAACATGGAACTGTGAGAGGCTTAGTGGGAACAATGGTCTGAGATAAAAGAAAGAAATATTGTATATTTAAGTCTTTCTAGAAGATTTACGATGCACAATATTATATTAAATGCTTTGAGAAGTCTTATTACAAAGAAACTTTAGTAAACACATATCTAACAAAGTTTTTCCTTTTTTCCCTTTCATGATGATCATTAACATTCCATAGAAAAGACCCTAGAAATGCATATTTCAGCATGAAACCCCCATTTTTACATATAAAGAGAATTAGGTCCGGAGAGATAAAGTGACTTGTCCCAGGCTGAATACACTTACAAATTTTGAGTAGAAGTCAGAGATTTGTGACTTGCTTCTAATTCAATGTTCTTTTCTCTGGAGAACTGATCACATTCTCGACTTTCGTACTCCACTTCATTATGCCCAAATCAGGTGTTTATCCATAGACTGACAGCTCTGGCCATAGAATCGAGTCTGGCAAAAGCCTTGGAATAAGTACTTGCCTCTGGTTCAATCCATTTGGGTCAGGTGTTTGGGATCATGTTGTATAAAACCAAAAATATGTATCAGGCTGAAAGAGATGTTTTTAAAAAATCTGGAATTAGCCACAGCCAAAAAGTTTTCCACTATATATTCCATCCTATGGCTGCTCCTAACACATGCATTTCCTCTTTTTCGTATAGAATTCCTAATGAGCCCTTGCTTAATGTGATTCATTTGCTCCATCTCATACCCCACAAACTACTAACTTAAAAGGTAACAACTCAGTATTGCATCTGGTTAATGTTGCAGAACCAATATGATCATTCTAAGTTCAGCGACCCAGGATTCCTTTTCTACATGGCTCAGTCAGATCCAGATATGACTCTTGAGGAGAATAAAATATATGGATTAACAGCTTTAATTTGAATATCCCCACAAAAACTCATGTTGAGATTTAATTGTCATTGTAACAATATTAAAAGGTGGGTACTTTAAGAGATGATTAGGTCATAAGGGCTTTGCCCTTACTAATGGATTAATGCTGCTATAATGGTCATGGGCTTCTAATAAGAAGGCTGAGTTCAGCCGGATTCCCCTCTCCATCTTGTATGGTCACTTCCACTGTCCATCCCTCTCCCATGGCATGACCCTCACCATATGCCAGCACCATACTCTTGGACTGCCCAGTCTCCAGAACTGTGAGCTAAATAAACTTCTGCTGTTTATAAATTGCTCAATCTGTGATATTCTGTTATAATAACAGAAATAAAAAAAACTAATACAGAAAATTGGTAGCCAGAAGTAGGGCTATTGCTATAACAAATATCTGAAAATGTGGAAGTGGCTTTGGAACTGGGTAATAGGTAGAGGCTAGAGAAGTTTGGAAGAAAAGATTAGAAAAAGCCCGAATTGTCATGTGCAAAGAATTAAGGATAATTCTGGTGACAGGACAGCCCAATGAAGAGGAGAGCTGTGGTAAAAGTCTGAACCCTCTTGGAGAGTAGGTAAGTAGTCATGAGCAGAATTTTGGTAGAAATATGGACAGTAAAGCCCATCCTGATGAGGTCTCAGATGGACATGAGGAACAAGGTATTGGAACCTGGAGTAAAGGCAATTTTTTTTATACGGTAGCAAAGACCTTGGCTGAAATGTGTCCATGTCTGAGAGTTTTATAAAATGTGGAACTTAAGAATGATGAACTAGGATATCTCGTGGAAGAACTGTTTAAGCAGCCAAGCATTCATGTGGCTACATGGCTACTTTTTTTTGTTTTTGTTTTGTTTTGTTTTGTTTTGTTTTGTTTTGTTTTGTTTTTGAGATGGAGTATTGCTCTGTCACTCAGGCTGGAGTGCAGTGGCATAATCTCAGCTCACTGCAACCTCTGCCTTCCGGGGTCAAGCAATTCTCCTGCCTCACCTCCTGAGTTGCTGGGATTACAGGCACCTGCCACCATGCCCAGCTAATTTTTGTATTTTTTTAGTAGAGAGGGGTTTCACCATGTTGGCCAGGCTGGTCTCGAACTCCTGACCTCAGGTGATCAGCCCGCCTCGGCCTCCCAAAGTGTTGGGATTACAGGCGTTAGCCACCACGCCTGGCCTACATGGCTACTTTTAACTGCATACAGTGAGATGCAAGAGCAAAGAGATGACTTAAAAATGAAATTTGTAATTAAAGAGGAAGCAGAGCTGAAAGATTTGGAAAATTCACAGGCTGGCCATGTAGAGTGAAAAAGAGAATACTGATGATGTGGCCAAACAACTGATTGCTAAAGAGATTACCATGGATAGAAGGAAACCAGGTACTATTAATCAAGAAAATGGGAGAAAGACCCCAAAGGCATTTCAAAGATCTTCAAGGCTGCCCCTTGCATCACAGACCCAGAGCTCTAGGAGGGCAGAAGGGTTTCAGGGAGCAGGCCCGGGGTGCCTTCCATTGGCTTGCTGTCCAGAGGCACCTTGGGTCTCTGCTGTCTACATGCTGGTGCTGTACTTTTTGGGCACCCCAGCCACAGCTGAAGTGGACCCAGATGTGGCTTGATCCAATTATCTGGAGGGTACAAGCAGTAAGCCTTTGTGACATCCACATGACGCAAGTTTTGCAGGCGTGCAGAATGCAAGAGCTGTGGGGGCATGACTGCCTTCACCTAGATTTCGAATAATGCTGTGGAATTCCTGGAAACTCAGGAAGAAATCTACCATGTGGATGTAACACTGCAGATAAACCCTACTAGGTCAATGCCCAGTGAAGCCATGGGAATGGGGCAGACCCAAAGATCCCAGAACTGTAGGATCACGTGCATGCAACTTCAACCCAAGAGAGCTGAAGCATGGACAGAGCCCAGCAGAGGCATAGGTGTGGTGCTACCCAGCACTTTGGGCCTGTAAACCCCCAGTGTGTACAAGAGGTGACACATGGAATAAACAATTATTCCGTGGCCTTAAAATTTAATGTGGTCTGTACCGTTGAATTTTGGACATACTTGGGACCAGTTACTGCTTTCTTCTTGCTTATTTTTCCCTTTTGAAATGCGAATGTCTATCTTATGCTGTTATAATGGGCATGGGCTTCTAACAAGAAGGCTGAGTTCACCCTGATTCCCCTCTCCGTCTTGTGTGCTCACTTCCACTGTCCATCCTTCTCCCATGGCATGACCATTGTATTTTAAAAATAAATAATTTGTTTTGATTTTACAGGCTCACAACTGGAGAATTTGCCTTGGGAAGGATTGTGCTTTGAGTCTCACCCATATCTGATTAAGATAAAACTCAGGACTTTGGACTTTGAGTTGATGCTAGAATGAGTTAAGACTTTTGGAATTATTTTAATGGAATGAATGTACTTTGTATATAAGAAGGACATATGTTTCAGAGTTCCAGGGATGGAATGCTATGGTTTGAATGTCCCCACCAAAACCCATGTTGAAATTTACTTGCCACTGTAACAGTATTATGAGGAGGGTACTTTAAGAGGTTATTTACACCATGAGGGCTTCACTCTTATGAATAAATTAATGCTGTTATAGCAGAGTGGGTTAGTTATTATAGGAGTGTGTTTCTGATGAAAATGGTGAGTTTGGCTAGAGCTCCTCTCTCTGTCTCTTGGGCTCATTTCTGCCTTCCACCCTTCTGTCATGGGATGACTTTGCCATATACCAGTACCATGCTCTTGACTTTCCGTCTCCAGAAATGTGAACCAAATGAACTTGTATTGTTTATAAATTACCCTGTTATTCTGTGGTATTCTGTTATAGCAGCAGAAAATGGACTAAAATACTAACCAATACACTTGGCACTCTCTCTTCCCCTAATGAAGCCCAGTATTTAATGGTTGAGGAAAAACAAAAATAGCATCAGTAAAAATACTCATTTTGAAAATTAGAAATGTGAATACACCAGACTTTGGGCACTTCTAGATGGTAATAGCAAGATGGGCATTGGATGGGTGATTAACTTCTTGACAATTGATTAAGCCTCACAATTGGTGAATATGGACTCCTGAGATCTGTCTCCTGGGAAACTTCCTCCTGTCTTTTTTAGGACTAGCCATGAAAGTGGCATTGTAGAACCCTCTTGGGTTGTCCTAAGTTAGTTGTTCAATTCCCTTGGTGCTGATTTTGGTGACTGTGAATTGCCTGAGAGGCTGAGAAACATGGCCAACTTTTCTAGTACTAAAAATCCTTTTCATACAACTACCATAAAAACGTAAGTAGCTGCTGCTCAATGTCATTGTTGTAGATGCTCTTTGCTAATTAGCAACATAGAAAATCCAGTGGTCAAATAAGGACTGAAGTACAATCCCCAAAGATTGTTCATTCCCCTAATATCTGCTTGAAGTCATCAGCCTTGATGAATAGATAAAACACAATAAGCTAGAATGAGGCAGCTAGAATTTTTTCCTCATATGTGATATTGTACTAAATCACAGCTGACCAATAAAATTTCCTGCAATGGTAGAAATTATTGGATTCTGTGCTATTCAGTATGATAGGGACTAGACACATACAGCACATGTAGCTACTGAGCTCTTGAAATGTGGCTGGAACTGAATTTTAATCTTAATTAATTTTAATTCACATAGCCACATGTGGCTAATGACAACCATGTTAGACAACACAGAACTAGAATAATCTTACACCAAGGTTAATTTCTAATCACAACTATATATGATAGTTATTAGCAAGAAGTGCTTTGTGGGATAAGAGGAAAAATACAATGTGAAATTGTAGTTGTCTGATTCACCTCTTTGTGGTATCTCCATTTCAAATGAAAATTTGTTATCTTCAGTATCAGAAGCAGGGTCTATTAGAAAACATTGTATTAATTTTGCAGCTCAGCCAGGGGTGGTGACTCACCCCTGTAATCCCAGCACTTTGGGAGGCCCAAGTGGGTGGATCACTTGAGGTCAGGAGTTCGAAACCAGCCTGGCAAACACGGTGAAACCTTGTCTCTACTAAAAATACAAAAAAATTTGCTGTGCATGGTGGTGGGCACCTGTAATCCAAGTTACTTGGGAGGCTGAGGCAGGAGAATCGCTTGAACCCGGGAGATGGAGGTTGCAGTGAGCCAAGATCCTGCCATTGCACTCCAGGCTGGGTGACAGAGCAAGACTCTGTCTCAAAAAAAAAAAATTTGCAGCTCGAAGGGCCAATGATTTTTGATCATTGGTTTTAGATTTTCCTTCAACAAAGTCATGTACTTATCCTGTTATTTTGATTCTACTTTTAAACAAATAAATCTCAGACAGAAACTTCTTGCCCTTTGAAATATGTCAATGGAGGTCACCAGAAATACTCAGTGATTTCTAATAATCTAACAACGTACTACCAAATTCTTAAACTTTCAGACGCAAATGGCACAATTTCTAATGCAAAGAGAGAAACTAAGTAATTGTTATCCACAAGTTACAACCTTTCATTCTGGAATGGTCAAATACTCTCTGCTTCCAGCACTCATGAGTCAGTTCTATATTTTTTTCTAAGGTGTTTTGGTTTGCCTTGTTTTGTTTTACAACAATTGCCAATTTGAATGCTAGCACTTTTTTGTTGCAAACGACAGAAATCCATGTAAGAAAAAAGGATGGACAACTGCATGGATATAGAAAGGCCTCATAGAAGACAAAGACAGAATTAATCAACAGTATTTGTAAACAAAATCTGTGTTCCAGGTATTCACTGACAGCCGATGAAATGCATGCTATCTTTTAAAGTGATATCACCAGCCTCAAATTGCATGTAAAAGTGTACATTGGCTTTTCATCTGGTTCAATCTTCAGGAATTCTCCTGGACTCTTTGTGTTGCTTTGTTTTTGCTAAAGACTATTTACATTTTAGTTTTTCTTAGTATCTTCTAATGAAGACTTTAAAATTAGTGGTGCTCCATGTTTGTAGTTTCCCAAGACCTCTTGAGAACCATCATCCGTGACAATTTGTTCTCACTTTAGGGTCCTTCTATTGCATAGTGCTTTGAATTCTCTACCTGGCTTCCTCCATCCAATTACTTCTAGCTTCATTATCTAGGAAATATTTTTTTTTCGACCTACATTTGTACTCCATCTACTTTCCTATTTTGCTTTTCATTTGTTTTTTATTGCAATTAGTATGCCCTTCACATGCACAAGACCCAAAAGGACTGAAATAGCAAATAACATGTCAACAGCAGCCCCAACACATTGAAAAGTTGGCACCACTTGGAAAATGAGGGGAAGGAGCATGCACATGAAGTGTGAACAGTGCTGTAGTTGTTCTGCTGCTGAGAACACTCTGACAGAAGACCCACAGCAGATGTACCAAAAAAACTCAAGTGAAATTCCATAAAACCTAAGGACACTGTGTATCAATTAGAACAACAAAAACAAAAAAGCTGAAAGTTCAGCTCCTGGAACACTGTTTGCCTTTAGATGAAATTGGTCAGAATTGTGGATGGTTTTGAAGAATGATTAATTGAAAATAATATGAAACTTTAGCCTAGCATCAGAAAATGACAATCTAAGGGTAAAAAGAGGATCAAAAATTATTTCATCCAATTTTCTGCAAAATGTTTAAGTTTCCTACCAACTGCTTGTCTATCCTATGCTTAAAATAACTCCAATGAGGATGAGTTTCCTTTCCCCAGCAAAGCAGTTCTTTTAGTAAAAAACATTTTTAAATAAGTTTTTATTGATGTATAACATGCATACAGAATTTTTCACAAATCATAAGTGTACAGCTTGACAAAAGATCAAAAGTATGAACTCCCTCTTGTAACTACCAAGAAACCGATAGTTAATAGCATCTAGAAATTCCTCCCAGGACGCCTCTCAGTCAGTATATCCCTGAAAGTAACCACTCTTCTGAATTATTTCACCATCAATTAGTTTTCCCTGGATTCAAACTTTATATAAAATGAAATCATACAATATAATGTACTCATTTATGCCTAGATTCTTTTATTGTCGCATACTCTTTGTGGGAGTAATATTATTACAAAAGTTTTGGAAAATTATTTATTATCTACTAAAGATGAACATAAATTAAACCTAAGACCCAGACATCTCACCCTTTCCTAGGTATATGCCAAACCTAAATATGTACTGAAGTCCACTAAAAGGTAAGCTTAAGAATGTTCATAGTGCCACTATTCATAATGGCCCTACATTGAAAATATCCAAATGTCCATCAACAGTAGAATGGATAAATAAATCGTGGTATATTCACATAATTGAATGAGAATGAATGAACTATTGTTTCATACACAGTAAGGATGAATCTCACAGTTATTCATTATTCTGACAACCATGATTCTTAAAAGATTGTCCATATTTGAGTGAATGTCTGACTCTAGCTCTTTAACCAAGTTTAATTAAAGAACAAATTTTATTTTGCTTCCACACTATGAATTAAGTATCACGTACTATTTAGAATTTGTCAGATTCATCTGGAACATGTTTAATATCAGAGTAACATTTTAAAAGATAAAAGAACATTTGGAATACAACCATTGACAAAGTCTAAAATAAGTTGAAACTCACTATTTCACATAAAAAGTATTTAAGGAAGGTGGCAAGAAGTTAAACAGAAGAAGGCCATAACTCTGGCTCCTTTTCACCTACAATCCCCTTTCCTACTCCAACTCTAAATAACATCTAAAGGAGACAGAAAATGACTTACAATAGAAAGAGAAGTAAATATTATTCTGTAATTAAAAGAGGCTAATTTGTCCAGATAATCTCCCTGGTACATAACTGGCCTTAGATAGGTGATGTACATATTCAGTTTCTCAATTCCTGGTGAATTATATCTCTCTGTCTACATCCACGATCTGGTTATACACTACTATTCATTCATATTGCCAGATGTGGCATAGTTCTTTCAGTACAGCATTTTAGTGTTTGCCTGTCCATCAGTTTTTACAGGAAGCCATGGCAAGAACCATCTGGAAATTCACAGACTCTGATCTTACAAGGTTTCATACACTTTATTTGGGTGAGATGAGTGGAGACTCCTTTCCTCAGTCTCTATCTAGAGTCTGTTATTATTCATGGGATCTCTTTCAAATTCATCAAACTTGAGGGAAAACATCTCTCCTTCCTCAATAAAACAAACAAGAAACTGCCCAAGAAAACAATTGCTAACTAACCAGGGAACAGATCAAGATAGCATCTTGATCTAACATTTACTTGTAAAATGCAAAGATCATGAGTAGTTTGTCACTATATAAGTTGAATCTGATAACTCAATTATAATAATCAAGTCTCCTTGAAATGATAGGAAGGGTCTTTAAGAAGTTCATAGAAAAATGCATATTATGAAAAACTATGTGTGTGCTCTGTAAAGATGAGCCCAAATAAAAAATAAATCAGTACAAGCAAAACAAAACAAAACAAACAAAAAGAAAAAAACTATGCATAGACTTCAAAACTTTTTTTACACCCAAATAAACTCATATTGATTTGTTATAACATATCTGAGCAGAGTCTAGTTTGAGGCGTGAGGAAGGATAAGACATTAGTTTGAAAAGATCCCTTGTAAGAGCGACATGAATTCATCAAATTTATGGTGAAGCTGGAATGAGAAAATGATGAAATTATTGATGTTTTACAACAAATTTATGGGGAAAATGCTCCAAATAATCATCAGTTTGCAAATAATCAGCAATTTAAGAAGGGATGAGATGATGTTGAAGATGAAGCCCTCAGCAGAAGACCATCCAATTTGCATGGAAAAAAATTAATCTTGTTCTTGCCCTGATTGAAGAGAAATGAGGATTAACAGCACAAACAATAGCTGACACCATAGATATCTCGATTAGTTAGGCTTACACAATTTCAACTGAAAAATGAAAGTTAAGCAAATTTTCCACCTGATGGGTGCCCAAACCATTGCATCCACATCAGCTGCAGACAAGAGCATTTCAATGGAAATTTTAAGTAAGTGAGATCAAGATCCTGATGCATTTCTCCAAAATATTGCAACAGGAGCTAAAACATGGCTTTACCAGTAAAATCTTGAAGAGAAAGCATCACCAAAGCAATGGCTACTAAGAGGTGGAAGCGGTCCAGTCAAAGCATGAGTGGATCGGTGAAGAGCAAAGTTCATGGCAACGGTTTTTTGGGGATGTTCAAAGCATTTTGCTTCTAGACTTTTGGGAGGGCCAAAGAACAATCACACATGCTTATTATGATAGTGTTTCGAAAAAGCTGGTCAAAGCTTTAGCAGAAGAATGCCCAGGAAAGTTTCTCCCGAGAGTCCTTCTCCATCAAGACAGTGCTTCTGCTCATTCCTCTCACCAAACAAGGGCAATTGTGCAAGAGTTTCAATGGTAAATCATCACAGTCCCAATTTGATATTGATAGATATTTACTGAGCCTCTATTAGGTGTCAGATACTACTCTAGGAACTGGGGTAAAGCAGGAACTAAAACAGACAAGAATAGTTTAATAGTTAGATATGATCAAAGAATAAAAGTTTTGATGTGCTTACTAAGGAAAGAAGGGGGTAAGGTTCAAAAGGGCTTAAGATGACATCTGCAGGACCCTGTGCCAGATAAATAAGTTAACACGCTTGTAATAAAATATCTTCTACCTTCTACTTCACAAAATATACCTTCATAAGGACCCAAAAGGACAGATATGAATTTAAAATGTTGGGACTTCTAGGACTCCTGGAAGCTTTGTGCCAGATCATGGCAGCATAAGATACCCAGCTCCTGCCTTCCTAGTCCTGAACTCATGGCTCAACGCACAACCCCTTTTCTTCCCACAGTTGCTCCAGCTGCATCAAGAGGGGCCTCACATATATCCATGTGTATCCCCGAGTCCACATTTCTAGGCTCTGTTCCCTTCCTGACCAACTTTTGATCTAGTAGTAGGTGTAAAGTTGACAAAAACCATCTCAAGGAGGATAGACCTGAGCAAGAGGCCCTTGCAGATCCAAGTAGGCTCAGGACCAATTACGCAGGAAATTTTAGAGTTTTTAATACATAGAGCATTGTCTGGAATGTGAGGGAGCCAAGCTCCAGGTGGCCTCACAGGCTCCTGGTTTTACAAGTATAAATAAGACATTCAAGAGTGAGACCCAGGGCAAAAGCCAATCCCTTTAACCAGGTGTAAGTATGCTACTGATTGCCAGTATTTTTCAAATATCTACTCAGTGGAGGGTTACTTCACCCATAGATTCCTTCTGATAGTATGGAGAGATCTGTATTTATATCTATATCTATCTACATCTACCTATATCTATATCTGCCTATCTCTATCATCTCTATTTCTATTTATGTCTACATATACATACATGTGTTTATACAGGTGTGTATATAATATATATGTATATATAATACATATGTGTTATATATGTATTTTATATATGTATGTATAATACATATGTGTGTATCTACATATATCTATGTAGTGTTCCTATCTGTTCATTCATTCATGTTATGGAAATAGGTAGGCCTGATACAATTAGTTGGGTGGTCTTAACCCCTGAAATTATATCACTACTTCCCCTTTTCTTAGTTCATGTTACTCAAGCACAGTTCTGATTGCAGTTTGACTTTCTATGTGGTCTGGCTGCAAAGAAAAAATGTGCTATTATGTCATAGTATAATATTACATATTAGGGTCCTTTGGCCATGTGGGAGTCACATTGTTCACTGTGTTTAATAATTGATAATGTTTTATATAGTATCCTCTCGTAAGTTTTGCTAGCATGTGTCAATGTCCCTAAGTCCACTAAACTGAAAATCTCTTGAGATCACTCTTCTGAAATTGAAAATTTGAGGACCAGTTGCTTGACAAAGATTCACTAATAGTAATGCCACCTGAAGAAGCCACTCAGCAGTCAGCCACCTGATCTTCCCTGGCACACCATGAACGTGGCCTGCACCAATTCAAACTCCCACAGTGAGTAAGAGTCCAGCGGGTGCTTACTGTATCTGTGCTCAAGTAATGCATAACTCACAGTGACACAAGTTTTCATCTAACCCTTTATGCTGACAGAACTGTAAGTAGCTTCCTGGGGTGGGAATAAGAAGACGGGACCCTACAGTGGTGGCAGCAAGAGAGTAGAGAAGAAGAGCAGCACATCTTACATTCCCTCTCCTTCTACTATTCTAACTTTTTTCACAATGAGATTCTTTCCCATAAATCCTTCTAGTCAGCAGGACTGCCTTTATGCACATGTGTGTCATGGCAACATGACGCAAGCACTGTTCTCACTGAATCCAGGATTTAAACATAAAGCTACTCTGAACATGTAAGGTACTCAGTGTTACGTAGTGTTTAGTAGACAAAAAGTATATATTCCTTTTTAAGAAAAAGTATTAAAATAAAATGGTCTATAGCAAAACAAAAATATTCAATTGCTCTGAACACCAAAATTTTTATGAAGCATGCAACACTAAACCAGACAGATAGATATTTGTTGGAACCCAGTCTTTAAAATGATGACTGAGTTCCTAGTAAGAGATTGTTCATTCTAGTCACCTTAATAACAGAATCAAGAAACCAACAACACAGGAAGAGATCTATGACTATTTGAGCCACAAACAGTGCCCAGTTTGGTGCATATGACACAGAATCCCTCCCTCCTTTCTTCTCTCCTTTTTTCCTTCCTTCCTCCCTCCCTCCCTCCCTCCCTCCCTTCTTTACTTCCATCCTTCCCTCCTTCCCTGCTACCTTCCCCCTTCCCTTTCTTCCTTCCTTCTTCATACTTTCTCCCCTCTTCTCTTTTTTCCATAAATATTTATTGGGAGCTTTCCATGTGACAGGCACGTAGGCAAGTATTAGGGATGTAACAGAAGCTTCAACATGTCTCAGACACTCTTGAAGTTTAGAATCTAAAGCAATGAGTCTCACTAAGACACAGATAAATTGTCATTCAAATGAAACTTGCAGACCAACCTGTGTAGCAAGATATAGTCAGGTTTATTGGGATGGGAGGGACAGAGAGTTACTCTCTATTTAATCCTAATTTATCATTTTAAACCACAGCTATCCCCACACAGCCATTTATTAAAAATCTACTGAAAACATAAAATAACACACTGTAAATGTGTCTATTTATGTGCCATGAAAATATTTATAACTTAGTGACATCTTGAATGTTAGGATCCTTAGGTGAGTTACAAATATACTAAAGAATGTATCCTATGTTAACAAATCTTACAAGAATACACTTGTTCATATATTGCTCAAGGGAAGGCATATTTTACCCCAAACTTTCCTCCTTGCCTCATTTAGCTCAATAACTTCCCAATATATGTTGAATATGCAAATCAAACAGTACCCAATGATGTCAGCTAAGTTGAAAAAGAGTTTAACATGATACAGACCACTTCTCTTCTACCAGAATGTTCTAGATGTATGAGAAATTTAAAGCTTAGGTATTTTCCAATTTCTAGGCACCAGAATTCAAAAGAGTTCTTTCTGTAATATTAGGGATAGTATCCATTTTTACCTAAATAAGAAACCCACTTTTTTTCATGTAGATGAGTGTAGAATGTATGAATTATGTATGAATGATGAAAGGAAGATATAGATCAGCAGTATATATCTTTCTCTCAGGTACATATTTAATAAAATAGTATACCAATTGTAATTTAAGAAGAGTAATTCTGAGGAGCAGTTCATAAGGCTTCCAGCTTTGTTCTTGTGACACATTTCCTGGTAGAAATATGTTATCCTAGACCTTGACCCTGCCTACATTACCTCCTTAGCACCCTCATGTCTGGGAAAGTCCAGCCAGTTCTACTTGTGTGGCATGGGAGAAACAAACATTCTTCAGTAGAATGAATTATGCAACCAAATGTATCAGTGATAACTGTGGTTTCAGCTACATTGAAGAGTAGCCAAAAATCGAACTGACCAAACTTCAGATCTCTCTTGGCCTTACTTGAACTCATTCAATATATCTGTGACTCTTTAACTTTCTGACTTATAGAATAAAATTAAAATGTTCTATACTAATAAGCAGGTAAGACTCAGTAAAAAATAAAATGCTTTTCTAGAAAGAATTCAATAAGTTATTATTGATTAGCAAAGACCTTTCTTTCCTAATTAGATTTTGATGCAAATTTATCATTTAAGGTCTCTAAGGTGCTTTAAGTTTTCTAAAGGAAAAAAATTTTATAAACATTGTATGTTATTACGTGGGTAAATATTCACAAAATTATAGTGATTCACTAGAGCAACAGAGTATAAACACAAAATACATCTGGAAAAGAAGATAGAGAAGAAAACATGGGTGGTCAATTTCCCAACCTATACTCTTCCTAATAAATCAGAGGTTGCCTCTACACAGAAATAATATATCATCTCCTCTCACATCTTGAAAGCTGCTAGAATCATTTCAAGGAAAAGTGGCCTAATACCTAAACAATCTCCAATCAGACATCGAGCTTCCTGAATAACTGAATGAATGCCGCCTGTTTGCAAAGCATTTATTTTCTCCCTTGAACAATGCGGGCTAATTTTTGCCTTTATACCCAGTTTATTGTAGCCTTCAGATAACTACAGTTCTCAATTTTGTTTGCGGAACATTCTGCCATCTCTCCCTTATTTATTTCTTTTGAATCTGGCATCTGCTTTTATCCTTTGTATCTTTGATTAAAACTTCTCAGAAAAATCCTCCTGGGAAGGTGCTTGTTCTTTTCACTCTCTTAGTTGTACATTGGATGTCAATATAGATAAGAGACTTGGAGCAAAAACAGAACAAACCATCTTATCTTTGAGCTGTGTAATTACAAACAAAATCTCTTTTGTGATACATAATCATGTAATATTTTACTTTACTTTGTCAAAAGATGGGACACTTTTAAAACATCTGCACTTTCTAGCTTCATTTATCAGTGGTGATGACAGCTGAGTGGGGTGGGGTGGCAAAGGGGATCAGAAAGTTGAACATTTTTGTCTCCCCTACAAAAGTAATTGTTTTGAAAGTAGCAACTAAATTCAGAGTCAAAATGTGTAAATTTAGTGGGTATTAAAAAATAATCTGAGTTTTCAACAGAGAAAGATAACTGATAATCACCAATAAGAAATAACTCTCTCTGGATTTTCTTTAAACATATCCAATCCCTCCTAGATATTTCCCACTTTGTGAATTGCATTTGCAGTATTGGGAAAATGCTGACGTAATAAATACTTCAGAGTTTTCTCCTGTTTTCCACACATTGCTAGAGAATACACATGATTATATGCACCTGTATTGTTTGGTCATTTTGTCTCCTTTGGGAAGAATCAAATGGATGAATTGATCCAATTTGGATGCAGAAGCCATGGGAAAAGCAGCTCTTACTGTGAGAATACACTGCATTTATAAAACTGCACATATAAAAACAATATTGAACTTTTGGAATGTTCACTGAGTATATGTTTGTGTGTATGTACACGTGAAAGCCCCTGTACACATCTACATGAATTAACTGGTCATTTCAGACATCAATAACTGCTGGCTCGTTTATAAAGAGGATGTTTTGTCTTCCATTTTGGACACACATGAAAAATGTTCTTAAATCACTTTCTGTTTTTATCATTAAATGTGGGAATATACCTAAAAACCAGAGCAAAAACTGTTCTTCATGTGAGGTCTGAAACATTTATCATTTTTTTTCTATAAAAGTAGGGAGATTCTGTATTTAGCCTTTTGTGGTAGAAGGTAATGAATAACTGAGATCAGATAACTACTAGGAGATTAACTCTATTCTATTAATTTTATTAATAAACTAATAATGCTTACATTTAAGGTTTGAATGCTTAGGAACTTTTAATTGGCAATTTGATCTTTATAAATTAAAAAAGAATAGATAGTTAACATCTTATTCTATATTTCACTTTAAATGATAATATATTAGGGAGTTTCAAGAAGAGTTTTCTTTTTATTGACAAGAAAATGGCACTCTTCCTCTGAAAAAAAAGTTTTATTTCTAAAAAAAAAAAAAAAAGATGAAACATGGGAATAATGGAAGAAACTTAGAAAAGAAACCGAGACATTATAATAGATATCTAGTGGATATTCCATTCACACAAACTGCCACACTGAGATTTAGTAAAAATGTTGTGGTTCCTTCTAATCCTGCTCCATTACTAATTCTTAGCCACCACCCTCTGTGTTCACCAACAAATGCCCAATGTTCCAGTCATACCCAATCAAAGAAGCCTTTTTATCCAACAAGAGAGGCTCCTCTTGTCCATATGTCTGAAAGGATTATGATTGCTTTACACTCTTCAATTGGAATATCAGCACATTAAAGCTTTTTAACCTACTATACTTTCTTCCTTGCTCACATATTGCCTACTGGCTAACTTTTTCTAAAGTAGACCCTTCATCTCCTTTGGAAATTACTGAGGCAGATGATTTCCTCTTTGATTTCCCCTTTGATTTCCCCAAAGGTTTAATAAAACTCCGCAAGTTCATTCTGTACCTTGCACAGCTGTGGCTTGTGGTCTCAAGAGGCATCTGAAACATGTAACAACTCTGAAGCATTGGATGTTAGACAACTGACCAGTGTGCATGCTCCTTGTCCAGCCACCAGTCCCCACGAGCTGATTTCTTACAATTCTCAAATTCAAACTTTTTTTCAATTAACATTTTATTTCTGACTTTGATGCTAGTCTCCTCACCAGACACATAAAACCTGACTTTCAGCCGGGCATGGTGGCTCACGCCTGTAATCCCAGCACTTTGGGAGGGCGAGGAGGGTGGATCACTGAGGTAGGGAGCTCGAGACCAGTCTGGCCAACATGGCGAAACCCCGTCTCTACTAAAAATACGAAAATTAGCCAGATGTGGTTGTAGGCACCTGTAATCCTAGCTACTCTACTCGGGAGACTGAGGCAGGAGAATTGCTTGAACCTGGGAGGCAGAAGTTGCAGTAAGCCAAGATCGTGCCTACAGCCTGGGCAACAGAGTGAGACTATGTCTCAAAACAAACAAACGAACAAACAAACAAAAACAACCTGACTTTCAGTCACAATTTTTGTCTTTCCTTTCACAGATGAATTGTTGATGCCATAGGCCCAATTCTATTTCCAGGTTATTCTTTGCTTCCAGGTAATCATAAGTTATTGTTTATTGCTCAGAATTATTCCTTCTGTCAAATGATTCTTTCCATATTCCACATCTATTCTGAATTTTCTCATCACTTCCTGTTTCTTTAATCAATTTCTTTTGAATTGGCAAATTTAAAAAGTATATATTTATCAGGTGCAACATGATGTTTTGAAATATCTATAAACTGTGGAATGGCTAAATCAACCTCATTAACATATGCATTACTTCACATATTTCCCATTTTTTTGCAGTGAGAATAATTAAAATCTACTTCCTCAGTGATTTTCAAGAATACAATACATTCTTATTAACTATAGTCACCATGTTGTACAATGAATCTCTTGAAGCTAACTGAAATTTTGCCTCCTTTGACCATCATATTTCTAGTTCCCCACCTCTCTTCATCAGCATTCCTTTACTCTCACTTCAGCCTCTGGTAACCACATTCTACTCTCTGCTTCTACACAGTTGACTTATTTAGATTCTGCATATAACTGAGATCATGTGGTGTGTGTTTTCTGTCTTTTGTGCCTGGTTTATTTCACTTAACATAATGCCTTCCAGGTTTAACTTTGTTTTCACAAATGACAAGATTTACTTTCTTTGTTAAGGCTAAATAGTATTCCATTGTGTGTATATATACCACATTTTCTTTATCCATTTATCCACTGATGAACACTTAGGTTCATTCCATATTGTGGCTATTGTGAATAATGCTGCAATGAATATGAGAAAGTAGTTATCTTTTAGATGTCCTGATTTAATTTTCTTTAACTGTATACCCAGTAGTGGGATTGCTACATCATATGGTAGTTCTATTTTTATTTTTTTTAAGAACCTCCATACTGTTTTCCATAATAGCTATATTAATTTGCATTTTCTCCAACAGTGTGTGAAGGTTTCCATTTCTCCACATCCTCACCATTTATTATCGTCCATTGCATAGTAGCCATTCTAACAAATGTGAAGTGATATCTTATTATGATTTATAGTTTTAATTTGCATTTCTCTGATGATTAGTAATATTGAGCATTTTTTCATGAACCTCTTCAGTATTTGTGTGTCTTTGTTGGAATAATGTCTATTTAGATCCTCTCCTTATTTGTAAATTAGGTGATGTAATTTCTTGCTATTGAGTTGTAGGAGTTTCTTATATATTTTGGATATTAACCCCTCATCACATGTAGGGATTGCAAATATTTTCTCCCATTCTGTAGATTATCTCTTCACTCTGTTGATTTTTTATTGTACAGAAGCTTTTCAGTTTGAGGTAATCCCATTTGTCTATTTCCACTTTTGTTTCCTGTGCATTTGGGGTCATATCCAAAACATTGCCCAGATGAATGTCATTGAGCTTTTCTCCTATGTTTTCTTTTACTAGTTCTACAGGTTCGGGTCTTATATTTAAGTCTTAATCAATTTTGAGTTAATTTTTGTATATGGTGTGAGATAAGGATCCGATTTCATTCTTTTACATGTGGATCTCCAGTTTCTCCAATACCATTTATTGAGGAGACTGCCCTTTCCCCATTGTGTATTCTTGGCACCTTGTCAAGAATTAACTGACTACAAATTCATAAATTTACTTCTTGGCTCTCTTTTTTCTTTCATTTGTGTATGTGCCTATTTTTATGCCAGTTCAATGCTGTGTTGATTACAATAACCTTGCAGTATATTTTGAAGTGAGGTTGTGTGATGCCTCCAGCTTTGTTCTTTTTGCTCAATATTACTTTGGCTATTCAGGTATTTTTTATGGTTCCGTTAGAATGTTAGTTTTTTTTTTCTATTTCTGTGAAAAATATCATTCAAATTTTGATAAGAATTGCCTTAATTTTGTACATTGTTTTGGATAGTATGGGCATTTTAACAATATTAATTCTTCCAATTCATGAATGTGGGATATTTTCCTGTTTATTTATATTTTCTTCCATTTTTATTCTTCATTTATTTTGTTTTATAATTTTCAGTGTACAAATCCTTCATCTCCTTGGTGAAATTTATTGCTAAGATTTTATTATTTTTTGTAACTTTTGTTAATGGATTGTTTTCTTGATTTTTTTGGATAGTTCATTTTTATGTATGGAAATACTACTAATTTTTGTATGTCAATTTGGTAGTCTAAAACTTTATTAGTTTTAATGGCTTTCTGATGGCATCTTTAGGATTTTCTATATATAAAATCATGTTACCTGTAAACACAGACAATTTAGCTTTTTTCTTTTCAATTCAGATGTCTTCTATTTCTTTCTCTTGCCTAATTGCTCTGGCTAGGACTTCCAATAGTATGTTAAATAGAAGTGGTGAGAGTGGGCATCCCTATCTTGTTCCTGATGTTGAAGAAAACCTTTCAACTTTTCCCCATTGAGTATGAGGTTAGCTGTGCGTTTGTTATATACGGCCATTATTGCATTGAGGTACATTCCTTCCATACCTAATTTGTTGAGAGCTTTTATCATGAAACAATGTTGAGTTTTGTCAAATGCATTTTCTGTGTCTGTTGAGATGATCATCAAGTGTTTGTCTTTCATTCTGTTAATGTGGTGTATCACATTTACTAATTTGTGTATATTGATCCGTCCTTGCATCCGTGGGATAAATCCCACTTGATTATGATACGTGATCCTTTTAATGTGCTATTCAATACAGTTTGCTAGTATTTTCTTGAAGATTTCTACATGTATGTTCATGAGAGATACTCTCCTGTAATTTTCTTTTCTAGTAATGGCCTTGTCTGGCTTTTCTATCAGAGTACTGCTAGACTTATAAAATGAGTTTGAAAGTATACCCTCCTCTACATTACTTCCTGAGATTTTCTTTAAAGTAAACCACATCTAACTTAATTTCTTTTGTAACCATTTACTTTTTATGAGCATTTGAAATATGTTTACTATATATCCAAATCAAGAAGGATAAAACAAAGACTGGGTTTTCAAACAATGCTGTATACTTAGCCTCTTCATTTTTTCATCCTTTTCCATGTCTTTTATCAAAAGAGGATGCATGTCTTCTCACAATCTTACCTCCTTTAGAAACAATTAACGACCTTGTTTATATAAGGGCATTCACTGGCCATGATAATTGACATCTAAGAGCTGCTTTCGACCCAGCTGTTTACCTCAACCGTGCACTGCTCTTAACCACCACACTAAATTACAGTGAATCTTGCATCTTATACCGAGGTATGGAAGCTTCATGTTAAGAATGACAGACTGACCACATAAAAAGAGCCTGCTTCCTTGACACTTCAAAACTGCCTTTATCAGCCATGGACTGCTTACCCTCTGACAGTTAAGGGAGAAAGAAATACACTTTTAATATAGAAGATGCAGTACATTTAACAAAGATATTTTAGCTACTGTTTCATTTTATTTGTTGTTACAGCATCTGAAACCTATGTCCTAATCAATAAACAAATGGAATGAGGTCTTGAAATAGTACAGAAAAGGAAGTTTCATCCTTTTATGTGAAATAGGACTACATGTACACTTCTCAACATGTGACCTGAAGTTCATATCTGCTGCATAAAAGTATAATTTAAAATTCT
The DNA here is from genome assembly GCF_000001405.40 of Homo sapiens. Taxonomy (NCBI): domain Eukaryota; kingdom Metazoa; phylum Chordata; class Mammalia; order Primates; family Hominidae; genus Homo; species Homo sapiens. The sequence continues at coordinate 218,872,603 of NC_000001.11, forward strand.
GGTAATTGCTAATATGGAAAAGATCAAGATATTGCAATAAAGGATAAAAAAAGGTAGATAGTTTTCTTAAATATGGTGATCTGAGAGAACTTCTCTGAAGAAGGGATGTCTAATCAGTGATATGAAAGGTAGCCAGGAGCTGGCCATGTGAAGAGAAAGGAGAACAACCTTCAAGGTGAACATCCTGGAGGAGATAAAATTTTAGATTGTGAGAGAAGCTAAAAGAATTCCAAGTGACTAGACTTTGCAGGCTTTTGGAAAAGGAGCCTGAGATAAGGTGGTGAGCTAGGCTGGGGCCAGAGTGTGCAGGATCTTGCAGGCCAAGGTTAGGAGTATGGATTTTGTTCTTGATGCAATGATAAGCTATTGAAGGATTTAAAATAAGGGAATGGTGTGGTTTAAGTAGTGTTTTTTCAAAATGGTTTTGGTTGATGTGTAGAGGGTAAATTGAAGAGAGAAGGGTAAGAATGGAAGCAGCAGGAGCAGTTTAAAGGCTATCACAGAGCCCAGGAGCAAACTCATGCTGACGATGCAGAAAAAGAGAGAGAAATTGAATGATTTGATGGGTACTGAGATACATTTTGAAGGGAGTTTGGATAAGACTTGCTGAAGCACTGGATTTGAGGAATACAGAAGAAAGGAAATAAGAATTCTATTTTGAATATATTAAGGATAAGATGATTGTGAGATGTTTTATAAGTCAATTTATGCTTCTGTAACAATCCCCAAATTTCAGTGATTTATTTTATTTCTTATTTCTTACTCACCCAACAGACGTCCATGGATTTTCCTGGTGACTTAATTCTCTTGGAAAGCTCTTCTCCAAGTGGTGGCATATGGACTTGGGATCTTTCTATCTGTGACTTTGCCTTTCTCTAAGTCCTTGGGTTTTGTTTCGGGTTTTGGTTTTCTCTCCATTCAGCTTGTTAGTGAGTAAAGAGCATGTGCAGGCAGGGAGGATTGTGCTGAATATTTTAATAGGCCAGTTCAGGCAGTGGCATGCATGATGTCTACCATTCACATTGACCAAACTCAATCACGTGGCCCACTTCAACTGCAAGAGAGGCTGGGAAGTGTAGTCTACCTATGTGCCCAGGATCAGAGGGAAAGGGTGTAGCAGCTTTCCATCATATTCAATGGCAATATAAAATGGTCTCCCAAATATATTTGAACAAAAAAGAAGAAACAAATGTTTATTGAATCCCACTTCCAATAATCTAACCTAAGCATCTCAGGGATTATAAAGATGAACACTCCTTCTGTGTTACCCACAAAAGGCTGTGTAATTTAATTGTAAAAAGAAGATACTGTGTAGATATTTGAAAAGTTGCAAATGAAAACAATGGGATATGCCAAAGAGAAATAAATAATTACCAAATAAATCATATAATCAGGCATCACACATTCAAGGGAGGGAAATTCACCACAGTCTAAAGGGAGTTACAGAAGTTTCCAAAATGAGCAAAAGTTTTATGTGGGTTATGAAAAATATGTCAGAGTAGACCAGGAAACAAGGGCAAAAGAGACTTTTTTTAGGCAGAGAGAAATCCATTATTAAAAATGAATTTTTCCCTATTTAAAATAACTGCCTTTTTGTCATTATCAGCACTCTTAGAAACAGCAAATTTAAATAGGCTGAATAATTATTTAGTAATCAGCTATTAAATAACTATAATCAAAATGATATTTATGTGGCTTAATGTAAAGTTTCTCTTTCCAAATATGCTTGTGCATATAGGCGCAGTCTCAACTGCTAAACAAAGAGTGGGCTCATTCAAACTTTGAACTCAAATCTATGACTCACTTTCTGTGGTCTCAGTTTCCTGCTTTACACAATAGAGGAATAAGATGTCAGGGCTGTCTAGGGGATCCAGATAATTGTCAGTTGGCTAGGAGAGTTTCTACATGTTTTATATACACAGAGATGATTATATGACGATCAGGAGGAAGGTTGAGCAACTAGCAACAGAGTCAAGAAGTGGGAATGTGAGATGATTTGTCTTTTTACACGCACAGAAATAACTTATTTAAATTGCTATGCCTGTCATTGGGTTCGGGCCTTTGGATCTAGCAATCAAGCCTGGAAGATGGAGCCAGGCTTGTAGAGAACCATCATGATTCACTTCTTGCAGACAGCCTTTGGCTATATACGAAATAGATTGATGATGATTATAATGTTAATAATAATAATAATAATTTGCGCTTACTTAGTAGCTTTCATGCTATATTTTCAAAGATGTTGTAAACATTAACTAATGAAGCCCTACAGCAACTCATAAGGTAGCTATTACCTGTATTGTGCAAATAAATAACCACGGCCAGCAAAGGTTAAATGGGAAGCCTGAAGTCATATAGTAATTCAAAGCCAGGGAAACAGAGATTGATTTCTAACCACAATGTTGGCTCCTTGACGTCTAGACCACTGTCCTTTCCTTGGCAAAGGAAGCTAACAGTTTGTAGAGCAGAAAATGGGTTATGAGGGAAAGAGCAGAAGTCTGAGGTTTAGGAGTATGCACAGGAGCTGGGTTAGAATTTCCCAGAATCAGTAATCCAATAGGGACATACTTGAAACACTGTTCCGCCAGAGCTAGCTTCCTACACAGGCGCTCGGCCGCCCTCACGGAGTCTCACGGCAGTGATCCGGGGACATGTTTGGCTTCTTTACCAGAATACAGGCAACTTACAGGTAGAAAAGAGGCTATTTCCTTGAATTCCTTAACATTTAACACAGTGCCTGGCATATCCGAGATATAATAAATAGATATGATGTAATAAATACTTTTTGAATAAATAAATGAATATGTAAAACACTTTTGTAAACTTAGTCTGAGTATAGAAAAAAATCACTGTAAAATGAAATAATTCCAAAAAGCGATGAAATTACTGACTGAATTGAAAGAAAAGGAACCTTCATGTAGAAACCTGAAACATTAACGTTGGTGGAAAATACTGGGCTTGAAAGACAGGCCAGCATTTGCTCTGACAATTGGCTACTCTACTATCTTCAGTTTACTCATTTGTAAAAGGTAAGTATAATAACAATGCCAGCCTCAGAGAATTGTCACAAGAATCAGATGCGACAGTATGTGCAGATCACCTATCATTAGATCACACCAAGTCCAAAATACATATTTGTGTTCTTTCCTCCTTTGAAAAGCAATCGTATCTCTAAACCTTAATAGTTGTAAATGTTTAAAATTAATATTCTTGCTTCTATGTAGAAAAAGCTATTTTCATATGGACAACGCTTTCTTAGCAAGGCAAAAGGAGGGAAATATTGAAACAGTTTTCTCCCTAATGCTATGTGAGAAAGAAAAGACTAAAGCACAACTAGCATTCCATTTAAGCTGCACCGTCTTAAGAAACACCACATAAATGAGCAAGTTGGAGGTTAGCTAATTTATCTGATACAAACACTCCCAAATTAATTTAAGGACCTCATGTATCTAATACAGTAAAGACAGTGGATTTTTTTTTTTTTTTTGCAGCCTCTAGAAAGTTTCACTTTAGGTAATAGTTTATACCTTTAATTTATGTTGAGCTAGTTTGGTATCCTTAGCTTTCTCTCCTTAGTTATCATGTCCCTAAATGGACTAGGGATTCCTGAGAGAGTAACGAAGGATGAACAGGGAGGGCATGGAGGCAGATGCTGAGAAAGCTCCCTGGAAAGCTTAGTTCAGGAATCTAGGAGATAAATTTATATGTTGCCTGATAGTTCTAGCTCTGAAAAAATTAGGAAAACAAAGTATAATTGGGGTTACACCTTAGATTTCTACAACGTAAATTAGTTATCATCTTTATGAGTTGATTAACACTGCAATATTTCTCTGGGTTTAACACAAATATACTGTGAGATCACTCTTAAGCTGAGCCACCCACAATGTATTAGTGTGTTTGGCTCTATTAAAAGCTTAGCAAAGAAGCAATAAAAACTTAGTTTTAAGTGGTGAACAGACATAATTTTATATCTGTCATTACCATTAAGACACACCAATGTGTAATTGAGGGAAATGAATGTTACAACAGAGCAATTATGTTTTTGATACATCCTCAATTCATCAAATGATTGTATCACACTAACAAATTTCTCTTGCTTGAAGTAATAATATTCCATTTGTAAGTCTGTTACTCTGTCAGATAACATATAAACTTGTTAATAGTTGTTAAATATAAAGGAAATAGACAGTTTAAATCAGAACACCAAGCAAATATAGTCTTTTTCTTGAAGCCAAATTGGTTCACACACCCATGCCCTTCATTAATTCTGTTGATCAGCATGATTCAAATTCAGTTTTTGAAATTTAGAATTGCAACTTAATTGATACTTGCAACTATTCTCATTTCTTATTACACATGTTCAGCCTTAGCATGGATTTGAAGTTAACATTAATAAATTTAAAATGCCTGCATTTACTGTTCTCATTTTTTCCTCTCTCTTATCTTCCTAGTGATTATATTTATCATGAAGGATCAGGCACAAGAATCAAGCTCTTACAAATATACTTTGATCTCACAGAATCAAAATACATAAAATCACAAAATACATAAAATTTGTTTTTAAAAATTAATATGAAAACAAGTGAGTTTAAGAAAATACAGAGGAAATCGAATTAGCTCAATAGTTAAATTATATACTTTTTTCTGAAAAATTTACTAAAATATTTCTAAAAAGCAACCTACCACATTCTTCTGTAGTGTTTTTAATACCTTCCCTGTTCACCAGCATACACATCTATATAACAATTCTCATTCAAATACAGTGCATCTATTTGCAAATAATATAATGGTTTAGAGATGTATTAAGAGTACTAAAGCAATTCAACACGAACTATACTTTAGACATGCTTTCAACATATTTGAAAACAAGTTTGTTAGAATGAAGACATAAGTAATCAGAATAATATGTTAAATAATAACCATGATTGACAGAAGTATTAGTTTTTGAGAACTTTGCTTTAATGACTTTTGAGAAATGTTGACCTAAATGTTTCAAATATTATTAATGGTCCTAAATGATTTCTGCGTCCATCAAGTCATTTGCAACTGTGACTATTTCCACAGCTGAGCTGCTGTTCTGAGCATACCCTAAGCTGAATGGCACACATTATTTTCAACTTGACGATGGCTGCATTTTAGTATTTTTGTTGATGATCTTGTCTTGCTGTTTCTCTTACATATAGTTTGCAGGTATCATTTAGAAACTCGTTCAGAAATGTAAATGTGTCAAGTATATGCGCTATAGTGAGTATTTAAAAAGGTTTCTTCTCTGTCATTGGTGTCAAATACTGTTCATTGAAGTAGGTTACCTGGGAAAACGTTGACCATTTTGTACAGACTATTTAGGGCACTTTTGCCTAAAGACAAGAGGATGGGCTAAACCAATTGCTCAGCTTTCTTCTGGTACTATGAGCTTCCAAAACAATGACTTTTGTCGGCATCTTTTTTCCTTCCAATTTGCAGATTTTTGGTGGCATTTCTTTTCCTGGGTTATTGAATTATTGGTGATATTTGATATAGACTAGGAGTGAGTCTGCTTTGAAACACTTTGAAATGTTTTTAAACTTGCTCTGAATTCTATTAAATGTATTTACATGTGGTTTGCATGTGAAATGTGTACATCTGTTTGAGAAAAAAACTCTTAGGTGGAAAATGAGCAGGGAATAATAAGAAAGCTTTTCTAAAATCCTTCCTAAGCTTCACATGCCAAATCCAATTAATTCATTTTTGATGGGTCATGTAGGAAATTTAAGTTACACAAACAATGAAATAGAGTTTGTTTTCACAACAGCAAGTATGATTACATTAAATGTTTCTACTTGGAATAATATATAAGAATATTAGTGGTTTCATTGATTCGAAACCCAAGTTGATTATATTACTCCTTTTATGAGAGATTTATTCTTAAATGGGAAATGAACACACAGATCAGAAAGTCATTGTCTGAAAAGAAAGTGTGACTCAGCATTTCCTTGGATAATATCCTTGACTTTCAGGGCCTCTGTTACCTCATATAAAAGGCTTTGCTATCACTATACAACCTCCAACCTCTCTTCTAGCTTGAAATACTGTGATTCCAAATGTACTCCTGGGAAAATTAAAAAATAAAGTCATGCACTACTTACTACTAAGCATTCAGAATTTTTTTATATGAATGACAGAATTCACCAAAATAGTTTTTCAAGGAAAAGGAGCTAAATAATCAATAATGAGAAAAAGGTCAGCATGATGTTAATACAAAATGTTTACTTATTTATTTATTATTTATTTTTTCTAACTTTTTTTTTTTTTTTTGAGACAAGGTCTCACTCTGTTGCCTAGGCTGGAGTGCAGTGGTGAGAGCATGACTCACTGCAGCCCCAACCTCCTGGATTCAAGCAATCCTCCTGCCTCAGCCTCCCAAGTAGCTGGGAACACAGGCACACGCCACCATGTGGAGAAAATTTATTAATTTTCTGTAGAGATGGGGTTTCCCCATGTTACCCAGGCTGGTCTTCAACTCCTGGGCTCAGGCAATTCTCCCACTTCAGCCTCCCAAAGTGCTGGGATTGCAGGCATGAGCCACCACTGTGCCCAACCCAAAATATTTAATTGCCATAAAAAAATCATCTAAAGGCTGTGTTGGAAGCTTGTGATTTTTGTGACGATGTTCACTTATTTTTGGCATTTCTCAAATGATCAGTTTACAGTAATTTTCCCCTACTACCCAGGGGTGGCAAAGTGATACAGCTTCCCTTTTTCTCTAAGGTATTTTTTGGAGCAGGCAATCAGAAAAAAAGGAAATGGATCCTACTGCCTCTCCAGAAAGACCATGATCTGTTGTCACTGGTTTGTTCATCCTGTCATCTCTATCCTGAGCCTATCCTGTCACCTCTATCCTCACTACTCAAGGGTCTGGGAGAGGGATGGCTGCAGTGATGTAGGGAGATGGTCACATGCCTTTCATCTCAAACTTCTTATCCTGCCAGTTTCCCTACCCCTGGACATGATAAAGTCCCTTCATTGAAATAACAGCTAGATCTCAAAACCAGCACATTGAGGATGAATGGAGGTTGTATTTTTATAGATTGCTATCTAGCACCATACAAGGAAAAAAGTCTTACACACTTAAGCCTTCAAAAAGACAGACTCAAAAGGGAAGATCCTGAGTTGCTTCCTAGTTTCCAGATTTCTTTCTCTCTTGATCCCTTATTTACCCAAAGACCCTTGAAGGCCTCTAGTCTTGTGCACACCCTCCTTTACCCCCAATTAGGAAACCCCTGAGGGTTTTTCTCCTCTTGTCCTCTGAATTTTGACAGCCAACCTAGTACTTCAGCCTTTACTTAAATGTTAATGAAAGTTCTCTTTAGCTTGGACACTACTAATTCTCTCTTTTTTTTTTTCTTTTGGTTGATAATGTCCAAAGATGCCTGCTTTATTTCCTGTTAGGTGATTGCATTTCAGGCTGATAACATCAAATAACAATCTAATTACCAACTCATTTTGTGCCTCTGAACTACAAACCAATAATCCGATGTGGCAGGGTATAACAATGTCAACAGCTTGTGAGGGGCTGGGTTTTCCAAATAAATGATTTGGATGGGCAGAGTGCTGAGTGGAGTTGAGGGTAATCTCCAGGATTGTTTAAAGACCTTGACACCTGATTAAGTGAGGCCAAAGCCCTATGAGTCCCTAGGCCAAAGCCCTCCACCCCAAATCCTAAGAGCATAGTTGTTGCTTCTCTTTTGGTGAACTATTATTTTAGCTTTCGGTGAAAGACCTGCCAGGGCGTTCTTCCGCAGAGTGAGCATGAAGGGCCAATGGATCAGGGCTCTTTCTCTAACTCTGGCATCAGCACGCACATACAGAGACCCTGACAGCCAGAGGAACTGCCTGGCAGATCTTTCACCAAAATAAGAGGTTGATCTGCCTGGGCCTGGCAAAGGGAATCCAATGCCTACTCGTGGCTGGCACACCCCCTGCCCTCACTCCCACCCTAGGATACAGTTCCTTCTGCAGAAAATGTGAGGCTTCTGGTAATTCCTTGTCCTTTTAGTTCTGCTTTGAAAAGAAAAGGGAATGACCATAGGGTAACCAAAGTGGGTGCAGGCACCTTGGCAGAGGTCCAGCGGCCTCAGGCACAGAGCTGGATGGAGTGAGAGGTCTGTGCTGGCTAGGAGGTGCTCCTCTAAAACCTCAGGGCTGAGTTTCTTGGGAATAGATATCCAAAGGGAAGAATTTGCTAACAAAATTTCAAGATCGTGGGAGCTGTTCATATAAGCAGGCAGAAACTTGGGGAAGGTCAAGATCAAGGAAGAAAGAGAGATAAGACAGGAATGAGAAGCTCTCATCACGAGGTGCGAGCTCAGTAACAGTAAGCCATTATTATATGAACTAGTACCTTCACTAAATGGTTTTTCTCACCCTGAAAATCCCCACAAGCTTCCTTTTACATTTGAGAAACTCTTGTCCAAGAACTCATTGATAAGCTGCTGTTTTTCCCTCTGACTAAAAGAAACTATGTCACTTAGAAAAGGACTTTCTCACCAACAGCTCTAAGCCGAGGTCTATCAAGACTCTTTCTCTGCTTCGCCTCCATGTAGCTGTCACCAGGCAGTTCCTCTGGCTGTCAGGGTCTCTGTATGTGCGTGCTGATACCAGAGTCAGAGCAAGAGCCCTGATCCATTGGTCCTTCACGCTCACTCTGTGGAAGAACGCCCTGGCAAATCTTTCACCAAAAGCTGGTGACTTTGCGAAAGTGATGCAGTCCTTGTTCTGGCTAGGCTATGCCATCTCGTGATCCCAAGCAGAGTCTCCAAACATGGTGGATTCTGCTGCTACTGAGAGGACACTCACCCCAGGATGCTAGCTGGGTAGTGAATGCAGAAGCAAGGCACCACAGAGAGGTTGGACACTTGGGTTGTGTGATTCAGGACACACTGGATAAGTCGAAGGGTGGAGGGAAGAAAGGGGAGGAGAAGACTGAATTCTAAACAACATCTCAGAAGGCCGGAGCTCCATTAGATGGGCTCTGGATTGAGCTTTTCTGCCAGGAAGTTATTCACAAAGGCCTCCACAATGGCAGGGGTGATCTTCTTCCACGTCCATCACATACTCCATCAGTGATGACATGTCCAGGATAGTGAGCAAAGGGGCAGCCTCAGGCAGGTTGGTGTAACCTTGCAGGAAGTCTATCATATCATCCTCCCCAGATACAAAAAATGGAAGTGATGCTCCTCCTCTTTGGCTTTGCACTTGGCAATGATTTTCTCAGCTATTGGCTGAATCAGCTGCTTGGCTTCCTGGGACTCTCTGTCATCCTCAGAGTCTACAAAAAGGAGGAGGCAGGGGCCAGTTGAGCTGCAAAGTGTTGGAGTCAGAGAGCTTCAGCACGGGCTTGGGTGCCACGGGAACTCCCAGCAGTCCTCGTCGTTAAGCACCTCCACTCACCCCGCCACATGATCACCTCACCCTGTGGGCCCAGCACAATGAGCATGGGGAATGCCTTGGATTCTATACAGCCAGATGGGGTGCGACTTCCAGGCCTTTTCAGTATGGGGGTTAGTGAGCCAGAACCTATCACTGAAGTACTGTTTGAAGGACTCTCTGATCTGTCTTCACTGACTAAGATAATCTCAAAGTTCTGGCCTGCCTCCTTGATCTTCTAATAAGATTCCACCAGGACCTGGGTGAGGCTTTGGCAGGATGAACACCCATGTGCAGAGAAATAGGGTCCTATGTAAGGCCTTTCTGGGATGCTGCTCTCCAAGAACTGTGAGTCATTTCATAAACCTGAAAAGGTTAGGTCCCCAAGGGAATTCCATACCTTCTGGGTCATCTCAGATCACCAGCAGCCCATTCTTGCCCACAACCTTTGCAGTGGTGGCATCTACGAATATTAGCAATGGAATATTGGAAATTTGGTATTTGTTCCAAAGTTTCTGTGCTTCTCCTTGTAGGGCAGCGCCAGCCAAGTCATGTCCCACATGAAGTCCTACCACTGCCACTGGTCATCCTTGCTGCTGCTCATCACCAGCTTCTAACCAAGCTGCTCCTCCAAGAAGCCCACCATCTTGGCCCACCACAACCCCAACGCACAAGCAGGTGGGTAGGGAGGCAGCGGCGACCCCGCTTCCTCTGTCCACCTGGCCTGGACACTGCTAATTCTTAATTGCAACAAGGGTGCTGGTGGGCACTCTGATGCCAGGTTCAACTCCCTGTCATGGAGAGCTGTAGCTGATTTTGTATCTAATTACCTAAGAAGCAGCATGCACAAATGAGTGAGCATCACTTATTTGTCTTGGTAGTATATTAGTCCACTTTCACACTGCTATAAAGATACTACCTGGGACTGGGTAATTTATAAACAAAAGAGGTTTAGTTGACTCACAGTTCTGCATGGCCGGGGAGGTCTCAGCAAACTTATAATCATGGTGGAAGGCAAAGGGGAAGCAGGCACCTTCTTCACAAGGTGGCAGGAGACAGAGTGTGCAAGGAAAACTGTCATTTTTAAAACCATCATGTCTCATGAGAACCCCCTCACTATCATGAGAACAGCATGGGGGAAACCAACCCCATGATCCAATCATCTCCTACCAGGTCCCTCCCTTGACATGTGGGAATTAAAATTCCACACGAGATTTGGGTGGGGACACAGAACCAAACCATATCATTCAGCCTCTGGCCCCTCCCAAGACACATGTCGTTTTCACATTTCAAAACACAATCATGCCTTCCCAACAGTCCTCCAAAGTCTTCACTCATTCCAGAATTAACCCAAAAGTTCAAGTCCAGAGTTTCATTTGAGACGAGGCAAATCCCTTCTGCCTATGAGCCTGTAAAATCAAAAACAAGTTAGTTACTTCCAAGATACAATAGGGGTACAGGCATTGGGTAAATTTTCCCCTTCTAAATGAGATAAGTTGGCCATAGCAGAGGGATTACAAGCCCTATGCAAGCCTGAAACTTGGCAGGGCATTCATGAAATCTTAAAGCTCCAAAACAATCTCCTTGGACTCCATGCCTCACACCCAGGGCACACTGATGCAAGGGGTGGGCTCCCAAAGCCTTGGGCAGCTCTGCTCTTGTAGCTCTGCAAGGTATGACTCCTGCGGCTGCTTTCAAGAGCTGGTGTTGAGTCCTATGACTTTTCCATGTGCACAGTGCAAGCTGTTGGTGGACTTACCATTCAGGGGTCTGAAGGATGGCAGCCTTCTTCTCAGAGATCCACTAGGCAGCACCTCAGTGGCCACTCTGTGTGGGAGCTCCAACCCCACATTTCCCCTCTGAATTGCCCTAGTAGAGGTTCTCCATGAGGGTTCCGCCCCTTCAGCAGAAAACTGCCTGGACATCCAGGTGTTTCCATACATCCTCTGAAATCTAGGCGGAGGCTTCCAAAGCTCAACTATTATCTTCTGTGCACCCACAGGCCCAACACCACCTGGAAGCTGCCAAGGTTTGGGGCTTGCACCCTCTGAAGCCACAGCCCAAGCTGCATCTTGGCTCATTTTAGCCATGGCTGGAGCTGGAGTGGCTGGGACACAGGGCTCCAAGTCCCAAAGCTGCACAGAGCAGCAGGGCCCTGGGCCTGACCCATGAAGCCATTTTTCTCTCCCAGGCCTCCATACGTGTGATGGGAGGGGCTGCCATGAAGGTGTTTGACATGCTCCACAGACATTTCCCCATTGTCTTGGCTTTTAATAGTCAGCTCCTCATTACTTATACAAATTTCTGTAGCCAGCTTGAAATCCTCCTCAGAAAATGGGTTTTTCTTTTCCACCACATAATCAGCCTGCAAATTTTCCAAACCCTTATGCTCTACTTCCCTTTTAAACATAAATTCCAATTTCAAACCATGTCTTTATGAATGCATATAACTGAATGCTTTCAGAATAAGCCAGGTTACCTCTTGAATGCTTTGCTGCTTAGAAAGATCTTCCACCAGATACTCTAAATCATCTCTCTCAAATTCAAGGTTCCACAGAGCCCTAGGGCAGGGGCAAAATGCCACCAGTCTTTTCGCTAAAGCATAGCATGAGTGGCCTTTACCCCAGCTCCCAATAAGTTCCTTACCTCCATCTGAGACCACTTCACCCTGGAATTCATTGTCCATATCACTGTCAGCATTTTAGTCAATACCATTCAACAAGTCTCTAGGAAGTTCCAAACTTTCCCACATCTTCCTGTCTTCTTCTGAGCCCTCCAAAGTGTTTCAACCACTCTGTGTTACCCAGTTCCAAACTCACATCCACATTTTTAGGTTATCTTTATAGCAGTATCCAACTTCTGGTACCAATTATCTGTATTAGTCCATTTCACACTGCTATAATGTTACCTGAAACTAGGAAATTTATAAACAAAAAATGTTTAATTGACTCACAGTTCCACATGGCTAGGGAGGCTTCATCAAACTTACAATCATGGCGGAAGGAGAAGGGGAAGCAGGCACCTTCTTCACAAGGTGGCAGGAGAGAGAACATGCCAGGGAAACTACCACTTTTAAAACCATCAGATCTTGTGAGAATTCCCTCACTATCATGAGAACAGCATAAAGGAAACTGCCCCCATGATCCAATCATCTCCTACCAGGTCCCTCTCTTGACATGTGGGGTTTAAAATTCCACATGAAATTTGGGTGGGGAAACAGAGCCAAACCATGCCAGTTAGTAAGCATTCTAGGTTAATTGAGGAAAGGATAGCTTAACATGGTTTTAACCCAGCTTAACATGGTTTTAACCCTGTACCTTGCAAAAGAAAAACCTTGAGATTTGTACTCTTGGACCAGGGTTTCTCGACTGTGGCATTATTGTCATTTTGGGCCAGATAGTTTTTCTCTTGTGAAGGGTTGTCCTGTGTGTTATATGAAGTCTAGAAGTATCCAAAGTCTCGACTCAGATGATGCCAATTATAGCTATACATTGAGACAACCAAAAATGTCTCTGGACATTACCAAGTGTCCCATATAAGCAAAATTGCCCCTTTGGAGAAGCAGTCCCCTAGATGTATCTTATCTTATAAGAACTTTTACAATAGCTGTGAATGGCTTCTTGTTATCCTCCCAGATATCACCATTAATTAGACTTTTTGTCTGTTTCCAAATTGCTCCACACCTTCCCCGAAGTATCAGGTACTCTGTGTATCATTAAAGATATTATTCTTATAATTAAATACCAAGAACTTATATTGAATTGGTTTAATAAAGACTACTAGAGTTCTCTGCTTGTTACAATCTCTTTTTCCTAAAGGTTTCCAAAATTCTGGTTTATCTTAGCCTGACAATAAGTTAGCATTTAACTGCTCAGCTGTTGGGCATTCTCTTTTATAGCCAGGGCTCTCTAGAGAATTGAGTTGTTCACAGAAAATACCAAAGGGACATCTGTAGTATTCTCTTCTCTGCTTTGTCTCTGCCTTGACCCAAATTCTCTTCTTGCATCAGGTTCGAGCTACAGTAATTGGAGGCCCAAAGAAGGCTAGTTTATCCTAATGATATAAAAATAGTTACTAACTTACACGTACAGTGTTCTATGAATGGATTTATGCATATTCTTTTAAAAACATGTACGGAGCTTTATATACAAAAACTGGGAAGAAGACAAACTGGAATTTCCATTGTCCTTCCTTCCCAACTTTGCATTCTAATATTAGTTTAAATTTGATCCACTTTCATCTTTACTTGGAAAGTATGAATTTAAAAAATAGAGCTTTCCAATTTTCCTTTCAAGATATGCCACGTACTTAAATGCTCTTCAGGCTTCTAATAGCAGAAAATATCCATTATGTTTTGTTTGCGACAATCAGGGTGGAGAAAATAATGTTTTGGCTCTTCTGAGGAAGAAAGGGCTTCTGGAAAAATGCTAGCAAGTGTTTAAATAATTATAATCACACACATAAAATTAAGTATTCTTAGAAATGCATTATGGTGCTTTTTTTTTTTACTGGGTAGGGTAAATAAGGAACAGATTTTTATTTTTATTTTTTTGGTTTTATTAGGGACATTTTATAAATCACAATGCAGTGAAGTTCACCACATGAGTCGAGCTGGCCCACTGCCACTACTCAGCTCTGTAAAAGCACCAGCTCTCCTTTGAATTCCGAGAACAGCTCTTGGCCTGTGAGAACATCTGGGGCTCAAAGTTTTGGAAAGAAACAGTTCAGGTCCCTTTAGAAGGGCTCTCCCTATGGTGGGAACCGGAGTGTGCACACACTTAAAAAGGATTTTGTAGTACCATTGGCCAGAGGCATTGGCTTAGAGCTCTAGCACCAGGGAAGATCAATGTGAGACCAAAACAGATCCCCAAGAAGCTTCATGAAGTCATTCAGTGGGATTCAGGGGCCCAGAGTATGTTTTGTATATCTTCTGTATTCTTTTTCTATGATTTTTCTTAGGGAAAATGAGTGTATTACGGCTGATGGGTCTTGCATTCTCCTAAAATAGTGATGAAGAAAGGGAGACAGTGTGAAAAAGGCAGGGGCTTAAGGGTATATTCAGGGGAGCCCAAGCAAAGCTGATTCCACATGTAAAGGGCTGCCTCATGAATTCTGACAGTGATTTTCAAAGCACAGAATGTAGACATTAACAGGTGAGTAGTCTTGTCTAACAGTTATATGGGGGAAAGCCACTCATAAACGTAGAACTGGTAGTTGTCTAATCTACCAGAGGAAAGCTCCCTTAACTGCACCCCTGTCTATTCACTTGGGGGGCTCTGCCCCATCAGCTGCCAATAATGGCATGTCCTGTTCCTTGTGGAGGGGGGAGAAACAGGAAAAGGTGGGTAGAGAGAGGTGTACTCACACATAGGCATGTGTGTATTTATCTTCAGCAAGAATATTTTCTTCCTGACTCATTCAGGATGCTTTAAGATGAAGAGAGATAGTATTCATTAAACATAATTACCTGAATGATTTTAATTACAAATCATTAAGGAGAGATATAGCCTTGTATTTTCTTAGAAAATGGAGCACTTAAGAAATCATGTTGCCCCTTTCTCTGATCTTTTGGCTTTACAGATGCATGTTAGGGAGTGTAATTTGGATAAAGCTGCGGGAGCTCTGAGGTATATAAAATTAAATTACACTGCCAACAAAATGAGATTTCTTTGGCTCACCCTCGTCCTCTCTTTTGAGATTCAAAGGCCCTGCCAAGTGCCCCGCCAAGTGCCCCAAGATGATTAATTCTGAGAGCCCCCACGTGGCATAGGCTACTAACCTTTCCTTTTGAATCCAACATTGTTCACTATCTTTGCTGCCACCTTGCTTTATGGGTCCAAAGCCACCTTGTTGTGACAGTGCCTTAGTGCAATATTCTCAATGACATTGCTGCTGTGGGTCTGACTGGGTGAGTACTGAGTATAACTGCAGTCTCTAGAACTCAGAAAATGTCAAAAGTGAGCTGTTATAAGCCCTAAAATGTGGTGCATCTCCCTTTCCCTTTTCACACTGTACAAAAGGGCTGCGTGGCATTGCGAATAATTCGTAAAGAGGTATTTTCATTCCACTTAACATTCATTTCTGCCTACTACTCTATGGGGCTTTTTTGGGTGACAAACAAGATAACAGACATTGTACTCATTGCTTGCTGTAGACTCAGTCTCCCTTTGAGCTACTTTTGAGGCACCTTTTCTCTGGATAAGTCTTCCTCAGGGAATGCTTAGGTTCCTTATGCAAATGAACTTATGGTAGGCTACTTCCCAGGCATCCAGACAGATTAAGGTAACAGAGTTTGGGTTCAAGCCCAGATCCCAATTCCTATATATTAGTTGTAATTTGAGGATATTTTAATATATTCTATTTGAAAATAAAATCAAGGGAAAAAATGGGACAGCAATCTGTATATGCGAAATCTGTATATTCTACAATAAGAGAACAGGACAAGCCAAGATGAACAATCACCTAACATTTCAATTTTGTTTGGTTTGGTTTGGTTTGGTTTTTTGGTTTGTTTTCAGTCAGTCTTAATTAAGGTATATATTCCTTCCTAATGAATATTTATTGGAAATGTAATGTTTTGTTTTCTGCAAAATAACAGACTAATTATTAAGTAGATATGTTTGAAATTCCTGGCTGACTAAATAAACGTATCTACATTTCTTTCTTTCAAATTAGCTTAATGTGAGTCATTAAAGACCAAGTGGGTCCAGGAGTTCATTGGCATTCTGATATATTATTGTATTCATTATATAGCTGGATATATAAATTTCAAGATCTGTAGAAAATACTGGCTGGTTTATCTAACATTCCTTCATATAGAGAACAACCATTTATATTTGTCCATAGAGGACAAGATCAATTGAGTTTAAAATGAAGACACTTTATCTTTCAGTAACTTCTGATCCTTCAATAACTTCTGATTCAGTAACTTCAAATCTTTTAGTAACTTTTGAATCACCAATGAGTAAGTCAGGTTTAGCTGAGTTTTACAGGTTTAGCTGAGTTTTAGTGTGTTTTATTGCAGTCTGCTGAAATTGGCTATCCATGTCCATTATATACAGTAACTGTGCATTAAGTAACATAGTTGAATAACACACTCACTACCCATAAAATATGATAGAAACTTTCCTGTAGCCTCCTTGTCCTATCTCAAGTGTTCTCATGGACTGGGGTATGGATGTGTTATCCTTCTTGGTCACTGAGCCACATAGTGAATGACAGATCTATTCACCTGGCTGTTACTAACTGCTTACGAGTCCATTTATGAAATTTAGGCTGTCAGTAACAGCAGCCAGAAGTCCTTGAACAAGTAGATAATAAAATGCTTGCCTGCCAAGATGATTATAATACAACTTAAGATTGACTTTCTTTGGAGCTGCCAATGACATTTCTACTGGGCTCTTCCCATCCTGGAAAGAACAACAGAAGCATGTGTATGCATGTTATCACCTTCCAGTCACCTCCAACCCTTGCAAAAATATCAAAAGACTTCCCAGTCTTGGGGAAATCTGACAAGGGACAGAATTATGAGAGTCATCTTCTCTGTGTTCATCACATTTGAGTTATTTTACAAGCCAAAACCTAAGAGCATTTTCCATGTCTGTAGCGCTATTCACAGGAGGCAGGGTGGGAGCACCAAATCCCAACCCTGTGCTGATTGATTGGTGTGAGCCCTGGATACAGGACAACGGGAGAGACCTGAGACCTTCCCATATCATACTAAGTCAAAATGCTGATACAACCTTCAGGAATTCGGCCGGGCGCGGTGGCTCACGCCTGTAATCCCAGCACTTTGGGAGGCTGAGGCAGGTGGATCACGAGGTCAGGAGATTGAGTCCATCCTAACACAGTGAAACCCCGTCTCTACTAAAAATACAAGAAATTAGCCAGGCATGGTGGTGGGCGCCTGTAGTCCCAGCTACTCGGGAGGCTGAGGCAGGAGAATGGCATGAACCTGGGAGGCCGAGCTTGCAGTGAGCCGAGATCATGCCACTGCTCTCCAGCCTGGGCGACAGAGCGAGACTCCATCTCAAAAAAACAAACAAACAAACAAACAACAACAACAACAAAAACCCTCAGGAATTCAATGCTTTCAAGGGGAAAAAGCCAATGACACTCACACAGTGTCATTCAAAAGGAAACTAATATGAATTAAAAAAAACTAACAAAGAATGGTAGCAGGGAAATCTGTGAGCTACATCATAACCCCTGGCAGCAAGCATGCACCAACTCCACTTCCTGGCCATCATTCACGCCTGATGTTCTTGGAAATGTGTGTTTTGCCCCTCCATGCTTAACAAAACAACAATCTAAACCCCAAACCGAAGGTTTGCTTTATAATTTTTCAACAAATTTTGTTCTTGGAAAAAATACCAGTGATAAAGTACCAACACAATGTGCTCTTGTCATTTGCTTTTCAACATTGAAAGAGAGAGTGGGCTATTGACGTTTGCTGTTTTGTAATCAGAAAATGCTTAGGGGAAAAAAATCTGCAAACTCTTGGTCAGCACAGCATTTTGGAAATGAAGCAGTTAATCTCATTTTATTCCTTTCATTGTTAGTGGAACAAGTTAGGACTTAATCAACTTGCTTTTCAAATGTAACCCTTTTTAATGAAACATGAGGTTACAAAGTTCTCATTCTTCAAATCAACCCAAGCTGAAAAAAAGTTTTCAGGTCAGTTAACACATGCTTCCTATCCACACCATGACATTCTGTGGGGGGAGAGGAGGAGTTGTGCAAAGAAGGGATTTAGTCATTACTACTGCTCAAATGTCCGAAAATTTGCAATATAGCCAGCTGATGGACTATTTGGCTTTCACGTATACCCCTGTTACAGGTACAAAAAGAAAGAATTTTGAAACATTTATACTTGTTCTCTCATACTACAAACATTAAATGATCCCAACACAAATGTATGAGGAAAGACACTGCAGATTCCACGCTTTCCTCCTCTATAGACCTGCAGCGTTTCTCACTGGTTCAGAGCACATGTGGTAAGGCCAGGTTGTCCTCAATACTTGCTCCCTACATTGAACCTTTCTTCAATTCTATATACAACTCTTAGCAAGTATTGATGTTGCCACCATGACTGTAGGATTATCCTGGAAAAATCTGGGCTCTGATTCCCAAAGGCTCAATTCCCATTCATGTACGTGGAAGTGGATGGGCAATGTCAAAAAGAGGAATGATTTCAAATGCAAAAGGAATTATTTCCTTTTCAGCAGAAAACATGAAAATATTTCTTTCTCTCTCTAACACTTGCACCTATGCTACTTCAGATGAAATTAGACTTAAATTTTGTCTGCCTCCTAATCATGTAGTGAGAGATCCATCGTGATAAGTGAAGTCTTCCCAGACTATGATGATAGGAGAGCCAAGAAATGTTGCCCTAGTATCTCAAATACTCTTCCACTCTAATCAAAAGTTTCCAGAATATCTCATAATGCACCATGAGGCTTGACAAATAATTTTAGAAAGAATTGGAGATTCTTACACATTGGTCAGAAGAGGGACTGGCTCTGCAAAGGTTCTTAACCCATTTGCCCTTTTTTTTTTATTAATGGAAGATGTTGCGTATATATTATTTATATGTTACTGCATAAGTTTAAGTTTACATTACACAAACAAATCAGGACCTGGAGCATCCTGTTACCTAGGGTTGCTTCACAGGAACCGGTAGTTCTAAGCCAGAATTGTTTTCACTTTGAAGGCGATTCTGCTCAGGGCTGAAGCCACTGCGTAAACAAACTGACGGTTTGAAAAGAAACACCCCAGTTTTAATTCCATTTGGAACTAAGTTTAGATAATAATTTATCTTGTAACAGAATTACATTTTTAAAAAGATGTTTATAATTTTAACCATTAGTATTTTTGTACATAACAGACAGCCAAAACTGTGTCAACTTCAAGTACTTTTCTTCTGCAGCAAAGAAAGTAACTGAGAGCTACTCTCTCTGTAACTATGGAGAGTTACTCCATACAGGTTACAAAGACCAGGACAATTGAAGAGTCCCAGGAGGGGCCACTCTTGATGGTCCCTTTTCTTATTTTCTTTTCTATCATAATTAAATACAGAGGCCATGGGTCTCTGGGGGGCTATCTCCAACTTCTGTCCATGCAAATAGCCCCCAATCAGAAGAAGACTTCCATGCATTCCTGCTAACACATCTCAGAGGGTCCAGAATGGAACACATATTTCACACACAGAGTGCTTCTCAAACATTAAAGCACATCTGGACCACCTGGGGATCTTGTTTTACAAAGATTCTGATTCAAGAGATCAGGACAGGGACTGAGATTCTACATTTTCAACATGCTCTTGGGCAATGCTTCTGGTCCTCTGACCCTACTCTGAGATCTGAGCATAAAGAGCAATAACTTTAGGGTAGCCACCTGGAGTTTTATGTGGAAAAGAATATTCTGAAGCTAAATTCTCGCTTTTTGGGAAAGAATGATGTCATCTATGAGTGAACTTTGCCTTGGTGATGGTGGCAGTAGCAATAATGTCAGGGTTTTTTTTTTTACCACTCCTAGACAGTCATGACAGAATCTCATCACCATGATTTAGGAGATAGAGAGTCCTGGAGTTTATGTTATTCTCTTATTTCCAGAAGAACTTAGAATTCCTGCATACTGATGAGATTATTATCTGGTATAATTATGATGGTACAATTATGAAGAATCTTTTGCAGATCAAGTTTCAACAAAAAGGTTAAGTACAGTAGGTAAGGTCACATAGAAAATCAAGAATACATTTTAGTTTTCCTGTCTTCTAAAATATTTCCATGATTAAATTAGCCTGCAACTCATTTTTTGGTATCAAATTGATGTGAAATACGAGCAGAAAATAGATATGAATTGACTTATTCTTAAAAACCCAGTGCTTGAAAATTCATTGTTTTTTTGTTTCAAAGGATAGATTAAGTGGAAATTATTTACATTTATAAATATATCTTTATAGTAAATTCAGCAAATATATTTTAAAATAAAATTAGTTTTGTTAAATTGTCCACATATTTTTAATGAAATATATTATACTTATAGATCCATTGGGGTATAACTACAATAATAATATTGGTGAAAATTGGATGGATATATTATTGAATGGAAAGAGCATTGGAATGAAAGTTAGAAAAACTGGATTTGAATTTCTGCACTGCCATTATCTAATTGCATGAACTTGGACAAGATGCAGATGCTTCTAGACTTATAGTGGGTTTATGTCTTCATAAACTCACGGTAAGTTGAAGATGCCATAAGTTGAAAATACATTTAATACACCTAACCTACCCAGTATTATAGCTAAGCCTAGCCTATATGAAACGTACTTAGAACACTTACAGTAGTCTATAATTGGGCAAAATCATCTAATATAAGGCCTATTTTATAAACAAGTGTGGAATGCTGTATGCAGATGAGCATTTTGTAGACATAATGGGATGTGAAAACACAAAACAGGATATCTAAAAAACACTGGCAACACCGTACACTGTAAAATCTAGGTTTTTTACCCTTGTGATCACGTGGCTGACCAGGAACTGTTCATTGTCACTGCCCAGCTTTGCAAGCAGGTGTTATACCACATATAGCTAGCCTGGGAAAATATCACAATTCAAAAATTAAAGTGTAGTGTTTATTGAATGTGTATCACTTTTACACCATCATAAAGTTGAACAATCCTACGTTAAACCATTGTAAGTTGGTGACCATCTGTTCTGTGTGTGTGTGTGTGTGTGTGTGTGTGTGTATTCATGCATATTCATGCACACGCTTGTGCATATGAAGAATAATTTGCCCTCTGTATATCACTGAGCTATAATGAGGGTCAAATGGGGTGATGTGAAAGGCTCTATAAGTGGAAAATAGCTAAATTATTATTTTTATAATAAAAACCTTAATGTTAACCCATATGTGATAGCATAAAGCATATAACAATATTTGTGTCTTGTGTTAGTTGATACAGGGAGTGTATAATGTCATTAACATAGTTGTACTACCAGGCTCTGTTAATTAAGGATTGTTGGCAATTTTGTCAATAATTTTATAATTTCTGTGTGTGTGTGTGTGTGTGTGTGTGTGTGTGTGTGTGAAAGAGAGAGAGAGAAGCCTGTATAGCTGAAAGACAATATCCTTTTGACAAAAGTGGGTAAGTACACTACTTGATGCTTACAAATCAGTAGAAATCTAAGAAATAACAAGAGAAAATAAAAGCCATTTAGAACCAGGTTTGGTATTCAAAGAAGCAAGGTAAATAAATGGGCAATTGACATTGAAAAGACTTGTCCAAAATAGGGAATTTTATTAGAAAGTAAAACAATTAGGAGAAGCAAAGCATAGTGCTTTAATTATTAAATATCTCAAGTTGATAACCAAATTAAAAATCCCAGATATTATACCTCAGAATTTAATTTCGAGTATTAGTCCAAATGCAGCTAAAATGAATACCACCAAACTGTATATTCGAGAAGCATTTTTATTATTTTATTTTAATTTTTAAAAACTGTGATAAGAACACTTAACATGAGATCTTCCTTCTTAACAAATGTTTAAATGCACTATAAATATTGTTAACTCTAGGTCCAATGTTATAAATGACACACAAATACTTTTAGAAAGTGGGGGAAAAATATTTGATCTATAAATTTTTAAGCAATGATTGCCAGCTATTTCCCATTGCCATAACTATGCTAAGGACAGAAAAGTAGTTTCCTACACAATGCTTATCAATCCCTAAGTCATCTTTCCTCAATCACAAGACAGAAAAGTAGTTTTCTACACAATGCTTATGAATCTCTAAGTCATCTTTCCTCAATCACTGACTTAGATAGATTCAGAATGACACTTGGTTAACTGTTTCCAGATAATTTATTACTGCAACCCAAACCAACCCTCTGCAAAGTTGCAAAGGTGATTAAGCTTATTGTTGGTTGCCTCATCTTCTCCAGTTTATACCCCTTCTTATCTTTACACCCATCCTAAGTGTAAAATCTACTTATTTTTCTCTTGTCTTTGAGAACATAAACGGAAACTCTATCCAAGTCTCAAAAAGCAGATATAAATTTGAATAGTCACTTCTTTGAGGAGTATTTTTTTTTTGTATTTTAATAAGAATCAAAACCTGGGAACCCTGCAAATACAGCTTCCATAGGACCCCTTGTTTGTCTTTTTGGCACAGGGCAGGGAGTGGATAGTGCTGGTAGCCAAGGGCTGATCCAAACTCAGGAATGAAGCATAGGTGTTTAAGAATGACTCAGTCCCTTGCCTCTGGATTCATTCCCTATAAATGTCCAAAATTATTTTTATCACTGCAGCTGAAATTCTACCAAGTACAAATATATTTATCTTAACAAGCTTACTCATTTTAAAGGCAAATATTACAATGAGCGTTATATCTCATTTACTTAGTATGTGTTGTTGTAACCTGATGTTTCCCTCTTCGCACTGACTACTACAAAATTATGGTTGATTTGAGACTAGGAGTTTAGGGGTCTGGAGATCAAGGGAGGCTGAAACGCTGAATTTGAGGGGTACACAATCATGGCATGTCTCAGAAAGCAGTAGGTATGATGGATGTAGATGTCTGGACCTAGTAGGTAGGCCCTCCAGTGTGAAGGTGTAACCATGCATCTGAAGTCAGAGAAGTGTTAAGTATCAGAAACAGATGAGACAGGTGCAGGTAAGATACACAGGAATAACAAGTGGTGGGTGGGAAGTTTAAATAATGTGCATGTTAGGATTAATATATCATGAAGGACAAGGTCAATTTTAAAGGTCAAAGCAGTAACCGTCATTCTGGGAGTTTGGGCATTGCAATATTTTAGAAATCAGGCAAAAGAGCATTGGAACTCAGGCAGAGAGCCTAGGCCATAGAAGTAAAGCACAGAATCAAGATGACCCTTTATCCAAACCTATTTCCTCCTTAATCAGTAACTTGCTTTAGTTTTTGTATGCTTATTGTTAAGACAGGAACTATGTCCCAAGAATGGCTGGCTTAGAATCTGCAGGTGGAATGAGTGAATATGATGTAGGGAAAAGGAATTTTCCATCCTATTGATCTAGATCTTCTTCTTTACTTATGTTTAATGACAGATTGGCCCCCGAGTCCATGGTTGTGCTGCAAAGACAGAACAGGATGAGCACACAATATACTAAACAGGCAACCTCCCAAATCGATAGGAAGCATACTTGCCTAGGCGAGCAATAGAAAATTCATCGTCTATTGGTAAAGTAATTATTAGTAGTAGACATCTAGTTAGGAGACAGAAGGAAGGAGAGCAAGTGGATGCAATTGACCCTGCTTGGGAAATCCTGAAGGCACAGCACTCAGATGGGCAATAACTTGCGCCACATGTAAAACTGCCTGCATGTGAGTTGATATAAGTACCAGGGTGCTGTCCTAGGGGATTAAACCCATAAAACATGGCCCTGAAACGTCTTACAGGATTAGCAATACATCACACTTGCGCACCAGAAGAGAACGGGATACATTCTACTGTGCCATTATCTAGACTTGTGATCTATTGGCATAATAAAAATGTTAAGTGAATTTTTAATGACTGCATTGATACAAAGTAAGGTTCAAGCTTAGATAGTGTTTGTTTTCCATCACCAAAGAGTTTTGCAGCTTTTCTACAGATAATCCATAGGCTCACTAAAGCCTGTTTGAAACACCTTTCTGCAAAACCGTTCAGCAGTTACCAGGAGAAAACTGGCAAATGAGCTGTTATTAAAGAGAAAATGATGCATCAATGCTTACCTCTCATCCATTTAAAATAATTAACCCACTGGGAGCAGTGGCTCATGCCTGTAATCCCAGCAATTTGGGAGGCTGAGGCAGGCAGATCACTTGAGGTCAGGAGTTTAAAACCAGCCTGGCCAACAAGGCAAAACCCCATCTCTACTAGCCTGGCCAACATGGCAAAACTCTGCCTCTACTAAAAATACAAAAATTAGCTGGGCATCGTGGCACATGCATGTAGTCCCAGCTACTCAGGAGGCTGAGGCAGAAGAATCGCTTGAACCGGGGGGCACAGGCTGCAGTGAGCCGAAATCACACCACTGCACTCCAGCCTGGGCAACAGAGCGAGACTCCAGCTGAAAAAATAAATAAAATAAAATGAGATAAAATAATTAACCCCTACTTGGAAACAGTTTTAGTGTCAAGCGATTTATTATTAGGTTGATGCAAAAGTAATCAGAGCTATCCTTTTGATATTACACATTGAAGTGTCCCAGAGAAGAAAAAACACACTTTGTTTATTAAAGCAACTTGGGACGTTGTTTTCCGTAGATACATATCTTTTTTTTTTTTTTTTTTTTTTTTTTTTTGAGACGGAGTCTTGCTCTCTCCCCCAGGCTGGAGTGCAGTGGTGCAATCTCCGCTCACTGCAAGCTCCGCCTCCTGGGTTCATGCCATTCTCCTGCCTCACCCTCCCATGTAGCTGGGACTACAGGTGTCCACCACCACGCCCAGCCATAGATGCATATCTTTAAAAAGCAACCTTTGCTTTTCAATATTATGTGCAGAAAAATACTGAGAAGAATAAATCCCCAGTGTGTAATTACAGTTGATAAGAAATAAGACACAGATAGTCACTTGCCCAAGTCATGTAGAGGACTCCTTATTTCCTTTAATAAATTAAAGGAGTGGTAGCAAATGTAACTCATGTCCACACAGAAGCCCCCCAAGAGATGTCTCTGGGCTGGAACCCTTGCCTAAGACCTTTTCTAGTTAAACTTGGTCATGGTTCCAGTTCAGTGAATCACAAGGCAGTGAGAATAGTGACATTCTGATATACATAGGTCAGTCCAGTGTGGAAACATTAAAATTTTGGGCACAGATAATACCAATCAACACAACGGGAATTGCTATGTGCATTTTGAATTGTTCTTAGAGGAAAAAGAACCAGCTTTGGTAATGAGAATGGCAATTCTCTTTTTGACAGCTTCTACTACTGGCAAATATCAATGCCAATTATTTGAAGTACTCCCCAAGTTAATCACTGTATATGAATTAGGTTACAGTTTTGAACCTGCCTCTTCTTATGCAAAACCCAAGGGAAAGCAGAGTTTGAAACATCCCAATTCTTCCTTGATATTCTACATGATCTTGGGTAAGTCATGAATCTTTATAAATTCAGACTTTCCTTTTGAGAAAAATGATCATTAAGCCCTCTACTCATGCTTATTATAGTGATTAGTTTAAGTTTCAGTTGTTTTAGTTTTTGAAACATGGTACTAATGAGTGAAAGGCCACATATTTAAGCTCTGGGTGGGCTGTTTAACTTTGTTCTGTTATGTGATCATACTTTATCATAACCAGGGATTTGGGCCAAATAAAATATCAATTTGGTTCAAGTTTATTTCAGAAAATATTCTGATGCTCTAGTTTCATTCTGGTTCAGTGGTTTTCAAAAATACAGGTTTGGTGTCTGTTCAAAAGTTCTCACTAGGTTTTAAAACAAAAAAAAATGGTTGTGTTACTTCTTGGTAAGTGATGCTCAGCTCAAGTTTCATTAGATCAGTAGTTCATTCCAACTTTGTATAAATTGAGTTTATAGTTGGAAATGGTTCAATTTTCAGCAACTAACTTTAAGTCAGATATCTCAAAAATAGACATTGCTAGTCACAAAAGAAACAATGAAGGAGCGAATGGAGAGATTTGGTGCATTTCTTTAACCTATACTATCAAGATAAATTCTACTGCAAGTGGAAAAATCACATCATGCTATACAAGCAGGACTCATGAGGACTCAATCATAAAAGTCGGTTTTCTTCTCTTTCCCACAATATTGTTAAACCTGCTTAGTGGGGATATTCCTTCCCTTCCCATAGGATAAAAACTTGAAGAGCCTCATAATTTCCTGGTTATTCTTAGGAAATAAGAGAAAGATAAAACTGCAATCTCAATTCAGTAATTCATTGTGTCTAGTAATAGTCCCTTATAATAGTCAAAACTTCAAAGATTCTTAAAATCTAAATTTTCTCCACTCCCCCAGCTGGTCCTGCTGTAGGTGACACACTGCATAAAGAAAGTATGCTCCTTCCTCTCTCTGCCTGCTCTTCCCGCTCCTGATTGGCCCATGATTGGACCCTCCAGCAAAGGAGTAAAGAAGCTGTGTGTGCTTGAGCAGGGGAGATCTCACAAGCCAGGACTATGTGAGACAGCTGTGCACTCTCAGCACCTGGCAGATTTGTCAAATGACTTTTTCTTTTATGAAAACGTTTGTGAACATCAGAAAGCAGAGACCTTCTCTTCTGCTTTGGTGAATCTCTCCCAATGTTTCATAGGTAATATTAAGTTGGGAAAGAAGAAGAGGAAAATAAAGAAAATAAAACAGAAGACAATATAAGCCTTGTTATGAAAGCACTTGCCATATACCAAGGGCATTGGCATTAAAAGCAGAAAAAACCTACATAATACTATGAATAATATAGGAATAAAAAGACATAACTGAATACATCCATGTACATAGGAGTGGAGAGGCTAACTGTATAAAAGGAAGGATATGGCAAATGTTTTGGAGATAATAAAACTTGAGCAGAATTCAGCTGGTAGAGGATGAGAGAAGGCATTCCAGGCAGTGAGAACAGCATGTAAAATGTTGGAGAGGGGGCCAGTGTGGTGGCTCACCCCTGTAATCCTGGCACTTTGGGAGGCCGAGGTGGGAGGATCACTGGAGGCCGGAGTTCGAGACCAGCCTGGCCAACATGGTGAAATCCTATCTCTACAAAAAAATACAAAAATTAGCCAGTCACGGTGGCATGCACCTGTAATCCAAGTTACTGGGAAGGCTGAGGTGGGAGAATCAATTGAATCCAGGAGGCAGAGGTTACAGTGAGCTGAGATTGCCCCACTGTACTCCAGCCTGGCCGATAGAGCAATACTTAGTCTCAAAAAAAAGAAAAAAAAAAGTCTGACAGGTAGAAAGAGACATGACAATTAAGGGAGGACATTTGAGTGACTTACTCAGTGGTGGTAAATCAATCTCTAGCAAGAAATCAGAACTACTTTGGAGGTAAAGGTAAGAGGGCACCATTCATTATGAATAATCAGAAAATTTTAATTTGATTCAACATGGAATTGGAAACTCTCTTAAAGACTCAAGAAATAAAATTTGATGATTAAAATATTGAGAACAATGACCTTGAGAATGTGTGTGTGTGGGACCAAAGAAGAGGGTTTTGCTTGTAAGATATCTGAAGAACCAGGTCTGGTAACAATAGAATACTCTTGTGAAATTCAGATGGCCTCCTATTTTCCAACTCAAAGAGATAAACGAAATTTCCCTGTGTTTTTAAAATCATTTAAAATTTCTTCTCATTCTACCATAATCCTGTCCACAGATCCTTTCCTGGTGATTGGTGAAGAAAATGGTCCTCTATGTAGCAATGTCACTGCTATATGGTCATGCCATTCTTTCATACAGTGCTTTTGAGGCATGTGAGCAAAATGTAGCTTTATGGCTTTTGAATAGTATGCTTTTTTAAGTCCCAGGAAGAAGTGTTTATCAGTATTTTATGGAAGTGAAGAGAGCTTTTGTCCTCACTTTGGACAATAGAACCTCTTCCTATCTGATGCAAGGGTGTTATGAACAGAGCATTTGGATGTTTGGTGAAGCATTTTAAAGCACCAGAGCCTCTACTCTCCAAATCATGATCTAGATTATTATCCCTTCAGTCCTGTGAGGGGTGATTTCCATTGTCCAAATGAAAAAACTGGAGCTCAGAAGGAATATGTGCATTACTCAAGCCACACGACACAAACAGGAAATGCAAGGACTCAAATCCAGATCCTACGATTCCAAGTTCCTGGCTATTTTTCTCAACACTAAGCAATTGGCATGAACAGCTGTCCATGTGCTAGTCATTGAGCTTATTCTGTCTGCTTCATTTTATGAAAGCATTACCCCACGTCCTAGGAACAATGTGAGACTATATCATTAGCAAATTTGTTAATATGGACATGTCATGTTAAGTCACAAAGAGACTACCTCAATTATTGTTCCTTTGATTGATTTTTGGTAGGGATACAGAGGAATTTTGGTTGTGGTTTAGCCTTACCACATATTGCAAACATCAACATGCACTATATTAACTGTCTAAAAGGAGCTTACTGTTTTAAATGGTTGTTAAAGAATGACAATTTTAAGTCGTATTAATAATTGAATTCCAAGAACTACTTTTATGAAAACCACTAAACAATTCCTTCAAGACTTGAGTGATTACGAAAGAAAGAGACAACGAAACACAGACGTGTCTAATAGGTAGGATGTAGGAGAGACCACTGAAACTTTTGATTATAGACTTAGGAATTCAGAATAAACCCAGATAGAAGAGCATTCTATTAATGAAAGCTACTTACCTGACTTTGCTCCTTCTAGGAGAAAATCAGAATCTTGAAAAGAATATTTAAGGAGAACCCAATCAATAGATAAAATATTATCTGAGCAATTATTTACCATGAGACCTTATAAATATTATTAGGTTAATTACCAATAATGAAGAACATATGCATTTTTATGAGGCACACTTGCATACCGTTGTAGACAGGTGAAAATTTCACTCATATTACTCTTAGATGTGCAAAGAAAATTTAATTTCTATATTTTTTTCTGACTCTAATCTCCCTCAGGAGTCTCTATCTCTTGTAAATAAGGGAAAAACTGTTATCCAATCTCACAAATATGCTCTACCCAATAATTTAATTTCAGTGTTTCAGATAGCCTCTTCTTTCCACTGCTCCTCCAAGATGACACTTGGTGGATAAGTGGAGGAGCTTTATGGAACCCTTTTTCTGGGCTGTGGAAAAAGACAGAGGCCTTAAAAGCTGAGTCCTCACACTTTCTGAGTGAAAAGACTATTCTGCTTGGCTCCTTGGACTTGTGATGGCTGAAGTAAAATCAATCCTGCCTGACGTGTTGGCAACACCTCAGAAGTATGTAGTCCCAGCCAGTTGCCCCAGCCATGGAGTCTCCCATCCATGGCAGCCTGTTCTTTCCATCCTCAGGGTCATGCTGCTTTATTTGGACCTCTCAGAACTCTGTTCCCCTTCACATAGGGGAGCACATAGGAACTTCTAGATTTCTAATGTGCTGCACATTTCACATGGAGCCAGGGTGCTGCGTGAGGCTGATCTATCTAGCTACTGCCACCTACCAGTTGTTCTATTTCCCTTGTAGTCAGGGGACCTCTTCAAGACTTGAAACCTTCTCTTCTTTCACTCTGAGAAACTCACCACACATTCCTTTTCCTTACTTCTCTTCTTGGTCACCTTCTTACTAATTTGAATATTTCTGCCACAGCTCCACTTTGGGTTTCCACCTTAAGAAAGGGAAGGCAAGGATACAAAAACCCTTCTGCATTCTACTCTCAATGCCTTTCTTTCCACAAAGTGCTTGGGTAGAAGAGTTGGGATTTTCATTTCTCTCTGTTTGGCATGGATTTCTCTTATGTAAAAATGTTATAACTAAATCATCCAGGCTTCTGATATGAAGGGATCTACAGATATTTAAAAATCTTCTCCCTGCCAACAACTGGCATTCCAAAAGGTCAGCATTGAGACCCATAGACTACTGGTAACTTCACTTCATTGTTAGAGGTGGTACCTGCTCCTCTTTCCCTAAAATATAAGCTATAGCTCAGACTTAGAGGCAAGTGTTTTCAGATAACATGACTTAGTGAGGAAATGGAATCCGTTAGTTTAAATCTCCCTAAATCTCATCAAACTTCAAATTATAAACACAGTAATGTGGGGTTTTGATAGAAACTTACAACTTCTTTTCACCAGGTTTTTTTGTGAAAAGTATTAGCTAGTATAACACAGATAATTGCTGTCTTCTGGTCTAGTCTGTACTTCTCTTTTCCTGATTCTGATGATATTTTTTATGTCATGTAATTTTTTTGTGTTCATTGCCAATCTGCGCCATCTAAATTCTCTCCCTTCTGCGTCTTATTTCCTCTTCTCATCCTTCTGTCCTTTATTTATTCACTAATTTTTATTAAAATGATGTTTTATTTTCATTTATAAAACAATACATGTTGAATATTAGCCCCCAATCTCTTCTGGCTTGTAGGGTTGCCACTGAGAGGTTCACTGTTATTCTGATGGGCCTCCCTTTGCAGGTGACCTGGCATTTCAGTTAGATACCATCTCACACCAGTCAGAATGGTGGTTATTAAAGAGTCAAGAAACAACAGATGCTGGCAAGGCTGTGGAGAAATATAATAGGAATGCTTTTACATTATTGGTGGGAATGTAAATTTGTCCAACCATTGTAGAAGACAGTGTGGTAATTCCTCAAAGACCTAGAAACAGAAATGCCATTTGACCTAGTAATCTCATTACTGGGTATATACCAAAAGGAATATAAATCATTCTATTATAAAGATACATGCACATGTATGTTCATTGCAACGCTATTCACAATAGCAAAGACATAGTATCAACCCAAATGTCCTATACTTGATAAAGAATATATGATATATATACACCATAGAATACTATGCAGCCATAAAAGGGAATGAGATCATGTCCTTTGCAGGGACACGGACGGAGCTGGAAGCCATTATCTTCAGCAAACTAACACAGGAACAGAAAACCAAACACTGCATGCTTTTGCGTATAAGTGAGAGCTGAACAATGAGAACACCTGGCCATGGGCGGTGGAAACAACACACACTGGGGCCTGGCCAGAGGGTGGGGAGAGGGAAAGCATCATGAAAGATAGCTAATGCATTCTTGGCTTAATACCCAGGTGATGGGTTGATAGGTGCAGCAAACCATTATGGCACACGTTTACCTATGTAACAAACATGTACATCCTGCACACATATCCCGGAGCTTAAAATATAAAACATAATAATAATACATCCCACTTATGAAACATTCTTAAATACAGAGGGATACGAAAAACAAATACAAATCTCTCCAAAATCTAACTGCTGATGTATCTCCAAGTTGTGTTCTCCTTACTCAACAAGAAAAATAGAAAATATTTTAAATCTTTTAGGAAGACGCATAAACTGAGCAAATTGGCTTCATACATTAAGAAACAACACAGATTTTGACATTTCCTGAAATACATTAACTATTAGCTCAGCAGCAACTCACTAAATGCTCCTGTTAAACTATTTCATGCTCTTTGGTACATGTGAAAATGTGAATGATGAATTATAATACTTAGAACTATAAACATTTTATTTAAATATTGTTATCAGACATGTACATACGTGTTTTAGCAAAAATTATTCTTCCAACTTTGCATTGATTTCTCTGTCTTCACAAATCTGTTGTACTTGTGGGTGTTGTGTATAGTTTTATATGTGTAGCTCTTCAAACCCCTAAGGAAACAACTCTTACACAGGTATTGAAAACCGAAAAGGCAAAAAGTGAACACTAAAATATCACGGAGTCAATAACTACAGGAAATAGCTCCCCTGACTTCTCTTGGGAAAGGAGCCCAGTGGAACTGATATTCCAATCCCTGAGAAAGGAGTCCTGTCCAGCTGATACTGGTGTCTCTAGAGAGGCATGAGAAGGCTGGTTCTGTGAATGCTGGAAAAGCCACAAAATAGAATCAGTGACTGCAACTTGAATGAACTGCTGCTTCCAGGGTGAAAAAATGTTGCTAGGATGTCACCGACCAAGAACAGGAAGCAACATCAGAAACAGGAAAATATATCCCCCCTTCCTCCTCCAGATTTGAATTCTTTGTCTAGTGCTTCCTATGAGAAGAAACTAACAGAATGCAGCTGGCAATGCCAAAATGTTGTTTACAGAGTCCCAGCTCTGGCATCTTAAAGCCAGTGTAGGTTGGCGGCTTGAAATTGAGAGACAATAGATAACTTAATAATTGGCTCATTCACCTAGACTATAAATATCTATAGAGCAAGCACAACAACTCATACTTTAAAAAATATGTATTATATGTAGTAAATGGAATACTAATGGAGATAGCAGGTGTCTAATTCGTTAAAAATTAACTGTCAAATACTCACTTTTTTACACTGTCTTTATATAACATTTATTCTGAGAGGTGCTAAAGAATTATCAGCATTGTTTTTTTCATTTGCTAATATTAAAATGTATTACTTATTCATCTAATTCTAAAAGCTTAGCAATATTAAATGCTAAACTAGGTACTACAAACTAAATGATAGTCTCTGGAAAGGACAGTTTAAAAAAAAATTCTGTTGCCACATAAAGCCATGTAAAGCACCAAGAGTCTCATATAAACAGAATTAGGGTTTGTTTTGCCATATTTTGGTTTTTGCTAAAATGCCCAATCATATCATCCCTCCTACTTAACATTTGTTCCCCACAAAGAGATAGACTGATAGAATTGACTGAAATAGTTAATGAAATGTCATGTGAATTGGTCGAGAATTGTTTCTACTTTAAGTTGCAATGTTTAGCTTAACAGTGTAAAACTTGTATAAGTTTGACAAGTTATTTAATTTTCTCAAGTCTCAAGTAAGGGAGCTTAATGATCCTCCATTTTCCTTCCAAGGCCACATTATTTTCAGTTTCATAGAAGAAAAGGGATAATATGCGATTATGTTATCAAAGGATTATTTAGCACACTTTTTATTCCCTCATTAACCTGAGCATGCAAAGGTGTATGAAAGACAAGAAACCCAATAATCATTTTTAATAAGTTGCTAAATAGCTCTTTTTGAAATATGCATCCTGCACCTCCTCCCCACTTCATGGTTCACATTGCCATAAGCATACTTTGTTTTTGCAAATAAGATGATAAAAATGAGCATGAGCATGCTAATTTAGTGGAGGAGAATGCCAACATCTTGCTGTTCTTCAGGTGATCAAGCATATTCTCATCTCAGTGTTTTTGAATGTGCTGGTTTTTCTTCCTGAAAGGCTCTTTCCCCATAGTTCCTTTCCACACTTTGGTTAAGTCTCTGCTCTATTGCCATTGCCTCAGAAAGACCTTTGGATTTCACACTATTTAAATCCCATCAGCACCATTCTCTGCCTCTTTATCCTGCTTTATTCTTTTTAAGGACACCTAAAAAGGATACCTGAAGCTATGTTTATTTATTTGTTTGTTTCCTTGTTTATTTCATGTCTCCCCACTAAGAAGTGCACTTATAAGATGATAGACTTTGTCTGTACACAGTGCTCCCGCAGCCACCAGAACAGTGTTTGAAAATTAAAATGGGAAGAAAATAGGATGGAAAAAGCAGGAAATAAATATTGTTGAGTACTTGCTTCATGTCAAATACGTTGGTTGAATTACTACATATGCCTGGGACTAAATTAAGAAGTAACAAGAAAAACAATGACCAAGATATAGATTTTTGCCACTTATGAGTTCATGATCCAGATATCGAATATATTAATTTTTTATTAAAATAATGAATATATTAATGTTTATTAAAATAATGCCAAAGAGAACCACCAATGAGATTTTAAGGGTATGGAGGTATATTAGTTAGAGCCCTTCTAGTCATAAGAGACAGAAACCAAACTCAAACCTGCTTATGCAAAGAGTTTATTTTGTTGCACAATTGAAAGGTCCAATTATAAAACTGGATGAGAATGCCCTGATGTTGTCATTAACAGTCTATCTTCCTTCATTTTCCTGTCTCTGCTTTTATACGTGTATTCTTAGGGAGGGTCTTCCCCTGAGAGGTAACAAAAGCTGCCACCAGGAGCTATAAACTTACTTTCTGTTGGCAACAAGAGTCCTTTCCTCCACCCTCTAACCCCAGATCTAGCAACAGTTCTGGGAAGACTGTTATTGACAAGGCATACACCATAAGCCTTAAGCCCATTCCTGATCCCTTCATTTGGACTGATTGATCAGGCCTAGGTCATGTGTTCACCTTTGATATCAGGGGATGGGGTCATGGTCTGAGAAGTGGTAAGCATGAATTCCCATGGGAAGTCAATGTATTTTCAGATAAGGATGCAGCAAGAGACAAAAATCACAGATCTCCACTACAAACTCTGTATTTGCACCACTAGTTCTGCATGTTATATGCTCCCATTTCTTCAGCTTATTAGTAGTTTTTCAGAGAAGCTATTAAGAAAAGAGTAATGTCACCTAGGTGGTATGAAAAGAATATATGATTATTACATTCCTTAGTATCCATTAAAGAATATAAAATCCCATGCAAGCAGTTTACTACTAGGAATATACAATGGTCATCCAGGTCATAAAAACAATTGTGTACAAAACAGAATAATGGAAGTAGTAAAGAAGAATGAGATTGGTAATACATATAATGAAGCAATTCGTTGTTTAAAGACAGAACTTGGGGAGCAATGCATTATCTGATGGTATGGGGCTGTTTAACATGTTGGTATGATGCTCAGTCCTAAGTCATATTTTCACTGTTTGCCTTCCACCTCCAAAAAATGCACCCTCCTTACTGATATTAATAAGCAATATTAATAGCTAAAATTAATCACATACTAATAATACTAAAAGCTAAAGCATACTACTATTAGCTAAAATGTATTAGTATGTACTACTCTAAACACTTTACATATAAGAAATCATTTAATCCTGGCATCATTAGAAGTAGATTCTTTCACTACCCCCATTTTATCCATGAGGAAACTGATGCCAGAGAGGCTAAGAAACTAGTCAAGGTTTACGACAAGTAAATGCCAGAACCAGAATGTCTTATTTTTTATATTTTAAATGTTTGTGGGTACATAGTAGGTCTGTATATTTATGGAGTACAGGAGATGTTTTGATATAAAGGACTATAATATGAAATAAGCACATCATGGAGGATGGGGTATCCATCCCCTCAAGCATTTATCCTTTCAGTTACAAACAATCCAATTACACTATTTAAATTAGTTTAAAGTCTACAATTAAGCTATTATTGACTATAGTCACCCTATTGTGCTATGAAATAGTAGGTCTTATTCATTCTTTCTATTTTTTGTACCCATTAACCATCCCCAGCGCCCCTCACTCTAGCCCCTCATTACCATTCCCAGTGCCCGGTAACCATCTTTTTACTCTCTATGTCTAGAAGCTCTATTGTTTTGATTTTTAGATTCCACAAATAAGTGAGAACATTAAATGTTTGTCTTTCGTACCTAGCTTATTTCACTTAAAGCATCCTCTAGTTCTATCTGTGTTGTTGTAAACGACTAGATCTCATTCTTTTTTATGACGGAATAGTACTCCATTGTGTATATGTATATTTTATCCATTTATCTGTTGTTGGATACTTAGTTTGCTTCCAAATTTTAGCTATTGTAAAGATTGTTGCACAAACATAGGAGTGCAGATATCTCTGATACACTCATTTCCTTTCTTTGGGGTATATATCCAGCAGTGGGATTGCTGGATCATATGATAGCTCCATTTTCAGTTTTTTGAGGATCCTTCGAACTGTTCTCCATAGTAGCTGTACTCATTTACATTGCCCCCAACAGTGTACAAGGGTCCCCTTTCCTCCACATCTTTGCCAGCATTTGCTATTGCCCGTCTTTTGGATAAAAGCCATTTTAACTGGGGTGCAAAACTAGAATTTAAACCTACACTACCATTGCCAAAAAAAGGGCTTAAATCTTATGTCATGGTAAAGATATCCCTGCCTTTTCCAGCCTACATTTATTTCTTCATTGTATACGTCATGTTATTATCATTAATTTGTAATAAAATTAACATTTTATAGTATGTTATCCTTAACCTGCTTTGTTATATATAGTTTTCTATTCTGACAGTCTCATGCTTGCTCAAATTGTCTATTCAACTCTAGTGATAGGGTAAGTAAAAAACCAATAACCGGCCGGGCGCGGTGGCTCATGCCTGTAATCCCAGCACTTTGGGAAGCTAAGGAGGGCAGATCACGAGGTCAGGAGATTGAGACCATCCTGACTAACACGGTGAAACCCTGTCTCTACTAAAAATACAAAAAATTAGCCGGGCGTGGTAGCAGGAGCCTGAGTCCCAGCTACTTGGAAGGCTGAGGCAGGAGAATGGCGTGAACCTGGGAGGCGGAGCTTGCAGTGAGCCTAGATCGCGCCACTGCACTCCAGCAACTTAAGAGTTTTAATTATTACTCCTCTTCTAGCATCTAACATATTGCTAGGTATCAAATAGCTAGTTGATGTGTATACATTAATTAACTTTGCTCTTTTAAAAGTCCTTTACTTTTATTCATAAATGTATATATTTGATATTTTTGGAAATATAATAAATTCACCTTTCCCTTGTTTTAGAATATTATCTTAATGGTGGCGCTCCATGGTTTCTTCAGCTGTGGAAGAGTGAAGGACAAATTTCATCTAAAGCAGTAAGCATGGTTTATGTGATATGATACTTGTAGTGACATTGTATTTTAAAGGTAGGCATCAATATGAAAGTGGATATAAGAGCTACTGTCTGCATGCCAAAGAGGGCTGGGACCATGTCTATGATATCAGTGCCTAGTGTTGTGCCTCAGGCAATAGCCACTCAATATATTTTTTTTGTCCTTTGTCAAATGAATGAATCAATAAATACTATTCCAGGAGACTGAGATAGTGGTGGTTGTAGCTTTTTTAAAAATTTTTCAAAAGATGTTTGCATGTATGTATAGAAAAATACACACATACATATCAGGGCCCTTGGTTGCAAAGAACAGAAGCCATTCTGGCTAGTTTAAACAGAAAATAAATGTATTAAATTATATGGACTAGCTCACAGAATGTCTGTGATGGTCAGAGGATCTGGTGTGGATGCTAGACCACCAGAAATGTATCCAGTGACACAACTGGGCAGCTCCAGTAATGAATGCTGCTGCCACTAGTAGGTAGGCCCAGGACTGCAGCTTTCCTAGCAGATGTGGGCAAGTGGGTACCTTTAGAACTTCTGCCACTACTCCCTACAAAACCAGTTCCAGGGAGCACCACCTTCACATCACTATCTTCCAAATTAAAATTCGGCATGAGTACATCTGAGTGAAAGAGCCTGTACCCCAGCTGCAAGAGGGACTGGAACAGCGAGTGTCTGGCTTCTACCTCAGTGAAGTGGGATTCAAAATAGGAAATTTTCTATATGCGAAAAAGCCTCTCAAAAGTTTCTGGGCTATATATATTTGATGGTTTTTTTTAGTCTTTATAGAATTTTAGAAAATAAAGAAAAATTAAAGGAGAAGAAAATAATCACCCATATTTTTTGGGTGGTAATGATTTTCAAAAAATGTTTATTAATTCTCAAAACTAACAAGTGTCTTGATATTAGAACCTGAAACAAATACAGTTCCATCCAACAAATACTGTTGGATGAAGTGAAATTTACTTCATCCAAGGGGTTAAACTCTGATTCTTAGAGATTTACAAAATAAAGCCAAACCAAATCAAATACAAAAACAAACTTGACAGTCCCTCAGAGTAAATACAGTGGTGATGATGATGATGATGATACTAATTATTATTATTATATATTTTTTGGTTAAAGATTTGGTAAAAATTATATCTTCTTACTCTCAAAACATTTTGTTAACAGAGAAGAGTGTCTTAATTGTTAGACAGGTTTGAGGCTGCAGTTAGAGATTTGCATCTGAATTTGGTGAGTTTTACATACCAGGAGCTGCCACCTAAAGATTATAAAGAAATGTGGCTAAGTACCAATGATAGGTATATATCAGCACACCAGGGCCTTGGAAGGAATAACTCATGCATGGTTGGCTATGTTTTCACCTCTAAGTCAAGCTAAGAAATCTAAGGGGTAAAGGAAAATAAACAAATGCTTGATTCAATCAAATCGTACCAAAAGTCAAAATAGTTCAATAGTTCAACACACACACAAACTTCTCTTTACAGAATAAGTTGTTAAGGATTCATTATTCCAGAGATTAGGCCCATCATTCTGGGTATTTGAGAAAAGAAGTGAACTCACAGAAAATTAGTCATTACTTATATTTTATGAATGATAATGAAAAATGTTTAAATTATCTGATTCTTAGTATGTTAAATATAACCAGAATTTCTATCCTTATTAGAAAATCTTTGCTTAAAAATTTCATTTTTATTCTTTAAAAATATTGATCATAAACATCCAAAATATTTCTCTGAACAACATCTAGGCATTTCATAATTTAATCTGTCATATTGTCTTGGTTCCTAAATAATTTAGAAATTTGTAAAGGATTTTGGAAATTTGGATGGCATGTCTTATATTAGTGCATTTTTTAAAAGAATGTGGATGTTGGCAGTGGGCGGTGGCTCATGCCTGTAATCCTAGCACTTTGGGAGGCCGAGGCAGATGGATCACCTGAGGTCTGTAGTTCAAGAAGAGCCTGGCCAACATGGTGAAATCCCATCACTACTAAAAATAATACAAAAATTAGCTGCGCGTGGTGGTGGGTGCCTGTAATCACAGCTACTTGGGAGGCTGAGGCAGGAGAATCGCTTGAACCCGGGAGGTGGAGGTTGCAGTGAGCCGAGATCGTGCCATTGCACTCTAGCCTGGGCAACAGGAGCAAAACACCGTCTCAGAAAAAAAAAAAAAAAAAAAAAAAAAGAATGTGGATGTTATGGCTTAGCTGACCAGAAAAGTTAGTTCAATTCCAGAAATGAAGAATCTAAGACTTTTCCCTGTTATAGCTCCTAAATTAGAACTCAGTCTTTCATCTTTTGATCCTGCTGGCCAGTGCCTACAGACTATTACACTTTCTAGTATATGCTCCACCTTGCTGCCAGAATTATCTTTCTAACACCAGATTCTCATGCTTTGACATCAAAATATCAGTGGATTCCCCTTGCCCATAGGATAAAACTTTAACACTTTAAAAGGCTTTTAACATGTATCAATGTCAATTTTACAGCCCCAATTCTTGACACTGAAAGATATACATAAAACATGCCAGTCCAACTGTATTAATCTGTTCTCATGCTGCTAATAAAGACATACCAGAGACTGTGTAATGTATAAAGGAAAGAGGTTTAATGGACTCACAGTTCCACATGGCTGGGGAGGCCTCACAATCATAGTGGAAGGCAAGAGAGGAGCAGAGTCACGTCTTGCATAGCAGCAGACAAGAGAGCTTGTGCAGGGGAACTCATTTATAAAACCATTAGTTCTCATGAGACTTATTCACTAGACTTATTCACTTATTCAATAGACTTATTCACTTATTCATCATGAAAAAAAATCGCCCCCAATGATTCAATTATCTCCACCTGGCCCCACCCTTGACACAGTTCAAGGGTGAGATTTGGGTGGGAACACAGCCAAACCATATCACCAACCAACAATTTTCGGGTCTCCGGAGGTACTGTGTTTTTTGGTAGTAATATTCCTTTGCATATGGTATTGCCTCTGTCATGCTAATAATGACAATGACAGTGATATTATTAATAATGATAGTGACAACCATTAATCAAGGATTTGCTATGTAGTACAAAGTACTAAGCACTTCACACAGATTATTGTCTTTTGATTTACTGTTTTCTATGAACATCCCTGCTTTGCAGATGTAAAAACAGATGCTTATGGGGAGTAAGTTGAATAAATGGTTAAGAGTGTTTCCTGCATAAAAAACTAAAACAGTCAATTTGGAGAGTATACTTATAACCAGAATGTAAGGAATATTATTTTAATGCATTATTAACGTATATATTCTTTACTCTTGAGAGAATTACTTGCCTTCTGTGAGCTTTAGTGTCTGTCATTTTCCATCTTTGAAATGAAATGAAAGAATCTTGTAGATCCTTTGACTTGGACTCTCTGCTACCCACTTACTAAGTAAAACTGGCAGACTACTGAGGCAAAGAGTTGACGGCAGATTTCAAATATCAAGTATAATGTAGATACATGCAAAATAACACATCTGTTTATTTACCTTTACAAATCGAACCATTGCATTTTCATGTGAGTAAGGATAGAGAGAGGACTGGAGTATTGCATTAGTAGATGTTTCACCACATGGAAGGAGTGAGCAAAACTATTTCTCCTAACCTCTCTGTTCTTGTGATTCAGACAGTGTTTCTTATCCAACATTTGTTAGCGGGAATCTAGCCATAAGTAAAAGAGGCTGCAGAGAAGAGAAGAAATATGCTTTTATCAATCATATGGAATGGAGAGGAATTTTCTCCATGACCTCTTGAGAAATTCTATGAGGATGTATTATAAATTTCTTTTTTAGATGGTAACCCATATGGCAATCTGAAGCCTTGGTGTGACCATATTCAATGTGAGAAAATACCTTCTGTGAAAGAGTTACTGCTGTTAGTTCCATGAGTTACAGACACTGTAGTAGAATTATAAAAGAAAAATGATAATAAAACTACTGTTGAATAAATGAATGGTAGCTAAATTTGACTGAGAACTTACTATGTGTCAGCCTCTATTATAAGCACTTAGTAAGCTTGGTTTATTTAATCCTCATTATACCCTTACTGAAATAAATACTATTATTAACCTCATCTTTCTGTTAAGGACAAGGGCACAGATAAGTTAGGCAACTTGCTGAATATCACACACTAGTTAGTGGCAGAGCCAGAATTTTAACTAAGGCAGTGTAGCTCCGAGTTTTCATCTTCAGTATTGAAGAAGACTAAGTGACCTAAATTGAGCAAAGTGACCCCTCTAACTACATAGAAAAACTATTTGTCATTTTTTTTTCCCTGAAAGACCAGAAATCAAGCAACTGTTAGCACAGAACAATATTATTGTCTTCCTATAAATGTGTTTAAGCATACAACACTGGTTGTTTTGTTGAAATTTCCTCCTTAATTATTTTTCAGTGAATGAGATCCTCTTAGTAGGGCCTGGTTCTGCAATGCCAAATTGTGTGAGCTGAAATTCCTCAAAGACAGCAGAAATCACATCATCATTGTCAAATACAGTGATACCAATTTTAGTCACTGGAAGTAGAATAGTAAGCTAAACAAATCTGTTTTTAATTTCTTCTCAACAACAATGAAAAAATCCCTGTATTCCAAATAGAATTTGACAGGTGATAGACTATAGTGGAAAAGAGTGAAAGAACAATAAGAATGATTATAACCCTTAAGCATACGGTCTAAAATCTGCTAGTTTCTCTACCTTAACATAATAAAAGACATTGGGGCTTGTTTTTTATAATTAAGTAATTATTAAGTATTCATGAAGCAAACAAGTATAATTTTTACATGGACTGCAATTCAACTTGTTTAAATGTTCCTACATGAAATGCTTATCTTCATCAAAATGATAATGTTACCCCAAATGGCAAAATGCTAATAGAGAATAAATGTAGAAAGCAAGTAATTTCTTTCAATATGAGGCATGAAAAATGCCACATATTCCTTGGATAAAATGAAAAAGTGATAGCTCAGTATTTTCTTTAATGTAACAGCTTTTTCTTTAATATAACTAAATATAACGAGGTTCAGACATCGTTCACTGGTACTATTGTATAAAACTTGAATAATCTCCATCAAGAAATGTGTTCATGTTTGAATTATTTTCTGTCAGATTCATGCATTTCTTTCTATACAGCTATATATATCTTTAACCAACGTTGGCTAGAAGGTAAGAGTCTATTTGTTTTATAAAGCTGCCCATTTATCACATGTTATAATAATCAACATTTACTTATTAATTATCTAACATAGACCAGATATGGAATTCGGTATTCGGGATACAGGGATAAACATGAAATATGGCTTATGCCTTAATGTCGCATTTTATCTGTTCTTCTGTGATTCTGTAGACAGGAGTACAATAAAGAGGTATAATCTTCATTATTCTTCTGTCTGAATACCCAGATAAAAAACATGATCATAGTTTTCAAACTGACGTTCACAAAGCCTATTTCTTCACAATAGCCAGAATCGATATGTGGATTTTTCACTTGACATTTTGTCTAAAGATGAACTCTGGCCTGGGTGCGCTGGCTCACGTCTGTAATTCCAGCACTTTGGGAGGCTGAGGCAGGCCGATCACGAGGTCAGGAGTTCGAGACCAGCCTGGACAACATGGTGAAACCTTGTCTCTACTAAAAATACAAAAAAATTAGCCAGGCACAGTGGCGAGTCCCTGTAATCCTAGCTGCTCAGGAGGCTGAGATAGGAGAATTGCTTGAACCCAGGAAGCAGAGGTTGCAGTGAGCTGAGATTGCGCCACTGCACTCCAGCCTGGGTGACAGAAGAAGACTCCATCTTGGGGGGAAAAAAAAAGGAATTCTGGAAAAATTAGATCAAACATAAAGAAATATAGATTATGCAATGATGTCATATTTTCAATCAAGGTTTAACATAATGAGTGTACCGTGCAGGATGGTAAAGATGTAGCAGTAACTGAGCACCTAGAGCCTTCTTCTATGGCTCTTCTGCTTTCATCTGTCCTTTGAAACTGTAGCAAGAAGAAAATGGGATTTCTGGTCAGAGAGAACTGGGTGTGAGTTCTGACTTCTTCACTTTCTAGATGTGAAAACATGGTTAAGTCACCTTACCTCTTTGAGACCTAGCTTCCTACCATGTAAAAATCTGCTTAATTATACACCCATAATAGGGTTATACAATGTGAATAAGATAATTTATTTTGAAACACTTCACAAAAGATGTGACGTTATATTAGACAATCCATATTTTTGGTTGAATCTTAATGTAAAGCACATGATGGAAATAGATTTCACTTATTTTACTGGATACATGTGTTAGTTATCTATTGCTGCATAACAAAAACTGCCTTAAAACTTTGGAATTCCAGAGTGGCTTAGCTGTTTGGATATGGCTCAGGGTCTCTCAAAAAGATATAGTTAAGATATTGGCCATGAACACATATCGTTGGCCAACACATGCCATCATATGGAAATTTCTGAGTTCTCCCAGGAGCACTTCCTGATTATTTAGGGATCCCTTACAGGAAGGTTTCTGAGATTCTTGAAACACTTTCATTAAATTTTGCTGCTGTAGGATAACCATATTCCCACAAGATGCAAATCTTTCTTCCTCGGCTGGTTTCTCACACATACGTTCTCATCGTATTCCCAAGTTTGGCCCCAATGCTCAATAAATCTGCCTCAGTAGTTTCTTATAGGTCTCAAGAACCCTGACTTATGATTCAGAGAAACTTTATTTTGTGGCACAGAGCAGGCTAAATGTCTTCTAAATGCAGAATATTTTCATAAGCAACAGCAACTGAAAGGCCACACAAGGCTTCTTTACTGACCTTAATGTTGTATAGAAATGCAGAAGCCGTACTCCACTTTTCAAGCCTCAAAAAAGAGATTAATATAGGATTACTGAGTGTCTTCTCCAAGGAAGGGCATATAAATGACATACAATTAATCAGACGCAAGCCCTGGGCATTATGACATCCAGGCTAGTTGAGGAGACAGATTACTTCAATGTAATATGATATGTCTTTGATAGAGTGAGGAACAAATTACTGCAGAGGCACAAATTAGGAGCATGCAGCCCTCCTCAAAGACCCTCTGGAAGAGACAGTATTTGAGGTAAGTATTGAGATCTAGATTATGTAGATGTTATCTAGATATATCGATTGAAGGATGTAGTCAGGTAAAGGAAACAATATCAGGCAGAATGAAAGAGAATGGGATGTCCAGGGATTTATAAACAGTTCAGAGTCACCAGAAGTTTAAGGGATGATTCCCTGGGTAACAGAATGAGGCAGGGGTTCACCTCTGAGGCAGAGGTTTATTGAGTGGAGCTCTGGGAAAATCACCTGTGAGAGAGCGAGGATTCAGGATTGAATGAGGGAAAAGTGAGACACAGTTGCAGCAGAGGCCTTGACCAAGCTTGTGGGACTCTCTGGAGCTGGAATGGTCCTGCAGAGTCAGCATCGGAAATTGATGCAAATGGTCCAGGCCTTTGTATTCTTGCCTTGACAAGTAAGTGAATTCAGGCTGTCCTCAGCCAGCGAGGGTAAACCCTGGTTGAGACTGCATGCTATGACTGAGGGATTCCCAGAAAGGAATTCATCTGAGATCTACCAGAAGCCAGCACTCCAAGCAGCTGGGAGAATGAATGCTCAGGCTTAAAGGGTGTGGGGCACAGGGTTTGCAGCTACCA
Source organism: Homo sapiens (assembly GCF_000001405.40). Classification (NCBI taxonomy): domain Eukaryota; kingdom Metazoa; phylum Chordata; class Mammalia; order Primates; family Hominidae; genus Homo; species Homo sapiens. Next base: position 218,917,001 of record NC_000001.11, read on the forward strand.
AAGCATCTATTACACCAACATACAGAGTAAAGGCAGAAAGTGGCAAAAGAGGAGGATGAAGAGAAAGGTGGGATCAAAGTCCTGGCTAATCTTGGATGACATTCTAGGTACTTTTGACTTAATTGTGTAAGCCAGTGGTTCACAAACATTTCCATCTCAAAATCTCTTTACAAACTTAAAAAGTATTAAGAACCCTAAAGAGCTTTTGTTTATATGAGTCACAGCTATTTATTTCATCATATTATAATTTAAACCTGAGAAATATGCATTTTAAGAAACATTTATTAACTTACTTTTTAAAAATAATAAGCTCATTATATGCAAACTTAGATAAAATACTTTTAGGAAAAATAACTATATGTCTTCCAAAACAAGGAAAGTTTAGGAAGGAGTGTCATTATTTTACATTGTTGCAAATGTCTCTAAGATATCTGCTTACTAGACACCTGGATTTTCATATCTGCTTTGACTATGATATCTCACTTCATGAAGCTTTGAATAAACTCCACTGAGAACCACTGCTATAGGCAATAGTGAGTCACTGAAGGATTTTAATAAGCATGCACCAAATTCTGAAATGCTACTATGATTGTAGTATAGAGAACATATTTGGAGGCACAAAGTCTATTTCAGAGATGAGAGATTATGGAGGCTTGAACTCAGAGCACAGTATGGAGATGTGTGGATATCTTTGAAGTATATTTTTGAGAGGAAATGAACAGAATTTGGTAACTGGATATGAGTTGTGAAAATCCAGAACGACTCATGTTTTCCCACTTGAATATTTGAATGAATAAAGATTTTCCATTATCTGAAAATGAGAACATCAAGACTAAAGGTTCATTTGAATTCAGCTGATACTTTGGGATTGGATTCAACTATTGTCTTGGATAGAGCTCCTGGAAGCAAAGCCTAAGACAGACATTCTGTTTATGTGATTTATTAGGGGAGTAGTCTCAAGAGAAGGAGAGTAAGGGAAAAAGAAATGGAAGGGGAGAAAAACTAAACACCTAGTGTCAGGTGGTGACTTGCTTCAGTCTGACCCCCTAGGAGCTCTGGAGCACAAGTTGTACCACAGAGCTGGTCATACTTTGAGTTAGAGGGGTTAGACTTTTGCACCCCCATGTCAGCCAAAGATTGGCCAAAGTCTGGGGAATGTATCCCCCTGGGCCAAGCACATTCCCTTTAGTTGAGGGCAGTAATGCTGAAAAGACGATGACTCTGAGTTGCTATCAGCTGTAAGGGAGAAAATAATATCTTCTTTACTTACCCACCATTAGGTTCATGGCTGAGACTCCTACAACAAAATATAGATTAACAAGATAAAAGTGTGACAAATTTATTTAATATAAGCTTAATATAAGTTTTCCTTGACATGACAACTTTCAGAAATGAAGACCCAGGGAAAACTGTATATTTTTATGCTTAGGTTTGATGAAGAATAGATAGTCCTGTAAAGGTATAATTAAACAAAAAGGAGGTATGACCTAGTGTCAGTAAACTGGGGAGGGCTTAGAAAAGACTGTTTCTCCAGATTCTTCTTGGCCTGTTTGTGTAGTTCCTTCCCTCTGTGTATAGAGCAGGACACTTGTCACATGAGGGTCTTTAAGAGAGGTCAGAGGCAACTTTCTGCTTCCGCAGTTTTCTCAATTTCCTTCAGCATAAAATACTCAGTATGCTAATGTGCCCTATCTTCGATAGGATTCTCTACACCTCATCAGAGCCAACTGGGTAGCTGTCAAATGCATACACTAGCTGATAAAGGATAATAGAGTACAATAGCATCCCTGACAACTGTGGAATCTTAATCTGGAACCATTCCTTAAACCAGAAAAATGAAACAGCATCATCAGTGTCTCAAATTGTCAAATGACTGGGAGGAAAACCCTTGGCCCAGGAGAGATCACGGAAGGCTGGTCACAAACCAAGCCAGATGTTGACTTTCTTAAGACCAGCGAATAGAGACAGGAGTTTCTTTTATACTTAGAGAAACCAGAGAGTTTCACGGTAGCGTAACAACACGAGTGGTAAGAGTTGTCTATCAGAAATACAAAGCCAGACCCATTGCTCTCTGAAGAAGCCACACATTTCCTAGAAGATCCAGCCTTGGCTACTCTTCCACTTAGTATCCACAGCTACTAGATACGCTACCTCACACCTGTAACCCAGATGTCATAGGTCTCAGGCTGGGTACTCAGTCTTTGCCTTGCACCTTAAGACTGAACTTTGATGCATTGCTGAAATAAATTTAACTCCACAATGAGAAATAAAATGTTTAATCAAATTTAATGGGGAATTATTGAAGAGAGGTGCATGTACATCACAGAGGAGAAGCCTATCTGGCCACCTCCGTGATCCCCCCATTATCCATTAATGTTCTTCTCCTAGTCTCAGCTCCCCACTTCTCTCCTTTCTCCTGGAAATTCCCATCTATGCAGCCTCTGGCCACTCTGGATCCACTCTGCCTCCTGCCTCTCAGCCACACAGTATGCCCATTCTTCTGTGGCATCATTTATCTCCCTCTGGTTTTCTCCACTGTGAATCCTCACACATATCACTTAACTTAGTAAGCAAGTCTCCATCTGTCTTGAAAAAAAGAAGAAAATGGTAAGTAGCTAACTGTTGTTTCCCTTCATATCTGAAATATCATCCAGGCACCCAGCACTTTAATCTCTCAAAGTCATCCCTGAGGGTTGTAAACAGCTTCTTCCAAACTCTGTTAATGTTGACATTCTGACCTCCTATAAATACAAATGTTCTTAATGACATCTAGAATGGTCAATCCTTTCTACAAGGTTTTCAATTTACTTGGCTTAGATCTATCAGAGGAATCACTACCTATGGTAGCTATAATCTTACAAAATGTGTATTTTAAATGATGAAACTTGAAAATTAAAATTATTCCTTGATCTGCTGGCTTTAGAATGCACATTGTGTTAGCAGGCATGAAAACAACATTCATATCCTTGTACATCTTCATCAGAGATCTTGGGTGACTAGGCAAAATGTCAATGAGAAGTAATATATTGAAAGGAATCTTTTTTCTGAAGAGTAGATCACAAGAATGAGCTTAAAATATTCAGTAAACCATGCTGTAGACCAATAAGCTGTCCTCAAGGCTTTGTTGTTACTTTTACAGAGCACAGGAAGAATAAATTTAGCATAATTCTTAAGGACCCTTGGATTTTTAGAATGGTAAATGAGCATTAGCTTCAACTTAAAGTCACCGGCTGCATTAGCCCCTAACAAGAGAGTCAGCCTGTCCTTTGAAGGTTTGAAGCCAGGCATTAACTTCTCTTTTCTTGCTAGGAAAGTCCTATATGTCATCTTCTTTCAATAGAAGGCTGTTTTGCTGACATCAGAAATCTGTCGTTTAGTGTACCCACCTTCATCTTAGTCAAAATGTCCAGATAACTTGCTGCAGCTTCTGTGTCAGCACTTGCTGGTTTTATGTTGCAGAGATGGCATTTTCCTTAAGCCTCAAGAACCAACCTCTGCTTGCTTCCAACTTTTCTTCTGAAGCTTCCTCACCTCTCTCAGCCCTCACAGAACTGAATAGAGTGAGGGACTTGCTCTGGATTAGGTTTTGGCTTAAGGGAATGTCATGGCTGGTTGATATTCTATCTGGACCACCAAAACTTTCTCCAATACCAGCAATCAGGCTATTTTTGCTTTCTTATCATTTGTTTGTTCACTGGACCCTTCAAGGGCTTTTACTTTGTATTCACAACTTAGCTAACTGGTTTGGTGCAAGAGGCCTAGCTTTTAGATTATGTTGGCTTTCAACATGCCTTCCTTGCTAAGCATAAACAATTCTAGCTTTTGATTTAAAGTGAGAGATGTTCAACGATTTCTTTCATATGAACACTTAGAAGTTGTTTTAGGGTTATTAATTGGCCTAATTTCAATGCTTTTGTGTCTTAAGGAATAAGGAGGCCCAAGGAGAGGAAGAGAGACAGGGGAACAGCTGGTCAGTGGAGCAGTCAGAACACTTACAGCATTTATTGATTAAGTTTGCTTAATCTGTGCCCAATCTGATGTGGGCACAGTTCATGGTGTCCCCAAACAACTACAATAGTAATATCAAAAATAATTTATCATAGATCACTATAATAGATACAATAATAATAAAAATTTGAGATATTATAAGAATTATCATAATGCGACACAGAGACAAAAAGTGAGCCCATGCTATTGGAAAAATGGTGCCAATAGATTTGCTCAATTCATGGTTGCTACAAACCTTCAATTTGTAAAGAAACAACACCTACAAAACGGAATAAAGTTTTGTGGGGTGGTGGGAAGGGGGAGGGATAGCATTAGGAGATATACCTAATGCTAAATGACGAGTTAATGGGTGCAGCACACCAACACGGCACATGTATACATATGTAACAAACCTGCACGTTGTGCACATGTACCCTAAAACTTAAAGTATAATTTTAAAAAAAGTGAAGTACAGTAAAATGAGGTATACCTTTTCACACAAAATTTTCCATAAAAATTTAAAATTTTATCCATTGACTTCCTTTCAGGGGGTTAATGCACCACAGTTCTAGAACCATTTAATTAGGAGCTTTACTTGAAGATTGAGCTGACAACATATCTACCCAATCTTTACACTGTAAAGGAAACCAGGGGCCTACCAAAATACTCAACACTGTCTACTACATAGACTCAACTATCCAGGGAAATATTCAAAATCAGGTTATAAGTTAACCAGCGTTCCAAAAAGAAGAATGGCCAGTGAGGAATACTAGAGTTCATTCTACCAGAATTATTCTTACAACTTTAGTCTTTTTTCTTTTTTAACCAGATGAGCACATAAGTGGGAGTAATTGTGTATCCTATTTTGATTTATGCCTCCTAGAATTGACACTCTACATTTTTCTTTCCAGAATAGTGATAACTAGCTGAGTGCATAGAAAGACCCAATCCTCTTAAACCAGATTGATTTTCATTGCCTTAATTCACTTTTCCTTCTCTGCTTTGATGTCCTACTGACTGTTGAGACAGAATGCTAAATCATAGGTATGCACATACACACAAGAGGGACTTCTATACAGGAGGCTTTAATGACTGCCGTGTGCCCAGATAATTTGGACCCATGATTAAAATCAGACATTTTAGAAGTTATTTTCAACCTGAGGCCATGTGCTTACCTTTCACCCCTCCTCATCAATGCAGAGCCACAGTTTGCAAAGGATCCTATTTCTTTGATTTTATTTTGTGGTTTCAAAGCTAGGAAAGAATTCCACCTAGTTTGAAATTACAGCTAACTACAGGTAAAGAATGTTACTATGTGTGCCTTGGTCCACTAGAGCCAAGGATAATATAAGGAACTAGCCCAAGACATTAAAATGTCTGCACCAATTGTGGTCATTGTGTCGGGGTTCAGGACTCAGTAGGAGCAATCTTTGTTGATGGATCTTTGTGTGTGGGCTTGTGTCCCAAGTGAGGGCCATCAAGCCAGTGAGTGAGTTGGCATTGCCAGAAGGTTTGCAGGCAGGCTCTGAATCTGAGATCATATTCTGAAACTGAGTTTTAAACTTACTAGAGCAACTGCCTCCATTTATTGTCAGTTCATGGAACTTCAGAGAGGAGAAAGGCTTGGGTGGTGCAGGTGGGTAGGGAACAGAAGTAAAACATTCCCCTATGTCTGTGAATCCATGAATCTGAAGATCCTGATGTGATGTCCCCAGTTCTGAGAAGTCTGTGGTTTGTAAAAAGCAGTTTGTGATCCATTAATTGTTCAGGAAATCATCTGAAGTAGCCGCAACCAACTTTTGTAAAAAATCTCAAAATAAATAGATTAGGAAAAAAATCAAAGAATATCACAAGTAGTCAGAGTAGAAATGTTCTATAGAACACTTATTTCAACTATGTTTATATTCATCATTGTATGTGTTTGATTGTAATGCAAAATTTATTTTTTTATTATGGGCTGATGGTCAAAAAAGTTTGAAAGCCCAAGTTTAGGTGGCCCTGCAGCCCAATAAGAAGAGTAATGCCTGTTCTCTGCATCTTCTGGACCTGTCTGGTGTAAATAGGAGATTAAATTCACTCATTCTGCAGTGATGTTGGTTCTTTTAAAGGAAGTTATTCCTGAATTAAATAAATTCAAATGAACATCTATACCTCTTTTTCTCCTTATTTCCCCGAAACTACTGTTGCTTAAAACCCCGTCTTCACACCAGAAGCCCAATCTGCCTGCTCCAAGAATTCTCTTCCTCCCTCCCTCTTTCCTTCCCCTCTTTCCTTCCCACCTTCCTTCCTTGCTCCCTTTCACTGTTGGAAGACTGGAATGAGTATTTTCAGAGTCAGGAAGGTTTCATAGCCAAGGCAAACTGTGGTTGGAAGCTGAAATTGTAGCAAATAAGCAATTAAGGTGGATACAATGTCCCCATACACCTTCTACAAATATTCCCATACTGGGGCAGGCCCTCATCACTTCACACCTTGGTTATTGCCATGGCTCCCAGCTCGCTCCCTGACTCCAGTCCTTCCTCATGCTACTCCATCCTGCCCACATATGCCAAATTAATACTTCCAATATATTGTTTTCATTATGTAATTTTTTTGCTCAAAATAACCTAAGGCCGCTATCTCCTACGGGTAAAATCTGAACTCCACACCATGCCATTCTGGACTCTCAATAATCTTGCTTCGACCTGTCTGACCACACTTATCTCTGGGTGCTTCTCAACTTGAAGCCAACTCATGCCTCCTCAACCTCCTGATATGCTGCTCAGTACCCTTCATCTATTCTTCATATCTCAAATTACACAGATTCCTCCTCAAGCTGAACACATGTAAAATTACCTGCATCATTTATTTGAAATTTCCACAGATCCTCATCATTGTTATTTTACTGTTTCATATTAATGTATCTGGTCTCCTCAAGTTACTCAAAGGCAAGTTAATCAAGGGCAAGGTCTCCTGTGTGCCCCTTGATATGGTTTGGATCTATGTCCCCACCCAAATCACACCCTGAATTGTAATAATCCCCACATGTCATGGGAAGTACCCAGTGAGAAGTAATTGAATCAGGGGGTGGGGGGGTGGGTTTTCCAATGCTGTTCTCCTGATAGTGAATAAGTCTAATTAGATCTGATGGTTTTATAAAGGGGAGTTCCCCTGAGCAAGCTCTCTGGACTGCCACCATGTAAGACATGCCTTTGCTCTTCCTTAGCCTTCCACCGTGATTGTGAGGCCTCCCCAGCCATGTGGAACTGTGAGTCCACTAAACCTCTTTTCTTTATAAATTAGCCAGTCTCAGGTGTGTCTTTATTAGCAGCATGAGAATGGACTAATACACCCCTCCTCCCTCTCAGGGTGCTATCTAATATTTACCTGTGGAAACAATAGCTAATATTTGCTGAACATTACCAAAAGCTGTGTTAAAAGTGCATTATTTAATTTCATTTTTAAACATGTATTATTTTATACTTTCTGTACAGATGATGGAATGGAAGAAAGAGAACTAAAGGAGAGCCATCAAATCAGACAAAAGCTATCTGTCTCTTTGGAGAGACAACCTCTGGGCTCATCCACTGCATTACATTCTTAGAGCTTGTAGAAGAGCGGTCATTAAATATTTTCAAGGCTACAGACTCCTTCAAGAATTGATAAAAGCTATAGAACTTCTTTCCACAAAAATGCATGTATTGCACACTGAATGTCTGCATGCAGTCCTTGAGGGGAGGACCTCTGAGGCCTATCTCTGAGTCTGCAGTGTCCATGAGCCCATGTCAGGAATTCCTGCAACACACATTATGTGATTTTAAAATACTTAAATGAAAGTTTTTTCCAGTGTCCTCCAGAAGCAAATTCCATTAAACAAGCCAATGTGTATAATATTACCCTAGAAATTCGAGAGTTGGTGTGATGCAAATGGGAGATATGAGCATGTGTGTGCATGTGTGTGTGCTTGTGTATACCTTCACATCTTATCTATAAACACATGCTAAGAAGTCATCTTTAGTTTCAGCCTTATTCCTATAATAAAAATGTCAAGTCTTATGAGGTGGATAGATTCATAGGATTATTATAACCCCCATTCAATCAACAAAGAAGCTAAAGTCAGAAAAGGTATTTGATCTACCTAAGATTACACAGCTGACTCAGTTTTCTGTCTCTTCACTAGACCTCATTGAAAATCAATGTTCTCTGTAGAGGAACCAGTACTACTAAAGGCAGGTTATTGAACGAGGGCTAAGTTGAAAACAAAGAAATTGGAAATTCATGTTAAAAACCATTAACAATAATTAGTAATAATAGTATCTTAACCATGATTCCAGATGCCTGGCCTTCATGCTTTCACCTGCAGGTGATGTTGGTCAATACATGCAACCCATATGGGATAACAAAAGTGCTTTTCGAGAAGGTGTAATGACTGTTGTGATACCTATATGTGCTAAGTAAGTCCATAAATGTCAATGTGTCTCTTAATGTAAACTAGGCTTTCAAGTCAAAAATCACCTGGTTTATTCCACATTTGCATTCTGGTGTAATATGCATATTTAAAAATCAGAAAAAAGATGAATATTAGCAGCAGTTTATTTATAGCTCATTTCTGGACTTTCAAAGTCTCTGGTTCCAGAACCCCTTACATTTTCTGCCCCATGAATTCTTAATGAGTTCCAGTTGAAAGTGCTACAGTTCCCCATTCAGGCTATTAAAGGAAAAAAAAGAGAGAGAAATGCAAAAAAAAAAAAAAGAAAAAAGAAAAAAGAAAAAGAAACCTAAAAAGTGTGTTTTCCTCAACTACTAGGACTTCTAGCTGATATAACTTACCCCCTTTTCCCCTCTCCTGGCAAATGTTGGCAAATATGTTTGCAGTTGGACAGGCCTGCTATGTTTTTAAATCCTTTTAATCCTCTTTATAGTAACAGAAACATTTGAAGCTGATCTTTGAAGACTCTGTAGAGTGCAGAACACCTGCAGCCTAGTGCTTTGTGTTAACAAACACCCAGTGTGAGCTTAACACAATTGGGCAGGCGCAGAGCTGGCCCCAGAATCTTCCTGGAGTAATGAGGGTCTCTCTTCCCCTCTGACCTTGCCTTCCCCAACTTAAACTTGCTCTGGTAAATGGCACTCTTGCCCTCTGACCCTCCCCAAATGGCTCAATGAATCATATAAGGGCTCATAAAAATGATTTGCCAGTACGTCAGGAAGTAGAAAAAACTCAGTTGATTCCAGATTGAGAATCATTCAAATCACTAACAAATGCTCAGTCACTCAAATCACTAACTCAAATCACTCAAATCACTAACAAACCCCCCTTCCCTCTCTATTCAGTGGCTAGAAAAGTTGATTACCAAAGATTAAAGCCAATGTTGATGATAGTCTCCCAACCAAGTAGAAAAAACAGGACTTTATCCTCTCTCCTCTTTAATTTTTTCCTTAACTAATGAGATGAAACTAACATTGTTCACAACCTCTTTGATATCAGCTGAGATCTCTTCATACATTAGTAGATGTTTATCTCTCTTAGAGTAGAAATCATATTTGTTCTTTACCATTTATATTTCTGTTCCCTTATATTAGTTGCTCCACTAGTAATCTCTAAGAGGGTTAAAAATAATCCCACTGGATTGAAGTTGAGTAACTTTTCAAACCAACTCTACACTAAAAAATTTTTATCTAAAGCATACATATATGAATTACTCTTGGTTATCAAAAGGACTCACTAGAGTATGTTTAGATGGAAAAACACTCTATCGTGTTAAATATATCTGACGAATAAATACATGCAGAGTTTTTGGGAAAATACCCAGTGGAAATGTGAGAAACAACTTGGAGTGTTGTCAGGCTATTCCACTCAGTAGCTGAAAACAAAAAGACATACATGCTATTGAGATCAATGGGGGAATTCAAGCATACACAGTGTCTCAGGTCACCTGGAAAAAGGAAAAAGAAAAAAAGGATATTCTTCTTTTATTTTTGTCTCAGCCTAATTATGGTGCTTGGATTGCCATTAGTCCAGTCTGGTTTCTGGGGCTTAGCCCAAGCCTGGGCATGAACACTAAATGTTTTTCCTTTCAAATTCAACATAAATGGTATATCTTTCTAAAATTTATTCTTCATTCCCTCCACTAAAAAAGGAAAGTCTCTCTTTTCTTTGAATTACTTCCACGTCTTCTACAAACCTTTACAAGTCACCACCGAGTGCACCTGCTACAGCTCACTGATGCTGGGTTTAGGTTCCAGAGCATTTTTCAAAGTGAATTGTTGAATATTTTTAAAATATGCATTTTGATAAGCTTGAGCAAGCAAGTTTCCCCATGCATTCAGACCTGTTGTTTCTCTGATGGTTGGTTGATTTGCCAATTCAACCAAAAGGAGCTAAGAGAAACAGAGAATATGACAAACACATTCATGCTCAACCTAGTGCTTCTGGAATCATAATACTGCTACTCTGGTGCTGCTTGTGTATATGAAATGCAAATGTTTTAATTCTAAGATAGATTGCCATTTTCAATTTATGCCTTAACCTAACAGTATTCAAGTGTTGTATGAATACTGAAAATCATTGGGCAATTCCTGAATTCAGTTAAAATATTTATTTTCTTACAGCTCCATGTTTCAGTATCTCTATAACCAGGAAGATAAAATAGTTGATTTTCTTTTTCTTCATTTTTCCTTCTCATGACTACCTGCTTCCTCGGGTGATGAGTGGGATGAACAATGTGATAAATTAACAATATTTGACAGGAAACAGCATTTTAAGTGTAGACCACTTAATATACCTAACTCTGTGAACTTTAATAAGTTATGTAAATTTTTATTCTAAATTTCTGCATCTACAAAAGTATGGGTTTGAATGAGACTTTATCTGAAGTATTTTTAAGGCCTAGAATCCTATTATCTGATAAAATTAAATTTGATTGAAACAAGATGAAAATAACATATTACCACTATGAGTCTGAATACAATAGAGATCACAGATATAAAACTTATTTAGTTATCCATGTATATATGTATATGTATATTTATACCTACATTTACAAAATTGAAATTGTTTACTTTTATTGATATGATCCCACAAGATAATAAGTAATTTTTAAAAATAGAGGAGAGATCATCTAGAAATAGGAAGAGCAAAAGAAAGCATACTTAGATTCATTGAATAAAAAAATGTCTGAGGATCAAATGGGAGGCAAAAATAAAATCATAAATACTGGACTCAGAGATAGCATAGGACAATAGAAAAGACTTCCCTAAGTTAATTCAGGTAAATGTGCTAGACAGATGAAGGAGTTAACACTGTTTCAATGCTTGGAAACCCTTGCACTCAAGTGTATAAGCATTCGTGGGAGGCAGGAATATTTCATATGAAGATAGAGAGCATTTGCTATAGGAATATAGAGTTATTTCTATCAAAGTAGTCTAAAAGCTCTATTTCTACTTTTACATTCTTAATACAGAGCACGTGCAAGTAGAAATAGAGAACTATAATACAAATAGCCACACAACTTCCTACCACTTTATCCTAATAAACACCTGGAATTTCTTAGATACTTGCTCTGATGGACATTTCACCTATCACATGATGATAAAAGCAGTCAGAAATGATATATTCCAGAATGACTTCAGTTTGTAACAATAGTCAAAATGCCCTTTAAAATTATATTCAGAGCAAAAAACAATCATGAAGGAGACAATAATAGGGGCATATACTATAATATTAAGCACTAAATAAAAAGTCACAATTTCTTTATTCCACTTTTGTTCAATTCTCTAATAAGGAGAATAATCTTCCAATTAAGAAGACATCTATATTACTGTTGCTACAAGAATGTGGATGAGAAAAGAACTTTTTCTACCAGACATTCTTCTCTCAGTATAAACTGATATAATAAACAGATCAAGCTATAAAAGAAATAGATTATACTAAGTGCAATATATACATATAGATTATACTAACAGCAAAAATTTATAGAAGTATATATATTATGTGTTCGTGTACATGTATATAAGTACATACATATATATATTTTGCACTTAGTATAACCCATTTCTTTTATAGCTTGATCTATTTATACATAGTATATATAATACTATAATATGTACTTTATACATAATATATACTATATAATAGTATAATATACTATATATGCTATAATATATACTATTATATATTACATGATAGTATATATTATATTTATAGATACATTAAATGTATAAATATATAACATATATTTATAAATTGTATATTATATACAATATATAATTATATATTTATAAAAACATTTTAAATTTATATGTTATATAATTTATAATATATTAAATAACATAATTTTATAATATATAATATGTATTTATATATAATTATATATTATTACATATAATAATATGTATGTTCACACACACACTCCTATATGTGTATATAGGAGCCATTACAAACAAATAGAATTAGGGGATGGATGCTGATTTTATATGTAATGCATAAACACACACACACATGCACACACATTCACACTGGGAGGCCAAGCCCTCGGGTATGTTACCTGGAAAAGACTCATAGAGGCTACACTGACTGAATCCTGCAGGAGAGATCTGAGTATAGTAGAGGTTGCACCTCAGAATTATTCGTTAAAAGAGAGCTGGAGTGTTTCTACACTAGTGTCCCCAACCATCACTGGTTAAGGGCTGCCCTCAGGAAACCATTTATTCCCAGAAAGGCTCTCCGTGACCATAGGCAATGTGGCTCTAGCCACCTGAGGCAGCCCTCCAGAAAAATGGTTGCTGGATGAGAATGGGAAAGCACCCTTGTGGTTGGTGTGCAGGAAAATGGAAATGGATTTGAGGGAAAGTGAGCCAAGCACTGAAGCCGCTGCTACACTCCCTCAGAGGAGATTTGCACTCACATGTGCCTGGGCTCTCTTTCTTCAGATGCTCACCAGCTATTGGAAAACTATTTAGACAGCAGATCTCAACTCTGTGGATGACTCAAAGGAGGGAAGAATAGCTAAGTTAGATCAAGACTGGAAAGCGTTTTTGAATCACGGACTCAAATTAACAGAATAAAATTTGATGGGGATACAATAAAGCCCTCCCACTTAGCCTCCAAAAATCATCTGGATAGGTGTGACATGAGGAAGAGGGGGATTAACAACAATTTATATGGAAAAGACAAGGTCTTGTGGTTAACACAAGTTCAATATGAGTCAATTATGCCATAACTCGATAGTACGCTGGACCTCACACAGAGAGACAGTTAAGAATTAAAGCTGCCTAACACAGACCAGGAAAGAATTAGGAGAGAAAGACTGTGAAAGGGGATAATATTTATTTCATATTACTCTAAAGGGGAAAACTAAATAAAAAGTAAAAAGTACAGGAAGGCAGATTCTGGCTCAGGGTAAGGAAGAATTTTCTGATCATTAATGCCAGACACATGCTTTTTAAAAGAAGTGCTTGGAGTTGTCTGACCTGAGGCTGGATGAAATTCTCCGGAGATGCTGTGGAGGGGATTTTTGTTTAGAATACAGAAGAGAGGGAATTTGGAGTGAGGACTCTGCATCCCCATTCAACTTAATCATTCCGTGGTTCTGTAAATTTGTTTGGCAATTTTGAATGAAATGGCTATCATATAAGCAGGGAGCAACCAGAAGCACAAAGAGAAACACTCAGGAGCCCGGAGAGTCTACCAGTGGATCTTTAAGTCACTGAATTATTGAAATTGGCAGTACATATTGAGCATCATTCAAAATTCCTGCTCAGCTGTCAGTGTTTGGAAGGTAATGGGAAAGATTTGCTAACCCTGGACATACCTTTGCTTATGTCCATGCAAAGAAAGCCAGGAGGAAAAAAAATCTTGGAAAATTTTTCTTACAGGGAAAAAGGGGAAACTTGGACAAGTAAGAGGAAAGGAAACACAATGATGGGAAAAGAGAAACACGGTGCATCCACTCACCTTTGCTCACCCCTATTTCCTACTCATTGTTGTTTTGGATGCATTTACTTTCTTCTCCTCTGGGTCCGATCAACGGCTGACCACATCTGTTTAATTGGAAGTATACGTCATCTTGGTTTTGGAATATAGGCAAATATGCACTTAGTTTTTCTCCAAGCCAGAAGGTTGCTCAATGTTTAAGGCTTGTGCCGGTGGAAAGCCAGGAAACAGGGAACAATGGTGTCAGGATAGAGAGCCGTGCAATAGAGAAGATTAGATTGTTGTCATTCTACATGCCTGTGGGCAATTTCTGTGACCTTTTTAAAAGAGGATCATCCCACCCATAAAGCAGAACGTCACACAAATTATGGTGATATCTTTTTACTTTAACTAGGAAACCTCTTTCTTCTAAGATCTCAAAGTACTTTGACTAATTAACAAATTAATCTTTACAAATTCCCTAAGGAGATTGCAACAATTATTATCTTCATTTTACATTTTAAAAAAACTTGAGATTAGTGAATGAGTAGAAAGAATAAATGGAAGAATCTAAAGAGGAGGCTGGAAGTCTCTTTGAACCCAGCTCAAAAGCTATGTAGCAATCATCCAGATTTCCCCAAACACAATTTTTATTAGAACTGATGATCCCTAAACAAATACGTTAGAGGCCTTAGGAAATAACCTAAGGTCACCTTCAGAGATTTTTGGAATGACAGAATAATTACATTGTATCCATTTGATTTGGCAAGGAAACTTTTAAAACTTGCTGCAATATAAGCTTCAAACACTGCAGCCTCTTAAACGAAGGACATGTAGAACTGGACTGATCATTCTCACTTTTGGGGATAAATTTCCTACGCTAGTTAGGTAGTATTTAGGTCCAAGGTATTTACAGACATCACTGTTTTAAGTGCTACAGCTGATTTTTATCATCCATATTTAAACACACACATACACAAACACGTATACACACACAGTAAAAGAAGAAATTATTTAATGCATAAGCTATACCTTAATAACAATAAAAGCTGTAATCCCAAAATTCTTCAGATTGCTTTTGGAAGAAAACCATAAAGATGTAATGGTCAGTTGGTGGGCACAGTGGCTCACACCTGTAATCACAGGAAGGCCAAGGTGGACAGATCACTTGAGCTCAGGAGTTTGAGACCAGCCTAGGCAACATGGCAAAATCCCATCTCTACAAAAAAAACAGAAACACACACAGAGGAATTAGTTGTTGGAAGTAAAAGGCCAACTGATTATATATTTATTTTATTTTATTTTATTTCATTTTATTTTATTTTCTCTGAGACAGGGTCTGGCTCTGTCACTGAGGCTGCAATGCTGTGGCATGATCAAGGCTCATTCCAACCTCTGCCTCCTGGGCTCAAGCCATCCTTCCACCTCAGGCTCCCAAGTAGCTGGGATTACAGGTGCACACCACCATGCTTGGCTGATTTTTGTATTTTCTATAGAGGTAGGATTTTGCCATGTTGCCTAGACTGGTCTTAAACTCCTGAGCTCAAGTGATCCTCCCATCTCAGCCTCCCTGGGATTACAGGTGTGAGCCACCGCACCCAGCAACTGATCATTTGATCTTTATGGATTTCTTCCAAAAGCAATCTGGAGAATTTTGAGATTACATCTTTTATCATTATTAAGATGTAGCCTATGCATTAAATAGTTTCTTCTTTTACTTCACCTTCAGTGCCAAATTAGACAAACAAATGATTTCCACGAAATGCATTTAGAACATTCTTGCAGCAGAAAAGTGGACAGGTCTTGTGAAGATTATGTCAAAGGTCAAGGCAAATACACATGTCCAAAGGTTTGCTCTCTGGCTCTGCAGCTCTTGGTGGATATGTTGTTTTGGTGGCAAAGGAGAACAAATGACAGACTGAATAACTTTTTCAAGCTAGGTGAGCAGAATAAAAATGTACTGGGCCAATGAATTTACTGTCTGCAAGGATAAGAAAATCAGAACAGATGAACGTTTAAGAAAATTAAAAACTATTTTATTCAGTAAGGATGAACAAATATGCTTGGAATCCAATGTTCATTTGCCCTTTTTCTATCCTCCATATAGAAACAGACTGAGGAAAATCCCATATGAAAAAAATATAACCTGTCTATTACCTTTCTGATTATGAACTGGAACAAAGTCTGGAGCCAAACTATGAAAATAAAACAAAACCCACAATAAAAAGAGTGGATGATAGAAATTCCTGAGAGTTTACTATTTGTCTTTTTACAGGTGTAAAAAAATAGCCACAGCACCTCAAACAGTGATGTTTGTAAGTAACTTGGGCCTAATAGATTGTAGGGGTCATTTGCACTTAATAAGCTGCAAGCTCCTTTCACAACTATAATAAAGCTCTCTGATCTTTAATTATTGTGAATAAAATGTATGTAGAGACAGCAGAGACTGCAAACCAAAGCAAAGAACTTTTGAATCCAAGACTGAGAAATCCTAGATATACACATAGTAGTGTTCATAGTAATTATGTGCAAGTCTTTATGTCTGTATGCATTCACCTCTGTTGGAATGAATTACTGGATCATATATTACGTATGCATGTATGCATTCATTTCTCTTGGAAATAAAATTCCTGAGTCATATGATACTTACATGTTTAATATTAAAGAAACTCTGTTTTTCAAAGTTTTAACCAATTTATAACTCCCTTCAGCCATGTACAAGAGTTCCAGTTGCTCCACAGCATAACTAGTCTTTCAAATTTTAGCCATTCTAATGAATATGTAGTATCTCAATGTGTTTTTAATCTGTGTTTTCCTAATGACTGTTGACTCAACAACGTTGAGTCATTGTTGGATGTTGAGCATCTTTTCATGTGCTTATTGGGTGCCTTATTGTGAAGCATTCACTCAAACATTTTGCCCATACTTTAAATAGAGATGGTTGCCTTCTTGTTCTTGAGTCTTTATTACATGCTGGGTAGAAGCCTATTAACAGATATATAGAGAGTAAATATTTTCTCACAATCTGTGGTTTGCTTTTTTTATTTTCTTAACTGTTTTTGAAAAACAAAATTTTAATTATGATAAAGTCAAATTTTTAAATTTTTGTTTATATAGTTTTTGCCCCTTTTTTGTTCCTATTTAAGAAAACTGTGCCTATCCCAAGGACATGAAAAAATGTGTGTGTGTGTGTGTATTATATATAATGTATATATATTTTGTATATATATAATATATATTATATATATATTTTGTATATATATTATATATATATTGTATATATATATATATTATATATATATAATTGGCTTACATAGTTATGGAGGCTAAGAAGTTTCAAGATGTGCAGTTGGCAACCTGGACACCCAGGAGAGCCAATGGTGTAGCTCCCATCTGAGTCTGAGGGCCAGAGAACAAGAAGAGCCAATGGTGTAAGTCCTAGTCTGAGTCTGTCTAAAGGCAGAAGAATACCAGTTTCCCAGCTCAAAGACAGTCACAGAGAGCAAATTCTCCCTTACTTAGGCTTTTGTTCTACTTGGCCTTCACAGATTGGATGAGGCCCACCCATACTGGGGAGGGCAATCTACTCAGTCTGCTGATTCCAATGTTAATCTCATCCAGAAACACACTCACAGGCACAGAGAATAATGCTTAATCAGATATCTGGGAACCAAATGGCTCAGCCAAGTTGACACAAAATTATTACACTATTTTTTTCTTATATTGTTAAGTAGAAATGCAGACTCATTTTTTTCTAGGTACATGACCAGTACCATTTGTTGAATTATGACCCAAATAATTCAGATTATAAATTTATCTTGTATCTTTGGATCAATTTTTATGCTTTTAATTTTGTTTCATTGAACCTTTATCTGTTTTTCAATGCATCATTTTTTTAATTGTGAGTTTTATATTAAGCATGGGAAACAAACATTTTTCCTTTTTTCAAAATTGTTTTGGCTGTTGTAGAATTTTTTGCATTTTCACATAAATTTTTGAGTCAGCTTGTCAAGTTCTGCAAAAAACATGTCGGTCTTGCACATATTTTATTAAATATATTCTAAAGTTTTTTATATTTTTGTGATACCTTTGTAAATAATATTTTAAATATTATTTCTACATTGTTACATATAGTGATGCTAATGAATAGTAATATAATTGATTTTAGAATATTGAACTTGTGTCCTACAACCTTCCTAACTTCACTTAATTCTAGTAGATTTTTTTAACTTTTGTTTTTGTAGATTCCTTGTAATTTACTATGTATGTTATAATGCTGTCATTTTGTAAAGACAGTTTTATTTCTTCCTTTCCAATTCGTGTGCCTCTTATTTATTTTCTTGCCTTATTGTACTAGTTAGAATCTCCAGCACAATTTTGAATGTAAAAGATGAAAGTGAACATCTTTGCCTTGCTTACTATCTCAAGGGGACAGTATTCACCTTATTGTAATCTTAATTATAGGGTTTTTTGTAAATACTATTATTTATTAAATTAAAGTTTATTTTATCTAAGAATAGCTACTCCTGCTTGCTTTTGGTGTCCATTTGCATGGAATATCTTTTTCCACCCCTTTACCTTAAGTTTATGTGAGCCCTTATGTGTTAGGTGACTCTCTTGAAGACATCAGATACTTGGTTGGCGAATTCCTATCCATTCTGCCATTCTGTATCTTTTAAGTGGAGAATTTAGGCCATTTACATTCAATGTTAGTATTGAGATTTGAGGTACTATTCTATTCATCACGCTATTTGTTGCCTGAATTCCTTGTTTGTATGTTTGTTTTTTTTCATTGTGTTATTGTTTTATAGGTCCTGTGAGATTTATGCTTTAAGGAGGTTCTATTTTGGTGTATTTTGAGAATTTGTTTCAAGATTTGGAGCTCCTTTTAGTACATCTTGTAGTGCTGGCTTGGTAGTGGCAAATTCTCTCAGCACTTGTTTGTCTGAAAAAGACTGTATCTTTCCTTCATTTATGAAGCTTAGTTTTGCTGGATACAAAATTCTTGGTTGATTATTGTTGTTTCTTGGTTGATTACTGTTGTTTTTAAGGAGGCCAAAGACAAGCCCCCAATCTCTTCTAGCTTGTAGGTTTTCTGCTGAGAAATCTGTTGTTAATCTGGTAGGTTTGCCTTTACTGGTTACCTGTTGCTTTTGCCTCACAGCTCTTAAGATTCTTTCCTTTGTATTGAATTTAGATAACCTGATGACTGTGAACCTAGGTGATGATCTTTCTGCAACAAATTTCCCAGGTGTTCTTTGAGCTTCTTGTATTTGAATGTCTAGATCTCTAGCAAGTCTGGTGAAGTATTTCTCCATTATTCCCTCAAATATGTTTTCCAAACTTTTAGATTTCTCTTTTTCCTCAGGAACACTAATTATTCTCAGGTTTGGTTGTTTAACATAATCCCAAACTTCTTGGATCCTTTGTTCATTTTTAAATTCTTTTTTCTTCGTCTTTGTTGGATTGGGTTAATTCAAAAGCCTTGTCTTTGAGCTGTGAAGTTCTTTCTTTTACTTGTTCTAGTCTACTGTTGAAACTTTCCAGTGCATTTTGTATTCTATTAAATGTATTTCTTCATTTCTGAAGTTGTGATTGTTTTTTATTTGTGCTACATATTTCACTGGAGATTTTTCCATTCACATTGTGTATCATTAAAAAAGCTATTTTTTTAAGTTGGTCTTCACCTTTCTCTGGTGCCTCTTTGATTAGCTTAATAATCAGCTTTCTTTTTGTGACAATTCAGAGATTTCCTCTCAGTTTGGATCCATTGCTAGTAAGCTAGTGTGATATTTTGAGGGTGTTAAATAACTTTGTTTTGTAATATTACCATAATTGTTTTTCTGATTCCTTCTCATTTGGGTAGACTGTGTCAGAGGAAATATCTGGGACTCAAGGGTTGCTGTTCAGATTCTTTTGTCCAATAGGTTGCTCCCTTAAATTGGTGCTCTCCCCATCCCCTAGGGACGGGCCTTCCTGAGAGCCAAACTGCAGTGATTGTTATTTCTCTTCTGGATCTAGCCACCCAGCAGAGCTACCAGGCTCTGGGCTGGTACTGGGGGGTGTCTGCAAAGAGTCCTGTGATGTGACCCGTCTTCAGGTCTCTCGTCCTTGGATACCAGCACGTGCTTCAGTGGAGGTAGCAGAGGAGAGAAGTGGACTCTGTGAGGGTCCTTGGTTGTATTTTTCTTAAGTGCTCTGGTTTTGTGTTGGATGGCCTCCAGCCAGGAGGTGGTGCTTTCAAGAGTGCGTCAGTTGTAGTAGTATAGGGGAATATAAGCTTGCCCTAAGGTTAGATGGTGGACAGGCCAGAGAGCTCCCAAGAGATTACTTTGTTTGTCTTTGGCTACCAGGGCACATAGAGAAAGATCATCAGGTAGGGCAGGGTTAGGTATGTCTTTTTAGGCGGAGCTTGCTGCAGATGCTGTGGGTGATGGTGCTGTGGTTCCCAGGCCAATGGAGTTATGTTCCCAGGGAAATTAGGCTTCCT
The DNA here is from genome assembly GCF_000001405.40 of Homo sapiens. Taxonomy (NCBI): domain Eukaryota; kingdom Metazoa; phylum Chordata; class Mammalia; order Primates; family Hominidae; genus Homo; species Homo sapiens. The sequence continues at coordinate 218,937,370 of NC_000001.11, forward strand.
CTGCTGCCTCACACAGGTTGCCAGGGAAGTGGGGGAAAGCTGGCAGCCACATGCCTCACCCAGCTCCCACTCAGCCCGCAGCCTGAAAGTCCAGTCTCACTCCCACTGTGCTCCCTGCAACAGCACCAAGTTTATTTCCAGGCAGCCAGTGAGCAGGGCTGAAAGCTTGTCCCAGGCTACAAGCCTCCCAGCTGAGAAAGCAAGCAGACTCAGAGTTCCGTGGTTGTCCCACAGAGCCTGCAGCAGCAATCCACCTCCTTCAAAGGGTCTGTGGATTCTCTCAGCTTTCCTGGTACGTTCCTGTGGTAGTTCTTGGAATAAACGTTCACAACATGAATCTCCACACACTACTCTGTCCATCCGAGTGGGAGCTGCAAGTTAGTCCTGCCTCCTATTTGCCACTTTTCCCTGTATTCTTTCTTTTTCTGTATATCCGAGTATCCAACTAGTGTCATTTCCCTTCAACCTGAAAAACTCCCTTGAACATTTTTTTTTAGTTCAGTTTTATGGCAATGAATTCTCTTTAATTCTATTCTCATTTTGAAGATTATTCTGACTAGCCAAGAGTTCTTGGTTGTCAGGGTTTTTTTTTTATCACTTTGAAGATATTATACCCTATTATATGACATATAATTAAATATAATATGTTATATATCGTATATAATGTGTATTACTATATGGTGTTATACATCACATATTTTATTTATTATAGTGTATTATAGTCCATCATTTATTGTTCCTGAGGAGAGGGAATGTATCATTTCTATAGTTGTTCCAATGACTTTAATATGTCTTTCTTCTCTGGCTTCTTTGAGAAATTTCTCTTTCTTTGGTTTTAGCACTTTTCTATGATGTACACAGCTTAGGAGTTGGCCAATAATACCTGTTGAATCCCTGTATAAACTGCTTTTGCTATCCTTCTCTCTGTTCTCACCCCTTTCACAGCTCTCTTTCCATAGTTTTCTGCTCTGGAAATGCCAGGACTTATGTCATCAAAAATTTTTATCTCTGCTTCTTCAGTTCAGAATGATGACAAATCTTTTCTTCGGTTTTGCTTGTATGTACTTAGGCAATTAGCAGGGGTGAGAGTAGGGTTTGCCTCATGTATTTACTTTCTCCAAAGATCACAGTCTCCAGACTGTGGTTTTTAATATCTAAAACAGGTTTCTTATATATTTTGCCCAGTTTTATAGTTGTTTATGGTGAGAGGGCATGTCTGATTCCTGTTAACATAGTCAGAGATGGGAGTTCAATTGCCAAATTCTGACCCAATCACCTTGATTATATTCAGATGTTGGAGAAATACATATAGGTAGCTGTGTGTGCATAATTGTATGTATCTGCAGAATTACATAATTTTACTAGTTCTTTGCTTGTAGGGCTTACAAGCAATCACACAATATTTGCAATGAGTACATTGAGCACTCAAAATTTTGGCTTCTAAATACTAATGAAAAAGCTTCTAAAAAATAATAAGGCAGAATATAAATGAATTAGCACAATCTGTCTGCCTTCTGTATAAAAACAATAATCAGTTACACAATATAATTGAATATAGTATACAATAATAGCATAAAAGTAAAATACTTTGTAATGAACATTATCAAAAATGTTGAAAACTATTTAATAAAAGCTTTCAAAGCTTATGAAAAGACAGAAAAATATACTTGAGTTAATGAACAGCCACACCAGGGTCTTAAAGAAGAAGATTCATCATCAAAAAGATGTAATTCTCACTGAGTTAATTTTTTAAATGTTACACGATCTCAATTATAATACTAATTTTGTTTGTAGTTAGACAAGATATTTCTAAAATCAATAAAGAGAAAATAATGAAAGAAGAATAGTCAAAGTCAATAATAGCATTCTTGTGTTTTTTCCCCAAGAACAGTATGAATCATTGTTTACACTGAAACCCAGTCACCTTCTTCACCTAACTATAAATCGTTAGCATGGGCTTTACTTTGTAAAATCCACAGCAGGACTCTAAGAAAAACAATAAAACATTTTTTAAAAGTTTGAAAAAAAGAAGAAATCGTGATATAGTTTGGCTGTGTCCCCACCCAGATCTCATCTTGAATTGTAACTCCCACAATTCCCATGTGTCATGGGAGGAACCTGGTAGGAGGTGATAGAATTATGGGGATGGGTCTTTCCTGCACTATTCTCATGATAGTGAAAGAGTCTCATAAGATCTGATGGTTTTCAAAGGGGGAGTTTCCCTACACATGCTTTCTTTTTGCCAGCTGCCGTTCGTGTAAGATGTGATTTGTTCCTCCTTGCCTTGTGCCATGATTGTGAGGCTTCCCCAGCCACATGGAACTATAAGTCCACTATAAACCTTTTTCTTTTGTAAATTGCCCAGTTTCAGGTATGTCTTTATCAGCAGCGTGAAAATGGACTAATACAGTAAATTGGTACTAATAGAGTAGGACGTTGCTGAAAAGATACTCGACAATGTGGAAGTGACTTTGGAACTGGGTAACAGGTGAGGCTGGAACAGTTCGGAGGGCTCAGAAGACAGGAAAATGTGGGAAAGTTTGGAACTCCCTAGAGACTTGTTGAATGGCTTTGACCAAAATGCTGATAATTATATGGACAATGAAATCCAGGTTGAGGTGGTCTCAGATGGAAATGAAGAACTTGTTGGGAACTGGAGCAAAGGTGATTGCTGGTATGCTTTAGCAAAGAGACTGGTGGCATTTTGCCCCTTCCCTAGAGATTTGTGGAAATTTAAACTTGAGAGACATGATTTACGGTATCTGGTGGAAGAAATTTCTAAGCAGCAAAGCATTCAAGAGGTGACTTGGGTGCTGTTAAAGGCATTCAGTTTCAAAAGGGAAACAGAGCATAAACGTTTGGAAAATTTTCAGCCTGACAATGCGATAGAAAAGAAGATTCCATTTTCTGAGGAGAAATTCAAGTTGGCTGCAGAAATTTGCATAAATAACGTGGAGCTGAATGTTAATCCTCAAGACAAAGGGGAAAATGTCTCAGGGCATGTCAGAGGTCTTCACAGCAGCCCCTTCCATCACAGGCCCAGAGACCTAGGGGGAAAAATGATTTTGTGGGCCAGATCCAGGGTCCCTGTGCGGTGTGAAGCCTAGGGACTTCAATGTAGAGCTTGGGGCATGGTTTCTGAGGGTGCAAGCCTCAAGCTTTGGCATCTTCCATGTGATCTTGAGCCTGCCAGTGCACAGAAGTCAGTGGTTTAGGAACCTCTGCCTAGATTTCACAGGATGTATGGAAATGCCTGGAACTCCAGGCAGAAGTTTGCTAAAGGGCAAGGTTCTCCTGGAGAACCTCTGCTAGGGCAGTATGGGAGGTAAATATGGGGTCAGAGCCACCACACAGAGTCCCTACTGGGGCATTGTTTAGTGGAGCTGTGAGAAGTAGGCCACCATCCTCCAGACCCCAGAATTGTAGATCCACTGACAGCTTACACTGTGCACCTGGAAAAGCTGCAGACACTCAACAAGAGCCTGTGAAAGCAGCCAGGAGGGAGGCTGTACCCTGCAAAGCCACAGGGGAGGAGCTGCCCAAGACCATGGGAACTCACCACTTGCATCAGCATAACCTGGATGTGAGACATGGAGACAAAGGAGATCATTTTGGAGCTTTAAGGTTTGACTGCTCTGCTGGATTTTGGACTTGCATGGGGCCTGAAGCCTTTTTGTTTTGGCCAATGTCCCCATTTAGAATGGCTGTATTTACCCAATGCCTGTACCCCATTGTATCTAGGAAGTAACTAACTTGTTTTTGATTTTATGGGCTCATGGGCATTAGGTACTTGCCTTGTCTCAGATAACACGTTGGACTGTGGATTTTGAGTTAATGCTGAAAAAAGTTAAGACTTTGGGGGACTGTTGGGAAGGCATGATTGGTTTTAAAATGTGATGACATGAGATTTGGGAGGGGACGGGGTGGAATGACATGGTTTGGCTCTGTGTCCCCACCCAAATCTCATCTTTAATTGTAACTCCCACAATTCCCACATCTTGTGGGAGGAGCCCTGTGGGAGTTGACTGAATTATGAGGACAGGTATTTTCTGCACTATTCTTGTGACAGTGAATGAGTCTCATGAGGTCTGACGGTTTTAAAAGGGGGAGTTTCCCTACACAAACTCTCTCTTTGCCTGCTGCCATCCATGTAAGATGTGACTTATTCCTCCTTGCCTTCCACCATGATTGTGAGCCTTACGCAGCCATGTGGAACGGTAAGTCCATTATAAACCTCTTTGTAATGCCCAGTCTCGGGTATGTCTTTATCAGCAGCATGAAAACAGACTAATACATCATATGCGTTCTAATATTGATTTGATATTTCTCCATGAGCCATTGGTAATATGCTTTGAAGAGGGGGTATAAGTGAATTTAATTAAATAACTTAGCAGTAGAAGTGAGGCAGAGACTGAAGACAAAGGGAAAGGAGATCTATGAATTTCATTTGATTGATTGTGTATTGCCTACAGAAGGCAGTTTGGGGACTGAATATTTCTATGTGACACTTTAAGCCACCAAAGGAAGCATGCCTCTAGGATGCTGTGTTGGAAGCAGAGGTTTCCATATGGTCCAAAAAAGGAAATGGGAAAGTAACAAAGATACAATTATTCTTCTGTGCCCTAAGGTTGTCCATTTTCCGTATTTGACCACTCTCCTCTCCCAGCATCTTCTCATTTTAGAATCATGCTTCTTTCTGCAAGAGCTGGGTGTGGGGTGGTGAAAACATAGAAATTTCCAGTGAGAGAATAATCAAGTCACATTATTAACAATCCATTTCACTTTAAACAGTAAAGAATGTGCTACAGTGTTCTTAGATGCTTGAAAATAAACTGAGGTCTAACTTATTTAAGACCCAAACAGCTAAAAATTGGGTTGGAAGTTATTTATTATTTGGAAAATACTTTTTTTTCTGAATCCAAAATGTAATTTCCTTTTACTCATATTTTTTTTTAAATTTAGACAGATAGTGATCTTCATCAAAAAGCAGATACCCCGAAGATTTTATTTAAGCAGAAAACTCTGGAGAATTCCAGTGCATCAGAACTGCTTCTACACAAATGACTCCATTTGTATCTATTGTTGGCTTTATTTACGAATGATGAGCCAGGATACCAAAGAGCAGTCCATGATTTATCGCCTCCCAATTTTGTCTCTCTGGGGAAAGAATTCTGGATTATTATTCAGCACTGGGCAGGATGCCGGAGTTCAGGGGTTGGCAGGAAGGAAGGGAACCCTCCTTAGAACAGGGGCTCCCAGTAACGACCAAATGAAAACAAAGGAAGATGAGAAAAGGGTGGAGGCTTGCTGTGGGTTGCTGACTTTCTGAGTTTCTATTTTAGATCCCTTGCACGGAATCTTTAGGGTGGATGCCATTTCTAAGCTATTATGAAGGTCACCAGAAATGGGATCTGGCATCTGGATTGCTTTCTAAGTGAGTTTTACACTAAAGCTTTACCAGAAAAAGCGCCTTAGCGCTTACTGTGAAAACATTATCTGAAGGTGTAGCCTGACACTGTGCTTTGCCAGCAAACACAGAAAAAATGAGCATAATAAAACCTTCCATAGTTCAAGATCATTCAGGGCTCCAGTGCAGAAAATATTTATCAGATTGGAGCTGTTGCTGTAGAATGTGAAATCTTTTCTCTCTTGCCTTACTAAACTACACTATTCATTCTTATTGTTTGTCCTCTTCTTTGACATTTTCTCTAACTCTTTGCTGTTTTCAGACCCTAGGCACATGAATTTCCCAAAGGCCATCATTTATTTTTCTTTCCATATCAGCTCTTCCCTCGACATCACACTTACTCTCAGCTGCTATGTCTACATAAATAGTTCCCCAACTCTCATTCTGACCCTGACCTCTCTTCTGAGATCCAGGTCCATATTTTCAATTATCAACATTATAACTTCTATACTCTGTGTATCTAGATGAACCTTGTTCAAAACACCTTAGGTGAAACATTTGTGTAAAGTTTCTTTAATAAAAAGCATGAGTATGTTGCTACAGATGTGTTAAATTAGCTTTTATATTCATAACACAAGTGTCTGCCACCTGAATGCCTCCAAACATCCAGGCACCTGGAATTCTTTAATAATTAAAGAGGAAGAAAAGCTGAAAACTGCATCCCACATAGTGTTCCTCTTGATATCTCCAAGGGTGTTAGAAGGAGAGGGAGCAGGTGGGATGGAGTGGGAGGCTGTATTTCTTCCAGTCACCTTGCCTCATCCTCTTGTGCTCCAGTTTCCTGCTGTGGTTACGTTCTGAGTCTTAGAGGCTGCTTTCTTCTTTACGTTGCACTTACACCAATGACTCCCAGATTTGATCTTCTCCTTGAGCTCTGGAATAAATTTCCTAAATGCCTTTTCAACACTCAATTTAAATATCTAACAAGCATTTCACACTTAAAGTACCCCAAATTGGACTTGTCTCCCACTCCACACCTGTTTCTGAAATATTCCCCATCTCAGAAAATGATTCTACCATTCACCTTGCTCCTGGGGCTAAAAACCAAGAGTCATCTTTGACTTTCCTTTTTTTTTTCACATACCCAGTAACCTGTCTGCCCTATTTTCAAAATAAATACTGAATTCAACCATTTTTCACTCCCTCTGATACCATCATAGTGCCTCACCTAGACAACAGCAATAGCCTCTTATTGTCTGTTGTCTTATTGTCTTACTGTCTATTGTTCCATGCTTGCGTCTACATTCTAATCTCTTCACTGTGATGCTCCAAAACATCAGTCAAATCATGTCACTGTCACATTCTAAACTGTCTCATGGCACCTGCACACACTTAAAATAAAATTCAAACTCTTTCATGTACATGGTCCACCATGACCTCGCCCTCACCTACCTACCTTCCTGTCTTCACTTCCCATCATGTTCTCCATGATTTCTTCAAGCTCCAGCAACCATGGCTTTCTCGTTCTCCTTTTAACGCAACAAGCGCCTTCCATCTCAGGACAGTAATGTTAGTACTTGACATTAGTCTACATGGAATGCTCTTTCATCAGTTTTCTATGGTCTGTAATTTAGTTAACAATTTTTTAACATAATAAGATTAATTTTAATCCACACTATGGGAGTTGGTAGCAATTGGATTTTCCTAAACTAGAATGTACACATGTTCTATATTCTTAGCTCTTAATTTTTTTTCTTTATAGCATTTATGTTCACTTTAAATTATATTACCTATTGTATTATTTACTTTTCATGCTCTGTCCCCTCATTCCCGTCCACCCTGTAGATATACGCTTCATGAGGGTAGGATCTCTAGTGCCTGGCAATATATGTTTGAAGATTAAGTAAACACGTGGGACTTGTCATTCAACTTTTTAAAATTTTATTTTTCTCATTGGTAAAATACAAAGAATAATAAGATTGAAGTGAGTATATCTTTGAATATTTATATTACCTTTTCTATTTGTCTAGAGAACAATTCAATTGTCTTTCATTTGGCCCATCTTGGCTACATCCTGGTGGAGCATTACGATTCATATCAAGTATGCTACTAGAGTGTCTCAATTAATCAAGGACAGCTTTATACTTTTTATAAAAGTTTAGCTATCTATGTATTATATTTATATGGGAATGCCTCTGTATGTATGCATTCATATATGTATGTATTTATATAGTCTATGTAATATCCTATGTAGGTATATTTGTGTACTATTCCTGTAGACACACATCATTTATCCTTGCACAACTAAAGCTAAATGGATATTGTTCCTTCGTATATAACTTATTACAAAATGTATCCAGTATGATTGGAAGTGATGATACAGTATTTATCAAACTGTTCTGTTTTGCCTTACAAATAAAGGTAGGTATTGGCTAATATAGTGCTCATTGTTTCATGTGATGACTCATCACTTTTCATGTGATGCCAAAAACATTGAGCTATGTGATTCAGCATCAGCAAATTTATTAGTGCCTCCTTAGCATAGAAATGCTGTTTTTCTCCCCTCAGCCTCCCTCCTATTTATTTTTCCAGTGGAAATAGCAAGATGTAGCCTGAAGAAAGCTGAGTAGGCATAGCAGCACTTGACCATGTATTTCTGGCTGGAGATGTGGTAAGTCTCACACCACCTTGGTCCCCAGTCCCCACAGCTCAGACGTTGTAACCTAATGGTCATGGGCTAGGTCTCTTATGACCATGTCTGGAATCACTGAGCTGGCTGGAACAGAGAGGTTATAGAAGCTTGGAGTGTAGGTGTATATCATTGGTGACTTCTCTTCCATCTGTGGATTGAGTTTTGAAGGCTGATTCCATTTTGGAAGACTGGGTGCCAGAAAAGAAAGAATAAGACTCCTTAAGAACAGCAGAGCCATCAGAAAGGAAGGGGTTGTTCATGGCAACCCTTAGAAATAACTTATAATTCAGCCTGAAACAGTACCATAAAGATGGCAGCATTGGTGTGCCCATAATAGATTGCTTAGGGCCAAATCAAAAAAAAAAAGTTATCTTGCATTATTTTGGCATATTTTCTATACATCTCCAAATATTTACCACATTCAGATACCCCTTCTGAGGGGCTCCTTACACACAGGTCACCAAAAGAATGCACTATCAGTCCATTATTGATTGGGCCCAAAACAAAAGCAACTATAAAGGTTGGTCAGTAGCCTATTAAGTAGGATGACATGAGAGCTTGGGGAACTCATACATTTTCTCTTGGATTATTAATGGCTGCACTCACTGGATTTCTTCACAGTATGAACTCATAGAGTATATCTTGGGAATATGTACATATACAAAGAGTTAGTTTGAAAGCAAAAATTAAGTGATTAAGTAACAACAATGGTAAATTTTAAAAATTTGAGAAAGCAACCACCAGAGTTCCTATTGATCATTAAGGTTACTGTCAATTCAGAACTCCTGCTGTGTCCTGTTTTCTGTGAGGACCAGTCATTTCTCCTTCTTCTCAAATGACCTTGTAATGAACTCCCACTTCCTAGGGTAAGCAGAGGGTATTGCTCATTTTTGCACATTAAATTAGGCCATAAATGACCGTGTACTTAGTGACTAACACACACGGTCTTTACCTTTTGCTGTTTATCTTCCAGAGTCCTTGATAACCCAGGGCACTGAATAGTCAAGATCCCTTCCATTTCCAAGCAAATTAAGCATTGTTACCTCCCACACTTACCTAGGACCAAATTACTACAAGGATCCCAAAATACCACAAGCACATCCCAGGGTGGGTATATTGGAATAACAAAAAAAAGTGGAAAATGTACCACACATTTTAACAAGGAATAGATTATCCTGGTCTACGGCATGCATTGCAATCTTGCTAATATGTCATGACTACCTGCTTCAATTATTTTTTTTTTTCTAGTATTGGTAGAAGCCAATGTTTTTGAGAGTGCTCTTCATCCAGGAGAGAGACAGATCAGAAATCAATCAAAAGATTGATATTTCCTTCCAGGAATGAAAGGCTACTTATATTTAATTAGTGGGCCTGAACCTTGGCTAAACCAACCATGTCCTCAGCCAGGGCTCTGAATGCTGGTGAACACTAGCTAGAGACAAAATAGAAGATGTTTCTCCTATTTGACAAATTCATTGTGTTATTCAGGGTTCTCCAGAGAAACAGAACAAGTAAGATATATACATACATATATGCACATACATATCCATCCATATATATTTAGAGAGAGAGAGGCAAAGTGAGACAGAGACAGAGAGACATGGAGAGAGAGAGCAGAGAGACACAGAGAAATGTTAAGGAATTATCTCACACAGTTGTGAGGGTTAGCAAGTTTGAAATGTACAGTTTGGGTCAACAGGCTGGATACTCACGCAAGATTTCTGTTTCAGTCTTGAAGAGAATTCCTTCCTTGGAAAATACCAGTCTTTGCTCTTAAAGACAACTGATCAGATACAGCCCATCCAGATTTTGGATGGTAATCTGCTTTACTACGGATCTACTGATTTAAATGTTAATCACCTCTAAAAAAAATACCTTTACATCAACATCTAGACTGGTGTTTGATCAAACAAATGGGCACCATAGCCTACCCAAGTGACACAAAAATTAATTATCACACACATTATTTTTGACTTAGATTGAAGCTTATCTTTTAACTCTTTATGGGTAACAGGGTAAAAGAACAGTCTAAACATAATTGCAGAACAAGTTTGTATAAAACACACCGTTAAATGGTTTTGGCCTGTTTGTTTCCAGTATACAGACAGTGCTCATAATAAATATTTTTGACTCGCTAAAGCAGAAGCTTTACTTTTTGTGTCATTTGGTTGACTGACAATGACACATCTCCAGGGCTACCACATGCGGTTGTATGGATTGTGTATTGCATCAAAGTGCCTGATAGAGGGGACATTGGGGACTGCAATTCATCCCACACTCCACTTTCCAGGCCATGTGTCCCAGTGTGAAGCTGTGCCCTTCCCAAGGCAAAGGCACCTTTCTGTCTTCTTTGAGCATGAGTGCCAAGGATTAGCCAAGCCAACCCCGTGCCCATGGAGCTGTGGCCCCCCAGAAGAGGTACCTTCTTCACATTTGCACAAAGATATCCTAGAAGCTGTTCCTGGGCCCAAGCATCTCTGTATCTTTAAACACATTCTTTAAGACACACATCCCAACAATTCAAAAAGGTTTTTCCTCCTTTTAATTGAAAGATGAAAACAGAGATTACTGTAGGTTAAATGCATAATTAGCTTTTCATTCTTCCAGTTGCCAGAACCACCTCCTTTTCTTCCTGCTGATACAGGCCTCATGGCTCTCTCGGAAATGTTTCCTCCTAGTTAATCCTCCTCTCAAAACAGTGTTGAGTCTAGAGATTGTGCTCTTTCATACCTCACTCTGCCGACAGATAATATAAATGACTCCCTTCCTCTCCTTAGCCTTCTTTTCCCTGACCTGAATCATATCATGATTTCTTCTGTACTGGTTACCCCTCGCTAGCAAAAAAAGAAAAATAAAATACTGTTAATTTTTTGTCTTTAGCTTCCAAAAAATACTCTGGCAGCTTTTCCTAAACCTTTTTTTTTTTTTTTTTTTTTTTTTTTGCGTTTTCATCAACTATGTAGCAGCTGTACTTTGTATCTTACTTTTCCATTTCTATGTTCACTTTTTTTTTTTCGTGGACCAAGACTGGTTAAATGCCCTTGGAAATCTCCCGATCATTAATTTCGTTAGCCCCAAAATGGAGGTCTCCACCTTGAAGGCATCTGTGGAATGCTTTCCTCTACCTGCTGGAGATAGGTACCACACTTCCTGAAACTCCAAGTTAATCATTAGGCCAGGAACAGTCCTGTTCTTTGAGTAAATCACTTCCTTTCACTGGGCAGTGTTTCTTCGTTGCAATTAATGTTTCAGGAAATTATTTCTCATGACTATGGTTATTTATTATTTCCTATGAGCAAGTCACACATCCTGTGATAAGTTGCGAAATTAGCAATTAGAGAGTAACTTTCACCAAAATAACAAAGGTCATAACCGTCAGTTTCAGACGGAGCTATTGATTACAAAAGTCATCGGCGAAATTGTGGGCATCCACCCTGATGCTACCTTGGAAGAACTGCTATTTATTGGTCACCTACACATGATTACAGGGCTGGGGATGACAATAACAGCACTTTAATAACTCTATAGAGATACTCATATATCTTATCTCAAACCTCCTCCTCTCTCCAAATTGGATGGTAATGTGGGCAAGAGAGCATTTGTTGTGGCCAACATGAAAGCAAATATCTGGTCATGGATGCCACAGAAGGAGGAACAATCCGCTTTCTGTCCCAGTGTATCTCACCTGGCTATTTTGTATATGCTCAATGCCTCTAAAAAGTTTCTGTGTAATTTTTCAATTATTAATACTGTACCATCTTCCAGTCACCACGCTTTGTGGTTATTAGGTCATTAATCCTTACCAACATCTTTGGGTAGATAAAAGACACCTCATTTTTCTGCTGAGAAAACAGAGGCTGAAATAAATTAAATAACTTACTTGAAGTTACCCAGGAAGTTAAGAGATTGAACTATTTTTCAACCCTACATGTGTCTAATTCTAAAGTCCAACCTCTTAAATTCAAAGGTATAGAGTTCACTTCTTATACTACAAGGTGTTTCTCCGTGTGGTGTTATTGGTAAAAGTGCTAAAAGCTAAAAGCTTGGATCTGAAGTCACAAGACCTGGTTCTAAGACTGTTCTCTTTCACTTGCCATTTGTGGCAAGTGACCTACCTTCCTCATATATTAAGTGGATATTAATAATAATAACTTTATCTTTCTTATCAGAAATCAAATTCAATAACATGGGAAATGTTTGCAAAGCTGCAAAGCACAGTTAAATACTTGGCATTATGTGACTTTGTAAGCATTCTTAAGTCACTTTTTAATGCAAATAGTATGTCTAAAAATGGATAGAAGCTCCTTAAGGGTGGAAATGAGGCCTATCATTTATTGGAGTGCCTTACTCTCAGAACTCAACTTGAGCCTGATATAAAAGATCTTCCTGACCCGAATCCACCCATTCATGTCGCATACATATTTTACATGATTAGTGCACTCTCCCGTCCCTTAGAGAGAGAAGGCAGTAGAGAATTTTAGAGTTTATGACTGCTGGGTGTTGCTGACAGGAATTCTAGAATGTGTAGGGAGGTGTGTATGTGTTGTTGAGAGGCACGGATTGAAGAAGGTGGGAAGGCCAACTGATGTAGCTTTGACTTATGTCTCTTAAAATAAATACATGACCAGGTTTTCCTTTATCTGTGTTATTTTCATCCATCTCTTTCTATTAGTCACTTTACCTGTCCAATGTTCCTGAGATACATAATCATTAGCACAGCAAATGATTGCTTTCTTCTCTGACTTATTTGTCTATTCCCCTTCTTATACATTCTACACTGACAATCATCTGTCCCAGTGACTTGCTTATACTGCTCAGTTCAATAAACATCTTTTGAATGAATTCATTTCTTGGATTACACAAACATTTCTATGGTCCCTTTTCTGGTTTTGCAGTTAGAAACTAAGGGAAATACTACTAAAAAAAAAAAAGTCTTGGAGTAATAAATATTTCTAGTGTCCTAATGTGCCTTAAGACCCCCTTTTTCCCTTAAGACCCCCTTTTTCCCTATTGGAGGAAAATATACTCCCATTCTCTCTCTCCCACCCCCCACTCCACATACACAAATAATAGTTGTATTATGATTATCCTCATTGTGCAGCTTATCAAAGAATAATAGTAAAGAAGAGTCTTATCAAACAAAGCGCAAGCTAGGTTTCTCTCTCTCAAGAGTACTATTCTTAGGGTTTTATATTATTTCCCAAGGGCTGCCATAACAAATTACTGCAAACTTGATGGCTTCAGACAATGGGAATTTATTCTCTCACCATTCAAGGGGATAGAAGTCCAAAATCTGAGTGAGCAGAGCCATGCTTTACCTGAAGGCTCTAAGGGAGAACTTCCTCCATGTCTTTCTCTTAGTTTCCGGTATTACCAGCAATCTTTGGCCTTCCTTGGCTTGCAGCTGTGTAAACCAATCCTGTCTCCATCATCATATGGTGATTTCCATGTGTCTTCACCTTGTCTTCCCTCTGTATGTGTCTATCTCTGTGTCTTTTCTCCTCTTCTTATAAGGGTGATTATTACATTGAATTAAAGACTCACTCTTCTCTAATATGCCCTCATCTTAAATTATACCTTCTACAACTCTATTTCAAAATAAGTTCACATTCTCAAATTTGAGGAAGGGCATACATTTTGGGGCAGCATAATTCAATCTAGTACAGGTTTCAAATGAGGCAGCAGCCAGAAATGAACACCTGGAATTTCTTTGTTGCTTTGGGGGTCAGTTTGAAAATAACTAACATTAACTCTGCAGAAGTGAAAACGGCTTTGGGAGTAGGTCCTGCTAGAAAGAACCGGATGATCAGTAGTGATTTTCTGGCCCTACAGCAGAACTCTTTCTTTACTTACACCTACGACTACTTCAGCCAAGAATACAGTGTTGATACATAATAATTGGACTCTTTAATGATGAGTTTTATAATTACATTCACAATTCCTTATCCTCAGTTCCAGAATCTATACAGAACTGATTTATTTTATTTTATTTTTTTGTCTAAACATGACACCAATTCTTTGGTGTCAAAATCTGACTTGAACTGACATAGCTTTCTTTATAATGTAAATGTTTACATGTTTCACTACAAAAGTATTGTTTGATTAGGGGTGCTATCCTGACCCCACTAGGAGTTTTATATACTATATAAGCTACTATGCTATGTATGCTCTGTATTACTTTTTAAAATTCTACAGAGAATCTTAAATATGAATTCTCAAATACATATGACTTTAAGGATTTTGGATAAGCAAATACAGGCCTATTTTTTTCAATTTGGGTTACTTAAAACAAGCAGAAAAGCTGTCACTACTAGCTTTGAGTTTTTCTAGTCCAGTGGTTCTCAGACATGCCTGAACATTGCAATCACCTAGGAAGCTTTTGAAAATCCTAATACCTAGGCTTCATCTCAGACCAAATTAGAATCACTCGGGATGGGACCTAGGCATCGTAAACTCCGCAGCCAATTCCAATGTCTTCCCAAGTTTAAGAATAACTGTTCTGGTGCTAACCCAATGCAGTCCTTTCTAGCGGAGCCAACCAGAAGCCCACACCAGACACTTCCCATTACCACATCCTGACAGCAACTCACCTACCATGAGGTGTGAGCAGATGCAAATGGTAACTGGCACTGGTCAAAACAAAAAGAGCCCACATATTATGAGTTGAATTTTCTCCCCAAAAGAGATATGTTGACGTCTTAACTCCCAGAACCTCAGAATGTAACCTTAATAGAAATAGGGTTATTATCAATATAATTGGTTAAGATAGGGTCATACTGGAGTAGGGTTTACCCTTAATCCGTTATGAAGAATTTTTTTTCTTTTTTTTTGAGAAGGAATTTAACTCTTGTTGCCCAGGCTGGAGGGCAATGGTGCGATCTTGGCTGACAGCAACCTCTGCCTCCCGGGTTCAAGCGATTCTCCTGCCTCAGCCTCCTGAGTAAAGCTGGGATTACAGGCATGCGCCACCAAGCCCAGCTAATATTTTGTATTTTTAGAAGAGACGGGGTTTCTCCATGTTGGTCAGGCTGGTCTTGAACTCCCGACCTCAGGTGATCTGCCTGTCTTGGCCTCCCAAAGTGCTGGGATTATAGGTGTGAGCCACTGTGCCTGGCCGAATGTTCTTATAAGAAGAGGAGAGGGAGAGACACAAATAAGAGAATGCCATATGATGACACAGAGACACATGGGGAGAAGATGGCCACATGGCAATAGGAGCCAATATTGGAGTGATGCAGCTAAAACCCAAAGAACACCAAGGATTTCTGGCAAACTACAAAAGCTAAGAAGAGACAAGAATTCTCTCCAACAGGTTTCAGAGGGAGTGTGGTCCCGCTGACATCTTAATTTTGCACTTGTGTCTTCAGAACTGTTAAATTAGATTTCTGTTGTTTTAAGCCACCTAGTTTGTGGTACCTTGTTATGACAAACCTAGGTCGCACTATACATATGGGAATAAGTCTCAGCACTGTGCTAAGAATGACCCCAAAGCCCTCTAGATCCACCATGAAAAGCTATTCGTGGGTGTCCAAACACTGCAACTAAGGATGAATTGAAGGGGGAAGCTAGCATGGAAAAGGGAAATAGTAGTAGCTAACATTTATTGAGCTTAATACCATCCAGGCACACTTTACCTACGCTAGTTAGTTTAATCCCAAACAACCCTTTGAGGCAAATACTATTTTAATCTCCAATTTAGAAAAGAGGAAGCTGAGGCTCCCATAGATCACATAACTTGCCCAATATTGCTCCAACAATGGGAAACTGAGCCAGAATTTGAATCCACTTGTACTGGACCCTAAAGCCCCTGCTCCCAATGGCAGCTTGAGAGAAAAGCTCTTGGTAAGTCCAGAGATCTCACCAAGGCATCTTTCTTTAGGAATCAGAGGCGCAATTCAGCCCGCCGTGCAGCAAGAGTGGGAATCACAGCTCTGATGTGACAAGCACAGGGGTTTGGCATCCAGCTCTCACAGCTGCCAAAAAGAATTAAACAAAGTCAATGAAAGCAAAGGAAAGGCAACAACAAAAATGCCAGCAGCAGCAGCAGCAGGAGGGAGGGAGGGCCCAATTACTACTGGTTGAAGTGTGAAGAAAATTAAAGTTGGTGATGGTTCAAGGTTATGTTGAAATTCCAAGGCAGTGGGCTTGCATAACCATGAAACATGGAAATTAAAGCATTACTGATGTTCACACTGTTTATTTCAGGACTTCACTCTGTCTCATTTTGTCTCAACAGGTCTCAGTTCAATCATGTGCTAACCAGCAAAGAGAAAGTAAAAAAGATGGAGATCTCTCTCTCTCTCTTTCTCTCTGCGTGTGTGTGTGTACATTAAAAGTGTAAATAAATTAGAAATAGGAAAAACTACAAAAAGTATAATATAATATTTTTGCTTCTGGTCATGCCCATTTATATTAAGTGAAGTGAAATAAATTGTGACTATAATTAAGCCACCACAACTCTAAAACATTTTTCACCAAAAGCTTTCTGAAACCCCCTACCTCCTTGGCAATAACCATCACTAGATTTTTGAGCATTTCCTATGTCCCAGACACAGTTACAGTCAAGCCCTATCATAGTTTTATAAAATAAATATGACTATCTCCATTTTGGAGAGGTAGAAACTGAGCTTCCACAAGTGGAATAATTGTTCCCAGCTAACAAAGCTACTCAGCGGAAGGGACAAGATTTGAGCTGCTGTTTGTCAGACTTGAAAGTTCCCACATTACTTTTCCCCTCTGTATTTGACCCCTCTAGCTGATGATGTCCACCTTGCCCTGCTCAATGTCTTTCCTCCCACTTAGTGCTTGTTACTACTCTGTAGATGTAGTTTCAATGTATTGAGGACTAGCTGCATAGATTTATTTGTCTCAGATGAAAGATTTTTAAAGAATCAAATCACAAAATGCAACCCGGGCTTAATCTCACACACATTTGATTTCAATGCCTTCTCCAGTGGGATTGCACTTACAGCAAACAATGGTTTTTCCTGCAGCCTTTTCAGAGCAGAGTGATTGCACAAACTCTCCGCTAAGGCTCCTGTTCAATCTGCAAAACACAGGACTCATTTGCTAACTATAGCAAATAGCAAATACAACTATAGCAAATATGGCTGGATTTACCAACTATAGTTTAAAGACAAAATTTTTTGTATCTGTGTATTAAAATTTGATTTTATTCTATTTACTCAAAACAACAGGGAAAAATGATTGCTGCACATCCTTCCCTTCTTCATCGCCGAACTTGAGTAAGTCCCTGGAAGTATGCAAACACAGAGTAGATATTTTTTATGCCTCATTCTTTCAGAATGTAGATACAAGAGTAGAAGTTCAAACTCAGCCAAATTGCCCTTAAGTAATACGTTTTTTTTTTTTAATGATCAGACATTTTGTAGAGACTTACAAAAGTAAAAATAGTAAGAAGGCAACTGGAAAGCAATATAAAAATTTCAGAGTCCAATCCAAATAAAATATTTTTATAAAAAAGTTGGTTTGACCTATTATGATACTTTCTGACCAACTGACAAAAAATGATAATAGAAAAGAGCTCTTTGTAAGCGGCAGTGCTAAATGTTCACCAAATCCTGTTTCATAGTCCTCACTCCTAGAAATATTTTTTAAAAAGCTACATTTTTCAATCTTTTGAAGGTAAGTGAAGTCAAATGATCAGTTCTAGCCAATAAACTGTGAATAGGAGTGATGAGTCACTTCCAGAATGAGACTATGACAAGGAAATTCAATTTTTTTCCCTACCTCAGTGATCCAGGGGGTCTCTTATTGAGATGGTAGGGACATAAAATATGCTGCATTGTTGAGTCATGGAAAAAGTCATCCTGGAGAGTCACCTAAACCTACAGCAGGTTTTGTGTTAGTGAGGAATATAATTCAATAGGAAAGCCATTTGGTCCTGCTGTTTTCTTTCGAAAGGACTTGGTCAGATATATCTGAACTTGGTCAGATATAGGAACATCTTGAAATTAAAGTATTACTGATATTCACACTGTGTATTTCAGGACTTCATTCTCTGGCTTACTTTGTCTCAACAAGTCTTAATTCAGTCAGTCACTAACCAATAGGTTATACAGGAACTTTGTTAATTTATCTCTGTTTTCAGTCCTTCGTATTTTTCATTGATTTTTACTCATATTTATCATTTTTTCCTTACTACTTATTTTGGATTTGTATTTTTTTTTTCCAGATTCCTGAATCGGAAAAGCTTTTAAGGACTATTCTGGTCATTGATTTTAGGCCTTTTTTTGAATATAAGCACTTAATGTTCCAAGTGCACTTGAAAAGAAAACGCACTTTGTAATTGTTGGCTGGAGCACTTTATGAGTACCAATCAGGTCAAAATGGTTGATGGCATTGTTCATTGAAATATTCTATATCTTTAATTTTTTTTTCTCAAGTTGTTCTATTGGTTGCTTAGAGAGGGCTCCTAAAATCTCTCACTACAATTTTGGATTTTTCTGTTTCTCCCTTTAATTCTACCAACTTTCATTTCATGTATTTTGAAGTTCTATAATTAGGTAGATATTAATATATATCTTGTGATTTTTTTTTTTTAGATGAAGTCTGGCTGTGCCGCCCAGGCTGGAGTGCAGTGGCCCAGTCTCGGCTCACTGCAACCTTTGCCTCCCAGATTCAAGCAATTCTCCTCTCTCAGCCTCCCAAGTAGCTGGGACTACAGGCGCCTGCCACCACCCCCAGCTAATTTTTTGTATTTTTAGTAGAGACAGGGTTTCACCATGTTAGCCAGGATGATCTTGATCTCTTGACCTCGTGATCCATCCACCTCAGCCTCCCAAAGTGCTGGGATTACAGGTGTGAGCCACTGCGCCCGGCCTATATCTATGATTTTTGTGTTGGTGTATTATGCAGAGGAAGTGATCCTTGCATCATTATGAAATATCCCTCTCTCTGGTTATCTCTTTGTCTTGAAATATTCTTTGTCTGATCTTGATATAGCCATTTTGGCCTTCTTGTGTGCTTTCAATGTATCTATGCATTTATATTTAAAATACATGTCTTATTGATAGAATGTAGTAGTTGAGTCTTCCTTTTAAAAATTTAATCAAACAATCTCTGCCTTTTGCTTGGAGTGTTAGAGCATTTATAGTTAATATCATTTTTGAGATAGTTGGCTTTAGGTCTAACATTTTTTTTTGTAATTGTCCCTTCAATTTTTGTTCCTCAGTTTCTCCTGTCCTGAGTTATTTTAGATTAACTGAGTGTTTTTAAAATTCTATTCTAACGTACCTATTGGCATTTTAGCTATACTCCTTCGCATTAATTTTTAAGGGTTAAGAGATTGTAATATATATCTTTCAGTTTTAGAGTCTATTTAGTATTAATATTGCATCACTTCCTACAAAATATAACAAACTTGCAACCATATATGTCTATTTACCTCTTTTCTTCTCCTATATATGCTAGATTTGTTACATATATTGCATCTACATACATTATAAAATGCCACAATAAATTATTCTTGTTTTTGCTTTAAAAAATTGTATTAACAAATTAAGAGTAAAATGTAGAGTTTTATATTTATGATTTCCATGGCTCTTTATTCCTTTATAAAGGTCTGACTTCTTATCTGGCATGATTTTTCTTTAGCCTGAAGTATCCCCTTTATTACTTTTTATAGTATAGGTTTGCTGGTGACAAATTCTCTTATTTTCTTATAAAAATGTTTAATATATATTTTTTAATAAAAATTTTCTTATATAAAAATTTCTGGGTTGAGAGGTTGTTGGGTTTTTTTTTCTATTTTGCCATTAAAGATGTTGTTCCAATATTTTCTGGCCTCCATTGTGACTGATGAGAAGTTACAAATAGCTTTAATCAAATATTTGCTCTCTTACATGTAATGTGACTTTTTTCCTCCACCTGTTTTCAAGATTTTTTCTTTATAAATGGTTTTGAGCAGTTTGACTATAATGTGCCTAGTCAATTTTATTTACATATATATATCTGTCTTAAACATAGAGCTTTTTGAATCTGAAATTAATTTCTTTAAATTTTTATTAACATGTAATTTCAGTAATTATTTCCTCAAAAATTTATTCTCTGCTATTATATACCTTTCTTATGGGGCTATAATTACTGCTTGAAATTTGTTCAAAAGGTCCCTAAGACTTTTTTTTTAAGTTATTTTAAAACGTTGTTTTCACTGTTTTTAAGTTTGGATAATTTCTATTAATCTATTTTCATGTTTACTATCTTTTTGCTCTATCATTTCCAATCTGCTGTTAAGCCCAGCCAGTCAACTTTTTTTCCCCTGATATTGTATTTTTTAGTTCCAGAAGTTCCATTTGTTTTTTCTTTTCTTTTTTTTTTTTTTGCTCTTTCTATTTCTCTGTTAGAATTTTGAACATTTTAATTGATTCTGAACCTACTTTTCTTTATATTCTTAAGCATAATTGTAATCGCTATTTTAAAATGCTTGCCTGCTAATTTTAAATTTGGATTGTTTTCTGGTTTTTATTTGAATGTTAAATAATTTTGTATCTTTTCTGGATATTGTGAACGTTTTGTTGTGGAGACACTCAATTGTTATTTCCTTCAAAGAGTATTCATTTGTTTATGGAAGACAGTTAAGTTGGCTGAACTCAAAATACAAACTCTGCCTCCCCTGTACTTAACAATAGCAGACTCTCATTTCTGTTCTTTTAGCCTTTGCTATGCTGCTTGGAGCCTGGTTCTTGAAGCTACATAGATGAATGCTTTTTCTGTTTTCTCAGCCCTGAGAGATCAGATTGGGGCCTGTCATCAGGCTACAGTGCTTTTAAAATTCAGAAACTTACTCAGTGCTGTTCCCTTCTCCTACTATTGACTTTTCTCGGGTACTTGCCTGGTTTGGTCACTTTCAAAGGCCTCCAGGTATTTATTCTTTATATTTTGTGTTTGCAAATATTACCTGCTGGAGGATTAGTCCAATAGGAGCGATTACCAGAACCAAACCCCACCATAATTGAGGAATAAGCTTTATGTGGTTAGCCACTGGTATTTGGAAGTGATTTGTTACTACAGCATGATTTAGCCTATCTTGATTAACATTAGTTACCAAATGAAGCATTTGTTTTGATTTTAAAATAGTTTGTTTTAGAAGCAGAGCCTCTTGAGCTTTTCTGACGGTGTATAAAAATATAATGCTATTTTTGTTGACTTTCATAAATTTTCTGTAGGGCATTGATCTTGAAAAAAATAAATTTTGTCAGTTATGATACTTTTTAGAAAAGCAACCCTTGCAAAGTGTGAAAAATTATATAATTGATCACTGGTTTTCCTAATATTAGTACCATACCCTCCTGCCTATGAAGATCCCCTTGAGACATCCTAAAGAAAATTTTTCCTCACAATTTAAATTATTCTAGACATTTTATATTTCCCCATACTGTGCTTTTAAGACTTAAACATTGTATCCAAAGTGGTTAATTCTTTGTATATGAGTTTTATGTTATTATAGACTATTGTCTGCCTTTTCTCCCCTGTGTTTTTATAGTCCATGTGTATTTACTCCCTCCAGTTGGAGGAGTCTGGATTGAGAGAGCTAATTTTATTTCATATCATACAATAGAATTAGAATAACAATGAAATTGATTTTGCTTTGAATTTTATTTAATTAACATTCACTGAGAAATCATTGAACCTCTACTATTTACAAACCCATCATATTGTTTCTATCTTTGATAAGCAAGAGTAGGGTTACCTGAGGCTCAAATATTCCAAACTATTAATAGAGAAAACACACATAGAGTTTAGAAAATTATATAAAATTGTCCAACTATTCAGATTGGGATTATATACTTCCCAATAGGAGAACATATACAAAATTCTTACAACAAAAGAAGAATTCTTATAACAAAAAAGTTTTGATATAAGAATTTTGTGTAAGTTCTCCAATTGGGAAGTATATAACAAAATTCTTATAGCAAAATTATAACAAATATATAACAAAGTAGAACAAAATTCTCAAGACAATTTGGGGATTTGGGTAACTGATCAGATTCTTTTATGTATTCAGAGCCTCAGTCCTCCCTCCTCAAAGGCCTTCTCGTCATTTAAGGTACAGAGAAGCTTTGTTCCCATTTATCTCCTATCTTTTCCTCTATTCTTTCACCTACTTTAGCTCCTTTTTTGTTTCTCACCCCTGGGTCCCCATGTTCTTCTCTGCGTGGTTATCAGTTCTGCCCCCCATGGCTCCTTACTGCGATGGCCCAGGTTATGATAGGTTCTTTTTTGGTGAAGAAGAGTAGATGGGAAAAGTAAGCTATTCTACTCTTAGCATGTGGGATAAATGAGAAAACGTTCACACTATGTGGATTAATTATTAGATAGGCATTATGCAAAACAGTCTGCATCCTTCTCATATCCTCCCTTTGGTATGTGTTTGAACCTGAGAGAAGAAAGGAGAGGGAAGAAAACCCAAAAAAACATTGTGACACATATTGCCATAGGTACAGTATTGCCATAGGTACAGTAAAACAATGGTGAATGAAAACTCAGCCTAGTGATAAATCAGGCTGCTACACAAATAATTCAACATAATGTGGAATGGCTCAAAGCAGCATGATTTATGATGTAATCAAGTACCAGGAAAGGAGCACTCATTCTGCTGCTTTGCCTGGAGGGTTTCAGGCGAGTTTTTTTTTTTTTTAACTTATATTTTAAGTTCAGGGGTACAAGTTCAGGTTTGTGACATAGGTAAACTTGTGTCATGGGGGGTTGTTGTACAGATTATCTTATCACCCAGGTATTAAGCATAGTGTCAATTAGTTTTTTTTCCATGATCCTCTCCCTCCTCCCCCTCCACTTTCCGATAGGCTGCTATGTGTGTTGTTCCCCTCTATGGGTCCATGTGTTCTCATCATTTAGTTCCCACTTAGAAGTGAGAACATGTGGTATTTGCTTTTCTGTTTCTGCGTTAGTTTGCTAGGATAATGGCCTCCAGCTCCATCTATGTCCCTAGGATGTGACATTTGAATGGAATTACACCTGTAACCCTCAGCATTAGCAATTATTTCCTCCAGTGGCATCCTCTCCCTAACACTTTTGCATGACTGACATCTCTTCTTCAGGTATTAGTTTGAGTGTTACGCAGTTAGAGGGGTCTTCATGATCACACGTCTGTAATGGTAAACTCTCTGTGATGGTAAACATGGCCATTTTCTATCACAGCTCCCTCTTCTTTCCTTTTTAGAGCAAATCACCTTCTTTATTATTGTAGATATTTTATTATTTAATGTATTCATTCATTTATTGTCTGTTTCCCCACTTGAATGCAAGCTCCATGAGGGTAGTAAGCTGAGTCTTGTTCACTATTACATTCCTGGTGCCTAGCCTCATGTCTAGCAAAGTAGATGCTGAATAAATATTTATTGACTAAATGAATTGCAATATAGCTACTTAGAATAACCACAATTATTTGTTATTACAAATAATATTGCAATATAATGTTTGCCTGTATATCATCTTGATTATATTGTGAGCCTCTTATAAAAGATTCCTGCTTTATTGATTTGATTCTTTTTTACTATGGAAATTCTTTCTGCTCTCTCATAACTAGTATGTATTCAATCAGTTCTTTCTTCATAAATAAATGTAGAAATTATTCTTCCTTTATCCATCGACTTTACTTGAAGGAAGATAAGGCCATTACAAAGGAAACTTTTTTAAAAGCCTATCAAAAAGTTTAAGGAAGAAAACTAAGTTGTGCCACTCCAAGTTGAGCAAAAATAGTCTGCCATTTTGCAGAAAGAAAAACAAACAAAAAAAAAGAAAACTTCTGAGATCACTTTCTAGATATAATGTGGATAAAAATTGTGACAAGATGAAGTATTCAAGAATGTGACCACTAAACAGAGCCCTGTTGGAAACTCTTTTGATTTTTATCCTTGGACATATCTTGAGAGGTCAGTAGTCTACCAGGTGACCAGAGACGGCATTTCCTCCCTGTCAATGCTTGGTACATTCACTTTGCCTCAAATGTGGCAAACATCTCAGATTTATTCCTTGATGTCTCAATTTTAGCATGAACTCCTGAGGCCATTTGAGTTACAAATTGACAAGCATGAAGATTAAGCAATATCTGTTTAAAAAAAAAAAAACATAGACTTCATCATACTAAAACTCCTTTTAATGTTATGCCCTAGCAGGACTTTTTGATGTAGTACCACCCCTTATCAAAATAACCTTGGAGTCCAATTTATCCCTTTCTTTATCATGATTAAGGAAATTGCCATATACGTTGATGGAATGATAATTAAACATTTGGCTGGAACTTGTGCCTGGGAATCAATTCAAAATGAAAAAATTATTGAGTGTCTACTATGCACACAGCCAGAACCAGGTATCACTGGTCCCTCATTGTTTGTACTCTAGCTGGAAACACAGACATTGAAGCAGGGAATTTCAGTGTCATGTGGTATTAGTCTAAGGTATACATGTGGTGCCATAATAGCTCTTAGAAGGAGTATCTCATCCAGATATGATCAGGGAGATCTTTGTACAGCTGCATATCAAATGCCATAAAAGCAATCTTAATCTTGTTTTACTTTTTCCAGAAGAGTTTGTATCTTCAGAATAGCTTATATTTAAGAATTGTCATCACACTTGCTGATTTTTGTTTGTTTAAAATATTAATTCTTGCTTGCATCAATATATCCTATGTCTAATTTATACTGGCATTCACATAACAAAGCCATCTCTGGGCTCCAGATTATGAGAGTTCCATGCTGCTAAAAACATATCTGTTAAGACCAGTTTTGTCCCTTAATAACTAAACTTTAGTGTATGAGGACCAAGATTGATCTAATTTAATCTCCAGAGTAATTATGATAGCAAGTATCTGGTGCATCACAATTTTTGAACTGGCAAAGTCTGAATTTATGCGATGAATTAAATTTGACATAGACAAACCACTGATGTTCATAGTGCAGATTTTGTAAACATAGGTAAACACATAAGAAAAGGGAGGTCACATCTAGTTGATGCCAACTTCTGATATGGCAAGTCTAGAGAAAATATTGGCTATTAGAGATAAAAAAAACACTGACTACCAAAATTACGTGGCCCACTAGTATTGAGCATTCGCTCTACCATGGTTCAACAGGGCAATTATAGTAATTTACCATATGTATTGGCTTAGACGTCTTTCTTCACTGCTAGACTGAGAGCTCCTTGCGAATTAGGATCAAGTCTTTGTGTCTTAATGCCTAATAGAGTAACACAACTTTGGTATATAATTCAGATTTAATCAACACTATATATTTAATTGGTTGGTTCAACAATTAAAATCACTAATCATTATGCAAATGTGAATGGCTGAGGGAAGACAGCTATCTTTGATTTGTACACTCTTTGTATCCAGAGCACCTAAAACATTTAATATGCTTCTATTGAATGAATTAGTATGGTCACTCATGTATATTGGAAAAGACATGGTCTTTACAGATAAAACTCTATTGACAGAGTGAGCATCCTGTAGCTATCTTCAAGATGCTCAGGACTGCAGGCAGTACTTACAGAGACTGCTTGATTCATATGTTCATATCTTGGTTAGAGAAGAACGGAGGCCTGGTGTAGTGGGTCGCACTTGTAATCCCAACAATTTGGGAGGCCAAGGTAGGAGGATCACTTGAGGCCAGGAGTTCAAGAACAGCCTGAGCAACATAGTGAGAACTCCACTTTCCAAAAAAGGAAAGAAACTCCCCCATTCCCTCAGTTTTAGTATCTAGGTGAGCATGGTGGTGCAAACCTATAGTCCCAGCTACTCGGGGGTCTGAGGTGGGAGGATCACTTGAACCTAGAAGGTCGAGGTTACAGAGAGCCATGATCATGCCACTACACTCTAGCCTGGGTGACACAGCGAGGCTCTGTCCCATAACAAAAAGAGAAAGAAAGCTTCTTTTCTTTTCTGGGTATTCCCTTTGCTTGCTTACTCTGGTCGTGAGGAATGATCTTCAGTAATAAGCAGTGAAAAGTATATCTTGCATGAGCAGAAGAATAAGAAATAGATTTTTTTCCAGACTCCAAATCAATTTTACTTATTTATTCTAACCATAGTTTACTTATTTATGATGGAATTTTATTTGTACGTCAAGATCTATCCTGCCAGGAATAGAGCTATGTAAGAAAGAAAGAAAAAAAATCCCAACCACCACAACACTGGCAAAAAAACACATTTTCACAGGTTAGCAATAAAGCAAAATATTTTTCATTCTTGCCTCAAATTTTTGGCAGAACCAAGGGACAATTTTCTTGAGTAAAAGGGAAGAGCAAAGAAGAAAATGGCGATATGAGAGTGGACTGATCTTAAACACTGGAAAGGGATGAATATTGCTAGATGCTGTTCAGAGGCCTGATTGCTTGCTTTCTGTATCTGCTTTTTCTTTTTCACTGAAAGGCATATTTTTCTATCCATCAAGTTTTATAATCTTCTGCCAACCATTTCACTGGAACAAGCTTTCCCTTTAATTTAACAGTGCACATATTACTGTACTGTACCCACAAAAACTTATTCTGAGATAGTGCTTATAAGATGCATGTCTTCAAGCCTCAAGATAAACAGAAATATAGTATATGCAATTTGGAACCAAGTAGCTCTCATTTATTTATTAGCAAGTACATTGGTGGCATAGTCATTTCACCAGAAGGTCATATTCAATGAATTAAACATCTCCAGGTTCTGACAACCACATAAACTAAGGGTTACTGAGAAAAATAAAATGTCACTGATGTTTCTGGCTCATTGGATCTTCTGTATGGCTTTACCCATTAGCTGGGGCTCTAAAAAGTATTCATCTTTATTTTCCCATCATTGCCAGACCCATGGACTTTGTGGCATTTGCCATAGCACACACAAAAAATGAAGGTTTAAAGGGGATTTAAAAAGAGAGAAAAATTCTTAATCATGCTTTCATAACTTTTGGTGAACAGTTGGTTTAAATTTCCAAATAACTTCTTTCAAAAGGATAATATCAAAGCACATGCAAAAAATAAAAGTCTAAATAAAGCACAATAAATTATTTCACTGCTGAGGTATTAGATTTCAAAGAGAGAAGAGAGTACACATAAGGATATTAGAGTGGACTATATTGGATCTTTGGGAATTGCTGTCAGATATTGATGAAAACAGAGAGACTGTAGGAGATCAGATAAAAGAGAGAAATGATTACATTTGGAAGAACAATGTGAAATACGTGGCCAACAGAGATTTCAAATGTAAGCTAATAGCAATCCACGAAAGAACAAAGTTGGAGCAAGTCCCACATCTCTAACCACATTTACAATCATTCAGCATCTGTAAAAATTTTTATGTAGCATTTTTCCTCATTTCAAAATTTGCAAAATACATATTTAATAGGTTTAGCATGTCAGTCAGTAATTTTGTCCACAGGCAGTGAAAAGGATTTGTGTTTTTCGAAAATGAGTTGGGTTTTGGTGATGCTACCCTTTCAGTCTGCCCCAGCCAGCTGCAATCACGGCGGCTTCACAGCCCAGAGATACTGTAAACAATCGTGTTCTGTACATTTCACTATCCACGCTGGTGAGAAAACACAGCATCTTAGACTTTCATCTCCTTTCTTCTGAGTTTCACACCCCCTCAACTTGGAACAGAGAGAGTCCATGTTCAAATTGCTTGCTTTCTTCCTTTCCTTATCAAACAATCACCAAAGAGAATGTGATGTGAGAAAGGTGTTCCCAAAACATGTTTTCTTGTCTGATAGGAACACTTTAACCAGTATATTCTAAATGATCAAAGATTACTCAAACTGAAACAAAATTTGGTAAGAAAAATTTAAAATCCAGCTGAGACAGTAACTGAGAAGTTGAGCTGGGTCAGCCAGTTCACAGTCAAGGTTGTCAGGTACACCTGGTACTGAAAGACCCCCTTGCAATCTCCTTTTATTAAGGTAACTTGAGGTGGTCACAGCACGAGTAGCAGTCTGGTTTATTTCAATCATACAGATGTCACTTCATGACATGACGCAAGACTTTCAAATGGCCTCAGTTCTATTCTCTACTTTGTTCCTGTCTATAGTTGTCTGTACTTTCCTAGGGGAGCAATTAAAAAAACTGAGAGAGAGAGAAAAAAAGATAGTAGATGTCAAAGGCATGCTAGCGGGGAATCCTGCATCAATTAATTAATTCCATAGATCCTATCCCTTTTATATCTTAGGATCTATTACAGCAGAGATTTGCTTTCAGGTTGGGGCATGAGCACCTCAATTAGTAGCTGCTTTCACATTGGAAACCTTTCCTATCTTTGTGGGCAATGTCAATTTAAAAGGAAATTTGTAGGGGAAAACTTCTCAGAGCGCCCCAAACTTCATTCTCATTCATGAGCTCTAAAGTGGTTTGATTTCACAACTTTATTTGGTGGTGTGTACACAGGGGTTCAGAAAGGTTTTCTACCCAGTTCATTCATCTGACATCTGTAACAGCTCTGTATTTCTATGTATGTGATTCTCTATTCCAGAGGCATATAACAGAACACTATGCCTTGCAGCTGAATTACAAAAAGAATTCAACATATTTGGTATTCCATGGAGAGTTCTCTTAGTGGAGATAGTTCAGGAAGGGGTTTATTTTCTTAATTTGCTTTCTCAGTTATAAAATCTTCCCAATTTCACTGGCAGTAGAAAACATATCTAACAGTAGTCCTGCATTATTAGAGAGTTCACATCTGTTGGTACTTTCGAACAATATCCCTGGGACAGATTTTTGAATTTGTTTCAATCTTGATTACAGTCTACACAATGAACAAAACTATTTCTATACAATGGCAAATCCTAAGTGGAAATAATATTGTTTTAGTTTGGGAAAAATGATTTTTTCAAGTAAAGCTATCCACTTGGTATTGTGAGGGAAAAAAAATGGTACTAGAGAGAATTAATTTCTTCCTCATAACAAGTTACATTTTCATGTGAAATGATTTAGGTGGCATAATGGTAAAGATATGAGCAAAATAATTTTTAGTTACAATTTCTTGCAGTTCTATAATGGCTTGATGTCACAGCTCATTGGGAGTTTTTCTTCCCCATGTTTTTCATCGTATTTTAGTTTCTAAGGAATGTAATAAATTTCGTATTGTAGTTAAATGAAGATGCTCTGAAGTTAGACAGCCTCGGTTTCAGTCCTTGAGTAATCCCTTGGCAATTTGTATGAACTTAGCAAGTCACTCAACTTTCTTGAGCCTCAGTTTACTCATCTATAAAATTGTGACAATATTTCTGGCATAAAATCAATCTAAAATGCAGATAATACATCCAAAGTGTTTTACTCACTGCCAATGATAAGGTAATTGCATTATATTTATGGTTATATTGGCAACTTTTTAAATGTTTTTATAATAAGAGAGTGATTTTTCTGCTGCCTTTAGTAATCACAATAAGAAAACCTATAAAACTTTGTAAAATGTGTATACCCCTTTCTTCTTCCCCTCAGGACAAGACCCTTAGCTTTCCAGCACATGGTTGCTGCTCATAAACTCTTCAAATCTAAGTTTATTATCATGAAACTATTATTGTAATAAGTCAAATTCCAAAGAAAAACAATGTCAGTAGATTTCACTAAATATATTATCAAACAATATAAAACATAGGCCTAACCAAACAAGTGTCCTCAGTCTTTGAAGAAATGCCTGTAGGTTGACCTGTAAAGTTAATTTCATATCACTGACTCCTCTAAGAAAAATAAAAATAGAGAAACAGCATCCCTGCTGCTTACTTTTGATGAACCTCATGGGATGGAGATGTTTTCAGCTGTAAGAGGTTTTTCAAGTGCGTGTTTCCAGTTGGTTTCTTATGATTAAATTGTATGGTTTTATTCACTTTGAGGATGTGATAGATGAAAATATTCAGCTTTCATAAGCTCATAGGTATCAGTTATCTATTGCTATGAAAAAAAACTACCCCAAAACTTAATGACTTAAAGTAGTAACCATTTTATTTGCTCATATTTGGGCTGGGCTCAGCTGAGAGGTTCTTCTGCTTATATCACGTAGGGTCACTTCTAAAGCTGCAGTTAGCAGTTGTCCAGTGGCTAAATTTGGGCTTTATGGGCTAACTTGGCTTCAAAGATGTCTCTAGAGTTGTGGTCACTATCAGCTGGGCCACATGTCTCCAAGAGAATAGTCTGGATGGGTAGCCAGTTTCCAAGA
This sequence comes from Homo sapiens, assembly GCF_000001405.40. Taxonomy (NCBI): domain Eukaryota; kingdom Metazoa; phylum Chordata; class Mammalia; order Primates; family Hominidae; genus Homo; species Homo sapiens. The sequence goes on from NC_000001.11 coordinate 218,967,634, forward strand.
GTGCAGGAGCAAAAGCTGCAAGGCCTCTTGAGACTTAGGATCACATCCCATGAGTTCTGCTGCATTCTATTGGTCAATGAAAGTCAGCTGGATAAGCCTAGAGGCATGCATACTTAGAGGAGAATTATAGTAGCTATGTTGCAAATAATCTACCATATCACATAAAAACTTTGTAAAAATAAATCATGTCATGTATAATTTCTATTTACCATCCTGATTCTTTTAGATGACTTTTTCTTTTAAACCATATACTGTATGACAGGTGCTAGAGATACAAAAGAAAAAAGACACAGCTCTTACTCTAGGGGATTTTATGTCTGATAGAAAAGATAAAAAATAAATAGACTTCCTAGATGGTTAGTGGCTCAACGACCATGTGATGTGGTTAGTTGTGTTCAGCTGAACTGCTGAATCTAGTGAGGCATTCCAGAAATGTGTGTCATTCATCACAAAATGGACTGAGCAAGAAAGTTTATGTGTGTTGTTTGTAAACCCAACCCCATTGCAACAAAATAATAGAATCAAGTAAGTCAAGATACATTTCTTGCTGAAATTGTATCAGTGACAATGTTATCGCACTTGAATGACAGCACAGTTTTTAGGTCCCTTTTTAGAGGCAGATTAGGGTAGTAGTTAAGAGCTTGGCTGTCTAAAAAGTAGCCTAGTGTCTCAGTGTCCTCACTGTAAAATAAAGGCTTTATAATCTAACTCATTTACTTATACTTTAGAACAGAGAACAAAATGCAAAGTATGTAAAAATCATCTTCTTGAGATATAAAAGCATTATTTTATAACTAATGAAAAATATAAACCCTCTTCAGAAATGTTCGAGCGAAGATTCAGAATTTGAACGTACTCAGGTACCCAGAGTTTCTCTCTTTTACATCCTAATATTCAAGAATCTTGAACAAACAAACGAGAAGGTTGTAGAGATAGTATACTGATTCAAATTAGGAATCTATTTTCTCTACCTGAAACTTGATTTGCTGAACACAATACGAGGCAAAAAGTGTGTATTTGTTACGTATGTATTTACTACTGATGATAGCAAATGACTCTTGATTCTCTTTCTTTCTGATAGAAACTGTTTTCTTATAGTGGTCATTTTTTAAATTCCTAACTCTCCAAGAGGTATTAATCATGGAAGAAAGATACCCATTTGATGTGCCCTACGGTGCAGCTCTGTCAATCCAGAGATAGGCACCAAAATTTGTGACATCAGAATAAAGGTAATATTTCAGTGTTTTCAGCAAAGATATGCCAAGAGCCTTGTATTTAGGGACATATTTCCAATTTAAGAAGTTAGTTTTTATCTATTCAAAAGTTATGATGTAGCACCAATTAAATAATGAAACACCTCTCTTCATTTATGGACACTACCAGCTGATGCCAGAAAATTCTTGTAGCTCACAAGGCCTGACTCTAGGTTGTGATTTTTGGACTTTAGTTGGTTATGTCATCACTTGAGCATTATTTAAATATGTTTCTCCTTTTAATTCAATTTCCTGTTTTGTTTTCTCAAAACCATAAATCATCTCTTAAGAAATTTTACAAAATGCATATTGTTCTCCCATGAGACCTGTGCTGCTCCTCAGCTGGGCATCGCCTGCCAAAGGACATGTTTTTTGAAAAGTTTTCCTTTTATTGGTTTTGCATAATGGTTGCAACAATTCTCAAGTAATGAAAAAAGAATGAAGAATGCATGTCCTTTCCAGTACATAGCCACAATGTTAATGCTAAGGAGAAGCAAAACAAAACAAAACAAAAACCCACCCTAAAAGTGGTCTTGGACACCCAGCCCTCCTCTCAGCTCCCTTATTTGGATTCATGATGTTTCCTATCTTTTCTCCTCTTTTTTCAAAATAAACTATTTATGCTCAAAGAAAATCTGTCATCTAGGACATCTGTGATAATGTTCTTGTGGCCTGGGTTGGACCCTTGCTCCACTACCAACTAGTATAAAATTAATGGGGGACATGACTTAACCTTTCTGGGCTTATATTTGTCTCATTCGTAAACTAGGAATAATGGAGTTTACTTCACTATATTGTTTTGAAGATTAAGTAAGAGAAGGCATATAACAGTGCCTCACACACTGTGAATTGAACCTACATATATTAATATATCTATTGTCTAATATAAGAATAAAAACACCATTCTCTGCCCCCATTGCATAGTTAATAGGCAATGTATATGAATAAAACTGAGTCTTAACTCATTTTGGTATCTACTGTGGCACATAAGAGACACTAATTATTGTCTGCAGAATTTTTTACTGTCAACACATGTAACATTGTACATAGCAGCAGCCTATTGTATAAGTCAGTAAACTACAGCCTGTGGGCCAAATTTGGACTACTGTCTATTTTTATAAGTAAAGTTTTATTATGACAGAGCCACGCCCTTTTGTTTAAGCATTGTTTATGCTGTCTTTGTGCTACAATGAAGAGTTCAGTATTTTCAACAGAGACCCTTTTATTGCCCACAAGGCCAAAAATAGTTACTATCTGGTCTTGGCCCTTCACAGAAAAATTTGCCATCCTTTGACCTACAAAATTGAGTTCCTGTTTACTCTTGCCTCAGGACAGAGTTTCCTGAAGAACTCCTTAGCTCAGGTGTTACTGACTTCTTTGAGGAGTATGTTTTAATGTGATTGCTCCATTTTCCCCCAGAAGATATTGGTGTACTGATTTTTTTTTTAAAAAAAAGAAGAAAAAGAAACTGATTTCATTAAAAATGAAAAAGAATGGGTGCTTATGAGGTACAGAGACACGCTGCTAGCCACAGTGGGAACTTTGAACAGATCAGCAAAGGATACTATAATGGAGGCAGTGAACCAGGGGCTCTGGTCTCAGCCCCTCCACGCTGACTTTCAGTATACTGACAGCAGTGTTGTCACCACAAGCTGATGAATGAATACTACAGTTTTGTTTTCATCTCCAGCCTTTCCCTGGGTCTGTGTGTCTACTTAAGCCTCATGAATAATGCTACCACTTACAGATACTGGACAACAATGTGACAAAAACAGACTGATTCATGGAAACATGGATTAAAGACTACTTCCATTATTCATTCGACACCATGGCTAACACCCTTGCTTTTGCAGAATAGTATATACATGTGCCCCTAATTCTCCACGGTCACACTTTAGGTGCTGTAGTACATTGCGCAGCTGTGATTTGCTGACCCTAAGGGGAGCTGAAGTAATTAATAATTGACTTGGGGTTCTCTCTTCTCTATCTGGCAGCTACTCACACTGTACTTACTGCACAAAAGAGGCCAAATTGGCATGGCTTTCGACTATCTCTGCAAAATCCATTTGGATCCATTTCTGCAACTGTGATCTACTATCAACCTGGGGGGCAAAGGAGAAATCAGCCCCAGGAGCGTGGAAACCACTATACTTAAAACTATATCCTTTGCTTATTTATTTCAAGTAAAAGGCCACACAGACACAGAAAATTAGAAGGCTCGTGAAATAAGATTTAAGTTCCATTCTGGTTACAGGGTCCTCCCTGATGTTCAATCCTAGAGGCTATACCTCCCACTCTTGAAGAATTTCCAAACCTTCCAGGCCCAGGAGAGTTTTCCATGTTGAAAGATTGCAGGATGGGACCCCATAACAATCCCCCAAAAGTTCAGGCTGAAATTACATGCAGGCCAAGTCTGTATGATGCAGCCCTCTGTAATTGTTGGGTCTCTTCCAGAAGGCTCTCAACACATGGGACTCCGATGAAGTTCAGCATGTGGAAAGGGCTGAAGCTTGAAGCCTGTGTATTTGTAATGGAAACACAGCAGTGACCCCATGATCCAGGTCTGTATCTGTGCTGCCATAAAATGTGTTTCTCCAAACAGAGCAGCAGGAGTGCCAGTGAGGGGTGGGAGCAGGGAGGTTCTGGAAAGACTCCCTCAGGTAGGGAGGTAGCAGGGCCTCCTAATAAAAAAACATGCACTTAGGGAGTGCTATGTAGTTTGCAAAGTACTCTCACATTTAAGATTCTCAGGATAAGCCTCTGAAGTGGGTAAGACAAGCATTCTTTTCCTTCTTCAACACGTGAAGCAACTGAAACAGAAAAGCCAGATGACTTTCTCAAGGTTTATTAGAGACTTTGCCAGAATCAGATCTAACATCCTTTGACACCCAGCTCAATATTGATCTATGTTCCTATGTGACTACCTAAACTGGGATAAATATTCTAACATACTATTAAAAATGAGCAGCTATCATTAGAACAGAGAATTTATCACGAATCAGGTTCACCTCTGATACGGTTAGGCTTTGTGTCTTCACCCAAATCTCATCTTGAATGGCAATGCCCATAATCCCCAGGTGTTGAAGGAAAAACCTAGTGGGAGGTGATTGGATGATGGGGGCGATATCCCCCATGCTGTTCTTGTGATAGTGAGTGAGTTTTCATGAGATCTGATGGTTGTATAAGTGTTTGACACTTTTCCTTTGCTCATTCCTCTCTCTCCTGCTGCCATGTGAAGATGGTGCCTGCTTTCCCTTCCTCCATGATTTTAAGTTTCCTGAGACCTCCCCAGCCATGAGAAACCATGAGTCAATTAAACCTCTTTCCTTTATAAATTACCTGGTCTTGTGTAGTATCTTTATAGCAATGTGAAATTGTACTTATACAGAAAATTGGTACTGAGGTAGTGGGGCACTGCTATAAAGATACTTGAAAATGTGGAAGCAACTTTGGAACTGGGTAATGGGCAGATGTTGCAACAGTTTGGAGGGCTCAGAAGAAGACAGGAAGATGTGGGAAAGTTTGGAACTTCCTAGAGACTTGTTTGAATGGTTTTGACCAAAATGCCGATAGTGATGTGGACAATGAAGTTCAGGCTAAGGTGGTATCACATGGAAATAAAGAACTTATTGGCAACTGGAGCAAAGGTCCCTCTTGCTATACTTTAGCAAGGAGACTAGTGGCATTTTGCCCCTGCCCTAGAGATCTGTTAAAGTTCAAACTTGAGAAGATGATCTGAAAATGGAACTTATGTTTACAAGAGAAGCAGAGCATAAACGTTTGGAAAACTTGTATCCTGACAATGTGATAGAAAAGAAAAACCAATTATCTGGGGAGAAATTCAAGCCAGCTGCAGAAATTTGCATAAGTAATGAAGAGCCAAATGTTAATCATCAAGACAATGGGGGAAATGTCTCCAGGGAATGTTAGAGAGCTTAGTGGTAGCCCCTCCCATCACAGGCCCAGAGGCCTCAGAGGACAAATGGTTTTTTGAGCCAGGCCCAGGGACCCCTCTGCTATGTACAGCCTCTGGACTTGGTGCCCTGTGTCCCAGCCATGGCTAAAGGGGTCAAGGTACAGCTCGGACCATTGCTTCAGAGGGTGCAAGCCCCAAGCTTTGATGACGTCCACATGGTATTGGGCCTGTGGGTACATAGAAGTCAAGAATTGAGGTTTGAGAACCTCCACCTAGATTTCAGATGTGTGAAAATGCCTGGATGTCCAGACAGAGGTGTGCTACAGGGTCACAGCCCTCATGGAGAACCTCTGCTAGGGCAGTACAGAAGGGAAATGTGGGGTTGGAACCCCCACACAGAGTCCCCACTGGAGCACTGCCTAATGGACCTGTGAGAAGAGGGCCACTATCCTCCAGACTCCAGAATGGTAGATCTACTGACAGGTTGCACCATGCACCTGGAAAACCACAGGCACTCAATGCTAGCCTGTGAAGAGCTGTCCAAGGCTGTGGGAGCCCAGCCATTGCATCAGTGTGCCCCAGATATGAGACACAGACTCAAAGGAGATCATTTTGGAGTCTGAAGATTTAATGACTACCATGCTGGGTTTTGGACTTATATGAAGCCTATAGCCCCTTTGTTTTGGCCAATGTCTCCATTTGGAATAAGAGCATTACCCAGTGCTGGTACTCCCATTTTATCTTGCAAATAACTAGCTTGCTTTTGATTTTACAGGCTCAAAGGAAGAAGGGACTTGCCTTGTCTCAGATAAGACTTTGGACTTAGACTTTGGATTAATGCTGGGATGAAATAAGACTTAGGGGGACTGCAGGGAAGGCATGATTGGTTTTGAAATGTAAAAGGGACATGAGATTTGGGAGGGGCCTGGGGCAGAATGATATGGTTAGGCTTTGTGTTCCCACCCAAATCACATCTTGAATTGTAATCCCCGTAATCCCCAGGTGTTGAAGGAGGAACCTGATTGGAGGTGATTGGATCATGGGGTCAGTTTCCCCCATGCTGTTCTTATGATAGTGAGTGAGTTCTCAGGAGATCTGATGGTTTTATAAGTGTTTGGCAAGTTCCTCCTTTACTCATTCTTCTTTCTCCTAGTGCCTTGTGAAGAAGATGCATGCTTCCCTTTCTGCCATGATTGAAAGTTTCCTGAGGCCTCCCCAGCCTTGCAGAACTGTGAGTCAATTAAACTTCTTCCCTCTATAAATTACCCAGTCTCAGATAGTATCTTTATAGCAGTGTGATATTGGACTGATACACCCTTCCCACCCAAACCCAAACCTCAAAGAAAATAAGTTTGGAGATGTAGATGCATTGCATTGTTTTTAAAACTGAGGATCAGGACCCACTAAGAGACCATGACATACTCTGATGACAGAGTGAGAGGAGTACAGATAATACTTGTCATTCTCAAGTATTATATTAATAAATACCTTGAGAACATAAAGCTTCTTTCAGGAAATACAATCTAGTATAATTAAATGTTTTAAATGGTCCCTTCAAACCTTGTGTGGGAATGATTTCATCTTTACTGATGAGTCTGCAGCAGAGCTAATTAGGCACTGCTAACCAGAAGTTCTGCCATAGCCATCAGTCAGGGTTCAAAAAGCTGTGAGTTGCCTAAGAGGACTCACACACTTCCATTAAGACATCAGTGAATAGGATAAAGTTTACACTAAATGTGAAGCCCAAGAGAAAGGTTATTTGGTTAGAGGCACAGATGTGGCTCTTCCTGGCACACACACCTGCAGAGTCTTTCCATCAGTCATGCAAGAAAGTTCCTTGTGACTGAGTTCATCCAATGCACAGCACGTCCCACTGCCAGCTCCTCCCACTGCTCCCAGGCAGCCTATACCTCACAGTTGTGCTTGGTGCCTTGGCCACCTGTCTCCAATTTCTCTCTGCCCCATCAACCTGCCCCAAAATATTAAAGACAAAATTGTAGTAATGCAGAATATCTTCTTTCCATGAAGATTTACCTAGTGATTTTGGACTATATGGTCCTAAAAAACAAAGTCTATCCAAATCTCAAGCAAAAGGCATGTGACAGGAGTCAGGCATCAAAGAAATTCATCCCAAATTAATGGACTTCAGTTACCAGACCCTGGTTCCAGCTTAGGTAGATGTTTCTACTAGTCTTAGGAGCACTGCCTCCACAGATACTTGCATTAATTATGGCGCTCCATGCATCTCCCTTAGAAAGCAAAAATATAAACATTTTTAATTGTCTTTTTGTACATTTTAATATAAGTAGAGCTCCAATTCATGTAACACTCACTAAAAATAAATGTCAACTCTTTCAGTCTCTCAATATAAAAGCACATCAGAGGCAAAATAAAACCAAAGTTGTACTACATTCACGAGAAACTTGTTTTGTTTTGTTTTGCTTTTAATTACATGTTAAGAAAAAGAGGGGCCTAAATGGCACCACTAGTTTTTAATGATAATTTAATTTCTTCAATGTATCTGTCTTCTATGGAAGAGTATCCCAAATTGTTCGTCAGAGCCATGGTTCATCCAGCTCAAGATCCTGGCATAGGAACTTCATGGAGGAATATGGAGGCTGTTCTCCATGTTGCCACTTTTCAATTGTATGCCATATATATTAATAAAAGGCATCAAAGACCCTGCCACTCTGTACAATTGTATAGGTTGTGCTCTGCATAAGAGGGACAGGCTGAAGACTACCTTGAGGCTGAAATCTGTCCTACATTCAGGAATTCACCTGGCACTCATCTGGAAGAAGAGCACCTTTTTGTTTCGTTAGATCAAAGGAGCTGTATGAGCTTGCTGGGGCCTGGCCCACCTCTGAGTAAACTCACCTTTGAGCACAATGATATCAGGGAAGCTTATAAAACAATTAATAAACTTATTGTGAAGCATCTCCTTTGGGGAAAGGGTCATAGTGACATTGTAAGAGAATCAGAGTTAAAGAGACTTTAGCTAATGATTTAACAAGCAAAGCTTATGAGCTTTACCATTTTTATCATAGATGGCATTAAATGGCCATTACCTTCTGTGTAAGAATAGTAGCTTTTACTTTGTGGTGGCACTGAAAATTATTACTGGATCAATATCTGCAGATTTCCTTCTTCCAAATTTCTCCAAAAAGAAGAGTTGTAGGTTGCAATGTCATAATTTATGCTTTTTTTGTCACACTGAGTTCTGGCTAACAAAAAGATTCTCCAGGTAGTCAGTGAGTGGCAGAGTGGAAAGTTGACTCTCTGGCACCTAGTCTCAAAGGAACAGGGATACAGCAAATATAGGGGGCTATTTGAATAAGAACAACTGTGATAGCTACTTTGAGCTATCACTATGAGTATGGAATTTCAGGGAAAGAAAAAACTATTTGGAGTATTTATAGGAAGTTTTTCTCATATTGCACAGAGTAAAACCCCTGGCTTACACTCTTTTAAACTATAGGAAAAAAATCAACATTATTTTTAAGGCTTTTTTGAAGTAACTCCATGCAAGGAGGAAGTCATGCAGGGTCCCAGTAATAATAAGTAGAGTTATTCTTCTTTAGCATTTGGGACCAATAAGAAGATCTTCCAGTACTGAATGCTCATCATAATGACATTTGCAGATTAGCAAGCTTGAAATTTTTAAAAATAAAGCCACAAAAAATTTGACAAGCATTAGAGAAAGGCTTTCTAAGTAAAAAGCAAAAACCATTGAGGAAAACATTCATATATTTGAGAAAAAAATTAAAATTATTAGTATATTAAAAACACTATAAATAAGAAACCAGGATGCAATATTTGCAACGTACATGGTAGACAGAGAGTTACTATCTGATACATAAAAAAAGTTCTTTTACATCAACAGGAAAAAGAAGAATTCTTTAATTGAAAAATAGGCAAAGAATACAAAGAGGCAAATTACAAAAGGAAAATAAACATAAGAGTTTAAATTCAACTGTACCAGTATCACACAGTAAGTTCCATTCTTGGCCATCAAATTGGTGAAGGTTAAAAACTGAAATGAATTCCCTGTGATGGAAGATTATGGGAAAGCAGACACTCTTCTACTCTGCTGGTTCGTCAGTATTTCTGTGTAGAGGATACAACAGTAAATGAGAAAGACAGACCCAGCCCCCATGGAACTCAAGGTCTGTGGGGAAAGCACCACAAACACAGATAGAAATAAAATAGTCAGGGTGGATTTTGGGTGTAGCTGTCAGGTAGAACCCACATTCATTACCCAACTCTTCATCTGAACCCTGTGGTGTAGACACGGGCTAGAAAGGCCAGAATCCAGTCTTTTGGAATGCATGTGGCATACAAGGTATGTTTCCATAGTAGGGCTTCTCATTAAAACCATCCCACAGGTGGGGCCAGAATCAGGATTAGGGAATGGAGGAACACATTTTCTCTTTCTCAGCATTGAAAATAAAGAAACAAACAAGGATAAAACTACTCCCACTTCTTGTTAAGAAGAGGAAACTGTAAATATTTATAATGTAATATGAAGATTAACCTGATGTGTTGGATGTTTTTACTTCCATGATCTCAAGCCAATTCTTCTCTTTAAAAATGACCTTCCTGCCATTTAAAGTAGTTTTAAACTGTCTACATCTTAACCCATTTACCCTAATTCTGGACTATATTCTAAAAAGTAATAATTAAAGAGAAGCTCAAAGGGTTATGTTTCTCTCAGTATTGTTTGTAATAGAAAAATAAAAATTAGAATACTCTACAACAACCTGAAAACTATTTAATAAAAGATTACTAGAAGTAGTTAATATTTTTGTTTGCTAAGATTTTTTCATGAAGAAAAGTGCCCTGAGCATATTTTACATAAATAGTTTATAAAATGGTATGTTTACTACATCCAAATAGTTTTAAAATATATATAATGATGAGAAAGACCAAATGCATGCATTAAAATGTTAATAGTCATTTCCCTGGGTGGGGAAAATGCAAATATTTTGGCTTATATTTTGAAATGTTCTATACTTTCTAAATTTTCTACAGAAATAATTGGGGAGGAAATGTATAATCCTTTCAAGTTTTAGTTTTTTGGAGTTATGCATGTCATTTAATTTCTCAAAATGATGAGGTACATAAATGATTATAATTTTTCTTTTTATAACCATGAATCATCAGGAAATCATGATTAAAGTTTTACTCTTTAATTTTAGTTTCTTGGTAGAAAAGTACAACCTGACTCCAGTGGTATCTGTTATTTTCATTTAGGAAAGATAAAAGAGTACAATTACATCCTAGAACTGTGAGAAACTATCCACATTTCAGTGTTTAAGTGAGTTATTCCCAGGGGTGGTTTTGTGATGCCCCATCCTGTTATTTCCAATGACTATTTCTGATGTTATTTCATATTTCTCAAAGGATTATCACAATCTATGAACCATCTTTTGCCTCACCCACTCTTCAATCTTTCATGTGTAATCTGTTGAAAGTTCTCCTTGATGCTTCTTTCCAAACCGATATGGTTATTTTGAATATTTCTTTGGAACGTTTAAACTACATTTTAAAATTTAATTCTTTTTAATGGCAAAATCAATTTCTGATCAATGTGGAAAAGTTCGAAAACACAGGTGCATCAAAAAAGAAGATACGTCCCATAATCCCACAGCCCAGAGAGGATGACTCTAAATCCCATGGTATATCTATGCCTTTTCTCATGCATAAATTTTCACTACACATCACACACACAAACATACATATTTTCACCAAATAGGATTATATTGCCTATACATTTTGTCTTTTCACTTAGCAATATATACTGAACATTTTTCCAAGTCAACAAAAATGTATCTATAGTATCATTTTGAAGTGTAAAATGTATTCAACTGTGTAATGTTTATCATTTATTTAATTCTGTAATAATAAACATTTAAATTTTCTATTTTTTAAATGTTTTTAATCATTATTGTCATAAAATGCACTGCAATGAACAACCTTGTAGTTAAATTTGCACGTCATCTAGCTTGAGCTACGTTTTTTGTATATATGTTGGACGCTAACAAAGTCATCAAAGTAAATTCACAATTCTCTCCTCTACATGTGATGTACAATATAAATCAGTATTTCTTTTTTTTTTTCAGACAGAGTTTCACTCTTGTTGCCCAGGCTGGAGTGCAATGGCACGATCTTGGCTCACCACAACCTCTGCCTCCCGGGTTCAAGCGATTCTCCTGCCTTAGCCTCTCGAGTAGCTGAGATTACAGACATGCGCCACCACGTCCGGCTAATTTTGTATTTTTAGTAGAGATGAGGTTTCTCCATGTTGGTCAGGCTGGTCTCTAACTCCTGACCTCAGGTGATTCACCCGCCTTGGCCTCCCAAAGCGCTGGGATTACAGGCGTGAGCCACTGCATCCAGCCCAGTATTTCTTAAATTTAAAAAATATGTGAATCTCTTTAAAAGAAAACATTTCTGCAGACCTCAATTTGTGTTTAATTTTTTTTATCAAGTGCCTTCTTAATATTTAGTAACATAAAGTACGTATAAATTATTAATGCTACAGCTCTATACAACTATAAAACCAAAATGAATTTACAAAATAGGTAAAACTTCAGGACCAATGCAATTCAAACAAAGTTATTTAATATGCCACCTGGTGTTGTTTTGCTAAAAGTGAATTGCTGCTTGTAGAGTGATGGCCAAGTTCGCCTTCTACTAGGCAGACATGGAAGACTGTGTGTATCCTGCAATGGCTTTGTTCTCCTCAAGCTTTTTTCAGCTTGAGTACTGAAAAACATTCTTTCCTACAAGCCACCTAAACATTGCTTAGCCTTCATTTTGCTGGTGTTCATCACTTGAGTACTGGCTGCCACTCACTCCCCAACCTCCACTAACCCAACAAAAAAGTAGCACAACTTAGCTTGGGTGCCAGCATCATCCTAAATATAAATGCAAATGTAGGCACTGAATTCACCAGGTTGCTCTTGGGTCTAAGGAGGTCATATAACCCAGGATATAGTTAATCATTTTTTTAAAAATAGCACAAAAACAAAATGTAACTTTTAAAGTTTTGTAACAAACTCCCTGATGTTGTTTGGATCTGTGTCGCCACCCATCTGTGTCTCATGTTGAATTGTAATCTTCAATGTTGGCGGTGGGGCCTGGTGGGAGGTAATTGGATCGTAGGGGGTGGATCCTTTATGAATGGTTTAGCACCATTCATTTGATGCTGTCTTGTGATAGAGTTCTCATGAGATCTGGCTGTTTAAAAGTGTGTGATGCCTCCCCACTCTCTCTCTTCCTCCTGCTCCTGCCATGTAAGACGTCTACTCCCGCTTTGCCTTACACCGTTAGTAAAAGCTTGCTGAGGCCTCCCCAGAAGCAGATGCCACCATGCTTCCTGCACAGCCTGCAGAACCATGAGTCAATTAAACCTCTTGTCTTTGTAAATTACCCAATCTCGGGCATTTCTGTATAGTAGTGTGAGAACAGACTAATACACCCCCTAAACCCCCGTATGCCCTAGTGAAAAAGGCAAAGAAATTGGGTGTCATTGATTCACAGCAGATTCCTTCAACCTTCTTGTGTGGAGGAGAAACTTTTTTTTTTTTTTGAGACGGAGTCTCACTCTGTCGCCCAGGCTGGAGTGCAGTGGCGCGATCTCGGCTCACTGCAAGCTCTGCCTCCCGGGTTCACGCCATTCTCCTGCCTCAGCCTCCAGAGTAGCTGGGACTACAGGCACCTACCACCAAGCCCGGCTAATTTTTTGTATTTTTCTGTAGAAACTTTTGACTTTCCTCAAGGAAGAATAAATGTTTAGAGTACCAGAAAGATTTAGAAGGGGATTGCTCACAATCTTGAATATGTGAGGTGCTGTGTGACATATATTTACATACATTGAAAGGCTTAGCCAAATTCTAGAGGCAGTATTTCTTAGCAGTTATTTGAACAACAGGCTTTGGAGCCAATCAGGTTTGGTATATAATCCAGATTCTGTTTCTCATTTATTTTCTTCTTTGGGGTATGTTACTTAAATTCTCCTACCTTCTCCTTTGTATTTGAAACTGTAACCTGAAGCTTTCGAGTATGTTGTAACAATCAAATGAGGTTTTATGTGTAAAGAAACTCTAATGCTGCTTAGTACTTGTATAAAGTCTGAACTCCTTGATATGGCCCACAAGTCACTGTCTCTCTGATATCATCTCCTCCCATTCTTTTCGTAACTTATGGTCAAACTCATTCTACTATGAACATTTTGAGCTTCTTCCTGCCTGGAGAACTTTACACCTGCTGCTCCATCTGCCTGATACATTCTTCTTCCAAAATTCACAAGATACACTCAATTATCACCCTTCAGTCTCTGCTCAGACATCACTTCTGCCTAAAATAAAATTGTCTCTGTCACTCACCCAGAATTCTTCCGAGCCCTAACTCTGCTTTATTTTTCTTTCCTATAGATGTTATTGCTCCCTGAAATTATGCTATCTGTTTATTTGCTTGTCTGTCCTTTCTCTGTCTCCCCATTGAATGTTAAGTTTTTTGACATTAGGGACATTGTTTTATTTCCTATCATATCTCCAGTGCTACAACTGTACTTTCCCAAAGTGAACACTCAACATGTTAGTTGAAACTTTATCATCCCTGAAACAAAGCTTTGATATCAAGTTGCAAAAAATGTAAGTCTTTCATACAGACAATTATAAGATAAATTAACATCAATTACTAAACTCCTACCACATATTTAGCACTGTAGTAAGAGCTCTAAAGAATGGGAAAAACATATGACAAGAAGTTCAAGCATGGAGCAATTGAGATGATATAAAATAAATGTAGTTTATTACCATATGCAAGACTCTAGACTTTTTCACTTAAATTACTAATAAAAGGAACTATGGAATATAGAGAACAAATGGAAAGAAGAAAAGCATTTAAAAAACCCCACAACCATGACACCTTGGTATCTTACTTTTATTGTTTTTTTTTCAGGTGTTTGTATTTATAAGAATAAAGAGAAACTTTAACGAGTGATTCCATAATTTCAGTGGCTTAACTCTCAATAATTCACAGTCGAATGAGGGACTTTGTTCTACACAGTCATTTAGTGACAAAGTTTCCTTATATCTTGAGGCTCTGTCCTCTTCTACATGCTTACTCGATTCCTCTCCATTCAGCCAGTAGGTGAGTAAAGAAAGTGAGGACTGCATGTTCTATATGGGTCTGACATGGAACTGCTGTATGTCAGTACAGGCTCCAGAATATTCTACTTATTCTGGAACCCAGTCATGTGGCAATACCTAAAGCAAGGAACCTGGAAACTACAATCTTGCTGTGTAACTAAGAAAAGGTTATTATGGATTTACTAAGCAAAACAGTCTCTACCACAGCACAAAAAAATAGATAGTTGTAATATTATTTAATAATATTATTTAGTAGAAACCATAGATCTGGAGATACATTCTGACTAACAGAGATGTTTCTGTTACATTGGGAATAATTGCACCAAATCACCAGTTTATTTCAATAATAAATTAAAGAAATTACAATTGTTTTAGTTTAATTTTTATCCAGGTACCACTATGAAAGCCATTAACATGCTATATACTTTCTTAAAATTCATTTTGGTGATCATTTAAAAGATTTGTGACTCTGAGGTACAAATTGTTGTTATAACTTTTGTGATAATAGTGCATCATAGTTGGCGATAATCTTGTAGGTTAATCTATCACCTTTTATAATATTACTGTCATGAGATCCTTGGGGTGTTGCTTTGCCAACTGGAAACCTCTGTGGCTGGCAGTGCCTTCTGCCTCAGTATTGTTCACACCTGCTGGACTCCTTCCACCCACTCAGCCCGGCAGGCTGCACTTGGCTCGTGCTACTGGCCGGGATCCCACAGCTGCCAAGGGCTAGCAGGCACAAAGTGGTGAGGGGTGTGTGGGTACGGCAATGGAGGGTCCTGCCACTACACACAACCAGGCACACCAGTGGCTGCGATGAGATTGTCAGCTCCAGGTGCCAGCTCCATTCAAGGCTATGGCTGGACCAGAGGTACTGCATGCAGCTTCTGCTGTGGGCACCTGCATCTGGATGAGGGGAATGCAGTGGCGCCTGGAAACTTGGAGATGCCAGGAACCACAAAGCCCCAAAGAGGGTGTCCCAACTCTGGCTTGGAGAGCCCCTAAGGTCTGGGCTCCCCAAAGGCTACAACTCTTCTCTTCTCTCCTTATCATCCGTAGCCTGTCCCACATCCAGGAAGAATAAGTTCTGCAGACAACCGGAGGGTGAGCAAGGCAGACAGGAGCTTCATTGAGGAACAGAACAGCTCTCAGGAGACCTGAAGTGGGTAGCTCCTTTCCACAGGCAGGTTGTCCCAAAGAGTGTCCAGCTCTCAGCAGAGAGGAGACCTCTAGTCCGTAGCTTCTAGCACCTTTCCACAGGCAGTTGGTCCTGATGAGTCAAGGAAACCCAAAGTAGGTAGCTCCTTCTCGCAGCTGGTGGTCCTGATGAGTCAAGGAAACCCAAAGTAGGTAGCTCCTTCTCGCAGCTGGTAGTCCTGATCGCTGTCCAAGTCTGGCTAAGTCTAGGGTTTTTACAGGCTCAGAAGGGAGGAAGTGGATGCTGATTGGCTCCTGGGCAGCCATGGGCAGCCCGGAAAAAGCACCATAAGTTCTCACTGCAATCCATGAAACTGGCAGTCCAGCCACCTGGCTTCAGGCCGTCCCTGGCTTGAAGGTGGGGCTTGACTAGGGACTTGCACCTTTCCGCTAGGAGCCTGCCTGCCTCCTGTTGCCATCAACCTACCATCCATGACGCGCATGGCACCCAGGCTGTTTGTGCTGAGGGGCACATGCAGGCCTACGCTGAGCTGCCCTCAGCACCGCCTCAGCCTCCCTCCCATGCTTATCAGTGCCCAAAGTCCAGAGGGGTCCCAGATGGAAGGGGGCTGGCGTGTCAGCACTGCCCTAAGCACAGATACACCTGGTCAGATCATGACAGCACCTGGACTGGCCTCAATTTTGCTCCAAAATCGGAGTGAGTGCCAGGAGCAGGGAGAAGCCAGACAGCGGAAGCAGGCACTATTGAGCCTACAGGAAATGGGGGGCTTTCTGGGTCCCTGGGAGTACACAGATGCCCGGTCTGCAGCTGCAGCCACCCAGCTGGGAGAGCAGGGTTCCCACCCCACCAACTCAGCAGTGTTGTCTCTGGCCTGCCAGCTCCATTGAGTATGCAGCCCTGGCCCACACCTCCCCTGCTGCAGCTGGTGTCCCCCTAGTGGCTTCTTCTGATGGACCACCTGCCGTCATTGCTCATCCTACTTTGAGCATTTATTTTCATTCATAGCACAGTTAAGGTGAACTACATATTAGGACATTTTTTTCAAAATGTTTATGACGTATTTTCTGAACCCTTGCCTATCTGATGATAGTTTTCTATTGCTTTCATATAGGAAAAACTAATTTGTGAATAAAATGCTTATATCTCAACATTTCTCCTTGAAAAAGTGTAACTATGGCAGAAAAATGAAAATCCAGCCTGTTTTTTGTTTCTTCTTGCTGTCCTATATTTTTACCCAAATAACATGCAAATTCTTTTTTATTAGTATTGCCAAGAATTTGCTGAGGTTTTCCAATTTCATAAGTAAACATTTTTCAGTTCCACAAAATTTTCTGTAATTATGTTATTTCTTCTCTTCCTGTTATTTTGATTTCTTGTCCAGAAAAAAAAACCCAGAATCCTTATATTAGATGTGTGTTTTCTGTCCTCCACATCTTTCATATTTTCTTTCATCACTTTCATCTATTTGTTTTATTTTATATTCTTGGAAAACCTCTCAAGTTGATTTAATTCCTGTTTTCATGAAACTATGGGAAATAAAGTCATGAAAAGAGCAATGAAAATACAATGGAATGGAAATTAATAGAACTACATATAATATTTTGTGAAACCAGAATTGCAGGAATATTTAATTCTTCCTGAAGTATACATCTGGGAAGACATCAGGCAGGAGGTACACGTGGCATAGCTCTGGAAAGACAAGTATGTTTCCATCAGTTGAACAAGTCAGCAAATGTTATTTTAGGCAGAAGAAAGAACATATTTAAGGGCACCATGTGTCATTACAAAATGTGCTGTTTTCAGGGGCCAGAGAGATATTCCGGGAGGCTGAATCTTAAACTCTCATGAGAGGAGTAGTGGTAGGAAGCTGATGTGGTTTGAGGCCAGATGGTGACTCTCGTGATATACAGGTGGGTTAGAGTAAGGCAGGTGGATAAAAGGAACAGAGGAGAGAAGGAAGCCTCTACCATTCTAGCTTGGAAGAATGGCTAGATTATTTTTACATTTATTAAGAGAAATAAAGATAGAGGAGCATATTTGCTAGAAGATAACTAGCACAATTTAAAAATATGAGATTTGAATGTCTATAAGGTTTTTGGATCACACTGTAGGAATGTGTTTAGAACTATGAGCCTTGCACTAAGAAGAGATATTAGGATTCCGTGGAGATTTGAAAGGATATAAAGGAGTTACATTTCAGTGTTTGAGATTTCCCAAAGTATCTGCAATGGAAAAAGAACTGGTATTGGACCACTTGGGAATATCTCTCTTTAATTTTCAAAAAAGAAATATAATGAATGAGAAAGTGGTCAGTGGTGCCAAATTATTCAGAGTGATCCAGTAAGATGAAGAATTTAAAATGCCATTTTCCTGACTTGAAAATTAGAGGTGATTGAGACCAGGATGAGATCAGCTGCAGCTGAGTGATGTTTGGGGAAGCCAGAAGCCAGAGTGCATTTGGCAGAGCAGTGAAAGCAAGGTGACAAAGGTGAGGCAATGAAGGTCTTGCTTAGCAATAACGAAGCCCATTGCATTTTTCCTGATTTACAACTGCAAACATTTAGCATTTTTCCTGTCACCAAAGTGTTTGCATAAGGGCAACTTTGCTGCCCACGAGGGAATTAGGCTGCTAATTTCCTCCTGCCTGAATATCATGTTATAAATCAAGGTATAATTAGAGAAGAGAAGCACAAAGGTATGCATTACTCTGGAGTGCATGAAATTTTGGAAAAGCATCAATGAAAACACTTTTGCAAATCACTGTGTGTAAGAATGGACTAATACTGTAGTAGGTCACAATGTCTCCCTAGGGTCATGGCCCCCACAGACCATTCTGTCACCTTCACTCTGCTTCCATATTTCCATTTTCACTCCCATCACTTTGCTCAATCTCAGTCCCCTGCCCAGATTCTGCTACATTTGTTACAGCATTCAGCAAAGAGTTCAGAGTTCCTTAAGTGCTGTGGATCTAGTAGGGATGTAGAGATACCAACCTGTATCAAGCTATAAAACCTTTTTTTTTTTAAATCTCTTCTCTTCCCTCAGTTCTTTATTCTCCAATAAAACCTAGAGATATATCACATTTTGTCAGCATGAGAAACTTTCTCTATTAATCCCTAGTTTTAGTTGCCAGGATATCTGAATCTCAAGAATACCAATGTTCTCTTTGTATCATACCTGCACCTCCCAGGAATTATAATCCACAGCTCAGACAAACTTATAAGGAGATCATTTGCTTCGACTTATATCTTTGTAACTTTTAACTACTTTTAAGGCTTACAACAATGTAATGCATGCTTATTAAAAAAATTAGAAAAATACAAAAAGAGCATGATGAAAAAAAAATCCTACAGTAATTCTACAAAACAGAAAACTGAAATATTTTTATTTTGGTATGAGGCTTTCAAATTGACTTTTAATTTTCAAACATTACACAGAAAGAAAAATATACATACACTTTTAGCTAGCCTTTTAAAACTGAAAAGCATATGTCTGGATCAAGGACCAATAATACAAAAAGTTATATATTGAAAGTAAATCTATCTCCTTTGCCTCACAACCTTAATCCTGTTTCCCAGGAGCAACCCATGTTAGCATTTAATTCTGTACTCTTCCAAATGTTCACTGGCATGTGAAAGTATGCAAATTGTAGAAATAAATTCACTTTAAATAAACTTAATATACTGCACATACTGATTTATCCTGCCTATTTAACTAAATTTTTAATTTTCTCTTAAATATTTTCAGATAAAATTACTTTTATTAATTATATGTTATTTATTTATTCAAGTGAGAAGTTGCAATATTTGGTTTTCTTTTCCTGCATTACTTTGCTTAGGAAAATGGCCTCCAGCTCCATCTTTGTTGCTGCAAATGATGTCATCTCATTTTTTCATGGCTGCATAGTATTCCATGATGTATATGCACCACATTTTCTTTATCCAGTCTACCACTGACAGGCACCTACGTTGATTCCATGTCTTTGCTATTCTGGAAAGTGCTGTGATGAACGTACGCTTGCATGTGTCTCTATGGTAGAACAATTTATATTCCTTTGGATATATACCTAGCAATGGGATTGCTGGGTCAAATGGTAGTTCTGTTTTAAGTTCTTTGAGAAATTGCCAAACTGCTTTCCACAGTGGCTAAACTAATTTACATTCCCAACAGCAGTATATAAGAGTCCCCTTTTCTCCACAACCTTGCCAGCATTTGTTAATTTTGACTTTTTAGTAATAGCCATTTGGCTGGTGTGAGATGGAATCTGATTGTGATTTTGATATGTATTTCTCTAAAGTTTAGTGATATTGAGTATTTGTTCATAAGCTTGTTGGTCATATGCTTTTGCAAAATCTCTTCATGTCTTTTGCCCACTTTTAAGTGTTTTTTTTCTTATAAATTTGTTTAAGCTCCTTATACATTCTGGGATTTTTTTTTTTTTTTTTTTTGCTCATACATTTGTTTAAGCCCCTTATGAATTCTGGATATTAAACTTTCTTCTGCTGGCTTTGGGGTTGGCTTGCTTTTGTTTCTTTAGTTCCCCTAGTTCAAATATTAGGTTCGTAATTTTTGATATTTTTAACTTTTTGGTTAGTAGACATTTACTGCTATAAACTTCCCTCTTAACACTACTTTAGCTGTGTCCCAAAGATTCTCATATGTTTTTCTTCATTCTCACTAGTTTCCAAGAAGTTCTTGATTTCTGCCTTAATTTCATTATTTACCCAGAAGTCACTCAGGAACAGGTTGTTTAATTTCCCTGCAATTTTATGGTTTTGAGTGATTTTCTTAACATTGATTTCGATTTTTGTTGCTCTGTGGTCCAAAAATGTGGTTGGTATGGTTTCAACTTTTTTTTTTTTTAATTTGCTGAGGATGGTTTTATGACCAATTGGGTGGTCAATTTTAGAGTACATGCCATGTGCAGATGAGAAGAATGTATAGTATGTTGTTTTGGGGTTGAGAGTTTTATAAATGTGTAATAAGTCCATTTGGCCAAGTGATGAGTTCAGGCACCGAATATCTTTGTTAGTTTTCTGCCTTGATGATCTAATGCTGTCAGTTGGGTGTTGAAGTCTCCCACTATTATTATGTGGTTATCTAAGTCTCTCCTTAGGTCTTTAAGAACTTGCTTTATGAATCTGGGTGCTAAGATATATAATATATATCATATAGATAAGATCTTATATAATATATATAAGATTGTACATATATCATAGTTAGATCTTCTTGTTGAATTGAGCCCTTATTATTATATAATGGCCCTCTTTGTCTTTTTATGTTTATTGTTTTAAAGTTTGTTTTGCCTGAAATTAGAATAGCAGCTCCAGCTTTTTCTGTTTTCCATTTCCTTGGTATATTTTTCTCCATCTCTTTCTTTGAGCTTATGCATGTCACTTTATGTGAGATGGGTCTCTTGAAGACAACATACCATTGGATTTTGCTTCTTTATCCAACTTGCCACACTGTGCCTTTTAACTGGGGCTAACCCATTTACATTCAAGGTTTGTATTGATATATGAAGACTAGATTCTGTCATTGTGTTATTATTAATAGCTGGTTATTATGCAGACCTGTTTGTGTGGTTGCTGTATAGTTTCACTGGTTCATGTATTTAAGTGTGTTATCGTAGTGGTTGGTAATGGTCTTTCCTTTCTATATTTAGTACTTCCTTTAGTACTTCCTTCAGGACGTCTTTTAAGGCAGATCTAGTGGTAATAACTTTCCTTAGAATTTGCTTGTCTGAAAGGGATCTTATTGTTGCTTCACTTATGAAGCTTAGTTTTGATGAATATGAAATTATTTGTTGGAAATTATTTTATTTAAGATATTATTTAAGAAAAAAAAAAGAATGCTAAATATAGGCCCCCAATCTCTTCTGGCTTGTAGGGTTTCTGCTGACAGTTCTGCTGTTAGCCTGATGGGGTTACCTTTGTAGGTGACCTGCCCCTTCTCTTTAGCTGCCTTTAACATTTTTTATTTCATTTTGACCTTGCAGGATCTGATGACTATGTGTCTTGGAGATGATCTTCTTGTGAAGAGTTTTTCAGCGGTTCTCTGCATTTCCTGAATTTGAATGTTGGCCTTTCTAGTGAGATTAGGGAAATTTTCATGGATGATATCTTAAAATATGTTTTCCAAGTTGCTTGCTTTCTCTCCCTCTCTTTCAGGGACACTAATGAGTCACAGATTTGGTGTCTTTACATAATCCCATGTTTCTCAGAGATTTTTTTCCTTTTTCTTTACTGTTTTTTCTTTATTTTTGCCAGAGTGAGTTATTTTTGAGATCCAGTGTTTGTTCTCTCAGATTCTTTCCTCAGCTTGGTCAATTCTGCTATTAATTCTTTGATTGTATTCTGAAATCCTTGGAGTAAGTTTTTCAGCTCTATCAGATCAGGTTGGTTCTTTCTTAAAATGATAATTTTGTCTTTCATGTCCTGTATCATTTTATTTTTATACCTTAGAATCCTTGGATTGGGTTTCAACTTTCTCCTGAATCTCAATGATCTTCATTCCTATTCATACTTCGAATTCTATTTCAGTTCTTTCAGCCCCTTTAGCCTGGTAAAGAACCATTGCTGAGAAACTAGTGCAGTTGTTAAAGGTAAGAAGACACTCTGGCATTTTGAGTTGCCAGAGTTCTTGTGCTGGTTCTTTCTCATCTTTGCGGGCTGATGTTCTTTTATTTTTTGAAGTTGTTGTCCTTTGGATGGGTTCTTTTTTTTTTTTCTTTTAACCTCTTTTATGTCCTTGGGGGTTTGACTGTGGTATAAAGTGAGTTGGTTGACTGGATTTGTTTCTGGAATGGTTTAGGGGGCCAAGCCCCAGCTCAGGATTCCTGGGCTGCATCCTCTAATTCTGGGGAGCTGGTATCAGGCCCCTGGCTTTGTTCTCTGTCCCCTTGAGGTTAGGGATCTACTGTACTGTAGAGGCTGAGGTGTTCCCAGACCACTGGTCACAACATTCTGCTGGGTGGTGCCAGCCAAAGTGCTTCATTGAGTGATGGTAGTGGGATCTGTGATCATTTGCAACTACCACCAACAGCAGCAGCATGGCAGGGTGCACCCTTGTTGACTGAGGTGTGGCACTGGCAGGCACATGGGTGCTGGCCTCCATCAGGGTGTTTGCAGTGGTGGTGGTGACAGAGTGACATGGGAGAGGGGTGTGGGGCTTCTGGCATCCATGGGTGTGTTTGCACCAGTAGTGGTGGTGGCACGGGGGCAGAGCACTGGCAGGCATGGGGCTGGCACCCTCCATGCATGTGTTCAGGCCAGTCAGCCACTGTTTTTGACACTTGGGATACTGCCCTGAACAAGACAGAAGAAAGTTTCTTCCTCTGTAACAGGAATCCCTAGTTGATCATTTTGGGCTGTTTCCAACTTTACACATTGTAACTGTGAATCTTTCCTGTGCCTATAATTATTTCTTAGTTATATATTCCTAGAAATGCTTGTATATTATCAAACAGTACAAACATTTTTCAGGCTTTTGGACAAATATGCCAAATTACCTTCCGAAAGGTTTACATTTATATCACACACCACAAATGAACAGCATGACTATTTCAACAGTCCCTGACAAACAGTATCCTCCTTTCTCCTTCCATTAAGACAATAAAATCAATCCTTGACTAAGCTACCAAAATAAGAGTACACAGGTTTAATTCAGATATGTAACCAAAAATAAGCTCTTGTTTTCAGCCTCAGTACATTTATATTTAATGTAAGAAATTTAAATATACTCTTAATCATTATTTCTAAACAGTATACCTAAAAACTTTAGATAGTCCTTTATACAAAGATTTCATTTATAAAAAGTGCAACTACAGTAATAATAATAAGAAAACAAAATTTCTTGGGCAAAATTAGGTCATTCTCGTATTTTGGGGAAACTAGAAACCTGGCTGCCTTATACAAGCAGTGATTCATTAATACTAATTGGTGCTTTTTTTTCCATGCAAGAGAGAAAACTGTTCTAGATCCTAATCATTCCTTATTACAGTAACAGCAGGCTGTATTTAATCCGCTACTCAACTCTTCAGTTACAGAATCAGCTGACCTATAATTAAAAGACATTTAAGTCTTAGAAGGAAAGAAAAACAAATCCTAATGACAAACAGATAGCAGAAATTCCCAACCATGCTTCCCTCACCTTGGGTCCTCCCACTTCTGCAATCCTGCTGTCAACTTCACTCAATTCTTTTCAGGGAAATGGAAAAACTGCTCCTTCTCCACTCTAAAATTAAATAATAAGAATGAGCATGTGACATACACAATTACACCAATGTCTAAATATGTTAGGATGGAATTATAATTTTCTCTTTATATTTAATATTAATTGTCTTTGAATATAAAATTAATACATATTTATGTGAGAATTTTGAAAAATATAAAATACGTAAGAAGAAGTAAAAAGCCTTGCTGCAGAGAGGTATACATTATTAATAGTATACTGTGTTTTCTTTCACTCTTTTTGCTATATATACATCTTTTTTTTTTTTGAGATGGAGTTTTGCTCTTGTTTGCCCAGGCTGGAGTGCAATGGCACGATCTTGGCTCACCACAACCTCCGCCTCCCGATTCAAGCAGTTCTCCTGCCTCAGCCTCCTGAGTAGCTGGGATTACAGGCATGCGCCACCACTCCCAGCTAATTTTGTATTTTTAGTAGAGACGGGGTTTCTCCATGTTGGTCAGGCTGGTCTCAAACTCCCGACCTCAGGTGATCCGCCCACCTCTGCCTCCCAAAGTGCTGGGATTACAGGTGTGAGCCACCATGCCCCCGCCCATACTTTTGTATTAAACATACACATACAATTTTGTTAATGGTTAGAAAATTGAGGCAAGACTGTGAGTTGAAAAGCACGCAGGTTCTACAGTTGGACTGCATGGGGAAACATTCTGATTCTGCCTCTTTTTACATGTGTGTCTTTGGGCCAGCCACTTAACCTCTCTGAGCTTCAGTTTCCTCACTTGTAAACTGGTAATAAAAATAGCACATATCACATGAGGATATTTTACAGAATGAATAAGATAAATATCTGCCATGTAATAAACAGTCAGCAAATGTCAGCTACAGTAAAGCTTTTTAATTTGATTTTTTTCCAGTTGAACACATATCACCGTCATTGTCTCTGTGACTAAAAAATGCTAAGAACATCACTTTAAATAGGTCTATAATATCCTATTACACGGGAGTTCTGTGTTGAAAATTTCCCTTATTGGACATTTTAGATAGTTTTCATTTTTTCACTTCTATAAATAGTATTGCTGTGAACCTCTAATGATTATCATCTCTGATTATAAGGACACTTATTATATTTTGAAATAGTGAATTAAAAGCATTAAACTTTTAAAGCTCCTTGACACATATTTCTCAAGTGACTTTCAAAAGTAAGTTCTCCTTCCCTCCAGTAAGCTGTACAGTCTCTGGTTTACCTTTTTTTTTTTTTTTTTTTTTTTTTTTTTTGAGATAGAGTCACTCTCTGTCACCCAGGCTGGAGTGCAGTGGCGCGATCTCGGCTCACTGCAAGCTCTGCCTCCCAGGTTCACGCCATTCTCCTGCCTCAGCCTCCTGAGTCGCTGGGACTATAGGCGCCCGCCACCACGCATGGCTAATTTTTTGTATTTTAGTAGAGACGGGGTTTCACCGTGTTGGCCATGATGGTCTCGATCTCCTGACCTCGTGATCCACCCATTTCGGCCTCCCAAAGTGCTGGGATTACAGGCGTGAGCCACCGCACCCGGCCTGGTTTACCATATTTAACAATGCTGGTGACAATCATGTCAACATTTTTGATTGATTGGATATGTGAAAAACGTATTTTACTGATCGTTCAATTAGAAATTATTTTATTATTAAAGAAACTAGACATGTTAAATCACTTCAGAGTGTATTTCTATCACGTGTTTTTGTGAATTGTGCAGTCATTCATGTTCCTTGCTCATTTTTCTGTAGTAGTGTTGTTTTATCTTATTGATTGTTCAGTGACATTTATTAAGCAAGCATATTTCTATTTTTCAATTAAATACTACAAAATATTTTTAGTGCTTTTTGTCTTTAAACTTTGATTTTGGTTTTTTTGAGGTAGTGAGTTTTAGATTTTCAGGTAGTTAAAACTATTCTTTTTTTCTTTCCTTTGTGGTTTCTTCCTGTTTTCCATGCTGCAGTGGCCTTTTTCATCAAACTTGTTTTAACCACCTCTCAGAAACAACCAACACAATTCATCAGTGTCATGAAGAGTTGTTTCTCGTGCAACAAATATAACAAGAAATTTTCATTTTTATACAAATAAGAAAGCATACATTTCCATTAGTAAGTTCATATTTGTCAAGACAGATCCAGGATTTCTTTCATCTTGCTAGTATCTTCATGATATTTACTAGTTATGGTGGCCAATTAGAGTAAACTATGTCCACTTCCAAATATAAATTTCTTTGTAGAATTTCTCCTTTGAGAAGTTTTGTAATAAAGAAAGACCCCAATTTGTTTTTCTAATAATGTTAGGGATGAAGTTGATAATGGTATGTCTAAGAATAGTTCTTGAATAAAAGAATGGCCTAGATTAAAAACAAAAGTGCACTTGTTAGCACCAATAGATTTATAATAACTTAATGGAATGAGACATTGTAAATAACGTTGAGGCTCAGCAAGAGTTCAATGGCAAAAACAGCTGTGACTGACTTGTCAAGGTTGTCCTGGGAATGTGAAGTAAGGGAGTGGCATGTGTGCCCAGTGGATATCCTCTTATTGGTTCCTTTTAGAATCTATTCTATTTCTATGGTTTTATAAAGAAATGTTTTTTGTTTTGTTTTATAATGAACTAATGCTTTTAAAAATCCTAGACAAAAACAAACAATCAAAAAGCTCCCATGAGCTATACTCTTCTCCAACCAGCATTGGGGTACTCAATATGTGGCTTTTTGAGACTCATACACTTCCCTAAGCCTCCTTCTGCATATTTTCAGGTCTTATTAAAACAAGGACTCCCTTACTTGAAGTGTTAACTTCTCTGTCAAAATGGCAAATGCAGTTTCTCAAATGAATTTTAGTAGCTATTTAGTGGGTTGTTAGATTACAGATCATATGTCAGAATGATGCTATGTGAGTCTAGGGCACACTTAAAAAAAAAATAGACACATCCCTGGGTGAAGGAGTCAGAAAGGAATAGACTAGTGTTGGAAAATGCATTGAAATCAAGTATGATGCCCAGATGATGCTAAAACCATCTTTACAATATCTCCTTCAGGTAGTGGTCTCCCCCAGGCTTGAACACCACCAGATACTATGAGCTCTCATGCTATGAGAACTTGCATTTCTAAAACACCTGCCTTTACACAGCAACCCTGAAAAGGGGATATGTTTTTCCTATTTAAAGATAGGAAAATCAGCTCAGAGTAGTCAAACGGCTGAACCAGTATTTAAAATCAAGTATGTACAACATTAAAAAATGATGCTGTAACTCCCAGTGTTACCACAAACTTGAACCCTCAAATTTATGAAAGAATAAATTTCTTCTCTATTTGCTTAAGAACCTCATTCAATAAATCAAAATTTATTTTACTGATTTGAATAAACTGAAAGATAAATCAATTATGCTTCATAAAAGGCAGTTTTTTTTAATTTTCAATCAGCTCAGGAAGTGTTTCTACTTTACCCTCCAATATACTCATTTGACCTGTTAATATTGTTGCAAAATCAGTCTTAGCTTACTTTAATGACTAGCCAAGACTAGACTAATCTGAGTTGCTGTATTGATTGCCTATGTAAAATCTGCTAAAAGATTTGAGAAGCATTTTGAGCTTTTAAATAAGTGAAGAATCTGTAAGTTGCCTCAATCTTACTCGCTTATTGAATTAGCATGGAAAACTCTATGAAGACATGGAATAATTTAGTTCCTTAATGTTTCCTCACAAACTAGAATTTAAGTACTATTCATTCCATGTCAGCTGATAGGTGCATTCTACAATATGCCCACATGGTTTGTATGTCATTCTATACTTCTGAAAAACTATAGTTTGGTCCACTGCTAGATACTAGCAAAAGGAAATTGAGCAGTAAGTCTTGTAATGACCAGTTTGCTCATGAAACTGCCTTTTCGTAGTTGTCAAATGAAGATTTCCTAACAAGTGATTTAGAGAAACATTCGCCAAGTTTAGAACCTACTCAAACCTTGTTGATTTCAAGTTCTGGCCCAAATTGTAGTCATTGGTTTTGTTGGCAAAATAGGACTTTCTGTTTCTTAGAAAATCAGCAATAAAAATCTTCTTGGACATTTAAATTGCTTTACAAAACATTTTGATGAGTTAAATATAAATGAAATAGAAACATAAGGCTTACATTTCCCTTAAACACACAAGAGATTGTAAATAAAGGGAAAATGTTCATGGAAACATGTTTGGGAATATGCTAAAACTTTGAAAAATACTTAGGGACATTCGATGAGCCCAAGTGCAGCTGGATCTTGCTCAGCCATGACTCTTTTTTTTTTTTTAAAGATAATGGATTATAAATAAAAACATATATTAATAATTCACATAAGGGATGATAGCAATGGAAGAAAAAAATCCCTCTGCATTACTTATCCAGATGGAAAAATTCTGACAGGCTTGAAAAAATAAAACATGGGAAAACTGAAAAGTTTTATCTCTCACATAACACAGTTGTTTTTCCTGCAAAACACAACAGAATTACAAAATCCAGATGATTAAAAATGTGGAGGAAAAACTGAGTATCAGGTATGGCTGTCAAATTGAATTAGTTTTTATTCTCAAACTGATCTGAAAACTAGAACTTTTCACATTGGTATACATGGGAGATTATATACATATACATACACGTAGAGAGGGAGAGAAAGAGAGATAATCTAGAATTTAAAACCTTTAAAGACAACACATTTAAAAACGCTTAAAATGTCCACTGGGTGCAGTGACACGTCTGTGATACAGAAGTCTGAGTCAGGAGGATTGCTGGAGCCTAAGAGTTGGAGTCCAACCTGGGCAACATATTGATACCCCTATCTCTAAAATAATAAAAATAATAAAATAAAATAGAATTTAAAAAGCCCTCTTAATCTGTACCTGTGTAAGAAGAAAGCAGTAAGAAAATGTGATGTTTGGACCTATCCCGAATGTCTTCTTACTTGAATCAATGCAAGGTTCATGCTTTCAAATAACTGTAGACTTGATAAGTTACAATGAAAACTTTGATGAAAAGCCTCATATTGGCAATTCTTAAATCAGGATTGCAAGTCCTTGGATTGCAGTGACCTGTTCTTTGGGGAACTCTTAAAGGATATTCAATGAATTAACATTCCCAAATATCATGTACACAGAGCAAGTTCAAATTTCCTCCCTGAAATAAACCACAGCTTAGTTGAAACTAATATAGCTCATTCACTCTTGTATTCACTCATTTAATATATAATTATTTGCACCCCCTACTGGTGCTAGTCACTATATTAGCTAGCCACTAAAAAAATACACAGTATGATCTCTGTGGTATAATAAAAATATATATATATATGGTCTTTGTTTCTAGTTCCTGGCACAGAGCTTCTAAACCACTTGGCATTTTCTGAGTGATAAAAGTGTCTTCTATTATTCATAGTGACCCTGTTTGTAACATACCTGAGCTTAGGCTAACAAGCTGACTCACGGTGGGGTCTTAGACAGTTTCCAGGGAGAAACTGGCCACTCCAGAAATAATGCCAAACACTTGAATATAGAGTTGAAACTTTCAGCACCACTTTCTGGTCTCCAGGAAAGAGAAAGGGGCTGGTGTGATCTCAAATCACATGGCCAGTGATTTAGCCAACCATGCCTACGTAACAAACATCCAGATAAAACTCTGAAACAACTAAGTTCAGGAAGCTTCTGGGTTGGTAAAATCATTGATGTTCCAGGAAGGTGGTATGCCTACAGAAGACATGGAAGCTGTGTATCCCCTTTGTTTCCTCAATAAATATCTTGCCGCATCTGTATCTTCCATTTGGTTATATGATACAGCGCTTTCGGTGACTTCTGTAAGTTCTGTGAGTGATTGTAGAAGATCATCAAAACCGAAGGTAGGTCATGGGATCCCTTGAATATGATCAGAATGAAAAATAGCCTAAAGACGCTGAACTTGCAGCTAGTATTTGAAGTGAGGACAGTCTTATGGTGGACTGAGCCCCTTAACCTGTGGGGTCTGTGCTGACTCCAGGTAGTTGGTGTTAGAATTGAATTGAATTGTTGGACACTCAGCGTGTATAAGAAAATTACTGTTGAACGTACCCTCAAGAGCTTCCAGTTTAGTAAAGGTGACAGACACATTCCTTGAGGAAGAGAAAACTACAAGCCAGTCTCACATGTGAATATCAATTTGAAAATCTTAAGTGAAATATTAGCAAACAACTAGCAGCACATCAAGAATCCCACATTCTACTTAAGAAGGGTTCACTCCAGGAAAGCAAAGGTGATTTGAACTAAGGAAATTCATTAATGTAATCAATTTTATTAGCAGAGACAAGGATAAAGATCATATGATATACTTGTAAATGTGAACAGGCATTTAACAAAAATTCAATACACATTCATGTTAAAAATTCAATCATATATTAATGCAATATATATTTTACATATCAATGTAAAATGAGTTTAACGTGAATATTCATCAATGTTAAAGGGCATTCAGTTCAATTATATATCATTGTTTTTTGACATGCTGAGTTAATTTGTGTGTATACATATTTTATGTATGTGTCTACATATGTATATATATGTACAACTAATATATATCAATACCAAAGAAAATTACCAATCATGGAAAAAGGTACAAAACTACAACATTTAATGAGGATAAACATCAATAAGTCAAAGAGATCCAGAAAAAAAATTTTGTTAAATTTGTAAATTAATTTAGGAAGAATTTTTGTCTTTATGATGTTGAGTATTACCATGCAAGAACATATTTAACCTTTCTATTTCTTCAAGCCTACTTTGTGCCATTCAGTGTGTCATATGTATATGTACGTATTTATGTATTTTTCAACCACAAGGCCAACATCTTATTTAATATACAGACACTGGATTTTTTTCCAATAACGTCAAAGAAAATAAGGATGTTCATTATATTTACTTTTATTTAATATTGTATAGATGTAATAGCCAATGCAAATAGCCAAAAGAAAGTAAAGGCATAAAAGTTAGAAAAAGGTAAAATTATCTCTACTTGCAGATGATATGATGGCATATATAGAAAAACCTGAAAGTATCAATTCAGTACTAACATAAGCAAAATAATATAGTTAAATAAGGAGTTATAAAATTATAAAAATGAATAGTCTTCAATATATTAAAACCATGAAAGAAGATATAATGGAAGAAATGCTCCATTCTCTCTTGTCGCCCAGGCTGGAGTGCAAGGGCATGATCTCGGCTCAACGCAATCTCCACCTCCCGGGTTCAAGCAATTCTACTGCCTCAGCCTTCCGAGTAGCTGGGATCACAGTCATGTGCCACCATGCCTGGCTAATTTTGTATTTTTAGTAGAGATGGCATTTCTCCATGTCAGTCAGGCTAGTCTTCCTAATTTACAAATTTAATGAAATATTTTTTCTCTATCAGTTTGATTTATTGATGTTTATCTTCATTAAATGTTGTAATTTTGTGCCTTTTCCCATGACTGGTAGTTTTTGTGTATTGATATTATTAGGTGTGAATATTTTGGGGATACACATGATATTTTTATACATGTATAGGATGTGTAATTATCAAATTAGGATAATTGGGATAGTGTAGCCTCAAATATTTACCTTAGTTTTGGGAACACTACAAATCTCTCCTTGCTATTGTGAAATATGCAGCAAATTGTTGTTAACACAACCTTAAACATGCCATTGGGCTTATTTTTCCCCTTTGGGGCTAGACAAATAAATGATAAAGTTCATTAGAGAGAATAAAAAAGCAAGAATAGCTAGGAAATCCCAGAAAAATAAAAGCAAGAAATGAAATGAAGAATACTTAGCCAGATATTAAAGCATATCACAAAAGCTTTATAGTTAAAATAATGCAGTATCAGTACATAAATACACAGACCATTGTAACAGAAAAAAACAATACATTGATCACTTATGCAATCAAGAAAGGCATTATTGCAAACCACTGATGACAAGGTGTATTGTTTTATATATATATATAAAATATATATAACTGGATAGCGAAAGAGAAAGAAAATTAGATTTTTTTTAAAGAAGGGAAGCACATTTTATTTGTAGTGAACAATAATTCTAATTGAGTTGAATTATATTACTGTTGATCTTAGAAACTATAGAGGCTTTACATATTTCTCAGATGCATAATATAATCTGTAAGGTGATTACTATGTGGAGAAAAACAAGGATAAAAGAAACCAAAACTGGAAATGGTGCATGATAAAGGAAACCAGAAGTGAGTATATTCCCACTAACTTTGAAATTAGAACCAAAAAAATTAACTTCAGTTTGTTTAGCATAAGAGCATTTGCATTGCAGCCTTTTTTGATATGTAAGATAATGCCTGCAGAGTTCTAGTATTGTGCTCAGTAAAAGTAATATTATCGTTGGATTTCATATCCCCTGAAATTCCCAAAATGATACGTGTATATAACTCCTGACAGATTAACATAATATACATGTATTCAAATTTTTATTTTTAAAAATCAGTTTACTCCAGATACCGAGATCCTCTTATAATTTATTTTCACTTTTATATAAACTTTTTATTTTATAATAGATTGGAACTTACAGAAGCATTGTGAAGATAGGACAGAGGGTTCAATGTACTCCACATGCCGTTCCCCTAATTATTAACATCTTATGTCAGAATGGCAGATTTATTACAATTAATAAAGCAATATTAATACATTTTTACTAACTAAAGTCCATGCTTTATTCAGCTTTCTTTCATTTTTAAATTTCTTTAATTTTAGTATTCTTCCTTCTTTTCCAACATCCCATATAGGATGCCACATTACATTTAGTTATTATGTCTCCTTAGGCTTCTAGAGTGCTTCAGACTTTCCTTGTTTTTGATGACCTTGACAGTTTTGAGAAGGCATTTGAAGAATGTCCTTCAATCAAGATTTAAATTGTTTTTCTCATGCTTTGACTGACGCTATGAGATTTGTCAGGAACAATTAAAAAGCTAAAGTATTTCTTTTCATTACATCATATAAAGTGTATATACTATTAATGTGAATTGTCACTGTTGATGTTAATCTTGACCACCTGGCTGATGTAAAGTTTGCCTTTTTCACTGTGAAGTTAATATTTTTCCCCTTTCCATACTAGACTATTTAGAAGACAGTATCTATGTACAGCCCACACTGTAGGAGTGGGGAGTTAAGCTCCACTTCCTTGAGGTCAGAGTAACTACTTTATATAAATTATTTGGTCTTATTCTGCATGGCAGGTTTGTTTAATCTCCCCAATTCCTTATTTTTTCAATTATGTATTTATATTAGTATAGACTCATAGATAGTTATCTTATACTTTTGTTGATAATTCAATACTCTTTCATTTATTTCATTGCTTCAATTGTTCCAGCTCTGGCCATTGGAGCTCTTTCAGTGGGCTTCTGTGCTCCATTGACATATCTCCATCATTGTGGGATTTTCTTTTGTTTAGCACTTTTTTGTTTCTGGCACTACAAAATGCTCCAGGCTTATCTTGCACATTTTTCTGCCCCAGTCCTTTGAATAACCAATGTAAATGAATCACCAGTGTAAACAGTCATTTCACCAAGAAACCTTGTTCCCTTTTTACTGGAAATTGCTATTAAAAAACAAAATCTGGGTACTAGATGGTATGCTTATTTCTACTGGGGTGTCATTTCTTCTAAGTCCTCTTAGCTGAAAAAGTAAGAGAAACGTGTGTATAGCAACCCATATATATTTCTTCTTTTTTTTGAGGTGGAGTCCCGCTCTGTCACCAGGCTGGAGTGCAGTGGTGCAATCTCAGCTCACTGCAACCTCCACCTCCTGGGTTCAAGCAATTCTCCTGCCTCAGCCTCCCGAGTAGCTGGGACTACAGGCACGGGCCACAATGTCCAGCTAATTTTTGTATTTTTAGTAGAGATGGGGTTTCACCATGTTGGCCAGGATGGTCTCGATCTCTTGACCTCGTGATCCACGTGCCTCAGCCTCCCAAAGTGCTGGGATTACAGGCATGAGCCACCGCGCCTAGCCCCAACCCATATATATTTCTATGTGTAACCATCTGTATCTGTAATTAGTTAATCATGATTTCATACTGCTGTCTCCAACTGTAATCCATTACCACAGGGATGATTATATCCTCATCCTGTTGCTTATTTTTAAGGTTGCACTCCAACAGCAAGAAGCCTGGCTCCTACTCTCTTCTATCCATTTACTTAATTGTTCAATTACAATGTATATGTATAAAAGTATCAGAACTCATCATTTGTATTTCCCTAGGAAACCACTTCATCAACTATAGTACAGTGCTTTATGTAGAGTTTCTTTAGCTCTTATTCTCACACACTACTCAGTTGCAAAATTACTCAGGTCAGCACCTTTTTGCTTACCCACTTCAGTAAGTTTGTCTTATACATTTACAATAGAGTTGGATTGCTTTGTCACATTCTGCATTTCATTCTGGTATCCTCCAACCTATCAAATGATTCTTTGAAAGTTTGCACAGATTAAGCTGATACGGGTTTTGACAAATGCATATTGCTATTTATTCACGATTATAGTATTACACGGAAGAGTTTCACTACCCTTAAAAATCTCCTATACTTCACCCATGTGTTTTGTCTATCATTAGTTTTGAAAAGTTGTCATCTATTTTTACTTGAAATATGTACTCTGCTCCTTCTCTCTTGTTTTGGTATTTTGACTATACATATGTTATACTTTCAAATTGCCTCATAATTTTTGGATATGCTGTTCTGGTTTTATTTTCTTTCTCTTCTCCTTCTCAATTTAGGAAGTGTTTATTAATGTTAATATATCTTCAAACTCATTGAGTCTTTCTTTGCCCATGTGCAGTCTATTAAGGAGCCTATCAAACACATTCTTTTTAACATTTTTTTAAATTTTTTACTTTTTTAAATTTATTTTTTATTTGTAAAGATGGTGTCTTGCTGTGTTGTCCAGGCTGGTCTCAAATTTCTGGCCTCAAGTAATCCTCCAGCCTCAGCCTCGCTTATTTCTGTTACAGTATTTTTTTATTTCTAGCATTTTAAAAAAATTCTTTCTTTGAGTTTACATATTTCTGCTTACACTACCCACCTGTTCTTACATGTTGTATACTTTTTTCACTAGATCCTTTATTATATTAACTTTAGTTATTTTGTTCCCTCCCTGAAAATTGCAACATCTGTTTCATAATAAAGCATGGTTCTGATATTTGATTTCTCTTCAGACCATTTTATTTATTCCCGTTTGTCATGCTTATAATTTTTTTAAACTAGATATGTTGTTTCAGGTAATAGAGATAGAGGTTAATAAGGTTTTAGTGTAAGGATTTCATTTCCTTCTTTCTACTTACTCTGAGTTTAAGTTCCTCCTTTTTTCCAAGCTTCATAAGCTGGAAGCTTATATTATTGATTTTAAACATTTGTTTTTTCAGACGTACACATTTCAACCTATACATTTTTTCTAAGTAATGTTTTAGCTTCATCTTGCAAATTTTGATGTATTTGTATTATTCAGTTAATCATATTTTTAACTTTCTTGTTTCTTTTTTATCTGTAAATTGTTTATAAGTGTGTTGACTAATCTGCAAATACTTGAAGATTTTCTATATATCTTACTGTTACTAAATTCTAAGTTAATTCTATTAACTTAGGGAACTCACTCTCTATGATTTGTCTTTTGAATTTTACTGAAACAGCTAAATATAGTCTTTCTTGCCAAATGTTCTATATCTACATAAAAAGAAAGTTGCAATAGTGTTCTGGAATTCTCAATTAGTTGATGACATTGCTCAAATCTTGTATATTCCTGTCACTTTTTTCTTCTTCTAGTTCTACTAATTACTTAGAGAAGGGTGCTAAAGTCTTTAATAGATACAGTTGATTTGTTTAACTGTAGATATGTAAACTTTTGTTTCATATATATTTAAGTTCTATTATTTTGTTATACAGTTGACCCTTGAACAATATGAAGGTTGGGACACTGACTCCTAGTACAAGTGAATATCCATGTATAAATTTTGATTCCTCCAAAACTTTACTAATGGCTTACTATTGACTGGAAGCCTTACCAATAACATGAACAGTCTATTAACATGTATTTTTTCTGTTATATGTATTATAAACTGTATTCTTACAATAAAGTGAGCTAGAAAAAAGAAAATTATATTAAGAAAATCAAAAGGAAGAGAAAGCATATTTACTATTCATTAAGTGGAAGTGGATTCTCATAAAGGTTTTCATCCTCATCATCTTCATATGGAGTCAGCTGAGGAAAAGAAGGAGTTCGTCTTGCTGTCTCAAAGATGGCAGAGGAGGGAAAAAAGTCTGCATAGAAGTGGACCCACATAGTTTAAACCCACATCTTTCAAGTTAAAATTGCAATAATTTTGTTGAGTTGATCTTTTCAATATTGTGAAATGACTCTCTTTATCTTTGATAATACTTTTGTCTTAATGTCTCCTTCTTTCTTGATATTTGTATGGTAATTATTTTACTATCTTTTTACTTTCAACCTATATATGTCTTTATATAAAAAGGACATCTGTTTTAGACAACATACAGCCGAATATTGCTCCCATATTCAGACTGACATCTCTTTTAATTGTAACAATTTATTTACATTAGTTATTAATTTACCTTGGTTATTAGTTAGTTATTGATATGATTGGGATTAAATCTACATCTTGCCTTTGGTTTTCAATTTGTCCTTCTCTTTTTTAATCTTTTTCTCTTTTCTTTTCTTAAGATAATCAAGCATCTTTTAAAATCCCACTTTTTCATCTATTGACTTTTTAGACATATCACTGTGTATTATATTTTCAGTTTCTCTTGGAGAGCAATATGCATACTTAAATTATCACAGTCTACCCAGTATTAATATTATAATACCTCATAAATACATAAAAACATTAAAACAATATAAATCAATTTATAGTCCCTTTTATAATTCTCACTGTTATTGTTATATATTTTGCTACTATATACAGATATCAATATGCAGATATATAAATATGTGTTACATATATACATATTTTTCTCTTTATATCTTATTAGAAATACACTGTTATTATTTTTGCTTTAATAAGCCAATCAACTTTTAAGAAATTTAACAAAAAGTAGTAGTTTAAAAATGTTTTATTTCTTTCCAGTGTTCACTTTTTTGGTACATTTATCTGACATAATTTCCTTTTAACCTAAAATTTCCTTTTAGCACTTCTTATAGTACAAGTCTGCAACAATTCTTTAAATTTTTTCTTTTAATGCAAACATGGTACTTCATCCTCTCTTCATTTTTGAAGGATATTTTTGCTGGATATAAAATTATAGGTTGACAGGGTTTTTTATTGTTTTGGGTTTTTGTTTGTTTGTTTTTTGGAGGGTGGTAGCTTAAAAATATAGCTCTGTTTTATTCTGAATAGAATGTTTCTCATAAGAGATCAGCCAACTTTTTACCATTGTTCCCTTGCAGGTAGGATGAAATAAGTACCTCCCACTATCTCTGGCTACTTTCTTTTCTTTTCTGTTCTTTTTAAATTGACATATAATAACTCTACATATTTATGGGGTGAATAGTGAGGTTTTGATACATATTTTGTATAGTGATCAGATCCAAGTAATTAGCATATCCATTATCTCAAACATTTATCATTTCTTTGTGTTGGTAACATTCAATATCTTCTTTCTCATTATTTGAAACTAGACGGATAGGTAGATAGATAGATAGATAGATAGATAGCACAGTCATCCTCCAGAGCTGTATATCATTACAACTTATATCTTGTATCTGGCTATAATTTTGTAACCTTTAACAAATTTCTCCCTGTCTCCCCTTCTCTTGGCAATTCCCAGCCTCTAGTATCCCCTACTATACTTTTTACTTCTATGAGATCCACATACTTGCGCTTCTGCATATGAATACAAATATACAGTGTTTAGCTTTCTGTTAACATGCTTGTTTCACTTAACACAATGTCCTCCAGTTCCATTCAGCCTTCTACAAATGACATAATTCCAGCCTTTTTATGGCTGAATAGTATTCCATGATGTACATATCACGTTTTTAAAAATCTATTCATCTGTCGTTGGACACATAGGTTGACTCCATATCTTGACTATTGTGAGTAGCACTGCAATGAACATGGGGTGTGCAGGTGTCTCTTTGAAATATTGACTTCCTTTCCTTTACATTAGTGGATTTTTTTGTCTTTTTGATAATAGCCATCCGAACTGGGGTGATATGATACCTTATTGTGGTTTTGATTTGCATTTCCCTGATTATTCGTGATGTTAAGCTTTTTTTCATATATTTGTTTACCATTTGTATGTATTCTTTCAAAAATATCTGTTCAAATCATTTGCCCATTTTTAAATCAGATTGTTGGGTTTTTTTTTACTGATGAGATGTTTGAGTTTATTCTATATTCTGGATATTAATTTCCCAGTGGATGAATAGTTTGCAAATATTTTCTCCCATTCTATAGTTGCCTTTTCACTCTGTTGTCGATCGTTTTCTTTGCCCTGCAGAAGCTCTTTAGTTTGATACAATCTCATTTGTTTATTTTTACTTTTGTTGCCTGTACTTTCGAGGTCTTATTTAAAATTTTTCCCCAAACCAATGCCCTAAAGTGTTTCTCCTATATTTTTTTTCTAGTAGTTTTACAGTTTGGGGTCTTACATTTAGGTCTTTGATCCATTTTGAGTTGATTTGTGTATAGGATGACAGATGCAGGTCTAGTTTCATTCTTCTGCATGAAATATCCAGTTTTCTCAGTACCATTTATTGAAGAGATAATCCTTTCCCTGATGACTGTTCTTGTCACCTTTGTCAAAAATTAGTTAGCTATAGACACATAGATTAATTTATCCACCCAATGGTCATAAATCAGAAAAATTAATATTGTTAAAATGACCATACTACCCAATCTACAGATTCAATGCACCCCTATCAAAATACCAATTGCCTTCTTCACAGAAATAGATAAAAATCTTAAAATTTGTATGGAACCAGAAAAGACCTCAAAGGTCAAAGCAATCCTGAGCAAAAAGAATAAAACTGGATCCATCATACTACCAGACTTAAAAATATACTACAAAGTTCTATTAACTAAAACAGCACAGTACTGGCATAAAAACTGACACATACCTTCCTCTGCCTCTAGGACTTCAATCAAGTGTTTTTAGATCACTTGATACTGTCACACAGGTCATAAAGTGCTGTTTATTTGTAAATTTTCTTTCTTTTTTCTTCAGTTTGAATGCTTTCTGTTTAACTCTTTTAAAGTTCACTGGTCCTTTCTTCTTCATTTTTTAATCTAACACAAATTTTATCTATATATATTGTATTAGTTCATTTTCATGCTGCTGATAAAGACATACCTGAGACTGGGTAATTTATAAGGAAAAAGACTTTTAATGGACTCACAGTTCCACATGGCTGAGGAAGCCTCGCAATCATGGCAGAAGGTGAAATTCACATCTTACATTGCAGCAGACAGGAGAGGAGAATGAGAGCCAAGTGAAAGGGAATTCCCTTTATAAAGTCATCAGGTCTTGTGAGGCTTATTTACTACCACAAGAATAGTATGGGGGAAACCGCCCCCTGGATTCAATTATCTCCCACTGGGTCCCTCCCATGACAGGTGGGAATTATGGGCGTTACAATTCAAGATGAGATTTGGGTGGGAACACAGACAAACCATATCATATATATATTTGGGTCCTATTATTTCCATTTCATTTATTTTGAGTTTTTTATCTCTACTGATATTACCCATCACTTCACCCATGTTATTCAATTTTTCCCTGCAGAACCTCTAGCCATCATAGTTATTTAAGATTATTTGTCAACTAATTATTTTAATATCTAATGATTAATAGTCATCTTGATTATTGGTTACATTTTTCTGCTTCTTCATATATCTACTAATTTTTGATTGTATATTAAATAAATGTACCTTAACTTACCTTTTGTTTTACTCTCATATAATGTATCTATTTTAATATTTTCCTTACTTTATAGGACAAAACTTTAAAAGTGAACATGACATAATTCTTGCTCCTAATACACATCAGTTTACAAAAGTGTGATGTGTTTTCCAAGTCCCTCTAACTTGGTTGGAATTAATTCCAAACTCTTTATAGTATGTGACTGTGACTACTGAATTGTCTGCTCATCTCTATTAACCTTCCAGCTGTTTTTTTTTTTTATTTTGCTTTGTTTTGTTTTTGTTTTTGTTTTTAATGTAGGCTCCTTGGTCTTGTAATTTGCATTCACTATTTAATGGTCAAAATAAAAGTTGGAAAAATTTGCTTGCAGATTTTTCAGCTTCACAACATTATGAATTCCTCTTTGCAGGGATTTTTTGTTTGTTTGTTTGTTTGTTTCTAGACATTCTGGAAGTACCATATTCCAATCTCTGGCTTGTCAGCCAATAAGAATGACACTTTTTCCTTTAGCTCTATCCTCCACACATGGAATAGACCAGGAGAGTCCTTATTGACAAGCTGGTTAAATGTGGATCTCACCTAGTGTAACTCCCCTCCTTCAAGTTTCTGCCTTGTTTTGTTTTGTTTTTGTTTTGAGACAGAGTTTCACTCTTGTTGTCCAGGCTGGAGTGCAATGGCGCCATCTCGACTTACAGCAACCTCCACCTCCTGGATTCAAGTGATTCTCCTGCCTCAGCTTCCCAGGTAGCTGGGATTACAGGCGTGCACCATCACACCTGGCTAATTTTTGTATTTTTGGTAGAGACAGGGTTTCTCCATGTTGGTCAGGCTGGTCTCAAACTCCGAACCTCAGGTTATCTGCCTGCCTCGGCCTCCCAAAGTCCTGAGATTAAACGTGTGAGCCACCGTGCCTGGCCAAGTTTCTGCCTTTTCATTCACTCTTCCATTCCTTCAAAGAGTTTTGTTTTGTTTCACTTTGTCTAGAGTCTGTAATTGTTATCAGCAAGGTTACTAGAAGCTGAAGATCTTTTTAAAAAAACTTTTATAGCGCCTACCATTGTTCTTGGTACATATTAGATGTTAGTAAATGAATAAGTGAATGGATAATGGAATACCTACAACTCTTAGAGAAATATCTACATGGAATATGACACAAGCTTTCTGCTGTTAGCTATTTGTTTCTCTAAAATAAGTAAAAAATTCATACTTTTGGCTCACATATAAAATTTGTCAACTCTCCTTTGCTATAGATATTAACCTCTCAAGCTAAAGAGTTGACACGAATCCAATTTTTTGCTTGTTTTCACTTCAGAGATACAAATAGTGATTCATTATTACCTTCATTTGAGAATCAAAGAATATGGCTATACACATTTACTTTATCATATATTTAAAGAATATGACAATTTCAAGTATAATTAATTTTGCCTTGAGATTTTAGTGTTTTATAACTAATACACAACTTTATGTAAAATGAGGAAAGTCAGTCTGCATCATTAGAATATGATACATACAGAATATATCAATGTAAAGTTTCAAAGTTAAGTTTTTGGCTGAATCTTACATCACCTAAAAGAAGCACTGATTTTTTATAATTTTTAAATAATTCCAGTGATAATTAGCTGTTTGAACAAATTGGAAAATATACAAACATACCTGATAAAACAAAAACTTTTCCTGTAATTAGAATTGTGGTGCATGTAAAATATAGCAGTCTGCTTTTCTGTAGTAATTTAAATATAAATTTCTTGTACATGTAAGCTAGAACTTACTATTGCATTCTTTGTGTAGTAAACATGACAGATTTATTGCCATGAGAGTGTTGTTGTAATTGTATACACAGAAAATTACTATATTTTATTTGAAACACAATGTATTTAACCACAGAAAGTATTGTGCTTACTACCACTGTGAAATGTATAAATGAAGTATTAGCATAGTTTACAAGTTACTATAATATATTCATTAGGTAGTTACTTTTGTATTTGACTAGAGTTGCAGAATTAAGAAAATAATTCTGAAAATGTATAAATGCCTATTGACCATACTTTATTGAGAAGCTGGGGAGAGAAATTGAAAACCTGTTTATAACCTGCTACAGGCTGTGTTTTTAAAAGTTTCTCAAAATGTACTGTAATGTAAAACAACAGAGCACCTTAACACGTGAGGCAAACTGATAGAATTGCAAGGAGAAATAGTTGAATTCAATATTATAGTTGGAGACATCAACACCCCTATGTCAGAAATGACAGATCCAGCAGGCATTAAATCAGTAGAGACATAGTTGACCTAACGAACATAATCAATCAGTGCGATATAATGGATATCTCTAGACTACTTTATCCAACAAGAGCAGAATACACATTTTTCTCAAGTTCACCTGGAACATTCACTGAGATAACCCACAATCTGGGCCATAAAACATATCTTACCAAATTTGAAAGAATATAAATCATACAATGTTTGCCCTCAGACCACAATGAAATTAAGCTACAAATCAATAACAGAAAGATAACTGGGAATTCCCCAAACAGTTAGATTAAGCAACATGTCTAAATAATCCATGGGTCAAAAAACTGTCAAGATAAATTTAAAAACATTTTGAACTCAATTAAAATTAAAATGTAACATCAAAATTTGGGGGATGCAGCAAAAGCAATGTTTAGTGGGAAATTTATAGTATTGAATGTATATATTGCAAAAGAAAAAGAATGTAAAATCAATAATCTAAGCTCCCATCTTAAAAACTAGATAAAAAGAGCAATGTAAATCAAAAGTAAGCAGAAGGAAAGAAATAAGAATTAGAGCATAAGTTAATAAAATTGAAAACAGGACATCGAGAGAGAGAAAACTAACAAAACCAAAAGCCAGCTCCTAAAATGTTTTTAGGAGTAAGGTTTTTAGAAGTAAGGTTTTTTTGTCCCCTGGAATCTTTTAATATATTTTTCTTTATCTTTGATTTTCTGTAGTTTCAAAATGATACACCTAGAATTTTCTTTCCTTTTTCGTCTTTTTGCTGTTTTTCCTACAAAAATAACAGGCGTACTCTGAGCTTCCTGCATCTGTGATTTGGTTTCTGACTTTATTTGGGGAACATTCTCAGTCATTGTTGTTTTAAATATTTCTTCTGTTTCTTTCTCTCTTTCTTCTTATTCTCGTATTCCCATTATCCACAAGTTACACCTTTTCTAGTTCTCTCACAGTTTTTGTCTTTTTCTCTCTTTGCTTTTCAGTTTGTAAGTTCCAACTGATATATCCTCAGAGAGCTTTTCCTTAGCCATATCCAGAAACCTGAGCTCATCAAAGGCATGCTTCATTTGTGTAATGTTGTTTTTTCATCTCTAGCATTTCTTTTTGGTTCTTCATTAGAATTTTTATCTCTCTCCTCATATTGCCCATCTGTTCATGCATGTTGTGTATTTATCCTTCAGAGTCCTTAACATATTAACCACAGTTTCTTTAGATTCCTGATCTTATAATTTCAACATTCCTTCCATATTTGTTTCTGATTATTTCTCTGTCTCTTCACACTGGGCTTTTTCTCCTTTCTTTATGCCTTTTAATATTTTAAAAGCTGGGCATGATGTACTGTGAGCCTGTACCCCTGGACTGTCAAGTTCACCAGTGCTTCAATTTATTTGCCTCACCTTAGGTGGAACAGGATGACTAGAGTGGGCTGGAGTTGGGTACTTCCCTTCCCTCAGGTCAGTTAGGCTCTGAAAAAACCCTAGTAGGTTAGGTTTTGGTAAAAATAGTTTCTCTTGAAGAGAGGCCTTGTGAAAAACAGAGTGATCTGAAGTCTTTCAAATTGAGCACTTTCTCCTTCCCTCTGCCTGTGCTATACGGGGATTTTTTTCCCAAATATTCTGCGAGAATCTAATCAAGCTTGCAGAAGTAAAACTCACAAAAGTGTGAAGGCACCCCTATGACTGGGTCCCTTGAAGTTTTTAACTCAAACTTGTCCACACTCAGCCTACAGAAATTCATCATTTACCATGTAGGAGCTCTTAACTCTGGCCCTGGTCCATGGAGATTTCTGCTTATGGGTTTCTGCTGCAGTACCTTGTGACTCTCTACGTTCACCTGATGCTCCCATTCCGGGGGCAGTGGTTTGCCCTGTGACCTCACTTCTCTGAGGGATCTACGACTGCTGGCCAGTTGACTTTCTGTCCATAAACTTTCTCTTAGTTCTAAACAGTATCTTCAGGCAAAAGCAAATGTTTTTGCCAGTGGAAACATGGATAAGACTCCAAAAGTTGCAGGGTTAGTGGCAAATGGCCTCTGGCCTCCTTCTTGACACTATTACCGTCTACTGATGCCAGATCAGGGTACTATGATCTCATAGTCATAGACTGAGCAATTTGGTAAACAATCGCACCTCAAGAATAAATGGGATGTCAGGGAACATTTTCTTTCTCATAAATCTAAGTAATTCAAATATTAAAATTCTGATCACTAAATGAGCGAAATACATGTTGATTCAATTGTATTCGCTCATCAATGAGAAATAAATTAAACCCAGATGAAATTATCTTGTTTAAAAAAAAGTCCTCTAGGGTTGATTGTATTTTCCTATCACTTAACTAAGTGCTAATTTTTAGGATCTGGTTGTGTTTTGAATTTAATTATTACAGAAAATACTATGAGAAAAGAATGAAACACAAGATTATTAGACCATAGCATGCAGCTTAAAAATTCACATATTATAAAATTGTATTGGACTGAGAACAGCTGCCAATATCAGTAAAAATGATATCTGATGTCTCAGAATAAGGTTTATTATTCTTACACCTGTGATTTTATAACACATTTGCCAAATTGCATAAAACTGGTTGTTTTGGTTTATTTTCATGTTA
The DNA here is from genome assembly GCF_000001405.40 of Homo sapiens. NCBI lineage: Eukaryota > Metazoa > Chordata > Mammalia > Primates > Hominidae > Homo > Homo sapiens. The sequence goes on from NC_000001.11 coordinate 219,012,098, forward strand.
AAAGTATTATAATTATTTTCATGCTTTGATTGAAAAAGTTTTTTAAAGTATGAGTAAATTCAACTATTCTCAATATTCTCAAACAAAATAAAGTACTAATAATTCACACACATTCACAAAAAACATTTCTTTGTTAATTTTTTCTGACTTTTTCAGACAACAGAGTTAACATTAGGAGTATTACCTATCATTATAATGAAAATCTAAGTTTCAGGCATCTATTTCCACTATATTTACTCATTATTTACTCAATAATGAAGGTAAATGTTCAGGCAAGAAGACAACAGATATTTTCAATTTAAAACTTCAAGGCTAGAGGAGTCTTTTTCAAGATAACATCATTTCCTGCAAAATTATGACTGAGATTTTTATTGTGATTAAGTTTTCAGTCCTTTACACATTTGCATTCACCACATCTAAACCTAAGACAAGATCAATATTCAATCATATAACTATATTATTTGTCTTTCTTTTTTTCTCTTGATTTTCTCCTTTAGAATCTTGTCATAACATATATATATATGATTACATCCCATTGTTTTCTCTTCAATGAGATTTTTCAATATTTCTAATTTCTCGATTTGCTTATTAAAGTAAGACTTTTAAACTTTTCCTGTGGCATATTATGTTTTAGCTGTTTTTTCATATATACAAAGAATATTCTTTCATAATCTGCTTTTTAGTTTTTATTTGTGTTTGGTGTGTGTGTGTGTGTATATATGTGTGTCTGTGTGTGTGCAAAACAATCCTAGTACAAAAACGGAAAAGAGATGTAATATTAAAGTACAGGTTATGAAGGCTCAGTTTAGGAAGATGTAAAGAGAAGCTAATCATTAATTAGGAGAGTTGATAATTATTAATCAGAAGAGATGCTATACCCTCTTTTTTTTGTAAGGAATCTTGTAAGCAGGCCCTTGTATTTTTAAAACTACAACATAAGTCCAAGGTTATCCAGATAAAAAGTGGCAGGGACAGGATTAAATTCTCATTTATCAAAATAGTACATAATCTGAGTTCTCAACTACTTGGCTATGCTACCTCCCAGGTTTGGGGCAACAAGGTTAAATGACTACTACTGATGCCCAGTGGCCTATTTGTCTTTCTCTGGTCCCATATGTGATGGGTTTTCAGAGTGAAAGCCAATTCTATTCTTGGTTATGAGGTAAATATTTTCTTGACTTCCATTCAGTCTTTCTTGTTAGAAATGAGCATCCACAGATATGAGAGTGAGTGTGAAGATAAAATAAATCAGGATAATAATGTAAAAAAAATCATAACACCGAAGTTCAGAACATCAGAGACCTGCACAGAGGCAAATATCCTATATCAACAATGAAGCTGTTTAGAGTCTACCTTTTTTTCCTGGATACGTAAAATTATTACAATAATATCTATCTCAATGAGAAGCAACATAAATATTAAGTACTGAGTGGAAAACCTGAAGAAATATAATCAGCATGTTTTCTTATTATACGTATAGTTACATATAATTATATAATTATATGACATCATATATAGTATATATGTACTACCTATACACACACACATACAAACACACACACACACACACACACCAGCATATATGAAATGTAGGGAGACCTCCAGGGAAATGACTACTGTGGTATTAATGAAATTCAAGAGCTTACAATATAGGGGTATAATAACAGTGACAATGAACATTTTCTGCTGGACTGATATATCTTCAACTTCAGTAGGGAATATAAACAACATTTTGAAAAATTAAAGCAAACAATACAAACATATGAAGAATCTGATCATCTTTTTACATTTTTGGATATTTAAAAAGTATCCATAATTTATTTGACAACACTACTAGGTGCTTTACAAAAATAACTAAATAAAGCTTCTATTCTCAGTGCCTAAAGTAGGAATGACACAGATAACCTACAAGAGGGCATGAAAACATAAAATTATCTTCAAAATATATGAGCAAAAATAACATGGAATACTAAAATGTCCAGTTCTTCTGTAAAATCTCTCTTGGTGCAAAATCTACTCACTGGCTCCTCTTAATAGTAGAAAGGAGTTGAAACCACCTTGCCTTCGAAGAAATCCATTTCCTGGTGTGCAAACACTTCATTTGCCAATCCACAAATAGTTTGTTTAATGTTCCTGCTCAAATTAGAACAACCCTGATTTTTTCTTCTGTGATGTTATCATGCTAAAGGATATGCAGCATATCTTCGTGGTGAAATGATACTAGGCTGAAGCAAAACCAGAATTCACTGACAGACTAGAAATTTAATTTTATTTCTTGCCCTTTACCAAAAGTGATAGCTATAAAATTTAGAAGTTCCCTTACTGAATAAGATTTCCTTTTAGTTATTGTTTTGCACATAATCCAGAAAAGATTGTTGGCTGCAATTCTTGCAGTGTTACTAAAATATTTCTTTAACATCCCAAGCTAATATTATGTGTATGAATAGAAGACTAAGACAGAAGCTGAATTTTCCTATTGTGCTTCATCACAGGTTATACAGGGATTCAAAATTTGGCAGGTTTTAGTAAATACTGCATACGCTGAAAGAGTTTAGAGTTTTGGTTGCCCCACACACAATTTCCCCACAGCCTCACATTTAATTAAATTTCCTTATTCAAGTTTGTGCTTGTTCCAAACCATAGAATTCCACTAATAATTTACATATTTTGGTAAGAAAATAGAACAAGCATATTTTCCATCAATTATTTTTGTCAACAGGAAAAGATGCAATTGAATAATATTTAAGTATTGACTGATCTGAAAATCAAACTCTTTCCTATGAAGCTCTCAGAAACTGAAGTTCTAAGTACTTATTCCTTTTTTTTTGTCTTAGTCTACACCTTTAAGAGGCTTCAAAATATTTCTGAAGTAAAAGAATAATAGAAAATTCATGTGGGAATTAGTCACTGCAGGCTTTTACTCAGGTTAAGGTGATATGTTTCATTAATGAAGATAAGGCTTGAGCACATGTCTAGAGTTTTGCTTCTGAGCTTAAAATAACTATGACAATAATTTTCTATCACCCACCCTCAAAGTTGACTGTCCTTGAGTTGACACAATAGAGTTCTCTTGAAAACCTAAAGCAACGCAGAGAACTTCAGTGTAAACAACTTAAGGAATTACCTTTGGAAGCAAAGACTTGTTTCTTATGATAATTTTAAATAAAAGTTCAATAATTATGCCTGATTTGTAATCTATAAATGTACATCTTTTTACCTTACACTATTTATAGACTTTACTAATTTAGAATTTAATAGGCCCTTTAGATTTATGAAGAGTTAAAAAAAGGGTATTTTAATGATTTAGGGTCTTATAATGTTTGTGTATTTAAAGTAGATCCCCATTTAGCAGTGCTCCACCTAATACATTAAAAAGCCATATTCTATGTGTTCATTCAACAAATGCCAGACAGTGACTGAACCACAGAACTTACATGGAAATGCCCTCTATACAGTTTACCTTCTGATAGGGGGATGAGTTCATACCAGCCAATAACCAGCAAATAAATTAATTACGCATTTTAAGGAACGTTCCCAGGGAATCTATCAAGATTCTAAGGTAAAAAAAAAAATAATGGGGAAGAGGAGGGGGATCCACTTGTATTTAGTAATCAGGGACTGCCACTCTGGCAAGGTGACTTGAGCTATGACCTGGGAGATGAGATGCCAGCCATGGAATGAAGTTGAATATGAGTGTTTTAGGTCGAGAAAACTGTATATTTGGACCTTGAGATGAAGAAGAGCTTGACATATTCAAGGATTTCTTTTTTTTAAAAAAATAAAAACATATGGAAGAGCATGATGAACCAGGGGTTAAGGAGTAAAAGAATGTGTTAGGTAACTAGTCAAAAGGTGTGTTAGAAATACGATGTCTTGGATTCATGTTTGACTCACTTCCTTCAACCCAAATGCAAAGCAGTAGCTAATGAAGTAGGAAAATATGGGAGAAAAAAAGACATAGAGTGGCTCAAAGTATTAACATCTTTATGGAGTTGGTGAATTTAGATAAAACTGTATAGATGATAGAATTAACGTACAGAAGTTGGGAGTAATGAGGCTTACTACTTGGATCAAAGAACTGAGTTATGTGCCCTATCTCAAGAAAAGTAGACTAAAACAAAAAGTGTTAACAACTGCCTGAGGCTATAGCTTTTAATAAGCGGCATATCTAAATGTGTAGAAGAAATGCACAGCCTCCTCCTCAGGAACTGAACAGTGACCCACTGGCAGGGTAATTGAATTTTTAATATATTTAATATCATAAAGTAATAGTCCTGAGTGTTTTTATATTACCTAGTTTGGACTTGCAGCACTGCAAACTAGGAAGGTAACCAAAAAGTTGTTAGAAAGTACACACAGAGAAATTAAGAAAATCAAAAGATATCTTCCACAAAAAATAAACCTGCAAACAAAAATTCCAAAATACATGAAGAATTGAACAAAATTTAAAGTTAAAAAGTATCAAAATCAATAATTAAAAGATATTTCACTTCAAATGAAATTGATTTTATAGATGTCTAGCAAATAATTTGAGACAAATTAATTAGTATCCTCATAGACAATAATTAAAGAATAATTTCTATTCAAAAAGGTAAACATTTATTACACAGCATAGGCATAACTGAGCAAAACCTTGGAAAAAAACAATAAGAGATTACGAAAATTATCATTTTAATCATTGAAATAAAAGGACAGAGAGTGGTTTCCAGATTGGCATGTAAGGAGCTTGGAAGCTGTCACTCCATTCTAACAAGTAAAAATCTGAACAAACTGCAAAATCAATAACTCTTCTTCTAAGAGGTATCTACACCTCACAGAAATGAGGTCACAGGGTCAACAATTGCCCCCAAAACTGGTGAGACAGACAGGAAGTTACAGAGAATCACAACTGACCAGAGCTGGAACCTCACAGGAATGAGGACTGAAGTAGGAAAATATGAACTGTAATTGAGAAATAGAGATTTCATGAGGACAATTCTAGGGGTTACAATCTCCAGGAAGACCTAGTAATGGGGAGGCCAATACATTTTTGAGAGCTTTACCTCCAGAAACTACTAGGTTTTCATTGTAAATACCAGAGAAAAATTCCATCATGCTTCCAAAAAGGGGAGGGGAAAAGTAACTATTTTGAGATACGGCAGAGTATTCTGTTCTTTTTAACAAGGCCTGACCACAAGACAAATTATTTTACCTGAGCCTAGCCTACTATGTTTTTATCAGTGCATAACTGACTTGGAGGAAGGAAAATATTCAACTTTAGCCCAGTATCACCTTCTTTCCATCTGGGGGATGTAAAATACCCAAGTCCAGCTTACACCAGCCTTTCACATAAAGGGATAAAACTACCCAACTTCTGCCCCTACTAGCTATCCTATCTCACATAAGGGGTAGGTGGGTGGGGTGGGAAAATGAGAAGAACTGGTAATTATCAGTTTACCAGCTCACCAAAAGAATAAGACTTAATCGTAAGACTATAAAATGCTTCCCCTACTCCCAAAGCTTACCATCACATTACTAAAGGCCTAATTTACCACAGATCACTTTACCTAGTACATTATGCTCAGTTTGTACCAAAAAATTAAGACCATACCCAAGAGGGAAAATACAATTTGAAGAGACAAAGAAAATATCAGAAACAGACATAGGAGAAATGTTGGAATTATGAGATTGGGAATTAAAACAACTATGACTAATACGATAAAGGCTCTAACTGATAAAGTAGATGGCATGCGAAACAAAATGGGTAATGTAAGCAGAGGGATGAAAAATTAGAAAGAAACCAAAATTGCTATAGATGAAAAACACTGTTTCAGAAATGAAGAATGCCTTTTGTAGACTCCTGAGATGACTGGGCATGGCTGAGGAAAGAATTTCTGAGAATATGTCAATAGAAACATACAAACTGAAATGCAAAGGAAAAAAGGCTGAGGGAAAAAAAATAACAGAACATCTAAGGACTTTTGTAGTGGGACAACTACAGAATGTGTAACTTACGCATAATGAGAATACCAGAAGAGAAGAAACAGAGAAAGAAACAGAAGAAATGTTTGAAACAATAATGACTGAAAATAACCTCCAAAGTAATGTCAGACACCAAACCACAAGCCCAGGATGCTCACAGGACAACAAGGAGGATAAATGCCAAACACACCCACACCCTCACCTAGGCATATCATTTTTAAACTATATAAAACCAAACAAGTGAGAAAAATTTTTGAAGGAGATCAGAGGGGAAAAAAAAGCACCTTACCTACAGAGAAACAAAGATAAGAATTGCATGACTTTCCTCAGAAACCATGTGAGCAAGAAGAGAGTAGAGGGAACTATTTACAGTGTTGAGAGCAAAACTGCCAAACTATAGTTCTATATCATGTAAAATTATTCTTCAAAAGTGAAAGAGAAATAAAGTCTTTCTTAGACAAACCCAAATGAAAATATTTTTTGACAGTAGACATGCTTTGCAAGAAATGTTAAAAACAAAATTCTTTAGCGAGAAGGAAAATCTTATAGGTCAGAAACTTGGTCTACATGAAGAAAGCATTAAAGAAGAAATAAGTTAAGGTAAAATAAAAGCTTTTTTTATTCTTAATTGTTCTAACAGATAACAACTTATTTAAAAGAGTCATAGCAACAATGTATTCAATTAGGTATGCTTACGTATATGTCATATACATATATATGCATGTTTGCATACAAATGAAATGAATAATAAGAATCATACAAAGAATGGGGGCATTAAATGTATCTGGTTAACATAAAGCACTCACACTAACTGTGAATGGTATACTGTTATTTAAAAGTGGACTTGGATTAGGGTTTTTTTTTTACAAATTATAAAGCAAGCACTAAAACAAGTAAACAATGAATATAACTGATATGCTAAAACAGGAGAGAAAACAAAATTATATAAAAAGCTCAATTAAAACCACAAAAAGCAAAGAAAAAAGAGTGGAAGACAAAAGTAGAAAAGTAGTAGCAAAGAATAAGAGTAACAAAGGGAAAAGAGTAACAATATGGTAAATATTAGTCCAAATATATCTGTAGTCACTTTGAATATCAATAACCTAAATACACTAATTAAAAGGCAGAGATGGTCAGAACAGAACAAAAAATAAGATGCTACTATGTGCTGTCTACAAGAAGGCCACGTTAAATACAAAGATATATAGAATAAAAGTAAATAGATGTGGAAATATGTCATGCTAACACTAATCAAAAGAAAACAAGAGTATATACATTCGAGACAGAGCAGACTTCACAGCAATGTAAGTTATCAAGAATAAAGAAGACTATTACATAATGATATAGGGTTCAATTATTCAGTAAGACATAATAATCCTAAATGTATATATGCCTAACAACAGAACACCAAACTAAATGAAACAAAAACTGATAGAACTGCAAAGAGAAATAGATTAATTCACTGTGATAGTTGGAGACCTCAGAACTTCTATCAAAAATGAACTGATCCAGTATGGAGAAAATCAGTAAGAACATAGTTGAACTGAAAAACACCATCAATCAACTAAATATAAGGGACACCTACAGAGTATTTTATCCAAGAGCAGCAGAATACACATTCTTCTCAAGCTCACATGAAACCTTTACCAATATAGATCACATTCTGGGCTATAAAACACACATTAACCAATTTAAGGAAAAAGAAATCATAAAGTATCTGCTCACAGAACTCAATGGAATTAAGCTAGAAGTCTGTAATAGAAATATAACAGAAAATTTCCAAAATAGTTGGAGATTAAGCAACACACTTCTCAATAATACATGGGTCAAAGAAGAAATATTCAATAAAACAAGATATTTTTAACTAAATGGAAATAAAAACAAAAATTAATACAATTTTAGGATGCAATGAAAACAGTGTTTAGAGGGAAGTGCATAGCTTTGAATGTACATATTAGAAAATTAAAAAATCACACTTTGGAAGAAAAGAAGACAATGATTTAATAAAAATATGCCAAAATGATTTGTGGTACTCTAACTAACGTTCCTTTCATTTCTGCTCCCAAGCTCATCTGTCATACTGAAAACTACACTCCAGATTCCTAAAAACTAAGGGAGTAAAACAAAGTTAGAACCCTTTAAAAGACTCTTTTTTCAAAGAATGATTATCAGGTCTCTCTCGTGGGTCTTAGGATGACCCCAATCAAGCCATGTCTTTATTTGACCCTATTCAAACTTATGAGGTACTGAAGCCTCTCTTTGGGAAGTGTTTGTGGAATGTTTTGACATCCATTTTTGCTTGGGACAATAGACAACAGTTGGGAAAAACTATAGAGTAGCCAAAAACCTTAAAGGAAAAGCTTATGTGTGAGATGTATATAAGAGCTTTGAAAAGCTCTGACTTATACTTGGGAACGTAGAAGACTGTGTGAATATGTAGCACTGTGCCAAGCTCATTAGACATCTGAGAAGGCCCTAAGCCCTCATATTCTAAGCGGCCTTGAGTCTTTGAGCAAAGGAAGTGGTGACTAAGGCAGAGTTGTAAACTGTCTGTCTGAGTGTTGAAAGCATACTTCATCATGTATATAGGACCCCTTAGCAAAGACTGTGAGATTTATTGGTTCCAGGGCATTAAGGAAACCTCTTCTAATGATTAGCTAACCATCAAACTTACTGAGTAGAGATTACAGTGGCCACAAATGAGAAAGAACAGACTTTATAGAATTAGTTCAGAAGTCACTAAACAAACCAACAGCAACAATTAAACAAGTAGCTATAAAAAAACTCTGGGGAACAGGGTGAATCTGATTTCCAGAGTTGCCACATTATATTATTTAAAATACTCAGTTTTTAACAACAACAACAACAACAAAATGAGACTTGCCAAAAATGCAAGAAAATATGAACCATAGACAGGAAAAAAAGGCAATTCTTAGAAACTGTGCCTGAGGAGGCCCAGATTCTTGACCTATTGGACAAATACCTTAAGTCAGCATTTACAATTATATTCAAAGACCCAGAGAAAACTAGTTCTAAAAATTTTTTTTAAGACTGATATCACACTAAAGAGAAAATATCAATACAGAAATGGAAATTTTTTAAAAAAATAAACACTTGGAGTTGCAAAGTACAATATACCACTATGAAAAACTCAGGTACAGAGATGGAGCAAAATGACCAATTATAACTCTCCGGTGATCATCCCCGTATAGGAATAACAAATTAAACAACTTTCCACATAAGAAAGCACCTTCATAAGAACCAAAAATCAGGTGAATGATCACAGTACCTGGCTTCAACGTCATATCAATGGAAGAGTCACCAAGGAGGGTAGAAAAGAAAGCCTTGAATTGCTGACACCACTTCTCCTCCATCCCTTAGCAGTGGCTGCATGGCATGGAGAGACAATCTGTCTGTCTAGAGGAGGAAAAGTTCAGTAATTTTGGGACTTTGCATTGGAACTCAGTGCTGCCTATCACAGCAGAAAGCAACACAGGGCAAACTTCAGCTAGCACCCAGAAAAGAGCATTTTGACTGGATCAAGCCAGAGGAGAATTGTCCACCCCAGTGGTCAGAACCTGAGTTCCTGTTAATGCCACCACCACCGGCTACATTGTTCTGGGGACATAAATAAACCTCAAAGGCAGTCTAGGCAACAAGGGCTGTAATTCCTAGGCAAGTCTTGAAGTTGTGCTGGGCTGGGATCCAATAATCTTGGGGTACACATGACCTAGTGAGATGCAAGCTAAAGTGGCCAACAAAGTGCTTGCATCATGCCTCTTCCCACCACAGGCAATGCAGCTTTGGGAGTGATACCTTCTTTGGACTTGAGAGAGAAGAGAGAAGAGTAAAGAGGAATTTATCTTTGCAACGTGGATACCAGCTCAGCCACAGTAGAATAGGGCACAAGGTGGATTCCTGAGGCCCCCATTCCAGGCACTACCTCCTGAATGACATTTCTACACATACTGTGGGCCAAGAGGGAGCACACTGCCTTGAAGGGAAGAACACAATTCTGGTGGGATCCATCATCTGCTAACTAAAGAGCCCTTGGGCCTTAAATAAACACCAATAGTAGCCAAGCAGTATTCACCGTGAGCCTTGGGTAAGACCTAGTGCTGTGCTGGCTTCAGCTGTGACCAGCACTTTCCCAGCTGTGGTGGCCATGAGGAAAGCCTCCTTCTGCTTGAGAAAAGGAGAGAGAAGAGTAAAGGGGACTTTGTTTTGCAGCTTAGGCACCAGGTCAGCCACAGTGAGACAGAGCACCAAGTGGGCTCCTGGGAGCCCCAATTACAAGCATTGGCTCCTGGATGACATTTCTGGGCTTGACCTGGGCCAGAAGGGAGCCCACTTCTCTGAAGGGAGAGACAGAGACCTGGCAGCATTTACCACAAGCTGACTGAAGAGCTGTTGGGCCATGAGTAAACATCAGTGGTAGCCATGGGCCTGGGGTGGCAGTGCACATGGGAAGAGAGTTCTTCTGCTTGAGAAAAGGAGAGCGAAGAGTGGGAAGGACTTGATCCTGTGGCTTGGATGCCAGCTCAGCTGCAACAGAATAGAACACCAAGGAGATTTCTAAGGTTCCACACTCCAGGCCTTGGCTCCTGGATGGCATTTCTAGATCTGTGCTGAACCAGGGAAAAGCTTGCCACCTGGATGGGGAAGGACACAAGCCTGGCTAGGTCTGCCATGTACTGTTTGAAGAGCCCTTGGGCCTTGAGTGAATATTGATGGTAGCCAGGGAGTGATTCCTATGGGCCATGGTTGAAACTCAGTGCTGTAGTGGCTTCAGGTTAAACCAAGCACTGTTCCAGTAGTAGTGACCACAGGGGTACTTGTGTCACCCCTCTTCCAGATCCAGGCAGCTCATCACAAAGAGAGAGACTTCATTTGTTTGGAGGAAAATAGGGAGGAGAACAAGAATCCCTGTCTGGTAATCCAAGGAATTCTCTTAGATTATATCTAAGACCCCCAAAGTGGTACCTAATTGAGTCTGCAAGAACCACAACATTACTAAGTTTAGGGTGCTCCCTAATGCATATATAGCTGTAGTGACCAAAAACTTAGATTACAACACTCAATTCCCTTTGAATACTTGGAAACTCTTCCCAAGAAGGAGAGGTACACACAAGCCCAGACTGCAAAAACTACAATAAATACCTAACTCTTCAATGCCCAGACATTGATGAACATCAACAAGCATCAGGACAATCCAGGAAAACAGACCTCACCAAACAAACTAAATTAAACACCCGTGACCAATCCTGGAGTTACAGATAAATGTGACCTTTTAGAGAGAGAATTCAAATGAATTGTTTTGAAGAAGCTCAGTGAAATTCAAGATAACACAGAGAATGAATTCAGCATCCTATCATATAAATTTAACAAAGAGACAGAAATAATGTTTAAAAATCAAGCAGAAATGTCAGGAGCTGAAAAATTCCACTGACACGCTGAAGAATGAGACTCTCAACAGCAGAATGGACCAAACAGAAAAATTAAAGATCTTGAAGACAGGCTATTTGAAAATACACAGTCAAAGGAGTCAAATGAAAAACAAAAAATGTAGTGAAGCATGCCAACAAGATATAGAAAATAGCTTCAAAAGGACAAATATGAGACTTATTGGCCTTAAAGAGGAGGTAGAGAGAGAGATCAAGGTAGAAATTTTATTCAAAGAAATGCTAACAGAGAACTTCCCAAAGCTAGAGAAAGATATCAAGATTCAAGTATGAAAAGATTATAGAACACCAAGCTGACTGAGCCCAAACAAGACTATCTCAGACATTGAATAATCAAACTCCCAAAGGTTAAAGACAAAGAAAGGATCCTAAAAGCAGCAAGAGAAAAGAAATAAATTACATACAAAGGAACTCAAATGCATGTGGCAGCAGACTTCTCAGTGGAAACCTAACAGGCCAGGAGAGAGAGGCATTACATATTTAAAGTGCTGAAGAAATAAAACTTTTTATACTAGAATAGTACATCCAATAAAATTATCATTCAAACATGAAGGAGAAATAGAGACCTTCCCAGAAAAAAAAAATGCTGAAGGATTTTGTTAACACCAGACCTGTCTTACAGAAAATGCTAAAACAAGTTCTTCAATCTGAATGGACATTAATGAGCAATAAGAAATCACCTGACGGTATAAAACTCACTAGTAATAGTAAGTATAGTAAACACAGACAAATACAGAATATTATAACATTGTAATTGTGGTATATAAATTACTTATGTTTTGAGCAGAAAGACTGAAATATGAACCTACCAAAAATAACAACTACAACAACTTCAAGGCATAGTATAATAAGATATAAATAGAAGCAACAAAAAAGTTGAAAAGTGGAAGCAAGAAGTTAAAGGGTGGATTTTTTATTAGTTTTCACTTTGCCTGTTGTTAGTTTGTTTGTGCAATGTGGTAAGTTGTCAAGAATTTAAAACAATGGGTTTTAAGATGTTATTTGCAAGCCTTGTGGTTACCTTAAATAATAAAACCTACAACTGATACATAAAAAAATAAAAAGCCAGAAATTAAAACTTACCACCAGAGAAAATCACCTTCACTAAAAGGAAGACAAGCAGAAAGAATGGAAGGAAGAGAAAAACACAAAACAATCAGAAAACAAATAACAAAAATGGAGAGAGTAAGTCCTTACTTATCAATATTAACATTGAATATAAGTGCACTAAACTCTCTAACCAAAAGACATAGAGTGGCTGAATGGATTAAAAATGCAATAGCCAATGATCTATTCCATATAAGATTAGTAACCAGAATACATATGCAGCTTGAACAACTCAAAAGGAAAAAATCTAATAATCTAATCAAAAATATGCAAAAGATCAGAATAGATATTTCTCAAAAGAAGACATACAAATGGCAAATAGGTATATAAAAAGGTACTCAACATCATTGATCATCAGAAAAATATAAAGAAAAGCTACAATGAGATATTGTCTCACCCTAGTTAAAATGACTTTTATCCAAAAGAAAGGCAATAACAAATTCTGGGGAGGATGTGGAGAAAAGGGAAACCTGTAACACTGTTGGTGAGAGTGTAAATTAGTACAACCACTGTGGAGAATAGTACGGAGGATCCTCAAAAATTAAAAATAAAACTACCATATGCTTGAGTAATCCATTGATAGGTATATACCCAAATGAAAGGAGATCAGTATATTGAAGAGATATCTACACTTTCATATTTATTGCAGCACTGTTCACCAATACTGCAGGAAAGCAAGATTTGGAAGCAACCTAAGTGTCCATCAACAGACAAATGGATAAAGAAAATGTGGTATATGTGCACAATGAAGTACTATTCAGTCCTAAAAAAGATACTGTCATTTGCACCATTATAGATGGAACTGTAAATCAACTATGTTAAGTGAAATAAACCAGGCACAGAAAGACAAACTTCACACACTCTCACACATTTGTGAAATCTAAAAATTAAATCACTTGAACTGATGGAGATAGAGAGCAGAATGATGGTTACCAGAAGCTGGCAAGAGTAGTGGGAGGCAGAGAAGAAATGAGGATGATTAATGATGACAAAATATAGTTAGATAGAATAATAAGATCTAGTATTTGATAGTATAACAGGATGATCACAGTCACGAATAATTTATTGTACTTCTAAAAATAACTAAAAAAGGCAGAGCGCAGTGGCTCACGCCAGTAATCCCAACACTTCGGGAGACCTCAGGTGGGTGGATCACGTGAGGTTAGGAGTTCGAGACCAGCCTGACCAACATGGTGAAACCCCATCTCTACTAAAAATACAAAACTTAGCTGAGCGAGGTTGCGGGTGCCTGTAATCCCAGCTACTTGGGAAGCTGAGGCAGGAGAATCGCTTGAAACTGGGAGTCAGAGGTTGCAGTCAGTCGAGATCAAGCCATTAGACTCCAGCCTGGGCAGCAGAGTGAGACTCTGTCTCTAAATAAATAAATAAATAATGAAAAGAGTATAATCTGAATGTTTGTAACACAAGGAAATGATAGATGTTTGAGGTGATATATATCCCACTTACCCTGATGTAATTGTTACACTTTGTATGCCTTATCAAAATGTCTCACTTACCCCATAAATTATACACCTACTATTTACCCATAAACATTAAAAACAAAAGTAAAATAAAAAAAGAAAAATTCAATAAAGGGCTTCAGCAGCATATTTGATCAGGCAAAAGAGTCAGCGAATTTAAATATAGATCAATTAAGATTATCTAGCATAAGAAACAACGGCAACAACAAAAAGAATGGAAGGTAAAAAGGAAGAACAAAAAGGAGGGAGCAATAAAGAAAGAGCAGAGCTTCAGAGAACTATGGGACATTATCAAAAGTATGTAAATATACATAATACACGTCCCAGAAGAACAGAAGGAGAAAAATGTTTGAGGTAGTAAAGGTCAGGCAGTAGAGACTACGTAGAATTAGTCTGTAGTTTGAGGAAATAATGGCTAAAAATTTCCCAGTTATGATAGAAATAAACAAACATTGGTCTACACATCCAAAAAACTCAACAAACTCTATGTAAGACAAACTAAAGCAAATCCACACCTAGATACATCACAATCAAACTGTGGAAAGCGAAAAAAAACAAAGATAAAACTCTTTTTTTTTTTTTTGAGACAGAGTCTCCCTTTATTGTCCAGGCTGGAGTCCAGTGGCATGATCTCAGCTTACTGCCACCTCTGCCTCCCAGGTTAAAGCCATTCTTCTGCCTCAGCCTCGCAAGTAGCTGAGACTACAGGCATGTGTTACCACCCCTGGCTAATTTCTGTATTTTTAGTAGAGATGGGGTTTCGCCAGGTTGATCAGGGTAGTCTCGAACTCCTGACCTCAAGTGATCTGCCCGCTTCGGCCTCCCCAAATGCCTGGATTACAGGCATGAGCCACTGCATCCGGCCAAAGATAAAATCTTGAAGGCCACAAATGATTTATTATGGACAGGGATCTTTCATAAGATTGACAAGTTTTTTTCTCTTCTGGAACCATGGAGGTCAGAAAGCAGTGAGATAACATATTCTAAGTGATGAAAGAGAAAGCTGACAATCATGAATTCTGTATCTAGCAAAACTATCCTTCCAAAATGAAGAAGAAATGAATACATTCCCAGATAAATATAAACTGATATATGTCCCTAGCAGTCCTGTCTTATAAAAAGTACTAAAGAGTGTATTTCACACTGAAATGAGAGCACATTGTATTAGTCAGCATTCTGCACAGAAACAGAACCAGTAGAAGACCTACGTGTGTGTGTGTGTGTGTAATTTATTATGGAACATGATGTTTGTAATTAGGAGGCTGAGAAGTCTCACCATCTGCTCTCTATAAGCTGAAAGCCAGTGGCGTAATTCAGTCTGAGTTTGAAGCCCTGAGAACCAGGCAGCCAATGGTGTAACTCCCAGTCCAAATTCAAAGGCCTGAGAATCAAGGGGCAGGGTGGCGCACCCATGTAAATCCTGGAGCTTAAAGGCCTAAGAATAGGAGCTCTGACATCTGAGGGCAGGAGAAAGATGGATGTCCCAGCTCTAGAAGACAGAAAATTTGCTCTTTCTCTACTTTTTTGTTCTATTAGGGCCCTCAATATACATTAGATGACGACCACTCACTTTTGGTGAGGGCAGAACATTTTTACTCAGTTTACTGATCCAAATGCTAATATTTTGTGGAAGTGCCCTCACAGACACACACAGAACTAACGTTTTACAGCTTATCTGGTCATCGTTTAGCCCAGTCAAGTTGATACAAAATTAATCATCATACATATTAAATGGTAACTCAAAACCACATGAAAAACTAAAAAGCACAGTAAATGTAATGACATAGATAAATATCAAAGAATATAGAAATATACCTTCTGTTTGTATAATGTATAAATATATCCTTTGTAACTTTTGCTTCCTATCTTAATAATGTATCTTAAGTTGATGGACATAAAATGTATATAGATGTAATTTGAAACAATAAAGCATTAAGTGGGGGCAAAACAATATAGAAGCAAAATATTTGTATGCCATATTAGTTTGCTAAGGCTACCATAATAAAGCACCACAGACTGGGTTGTTTAAACAAATAAAATTTATTTTCTTACAGGTCTAGAAGCTAGAAGTCCAAGATCAAGGTGTCGGCAGGGCTGGTATCTTCCGAGGCCTCTCTCTTTGGCTTGTGAATTGCCATCTTCTCCCTGTGTGTTCACATGTTTCTCCCTCTATATGTATCTGTGTCTACATTTCTTCTTCTAATAGTAAAACATGACATCTTAATTTAGAGTCCATCCTAATGACCCCATTTTAACCTAATTACCCCTTTAAAGACCCCATCTCCAAATATATCATATTCTGAAAAACTGAGTGTTAGAACTTCAACATATTAATTTTGGGGAACATAAGCCCATAATATGTACTATTAAATTGGTATTAATTGAAACTAGATTATTATAAGTTAAGATCCTTAATGAAATTCCAAGGACAACTGCTAAGAAAACAACTGAGAAATATTTAGTAAAAGATGATACGGGAATTAAATGTCAAAAAGAAAAAAATCAATTTAACAAAAAAATGGCAGTAATGAAGAAAATAAGAAACAAAAAAAGACATGGAAGGTTAAAAGCATATAGCAAAATGGTAGATGTCAATTCTACCATGTCAGTGATTACATTAAATGTAAATTGATCAAATACTACAATTAAAGTTAGAGATTGAAAGTATGGCTAAAACAATGATCCATCTAGGTGATGTTGATACTTTAGATTTAAAGATACAAACAGATTGAAAATAAAAGGCCAGAAAAAATGTATACCAAGTAAACGGTAACACAAAGAGAGTTTGGAGTGGTTCTACTAATATCAAAAATAAAAAATAGACTTTAAGACAAAAAAAAATTGTTACCGGAGAAACAAAGGGTGTTTTATAATGATAAAAATGTCAGTCCATCAAAAGGATATAACAATTATAAACAGAACAGTGGAGCCCTAAAAATCCATAAAGTAAACAATGATAGAATTGAACAAAGAAAGAGACAACTCAATAATCAGTGTTGGTGACTTCAATACTAGATAATCAACTAGACAGGAGAACCCAGGATGTAGAAAATTTGAACAATACTGTAAATGAACTAGACCTGAAAGACACCTGTAGAACACTCCATCAACAACAGCACGATACACATTCTTCTCAAGTGCACGTGGAACATTCTCCAAGACAGGCCATATGTTTGGCCACAAAACCCATCCTAACAAATTCGAAAGAATTGAAAACATACAAATTATGTTCTCTGACCCCAAAGAAAGGAAACTTAAAGTAAATAACAAGAAAATCTGAGAAATTCACAAATGCAGGGAAATTAAATAACATTTCTAAACCACAAATGGGTCAAAAAAGAAATCATAAAGTAAATTAGAAAATGCTCTGTGATGAATAAAGCAAAAACAACACATATCAACACTTAAGGAATGAAGTGAAAGTAGGACACAGAAGGAAATTTCTCATTGTAAACACCTACATTAAAAAGAAGTTCGCAAATCAGTCACTTACACTTCTACCTTATGAAACAAAAAAAAAAAAGAAAATCTAAACCCAATTAAAGCAGATGGAAGAAAACATCAAAGATTAGATTCTGAATACACAAAATTGACAATAAGAAAACTAGACAAATAATCAATGAAACCAAATGCCGATTATTTTGAAAAGATCAACAAACTGACAAAATGTTAGCAATACAAACCAAGAAGAAAAAAGAGAAGAGAAATTACTACCACCAGGAATGAAAGAAGAGACATCACTAAAAACATCACAGAAATAAGAGAATATTATGAACAATTATAGGCCAACAAATTAGAAAATCAAGATGAAACAAACATTTATCAGCACATATAAAGAATTATAAACTATGAGATTTATCTCAGAATGTATGCATAGTTCAATATATGAAAATTGATCAATATAATGTAACATAATAATATAATAAAGGGGAAAAACACATGATCATCTCAACAGACAGAAAAACTTTTGACAAAATTCAACACTCCTCATGATGAAACACTTAAAAATCAAAAAAAGAGGGAAACTATTTTAACCTAATAAATCTCATCTACAAAAAACCCACAGTTAACTTTATCCTTAATCATGAAAAAACTGAACATTTGTCACTTAAGATCATGAGAAAAGGGAAAGATATTAACTCTTGCCGCTTTCATTCAATATTGTGCTGGAGGTTAGACAAAAAAAAAGAAAAAAGAAAACCCAAAAGCATCCAGATTGGAGAGAAAAAACAAAACTATCTCTATTTGCTAGAGACATGTTATATAAAAATCCTAAATAATGCACATACATGCACTCACACACAAAACTGTTAGAGTAATAAATATTTACAGCAAGGTTGTAATATACAAGTTCAATATACAGAGTCAGTTGTACATATACTAGCAATGAATGATGTGAAAATAAAATTTAGAAAACAATTCCATATATAAATATCATTAAAACAAGTAAAATGCTTATGAATAATTTTAAAAAAAGAATTGCAAAACTAATACTTTGGAAACCCCAATTCATTGTTGAAATTCATGTTGAAAAAAATTGAAAAGTACCTAATCAACAGAAGGACATCACATGTTCATGGATTTGAAGACAAAATATTATTAAGATGGTGATACTTCTCAAATTAATCTACAGACTCAATGCAATCCCTATCAAAATTCCATCTGTATTATTCACTGAAATGGAAAAGTTGATCCTAATCCATATGGAACTGCAAGAGTCCCAAAAATAGCCAAAATATCTTGGGGAAAGATAGACATATCTTATCTTTATGACGGTATCACACTATCATACAAAGCTACAGTAATTAAGACAGTGTGATACTGACATAAAGATAGACATATCACTTAATGGAATGGAACTCAAAGTCTGTAAATAAACCTGTGCAATTTAGTTTTGACAATGGCACTAAGGTCATTTAATCAAAAGAGAATATTTTTCAACAAATTGTTTGGGGACAACTGAATATCCAGATGAAAACAAATGAATTTGGGCACATACCTCACAATGTATACAAAAAACTTCATATAAATCAGAGTCTTAAGACTATTAACTAAAACTGTACAACTCTTAGGAGAAAACAATGAGGAAAATATTCATAGCATTGGATTTGGCAATGATTTCATAGGCATAACACCAATAGCACAGCCAACAAAATAAAATATAGATAAATTGGGCTTCAAATACAAAACTTTTGTTCTTCAAATGACACTATTAAGAAAGTACAAAAACCCACAAAGTGGATAACATATTTGTAAATCATATGTCTGATAAGGGATTAATATCCAGAATATATAAAGAACTCTATATAACTCAACAATTAAAAAAAAAACCCAAATAATCCAGTTTAAAATGGGCAAAGGATCTGAACAAATATTTCTCTAAACATGTAAAAATGATAAATAACCATGTAAAATGATGATCAACATAATTATTCATTAGGAAAATGCAAATCAAAGCCATAATCAAATACTACTTCACACACAGTAAAATGTCTACAATAATTTTTTAAATGGTGAAATCGTGATGAAATTAGAACCTCATGCATTTGTGAGTAGGAATGAAAAATAGTGCAACCTTTGGAGAACAGTTTGGCAGTTCCTCAAAAAGTTAAATGTAGAGTTACCATATAAACCAGCAAGTTCACTTCTTAGGTATACATCCAAGAAAACTCAAAACATATATTAATATACAAACTTGTACAAGAATGTTTATAGCAGCAGTATTTGTAATAGACAAAAAGTAGAAATAATTCCATTGTCTATCAATTGATGAAGAGATAAATAAAAGTGACACAGTCATGAAACATCTAATGTTCCTGTCAATGACAGGCCACATATATATATGAGAGTAGTCCCATAAGATTACAATGGAGCTGAAAAATTCCCATTGCCTAGTGACACTGTAGCTGTTGTAGTATCACAGTACAATGCATTACTCATGCATTTGTGGTGATACTGGTGTAAACAAACCTATTGTGCTGCCAGTCACATAAAATTCTAGCATATATAATTATGTACTTTATATAACATTTGATGATGATAATAAACAACTATGTTACTGGTTTATGTATTTACTATCTTATACTTTTATCATTATTTTAAAGTATACTCCTTCTCCTTATAAAAAAGTCTAATATAAAATAGGCTCAGGTAGGTCCTTCAGGAGGTATCTAGAAGGAGACATTGTTATCACAGGAGATGACAGCTCCGTATGTGTTATTGCCCCTGAAGACCTTCCAGTGGGACAAGATTTGGAGGTGGAAGACAGTAATATTGATGATCCTGACCCTGTGTAGGCTTAGGCAAATGTGTGTGTTTATGTCTTCATTTTCAACAAAAAGTTCGAAAGTAAAAAAAATAATAATAATTTAAAAATAGAAAAAAGCTTACACAATAAAAATATAAAGAAAGAATATTTTTGTATAGCTATACAATGTTTTCAAGGCAACTGTAATTATAAAGGAGTCAAAAAGTTTTAAGAAATTAGCTTATAAAGTTAAAAAGTTATAGTAAGCTAAGGTTAATTCACTATTGAGGAAAGAAAAAATTTTAAATAAATTTAGTGGAGCCTAAGTGTACAGTGTTTCTGAAGTCTACAGTGATGTTTAGTAATGTCATAGACCTTCATATTCACTCACCACTCACTCACTCACTCACCCAGAGCAACTTCCAGTCCTGCAAGCTCCGTTTATGGTAAGTGCCTTATGCAGGTATCATTTTTTATATTTTATACTGTAGTTTCACTATACCTTTTTTATCTTTAGATACAGAAATACTTAGCAATGTGTTACATTTGCCTACAGTATTCACTTCAGTAACATGCTGTATGAATTTGTAGCTTAGAAGCAATGGGCTATACCATATAATCTAGGTGTATAGTAAGCTATACCATCTAGGTTTGTGTAACTACACTCTACAATGTTGCAGGACAACAAAATCACATAATGATGCATTTTTCAATGCATCCCATTAGTAAATGTTGCTTGACTGTGTATCCATGCAATGGAACATTATTTGATCACAAAAAAAGAAATACAGTACTAATATATGCTACAACTTGGATGAACCTCAAAAATATTAGTTTAGGTGAAAAATGGCCATTTTTTATATGATTCCATTGATAAGAAATGTATAGAATAGGAACATTTGTAGAGATAGGAGATTATTTGCCAGCAACTTGGGAAGTAGGAATGGGGTGTGACTGATAACATAAGGTTTCTTTCTGGGTTCATGAAAATCTTCTAGAGTTAGTAATGTTTGCACAATCTTGTGAATATACTAGAAACCATTGAATTGCACACTTCTAAATGGTGAATTTTATGGTATGTGAATTATTAATACATATTAATTTATAAAGAAAGGCTCTGAAGCATAAATAAATTCTCAGGGAGATAAGGGAAATATATAGTATTCAGAGAAATAATAAAAAATAAAAATATAAAAAGGAACTGTCAAAGAACAAAATATTAAAAACTTTTAGAAAATATTAACTTTTAGAAAAAGAAAATATATTTTTAAACAAGTTGGGTCTCAAAAGTACATCTCTATTGCACCTTTTCTCAGGAATTTACCAGAGAATGTTATCTACTAAAACGATATTGCAAACCAAGAAGGAGGAATACATGGATACAGGAAATGGCAGATCCACTTCAGAAGAAAGAGTCAAAGAAACTCCTAGGGGAGTGTGGAAGATCATAGGTGACAGCTGGTGTACCAGAACAGATTGAGGACAACTGCAGATCAGAAAACTCTAAGATTACATTGGTAGAATAACTGATTTACTGAATGTACTGCAAAAAGATACGGACAATCTGTGGGGTGTATGAGAATGATTTAGCAATATAAAAATACACAAAAAGTAAGCAAATTTAAAAACAAATTAATAATTAATTACAAAAGAAAACAATCTGTACACAAAAGAGAGTACTCAAAGTATACTAAGTGGTATAGCTATGAAACATTCACTACATTTACATAGTCATAAAAATGTAAATAATACTGATCTCACTAAAATTATTTTAGTATAATGATAACAAGATGATAGGGAAATTGAGAGAGTGTTGGGTGAGGCCAGTGTGTACGTATTTTGGCAGGGAGGGTCTTCTGCAGTAGATTATATTAGTATTCAGCAAATATTCACTTTTTTTGTTGCCTGGTCCCTTTGATGTAGACTTGGGCATATCATGTGCTTTGGCCAACGCAACATGTATAGAAGCAATGTGAGCAGAGGCTTTCTAGGTGCCTGTGTGGTTTGACTTGACTGTCACATGTATTTCCTCATAAGCAGAGCATGGCCTGGGTAGTTCACTAGCTCCAGAATGACCCATGCAGCAGATCTGAAAATAACTCCACATCTTGAAGCAGAGCTCCTCACACCAATCTGTAGACTTATAATCAAGAAGCAAACATTTGCTTATATAACCAATAATATTTAGGGGGTCCTTTGTCATGCAGTATTATTTGAGCAATCTGAAAAAATAGTCATCCATACCCAGCTCCTTGATTTTTAATTTTTTTAATCATGGGAATACAATAGGTTATTAAATAATTTAAAAATCAAGAGTGTATATATTGATTAAAGATATAGTGCTGGCCAGGAGTAGTGGCTCACACTTGTAATCTCAGCACTTTGGGAGGCTGAGGCAGGAGAATCACTCGAGCCCACGAGTTCAAGAGCAGCCTGGGCAACAAAACAAGACTCCAACTCTGCAAACAGTTTAAAATTAGCTGGGCACAGTGGCATGCACCTATAGTCATGCTAAATGACACAGGATACAGGCTAAATGACAAAAGAATTATCTAAAAAAATGAAGGTGTTTATTTTTGGAAGAGAAAAATAGAGCAAGGAGAGTGAGTTTGGGTAGCTGCTTCTTTTTTTCTTAACAAAGCTAGTAAAATTATGTGATCCTTCATATTATGTGATTGTATAACTGACAAATTAATGACTTAAAACAACAAAATATGTACATATAATAGCAGTAATTGCTATGCTAAAAGATAAAGCAAGATATTGTATCAGAATTTTGCAAAATTGAGGTGAAAATTGACCTGAGTGCTCCTTTTGGAAATTTGAATGTCAAGCAGGTAGCTTTCTGGGGGTTTGTTTAGAGTTATTTCAACTAGTTTTTAAATTATTATCTCTCCTTCAAATGATCCCTATTTGTCTTCTTAAATTTTGTAGACCACCTAATTTTCTATCACTTTTCATCCTTTAAGCATATTTTAGCTGTATATGACTAACTACATTATAGAAATAATAACTAAATAGATTAGTTATTTAAAGGAAGAATTGGGAGGGTATAGTTTATATTAAAATATTTCTCATAAATATTATCAATAACAACTAAGCTTCATTGCTGATTATGACAGTGCTATCTAATTGGGAAGATGTATCAGAGTATTTGTAGTAATTTAGAAGAAATATGAAGCTGAGACTTTTGGCTAACCATTAGGTTCCATTCTTCATTTATATTGGTGACCTTCTCTTACTCTTTAATCCTCAGAGATGTATGCTCAGGAAAATCAAAGAACAAGGTCATGACTTAATACAGCTGTATAACTACTCAAAATGCAGTTTTAACAGCAAGTTTCTTGTCATCGCTCAAAGATATTTTAAAGCCTCAACACAAATGCTCACAAATTAATTATTTGTAATGTCCTCAATCCCCTTCTTGAATCTCTAGAGCTCCCACACATTTTTAACCTTCACTTCCTAATAAGTGCTAAAAAAGAATCATAGAAAAATGTCATTAATTAGATGAATTCACAGCCTTATTTTCTTTGCCTAACTGATTTCCACAGCTTCCTGTTTGCAATCCTTTTCTTTTCCACATTTTCTCTTAACATTTCCTATTAAACCCTCTTTCCCTAAGATCTTTTGAGATGAAAAGTTCACTAGAACAGTGAGGAAGTGGAGCATTAGCCATTCCCTGACCTCTCATGGACAAACTAAAATGTACTAAAGCCTCTTCCGTTAGAACAGAATCATGCCATTGCCTGTAATCCTAATTTTTAATTTGTCTGTGACAAAATTATTTGAAATGAGCTTTTTAGGAACCAAGATAAAAAGCTTCCTAAAGGCCAGGCACAGTGACTCATGCCTGTAATCCCAGCACTTTGGGAGGCCGAGGCTGGCAGATCACCTGAGGTCAGGAGTTCGAGACCAGCCTGGCCAACATGGCGAAACCCCGTCTCTACCAAAAAAAAAAAAAAAAAAAATTAGCTGGCAATCGTGGCAGGCACCTGTAATCCCAGCTATTTGGGAGGCTGAGGCAAGAGAATCACTTGAACCCAGGAGTTGGAGGTTGCAGTGAGCTGAGATTGTACCACTGCACTCCAGCCTGGGCAACAGAGTGGGACTCCATCTCAAAAAAGCTGCCTAGAGACTACTGAAAAAAAATAGTGTAGCACTGTTTTGAAAGACATCTTTTTTAGGTTGGTGTTTCTGCCAGAGGTCCCTTCTTTAGGTATCATATTTCAATTCAAGATAGAAGAGTGTTACTTAGAGCATAATGCCCTAGTAATCAATTTAGGTTTGAACATTTCATATATTTAGAGCTTAAGGTTTCAGTTTGGGGTATTCCTTATGAGAGTCACTTTTTGAGAAAGTTTGGATCTCTCGGCATTCTGAAGATTGCATAGATTTCATGAGGCATGACAATGAGTTAGCTATAAAAGCATAAGGATTTATGGATTCTATGTCCTATTAACTGCACATAAGTTTAAAAGAAAGGAGAGAACTGGGCTGTACAATATGCATTTCAGATTTTGCTGAATATAGAAATTTTGAAATGGCTTAAAGTGTTAGCCAAACCAAAATTCAGTTAAATTTACCCAATTCTGGTTTATACCACGGATTTAAGTCCTCTTCCCATTGGGTTGCTTCCCAGAGTGTGCATTATCTGTTGATTGCTTTGAAATATAGATCAATTTTAGCAAAAAATGATATAAACAGAAAGGAATATTTTGTTCTTCTGCATCAAAACTGAAATGCAATCTAACATATAATTTATACTCTATATCATTGGGCTTGTTTTTTGTGTAGTAAAAAAAATGTTTTTTTAGTACCTAAAAAGCTATTGTTTTGTATTATAATAAAAACTCTATTGATGTGCATCTGTAAAAGGTTTAAAGTTATTCTCAGTGTCATTTGTCTTAATGCCTTTGATCTTACTTTCAAATTTCACTTATATTACAGCTAATGAAATGTTACTTTAAAACTAAAAAGTATACAAACAGGTTGGCTTGTTAAATATCAGGCAAACAGATTAATGTGATTTGTTTAATTTTGCCTCTAATAACTATAACAATAGAAAAAATCCTATGTGTTTTCTCCATTTCAACTATAGTATGTAGAGCATATATGAAAGCTTTGTAACTACACGTTCGATGTGACTACCATTATGGTCAGTGCTCTCAAATAAATTTTTATCTTTAGGAGATAAACTGTAGTATATCGTATATTTTGGTTTTAGTAACTCCCATCAAAATTCAGATAAGTACCTGAACTTTGTCATCTGAACTTTACTCGAACTATCCAAACTTCCTTTAATTTGTGATTCAAGCCTGAAAATCTCATGAGAACAGATGCTCTTGTAGGTTTTCTTTACTTCCTGCTTCCATTGTGGGAAACAGGTTTCCACAGAAATTTTTACATGCATTAAGTCTGAATGCATGATGCCTAGGGACTTTTATCCATTCAAATTCAAATTCGATATTGTTTTTACCCAGTTGAAATTTCAGTTCTTATCTGAACTTATCTTCTCATCTGAAGAAAGCTTAGTATCTCTATTATGTTCTAGTAGTTTTGGTCGCTGTTCTCTCCTTGAAGCTCTTTCTTTGTTAATCCTCTGTGGCATTGGTTTTTCTCAATACTCCATCTAGAAATACTTCATCTCTTGATGCTCCAGTTGCAGTTACATCTTATCAATTTTTGCTTTGACCTTTGTTTACTCTGAATGATCCTGCATTATTTGGTATTTTCCGGACTTTTCATCCACATAGTACATGTACATTGAGCACATTTTGTGTGCCTGGCACTGTTACATGCACCGAATTCAAAGCAATAAACAAAGGAAGAAAACCCCAAATCCTGCTCTCATGAAACACAACTCGTATTGGGAGTAAGCAGATAAGCAATACAAATAATTTAAATATTCAATATATTAGCTCTAAGTGCTATGTGGAGAACTAAAGCAGAGGGATGAAAGTCCTGGGAAGGGGCATAGTATTAGTAAGATTGGCAGGTAATTAAAACTTAAGGAAGTGAGGGTACAAAAAAGAGCTATCTGAAGGAAGGCCACTCAGGCAAAGAGAAAGCATCTGAAAAGACTTGGAGACTGGTGTATGCTTTGTATACCATTTGGCTCACTTTTCTTCTCTCTCTACATCTTGTCTATTGCTATGGAGTAAGTTGTCAACAAATATGCTCATAACTCTTGTTAAATAAAATGCATAGGAAGCCACTGGTTTGGACTAAGTTCCTGCACTTAGTCCCAACAGACCAAACCAAAATGGAGGCACTCATGCTAAAGTTCCACACCCCAAGCCAAAACTGACTTCACATCTGACGTTCTGAGAAACCAGAAGCATGAGAGATAATAGCCAAAACCCCAAACCGACCAGTTTTAACTGGTATGATAAGAAAGCCCTCCCTGCTTTTAATCTCTGCAAGAAAAGTAACTTTGAAACAACCAATCCACTTTTTGTTCTCTGTTTCTGCTTTCATCAACCCATTTCTCTCTACAAAACCAATCTCCTCTACTAAGCCCATTGTAACACTCATTCTATTTTATAGAATAAGGTGTTTCTAACTCTAGAATTACAAAAGCCAATTAAGATCTTGAAACTAAATTTGTTGTAATTTTATCTTTTATAGTTCTGGCAACCATGAAGGGACCCCAGTGACATGTCCCTTGAGGAACACAAGAGAGACACTGCTGACCCCTTTTAAGGTTCTCGGTCTTCACAGAGCCTGGGGATTGCAAGTTTCTCTTAGGTCAAATTCTGTCCTTTTTTCATTGAGCTGTTTGATCTTATGGCTTTCAAATCCAGCGTTAGCTTGTGTTGTGAGAGGGTACTTGACCTTTGGGTTTGCAGGAGCTAATGAATTACTGGCAAGAACTGCAGTTTTAAAGGTAAGTGACAGCAATTGCAGTAAGTGGTTTTTACTTCAGGAGGCACAAACACCAGCTCTTGGAATTTGCAGGCATTTGGGTACTGAAATGGTTTGGCTCTGTGTCCCCACTCAAATCTTATCCCAAATTGTAATCTCTGCGTGTCAAGAGAGGAACCCGGTGGGAGGTGATTGGATCATGGGGGTGGTTTCCCTCATGCTGTTCTGATGATAGTGAGGGAATTCTCTTAGATATGATGGTTTTAGAAGTGGCACTCCTCACCCCCACTGCAGCACGTGCTCTGTCTCCTGCTGCCATGTAAGAAGGTGCTTGCCTCTCCTTCGCCTTACGCTACGATTGTAAGTTTCCTGAGGCTTCCCCAGCCATGTGGAAGTGTGAGTCAAATAACCTCTTTTGTAATTAAATTACCCAGTCTCAGGTAGTATCTTTATAGCAGTGTGAAAACGGACTAATACAGGTGTTATCTGTTTGTTTCTTTTTATTGCACACTTAAGTAAGGGAGTCTTCAGGTGTCTGACTGGGTCAGATGGAAACTGAAAAATTACTGGCTAAGTGGATCAAGGGGATCTCAGAGCCAAAACCACAACTTGACTGGTAGACATGAGTTGGGCACTTAATAGCTATAGAGTGCTTACCACCAAAAAATAAATCTCCCGTTTTAGGATAAACTGGACACAGAATGGGTTACTGCCTGTGAGGCTCAAGAAAATGCCCTTTAAACAAACTACATTGTGAAAGCATTACACAACCCAACCCAGTGGGGTTTTCCTCTCAGGCTTTTATCTTGGCTTTGAGAGATCCAAGATTCAGTGAAAAATTAGAATCCTTAATTTCTAAAGAACTGAGTACTACACTTTCCAGCTATTTCTGCCTTCACATATAAAAGTATTAGGAACCAGAAAATGCAAATACTTACAAAAATGATGAAATTTTACTAAAGATAATTTAAAATTACCATGGCCATTAGGTGGAATATTCCAGATGAAGAACATTGCACTTAAAGAAGTGACTCTAAAAATGAGGGTTCCCAAATTAGGTCCATCTAGGGTCACGCCTATTGATGTGCCGAAGCTTCTGAAAAGATTTCCAAATATTTTATTGCGTCTTTTAAAGAATGCTTTTCAAAAGCAAATGAAAAGCTTAAGTGACTGATAACAAAAATGGAATTGGCTAATCTTTTGCTTAGTTACTATCCTATCGAAGAAGAAGGCCAAAAGAATGCTAAAGTGTTTATAAAGGTTAGGCTCTCAGGTCAAGTGGGTTTGCTTCTTTATCAGAGCTATCCATGCTGAGTCCAGGCATAAAGAATGCTTTCTTTGTCCTATTTGTTAATGGGCTCCTCCCTGGAGTCATTAATCTAGTAAATAAATAAACTAAATTGAAAAGACCACTCATGAAACGAAGTCAGTCTCCAAAATACACCTTTTTGGCATTTGGCTGGCTGTTCTGAAGGTTTTTGTAAAAATTTACATCTATAAAGGAAAATTCCTGGAAATTTTTACATTGAAGAGAGAACCTGGATCTAAACAAGCCTCAATTTTGACCATTTTGCCTTAACCAGGCTTTCTACCTACACCTTTCTTTGCTTAGGATAAATGGGACCTTCAAAGAATAGATCATAATTTTTAACAAGTTCTGTGTGAGTGTGATGAAGTCTCCTGTCCTGTGATAAAATTCTTCTCTGGTTGCTGTAACTCCCTGGGGAAAGGGTTGATGACAATGGAGGCCCTTTGGGAAAATCTGTCTTTAGGCAGATAAGGGAAATTCAGAAAGACTCATCTTGCATTGTACTATCTTCCAAGTGCGTTTAGCTCAAAATAATATATCAAAGCAGTATATTTTGGGATGGCATGTCCTGTGCCCTGAGCTCCTTCAACGGCTAGTTTTGTTTAAGAAGAAATTCAAGTATAATTGTTAAGAATGAGGAAATTAGGTGGACATTATGGGATACATTAGTCCTCCTTTAGCCAAGGTTTTGCTTTCTGTGGTTTTAGTTACCCAAGGTCAACTGCAGTCTGAAAATATTAAATAAAAGATTCCCAAAATAAACAAATTATAAATTTTAAATGGCCTGCCATTTTGAGTAGCATGATGAAACCTCATGCTGTTCTGTTCCAGCCCACCCAGGATGTAAATCACCCCTTAGTTCAGCATAAACAGGCTGTATGCATTACCTACTGGTGAGTCACTTTGTAGCCATTTCAATGATCAAATCAACTAACTGTTTTCATATCACAGTGCTAGTGTTCAAGTAACCCTAATTTTACTTAATAGTGGCCCCAAAGGGCAAGAGTAGTGATGTTGGCAATTCAGGTATGCCAACGAGAAGCATACCTGTTTGAAAGATCAGAAGGTAAAAGTTTTTGACTTAATAAAGGAAAAAAAATGTGTGTGAGGTTGCTAAGATCTATGACAATAACAAATCTCCTATTTATGAAATTGTGAAAAAGAAAAAAGAAATTTATGTATAGTGTACATAGGGTTCAGTACTATCTGCGGTTTCAAGCATCTACTGGGGGTCTTAAAACATATCTCTTGTGGATAAGGAGTGGCTACTGAAATAACCCTTACAAAGATTATAACAGTGAGAGAGAGAGGTCTAGCATAGCTGACTCTATCTTGCTTTCGGCCTCACAGGCTGGCTGTCCTTTCTCATTCCTGGACATAGGCCAAGGTAACCATGGGAGGAGTTTAGCTTATAGTTTATCTTTGAAACAAGAATGGTCATAATCCCTCCCTAAAACTGATCTCCTCATTGTCTGGGGACTGAAACTGCCTTTGTAAGACTAATGAAAGGCCACAAGATTAGGATTATGCAAGGAGCCTGAATTCTGATAAAATGTTGGTGTGTGTAGTCAAATGATAACCAGCCATTGTTTCATAGCCTGCTTTCCTGTAATCCTTTACTGCTCAAGAGTCATGAAGCCTGAGGTCACAGATTTGTAACTTCCCCACTTGCTCCTATAGATAACATTGCTATTGTAAAACCTAAGATTGGTCTTCTGAGATGTTTTCCAGACACAACTGACTCCACCTGGACAGTTGACCCATAACTTAATGGGTCCTGTGACCCCTCACCCAGAGGCTGACTCAGCACCTGAAGACCATTGTCCACATTCTTATAATTTCATCCCCAACCAATTAGCAGCACCCATTCCCTAGCCCCCTGCCCACCAAATTATCCATAAAAACCCAGGCCTCTAAGTTCTCAGAGAGGCTGATTTGAATAATAATACATTCTTGTTCTTCCACTTAGCCAGCACCACAATTATTAAACTCATTCTTGGCTGCAAAAATCTGCTGTTCTTAGTACATTGGCTTTTCTGGGCAGTGGGCAAGATGAACCCATCAGGCAATTACACTACTGTAAAAGTTTATAGATGAACTTGTCATAATTTCAAAAATATTTTTCAGTCACTTGAAATGTTAATGTCATGTCATGCAAAATAAAAAACATACATGAAATTTCTGGGTCATTTCTAAGGAAAATACTGAAACACTAATTCCTGAATATAAATTTTGGCATCTTGTTTTTATATGATATAGAAAATCTAAGTATTTTTAATTCTGTTAATAAACGTTTAAAAATAGTATTATAAGAAAACATATTTGTAAAAATTATGAAATGGTTCCCCTTCTAAAAAAATCCTGATATAAAAGAGTTGAAATTTGCTTACTTGCTAGTTTTCACTGACCTTAAGGTCACTAAGTGTTAAAAATTTTAGTTAGTATATGGTAAGTAAACCTAGGGATAATAAGGAAACAACTCTGTGTGTGAGGGAAGTAAGGCATGTTTATACAGCATATTATAAAGTATAAGAATGTTCTTGTTAAGGGAGAGAGTAGTTTTTTTCCTAAAGTAGAGTGACTAGCTGTTTCAAAATTTGAAAACGGGAAAGGTAAAGAACAAAAATTGAATGAATCAGAATGCTGTAGGTTTATAGAAGATTAATCCTATAAAATGTATTTTATTTGGGATCAAGCTGGCAAAAATCACAAAGACATTTATATAAGTTTTTCTAAAAATTGACCATTAGTATCAAATGCTAATGCAAAACTAGAATTTCATTCTCTGAGTTAAAACAATAAAGTTTTCTTGGAGTATTGATGTGTTCTTAATAGGAAACAGCAGAAGGTCTTTCTTTACCTTTTAGATAATTGGCCTAGGAAACAAAGATTCTGTGTTTTATCAAGATGATTCCTCATCCTTCATGTTGAATTTATTGAGCCTTTGATTATTTAAGAAAACTGAGTCTTCTTTACTAAAGAGCTAAGGTTTTCGACAACTATCTAACTTTTTAAATTTGCCTTTAGGAGCTTTTAAAATTGTCACTATGGCTAAATGAATGATTGTTATTTCATAGTAACCTGTAATCCTATTTAGATCAAGTGTTTTAAAGCTGTTGATATTTTTGACAAATCTCCCTAAATCAAATTCTAACTTAGGCCTTTTCAACCTTGAATAACTTTTGAATTTTCCAATTGTACCCCTGAAAAACCTTAAAGGATATCTCACCTTGTAAAAGAGAGATATTGGACTAATTAGGTTTACTTGATATAGAAAGCATTGTAAAATAATACATGATGCTAAACCTTAGGTTATATTTATGGATACATTATTGATTGACTGTCTCAAAAGTTGTATGAAATTCCTAAATACATGATATGTAAATCTATACTTTATTTATAGATTTTATAGATTTATAGTACTATAGATTTTATAGATTTATAGTACTATATTTTCAAGTAGATTAATGAAAAGGTTAGAATGGAATTATAAGTGCAGGCTTCTGATAACTTTAAGATCATACCATGGGACTGGGTAAGAATTTCTAGAACTCTAGTGAAGAAACTGATAAGTTTGGGAAACTGCTAAGATCAAGCAGAACAAAAATTAATTATATGAGATTAAATGAGAAAATGAAGAATTATGGGGTTTTATGTTGTTAATTTGAAACATTGCTCATTCTTGCTGGAAAATGAAAAAATTTCCAGATCTAAATTAACATTTTTTTCTCTTAAGCTATCTGTCTATACCTTAGAATAATTTGGCAAATTATACTTCTCTAAACAGAATAAAACATTTACTTTTTCCTCTCCCTTTGACCCTTCCTTCCAAGATTTGGAAACAATCATTGAGTATTTTACTTTTATGGCAATATAGTTATTTGCATAAGTTCAATAAGAATATGTTCTTTTTTTAACAGAATAAAATTGGAAATATTGATTATATTAAAGCGCAGGCTAGAATGACACATTTGTGAACGTGGCTAGGATGAATTTACAGACACTACAGGTGAAGTCTGAAGTCGGCCTTGGTTTGGCTTCCTAACATCTAGAGGTTTTTCAAAGTCCAATCTGAGATTCTTTGTCAAACATTCCAATGAAGCAAACTTAAAAAGAGTCTATGTGGTCAATTGCTATTTTGGGCATACTTACGTAAATAATCAGGCCAAGTTTAGTCAACTAGATATATTTTGTAAACAAATTTGTCTTATTCTGATTATCTTTGGTAGAAATAGGGGTGACTATGGAGAAAAAAATATTTTTCTAAATAAAAATTATAGTTCACCTTTAAAACAATCTAGCTGTTAATTGTTTGCAAGTTTTTAACATCTACCTATAGAATGAACTAGATTCTGAATTATTTTCATTTTCTCCAATGTCTGGCTACAACTCTTCAACCAAGAACAAGAACTGCTCTGTTCCTGAAGCCCTGTAAGCTGAAGCTGGACAATTCAATGTAAATTTCAAGGAACTAGTCTCATGCCTGATGTATGGGATACACAGATAGTTCATCAAAATGCCTGATGCCCTAACCAGAGACATTTAAACTGTAAACCAGAATGAGAAGTTGATGACTTCATGCGGTGGACAGCTTTTCTCAAGATGTTGAACTAAGACTTCCTATCAATAATGAAACCCTTACCTCTCTTAATGTTCCCTTGCTTATGCCTATCTTTCTCACTTGGCAGGATAATGCTGTGGTTAAAATTTCAGAATCAGTAGTTTATGCAGGCAATTTGACAAAATGTCAGATCTGTCATGCCAAACCCAGATCTTTACATGAACTAAGTGACTTTTTAGCCCACTCAGTGGGTAAACTGTAGCAATATCTCCAATGCAATTATCCTTTGACTTGTACCAGTGGCCCCTTTTTATCGAGTCAGACCTCTGGACCCACTTGCTCTGACTCCCTGCTTTAACGTAACCAAGTCATGGGATACTAGATAATGGAATCGCTACCTACTGGCTGAACAGGAAGGAATCTGCACAGTAGCTGACACTTCTTGTTGCACATGAATAAGTAGAAGAGACAGGCTGCTTGGCTAAAATGGGTAGATTCCTCATCTGGTTCATTCTTTCACCTATTTGATTTTTGTTGGTTTAGTTTATGGGGATCCTAGCTAAGTGACAAACTCCAAACTCCTAATATTATTATCCAGAGAGCCATAATAGTATTCTCCCTGGTGTGCTGTATTCTCTCAAATATTTTAAATGTTTGCATGCAGTCATATGTCTAATGTCAAACGATCTCTCTTTAGCCAGAACAACAAAAATTCAAAGAAATGCATCATCATAAGGATACTGTAATCTATAGGCATGTTGAGTATGGAAACTCAGAATTTTGACAACTGAGAGTAGCAATAATGCCCTAAGCTTTGGTCACACTTTCACCTAGGCCCCACAGACCAAACCAAAATGGAGGCACTCATGCTAAAGTTCCACACCTCCAAGTCAAAACTAAGTTGTTTATCTGACCTCAAAAGAATGAGAGAAAATAGCCAAATCCGCAAACAGGCCATTTTAGCCAGTGTGATAAGGAAGCCCCCTCTGCATTAACCTTTACAAGGAAAGTAACTTTGAAACAACCAATCCACTTTTTGTTCTCTGTTTCTGCTTTCCTCAGCCCTTTTCTGTCTATAAACCAATCTCTGTTCAGCTCATTGGAACACTCATTCTATTTTATATAAGGAGGTGTTTTATGATTCTAGAATTGCATATAAAAGTCAATTAAGATCTTTAAGGCAAATGTGTAGTAACTGTTGTAATTATTGTTACAACAATTATTGTAATTGTTTCTTTTCACACTCCCAAATTTATATCTCCATTTTGAGTGCCATATCTCAAACTTTCTGCCTAACATCTAGACGTGAATGTCTTATGAGCATTTCAAACTAAATATAACCTCAAATCTCATGGGTTTCTTCTCACTGAAATACATAATTCCTTCTATACCTCTCTTTTTTTTTTTGGAGACAGGGTCTCACTCTGTCACTTAGGCTGGAGTGCAATGGCATGATCACAGCTCATTGTAGCCTCAGCATCCTGGGCTCAAGCAATCTCGCTGCCTCAACCTCCCGAGTAGCTGGAACCAAACACAGGTGCCATCATGTTCAACTAATTTAAAAAAAATTGTCGAGATGGTGTACTAGTTCATTCTCACACTGCTATAAAGACCTACCCAAGATTGGGTAATTTATAAAGAAAAGAGATTTAATTGGCTCATGGTTCCACAGACTGTACAAGAAGCATGGCTGGGGAGGCCTCAGGAAACTTCCAATCATGGCAGAAGGTGAAGGAGAAGCAGGCACAATCTTCACATGGCAGAGCAGGAGAGAGGGAGAGTGAAGGAGGAAGTGGTACATGCTTTTAAACAACCAGATCTTGTAAGAACTCACTCATGATCAAGAGACCAGCAAGGGAGAAATCTACCCCCATGATCCAGTCACCTTCCACCAGGCCCTTCCTTCCAACATTGAGGATTGCAATTCGATATGAGATTTGGGTGATGACACAGAGCCAAACTGTATAAGATGGGGTTTCACCATATTGCCCAGGCTGGTCTTGAACTCCTGGGCTCAAGTGATCCTCCTGCCTCAGCCTCTCAAAGTGTTATGACAGAAGCATCAACTTAGTGATTCAAGCCAGAAAACTAGGAATCTTTTTAAGTTTCTTATTTTCCTATCTCTCTACATCTACTTTGCTTTTCCATTTAACACTAATTATTGAGAAGATACTTTGTGCCAGGCTCTGTGTTTCATGCTGTGGATGAAAGATTAATCACATGCTGAATATTGGTTCCTATATATTTGTGTATATTCCCACTGTTACACCCTAAGCATCTTGAGATTATAATAACACTCTTCTAACTGTGAAGCAGATTCAACCAAACTTTATTTATTCATGTGTGTTCTCCAACCACTTATATGGGCAGAAGATAATCATAACAATAGCCATGACTTACTAAATTCTAAACACCATTCTAAGCACTTTACCTGTGTTATCTAATTTAATCCTTATTTATTACCTTCTGGTAGGCATTAGGATTATTACCTCTACCGTACAAGTGGGGAAATTGTGCCAGGAGATGCTAAATGACTTGTCCAATGTCACATAGTGGAGTAAGTGGGCGAGCTGCTGCAGGGTGTGGTCATGTCAAAAAAAGAGCAGGTTCAAGCAATTCTCTTGCCTCAGCCTCCCGAGTAGCTGGGACTACAGGTGGGCGCCATCATGCCCAGCTAATTTTTGTATTTTTAGTACAGATGGGGTTTCACTCTGTTGGCCAGGATGGTCTCAATCTCTTGATCTTGTGATCCGCCTGCCTCGGCCTCCCAAAGTGTTGGGATTACAGGTGTGAGCCACTGCGCCCAGCCCTATGGTTGTTTTCTTAGTATTGTATTTTTTATTCCCATAGTATTATAGTTTTATTCTACCGGAGAATGTTCCAGAATGTCTCAAAATACAAAGTCACAAATATGGTTAAAGAACTAATGGGGGAAAAAAAACAGAATTGAAAACAATGAGGCTCTGGGCAAGTTATAAAATGCCCATATTAGCTGAGAAATCACATCAGATGACTCTACTTGAGAGCTTAAAGACCAGAGAAATACATAAAGAAATAGCGGCCTTAAAAAGAAAGCACCCCCACCCCAATATTCCAGCATAATTACCAAACATTTGCTGAAAAGAAAGAGAATTGCTGAAAGGTTAGAAAACCCCTGGGAAAATTTAAACCACATTTCTCCTTCTAGTATTATTAAGGAATTTATTGATGTTCTGTAGTAGTCATGGGAATATTTAGAAATCATTTGTCTAATTATCTGCCACAAATAAAAGAATTACAGGTTCTCAAATTTATCTCTCTATATAACTTTGCTCCTAAACTCCATCTGTACTCTGATGTCTACTATGCATCCTAAAGTTAATGTATCAACACAGTTTTTGATTCTGCTTACCCTCTCCCCCAACTTGCTCCTCTTCTTGTTTCCTCCATCTCTCTGAATGACAGACACCTCTGAGTACTGAATTTCTCAGGCAAAAATGGTGGCGTCATTCTAGATCACTCTCCTTCACTTGCTTCCCATGTGCAGTGCCAGAGAAAATCCACTAGTTCTACCTTAATGATATATATACATATAATAAACACAGATTCTTTTCAGTCTCCATTGCCATCCCATAACTCAATTCACTGTCATCTTTTCCCTGGACTACCTCGACAGCTCACTATGTCAGAAGGACACAGGCTTTGGTATTTCTTTTGCTGATAAAGAGAATGATTTGCACCAAGCCACCTTTTCTTTTCATTTCGGGACTGAGAGCCATCCCTTTGAAAGATGTTGAGCTGGAAGAGGAGCGATGTCTGTGGCTGTGGGAGAAAGAAAAGTTTTTCACTCTGCATAGGAGGTAGCCAGTATAAGACCCAACTTTTGGCTGCATTGGCAAATGTCCTGTTTTAGCCAGCTGAACAAGCTTCTGGAAGGAAGTTTGCACCCATAGAGACCACGATAGGTAGGCTGCAGTTCAGGAGGATTTCAGATCATTTATTTTCCTGTTGTTTGAGTTGTGGCAGGAAGTTTGCAGGAAGATGCGGCATTGGAGAAAGAAGAATGAGGAGGCTGGCACAATGGAAGAACATCTACATTTCCATCCTCCAAATGTAGAGAAGTAGAGAAAGAAAATTACATGCTAGCTGAAAAAGAAAAATAGAACAAAAATGAAAAAGTAGAAAGCCTAACTTCCATTTTATCAAATTTCCACACTGTTGACATCCATCAACCTCTTCATCTCTCATCATGTGATCCAAATTCCCTTCCAGAGCTAGAAGTAACTGACTATTTTGGGGGTGCTGAGCAGACAACATAAAGTTTGCCTGAAAACGTGGTGCTGTTTGCTGATCCATTGACTGGAAGTAATTGTTTCATAAGGACAGCTTGCTTCTGGCATTTTATACTAAAATAGAGATGCTTGACTTTTCAGCCTCCAAAGCCTAAATGTTTGGCACGAATATAGAAATCTGGCATTTTTCAATGCTCATATGTCCGAAAGCTGGAGAGCTGAAAAACACTGGGAGTACCAAATTGGTGTCCACTTTGGAATATTTGGCCCAAGAAAATGTATATTCTCATGCCGCAGGAAGTTGGTTTTGCAAAATGAAGGCTGAATTGGGGCCAAAAAGAAAGCACCATTTGCCAGAGTGCAGATGAAATGTGATAGTTTGCTGCACAAAGTTTCTTTTTAAAAGTTATTTGCAGCTGCCATGACACATCTTTAACGTTGTAATATGCAGAACTGTTATTCAGAAATTCCAACAGAGAGAAACAAATCTCAATTGTTTACATTTAAACATGATGTAGTAAGATACTAAAGAATAAATGTAAACATTACAGTTTGGACAAAGAAATGCAAGTGAAACATGGCTCAAATCACAGCATAGACCGATATGGTCCTGGGTTAAAGAAATTGTTATTTTCATGGAAAAGCTATATTTACAATTATCTTAGTTAACAGACCTGCTTATGATGTGCTGTGAGAAAATATATTATTTTAGAAAGTATTTAAGTCTTTTTTATTAATATGATGAAGGAACTCCATTGCTTTTAAAAGAAGGGTTTAATTCTCCACAGATAATAGTAACCTTAATTACACTTGTTATTCCTTCTGAACACATAAACACAATTACAAAAACTCATTATGTGAGATTTACGGGTTTAACAAAATTCATTAAAGATTTGATTTAAAAGTCAGAAACTACGTGCAACCAACACTAGACTATTAAAATAGACTAAAATTTGGCAAGCACATAGGAAACAGAGTGTTAGCAAAAATGAAGAGTTCAGAGAAAGGAAGAAAGGAAAGGAAGGAGGGAGGGAGGGAGGAAAGAAGGGAGAGAAGGAGGAAGGAAGGAAGAAAGGAAGGAAGGAAAGAAGGGAGGGAGGGAAGGAGAGAGGGAGGGAAGAAGGAAGGGAGGGAAGAAAGAAGGAAGGAAGAAGAGAGAGCGGGAGGGGGAGATGGAGGGAGGAAGGAAAGAAAAGAAAGACAGGAGAAAGGAAGAAAGAAGAGGGGAGGAAAGGAGAGGAGAGAGAAGGGAAGGGGAGAAAGGGGAGGGGAAAACGGGAGGGGAGAAGAGGGGAGTGAAAAGAAGGGGAGGGAAAGGAAGGAATAAAAAGATCAATGAATAAAGAGTGAAATACAGAAGACCAAGGGGAGAGGTTTTTACCTTTATTTTCCTTTTGTTCTATTCAACAGTAACTTTGAGAGTGTCACGATGCAGTTTCTGATGGTACATTTTTATTCTCTAATGACATTAGAAATAACTTAAGGTGCAAGGCATACAGGTAAAATGTGTACAAAAAGTTGTTTCTGAGTTCCCAGTTGACTGCACGTTCTTATTTAGAGAGATGATAGTTAATGGTGGAGACAGCTGTAATGTGTTCTTCATTCCCTATTTACCATCTACACTAACTTGTCCACTGATGTACTGCTGTTTTTATAAGATGTTGTTAGTTGCAGAAATGGGAGGTTTTTAGTGAGAATAAAGCCACTGACCTGGGCTGATTTGCTTTTTGGTGGCTCTCTATTACTCTTCACCTTAAAACACAAAAAGCAAAACACCTAGCTCGGGAGCCAGACTTCCTGAATTCAAAATTGGCTCTCCCACTTACTCCACCATGTGACATTGGACAAGTCATGTAACATCTCCTGGCACAATTTCCCCACCTGTACAATAGAGATAATAATCCTAATGCCTACCAGAAGGTAATAAACAAGGATTAAATGAGATAACACAAGTAAAGTCCTTAGAACGGTGTTGGGAATTTAGTAAGTCATGGCTATTGTCATGATTACCTTCTGCCATATAAGTGGTGGAAGAACACACATGAATAAATAAAGTTTGGTTGAATCTGCTTCCCCTGTACACACATTAATAAAGCACAACATTGTCTTATTATCTAATTGTAGTCTGTATGCCGGAGATATTTCATGCAATAGATCAAATGTATTCCCTATATTTCCCAGCCTCCCTTCCAGTTAGATTGAAACCATGTAGCTGTGATCTGGTCACTGCACAGGAGAAAGTGATGAATGACACTTGTAGGCCCACCTATAAAGCCTTCAGCTCTCTCTTCCTCAGCCACCACAGCCCTGAAGGCGATGTGCAGCGAGTGGTGAAGTGACCACATGAAGGAGAGCCCTCCACCCGGCATCAGAATTTTCATAAATGCGAAATAAAGTCTGTCTTGTGTTAAGCCACTGAGAATGTGTAGTTTGTTATTGTAATATTGCCTAGCATAATCCTCATTACTGCAGTGACCAAAATGATGCATAGCTCCTTGGTAATGGGCATAAAATCATGTTATTCCAATTCCTTAACATGGCAGTGAGGTCTGCTCTCTCAATTAAAAAATATTTCATTCCTCTTTTGTCTTAATTTTCCAGCCTGGCACCATGGTTGTTTCTTAGCCATAGGACTTGTATTTTACGTCCAATTTGGCATTATTTATTGTTATCTGAAGGGTATATTCACTATATGGTCTTAACACTCTGGACTGTTTGCTGGAGCTAAACATTTAAATATAAACACAATGAGTAAATTTCTGCTGATTCTTCTCTTTAGAGGATGCAGAATACAAAACGAACCTTTGAAATAACAACTATGATGCAGGTAGGAATGGTGATGCCACCAAGTGGCACTTGGACACTTCAGGGGCCCTCTCTTACATTTGAGCAATGCCTCAATATTTAATATTTATCTCAGTATTGTTTTTCCTTTTATAATTATTACACAATATATTATCCTATTATTTCATGTTTACCTGAGTCACTAGTGGTTTTAAGTTGAGTGGAAAGATAAATGCACAGTGATTAGGCTACACTGTTAACTTTATTCGAAAAATTCTTTAAGGATGTTTTATACTTTAGACATCTAAAAGGTAGTGACAAAATCCAAATACAAAATTATCAAAAGAACCGAAGATCTTCATTGTCCTACACAAATGCCCAAGCACATATTTAAAATCAAAACAAAACACTGGACTAGAAAATGAGAAGTCAAGGACTAAAGTCATAATAATGACATACAAGTTGATTTGTATGTCTTGAAGCTTTTAGGAGCAGACATTGAAATACCAAAGATTTGCTTTAGGGACTATAATGGTCCTATAATCTAAAGCACAGAAACGCCTTTAGGGGAAAAAGAAATATAAAAGGAATGATACTGAAAGTCTCAATGGATAAGGTGACTTTAGTGTTCGAGACTAAATTTTTTGAAAATAAGTATGCCAGGTGTATTTTTATGACACTATTCAATTAAAAGTTTTAAGAGCCATATTTGCAAAGTTATTTATGTACTATAATAGGACTCCAGGAAGCTAAGAGTCCTGGCCCTGATATTTTAGTGAAAAGCCCAAGGTACCATTATTTATGTAAAATTTGGATTTTATAGACAGAAATAAAAAACAAAGGACAAAACATATTAATACTTTAAAAGAGTAATGTATTTTGAAAAATAAAAACACTGCTCTGTGCTGTCTTTATACTGTTCAACAGAAGTAGCAAAACATGCCACTAGAGAATTTTCACAGTCCTTTTCTACCTGAATAACAAAGATCTACTTTAAAAAAAAGTGTGTAAAAGGAATTGCTACTTTGTTTAAAGTTAAAAATGCTTTGGTATAATAACAACAAGAGATATATTAGCAAATGATGTGAAGGAGTTGTGTGATTGTGTACATAATTTTGTGTTTATAATAACGATTTTCACCTAAAATATTAAAGTAATTCAGTCTCAAATATTTTAAAAATACCTTTGCAAAATGAATTGCAGAGCTAAGTTCAGCTGTTACCTGGACAGAAGAGATCTGTATGATGAGCTATCACAAAACTTAGGATAAAGGAATTTTGGGGGTGCTGGTATAAATTATCTAGTTTGCCTGCTGACAGCTTCTTTTCATTTTATCTCTGACAACATCATTTGCTAATATATCTCTTATACAAAAACACCCTCACAGAAACATCTAGCTATAATTATAGCTCTTTGGAGATTTTCTCACTACTGTGATTTACTCATGAGGTATACTTCTCTTATAAGTTCTCTTCATTTAGGATTTTCTTATCCTTGAAATCCCCCAGAAGAACATTCTATACTAGAGCATTCTTTGTAAAATAAGTAATTCATTTCACATTTGATTTGTCTTCTGAATGTGTATCTGGCAAAGAAAATTATCCTGAAGTTTTCCTGGGCATGGTGATGGTTAACTTTATGTGTTAAGTTGGCTGGGCCACAGGATGCCTAGTTATCTGGTTAAAGATTATTCTGGGTGTTTCCGTGAGGGTGGTTTTGTATAAGATTAATATTTAAATTGGGGGACTTTCAGTAAAGCAGATTGCCCCCCATAACATGAGTGGGCCTCCTTCAACCAGTTGAAGGTCTTAGGAGAACAAAGGGACTGGCCTCTCTCAAGCAAGAGAGAATTCTACAGCTGACAGCATTTAGACTTGAACTGCAGCTTTGGCTTTCCTGGGTCTCCAGCCCGCCAGACCACCCCGCACATTTTGGACTTGCCAGCTGCCACAATCACGTGAGCAATTTTTTTTCTTCAGGTCTCACAATTTTTTCTCAAGCAATTTCTTATAATAAATATTTTTATGATAAGTATGTGTGTATATATACATATATACACATTACATATATATGTGTGTGTATATATGTGTATATATAGATTGATGCAAAAGTAATTGTGGTTTTTGCCATTATTTTCAATGGCAAAAGCCACAATTAATTTTGTACCACCCTAATATATATACACATGTGTATATATGTGTGTATATACATATAATATGTGTGTATATATGTGTATATATGTATACACACGCACTCATACATCATTGTAAAAATACATAGATATCATGGAATCATGACAGGCCCATGTTATCTTGAAAGGCTTCACAATGCCAACCCAGGGAATATTATAAATATCCTACTGGTCCTGTTTCCCTGAGAACCCTGACTAATATAGGCACTAAGTACAAACCTACAGGCAGGTTGTTCTGACTTATCCCTTGAAAAGAATATATTAACAAGACAATTCAGATGAGCATGAATTATGCTCAGCAGCCTCCCTATGGCAATATTATATTTTTATAAGGAAAGCTAGGTAGTCTAAATTGTCTGTGATTCTTTCTTTCTTTTTTTTTTTTTTTTTTTTTGAGACAGAGTCTTGCTCTGTCACCCAGGCTAGAGTGCAGTGGTGTGATCTCAGCTCACTGCAACCTCTGCCTCCCGGGTTCAAGCGATTCTTCTGCCTCAGCCTCCAGAGTAGCTGGGACTACAGGCACATGCCACCACGCCCAGCTAATTTTTTTGTATTTTTAGTAGAGGCGGGGTTGTCTGTGATTCTTAAAAAATGCCATGAGGTCTTCTTACAAGGTACCTTAGGTTATGTTCTCTGCTAGCCATGGAGAGCATTTTCTTGATTTGCTTATAATTACAGAACTGAGGAAAATTGTAAGAAAGTAAGTTTTCATTCTAAATTTCTGATTAATCATCAGAGAATATATTGCTAGAGGATGAGTCTAACTCTATTTAACTCTTGGAAATGAGCCCCATCTACAACTGACATGAGAGCAGGTCCTTAATAGATCCTCCTGAGGACACAAAGTTGAGAGTAAAAAAGCAATCAACTAAATGTTCATCTTCACAGCATGCATTTTTCCTTCTGTGGAGTTGTGTAAGAAAAGTAGGGAGGAGATAGGAGACAGTTAGAAGGCTAGGTTCTATAGTATTCGTTGAAGAAACATTGTAAAAATACATAGAGATCATGGAATCCTGACAGGCCCATGTTATCTTGACAAGCTTCACAATGCCAACCCAAGGAATATTTCAAAGGTGGGACTCAAACCAACAAAAATCTTTAGGACATGAGATAAAATGAATGGGGTAGCTGAATACGCTAGAAATGGAAGAAAAATTCTAGAGTTAAAAGTTATATTTATTCTCTCAATAGATGTTTATTAGATTTGGACTATGTGTCAACTACTATGTTAAATGATAAACTACACCAGTTTTGAGCTTAGATTGGCAAGCCTGATGGTAGGCAAAATAAATATCAACAAGAGATATATTAGCAAATGATGTAAAGGAATTAAGTGATTGTATGGATAATTTTGTGTTTATAATAACTGTTTTCACCTAAAATATTAAAGTAAAATATCAACAAGAGATATATTTATAGTTTACCTTCATTTGCTACCAGCATATTCTCTAGTCACTACCATTTAAACATTTAAAAGCACATACTTTATTCAGATTTGTACAAATAAGAGTGAGTGACATGTGTTTTAAGAGTATTTTTTTTGCATCTGATTTTTTGTTTTTAAGTGAACAGCAATTTATGCCACAGAGAAGAATTAGAAAAGAATCCAAACATTAGAGGAAGGAAAAAGGAGGTGGAGAAGTGAGAAAAAGATAAGGAAAAAGAGGGAATAAAGATCATGGAAGAATATTTAGATCTTCCAATTCTCCTTAAACACATGCAGTGCATACTCAGCAA
This sequence comes from Homo sapiens, assembly GCF_000001405.40. Classification (NCBI taxonomy): domain Eukaryota; kingdom Metazoa; phylum Chordata; class Mammalia; order Primates; family Hominidae; genus Homo; species Homo sapiens. The sequence goes on from NC_000001.11 coordinate 219,056,076, forward strand.
TTCTACCCAGAAAGGCCAGAAGTCACTGGGATAAGCATCCTATATTTACTATGAAACATTTACCTAAGCAATTGTTTTTGTTTTTTGTTTGTTTTATGTGTGTATGTGTGTCTAAGTTTTGACTTTGTTTAAAGCAATCTAGCCAGACAAACTAAATTTTAGTAAGATATTTCTTTTTAAAAATGACCAATTACCATATTTTAACTGTTTACAGGTAAATAAAGATGTGATAATTACTCAATTGACTGAGCATCATTCAATTTGCTGAGGACTCAAATAGAACAAAAGGTCAGGGAATGAGAACTTAATCTTGATATTGAGCTGGGACATCTATCTTCAGACATCAGTGTTCTGGAACTTAACACCATTGCCCCTATCACCCTACCCTAGATATCAGGCCTTCAGACTTGAAATAAATTACAGTGCAGGCTTCCCTCTTTCTCCAGCTTGCAACTTCTCAGCCACCATAATTCCATGAACCAATTCCATATATATAATATGAACATATATGAAGCATATACACACACACTATATATATATATAAAATATATGTATAAAATATATATAAAATATATACATATATCCTACTGGTTCAGTTATTCTGGAGAACCATGACTAACACAGATTTTGGTACTAAGAGTGGTTTTAGGGGAACACAATTTTAAAGATGACTTTTCTGAATTGATTCAAGGGTTTCTGGAATTGGCACTCTAATTTGTTTCAATTTAAATATGTTAATGACTCTAAGAAATAGACATATAAATTAAATGACAAATAATTCAAAATAACTGCCATAAAAATGTTCAATGATCTCAGGAAAGCAATGAATCAAAAAAATGAGAAATTAACATGAGAAAACATTGAAACAAAATTTGGGGTAGATAAATACAATAACTGTATTGAAATATTTACTAGAGGGGCTCGACAGAGACTCAGTTATGCAGAAGAAAGAATCAGCAACCTTGAAGACAGGTCACTTGAAATTAACCAGTCAGAGGAGCAAAGAAAAAAAAAAAAGTAAGTAAAGCCTAAGGGACTTACAGAATACAGTCAAGTGAACCATTAGAGGATTCTACTTAACATTTAAAGAAGAATTAACATCAGTGTTTTTCAAATTCTTCAAAAAATTGAAGAAGAGGGAAGTCCAAACTTATGAGGCCAATTTAGAATTCTGATTCGAAAGCCAACAAATATTACAAGAAAATGAAACTATGGACCAATATCCTTGATAAATATAGATGCAAAAATAATCAACAAAACAGTAGCAAACCAAGTTTAATATCAAATTTAGTGGCATATTAAGAGGATATACACCATGGCCGAGTGGAATTTATCCTTGGAATGCAAGGATAGTTTGCCATATGAAAACCAAACAATATGAAACTTCACATTATCAGAACAAGTGATAACAACCAGATGATCATATCAGTAGATGTAGAAAAAGCACTTGAAAAAAATTTAGTACCTCTTTAAGACAAAAACACTGATCAAACTAGGAATAGAAAGAAATTACCTCGACATAAAAAAGCCATATGTGAAAGACTCACAGCTAATATCATAATCAATGCTTTAAAAAATATCTGGAAGCTTTTCTGCTAAGATCAGGAACAAGTCAAGGATACCCACTCACACCACTTCTATTCAGTACTATTTCTAGTACTGAAAGTCATAGCCAGAGCAATTAGGCAAGAAAGACAAATAAAATGCATGCAAATTGTAAAAGAAGAAATAAAATTGTCCTTATTAACACATGACATGATCTTATATATATAAACCATGAATAAGTCCACCAAAACAAACCTATTAGAGCTAATGAACACATTCAGCAAAGTTGCAGAATACAAACTTAGTATACAAAAATCAGTTGCATTTCTATTAATTAATAATAAACATCCAAAAAGGACATAAGGAAAACAATCTCATTTACAATACTATTAAGAAGAATACAATACTTAGGTAAAACTTAATCAAGGAAATGAAAGATGTGTACACTGAAAAACACAATTTATTCATGAAAAAATTAAAGAAGATTCAGATAAGTGAAAAGATATCCCAGGTTCATGGAATAAAAAATTTAATGTTTTTAAATTGTCCATTGTAGCCAAAGTGATCTACAGACTCAATGCAACTACCATAAAAATCCCAATAGTACTTTTTGCAGAAATAGGAAAAAAAATTATAAAATTTATATGAAACCACAAAAAAAGAAAACCCAGATAGCTAAAAACACCTCACACTTTCTGACTTCAAAACATATTACAGAGGTAGAGTAATCATAATAGGATGGTACTGGCATAAAGACAAGTCTATAGACAACAGAGGAAAATAGAGAGTACAGAAATAAACCTTTACATAGTGGGTCAAATGATCTTTGATAAGGGCACCAAGACCACAGATGGGAAAATGATAGTCTGTTTTACAAATGAATTTAGGAAACCTGGATGCCCACATGCAAACAAATGAAACTGGACTCATCTTTCACATTACACAAAAATCAACTCAAAATGTATTAAATCCTTAAGTGTAATACCTAAAACTATAAAACTCAGAGAAAACAACATAGAAGGAAAGCTTCATAACATTGATCTTAGCAATGATTTCCTGGATATAACACTAAAAGCAGAGGCAACAAAAGCAAAAACACACAAGCCGGATTAAATCAAACTAAAAAGCTTGTGTAAAGCAAAGGAAACAATCACAGAGTGAAAAGGGAACATATAGAATGGGAGAAAATATCTGTAGACCACATATCTGATAAGGGGTTAATATCCAGTCATGTGAGGAACTCCTACAACTAAATAATAAGAAAAAAAATGAAATATTTGATTTTTAAAATAAACAAAGAACTTAAATAGACCTTTCTCCAAGGAAGACATACAAGTAGTCAATATGTACATGAAAAGACTCTCAATATCACTAATATTCAGGAAAATGCAAATTAAAACCATAATGAGATATTACCTCATAATTCTCAAGATGACCATTATCAAAGAAACAACAAAAATGAAACAGAGAGCAACAAGAAATAACAAGTTTAGGCAAGGGTGTGGAGAAAAGGGAACCCTTGTGCACCATTGGTACAAATGTAACTTCTATAATCTTTATGAAAAACAATATGGAGGTTTCTCATCATTGAAAGTAGAAGTATCATATGATCCAGCAATCCCACTTCCAGGTATTTATTTAAATAATTCAAAACAGGGTCTTGAAATAATATGTGCACTTTCACTTTCATGTTCATTTTGGCATTAGTCACAATAGCCTAGATGTAAAAACAACTAAAATCCTTTGATGGATGAATGGATAAAGAAAATGTGGCATAATCATGCAATGGGATACTTTTCAGCCTTTAAAAAGAAAAAAAAATTATCCTATGCCATAACATGGGTGAACTTTGAGGATGTTATGTTAAGTGAAATTAGCTAGTTATAGAAGGACAAATACCACATGATTCTACTTATATGAGGTATCAAAAGTAGTAAAAACTCATAGAAATGGAAAGTTTAATGTTAGCTGCCAGTGACTCAGGGTAGGGGGAAATGGAGATTTGCTATGCAATGAATCTAGAGTTTCAGTCACGCAAGATGAAAAAGCTCTAGAGATGTGTTGTACAACAATGAGTAGGTGTCATATTATGTGTTTTTTTTACCACAATAAAGAAAAAATATAAATCATATAAAGTATCACCTTTGGCCACAACAAAATTAAACTAAAATTAAATAATGTGAATTCATCCTGAAAATACTAAAATATATGGAAATAAGGCAACATCTTTTTTTTTTTGCAACATTTTTTTTTTTGAGACGAGTTTCACTCTTGTTGCCCAGGCTAGAGTGCAATGGTGCGATCTCGGCTCACTGCAACCTCCGCCTCCCGGGTTCAAGCGATTCCCCTGCCTCTGGTTCCTGAGTAGCTGGGATTACAGGTATGTGCCACCACACCCAGCTAATTTTGTATTTTTTAGTACAGATGGAGTTTCTCCCTGTTAGTCAGGCTGGTCTCAAACTCCTGACCTCAGGTGATCCACCCACCTCGGCCTCCCAAATTGCTGGGACTGCAGGTGTGAGCCACCACGCCCAGCCCAACATACTTCTTAATGACCTCTGGGTCAAAAAAGGACTCATAAGGGAAATTAGAAAATATTTTGAACTAAAGGTAAATAGAAACACAAGTTAGTCAAGTTCCAATCAGTAGATAGAAACCACAGCAATATGTTCAACACGAACATTTTAGGGTGAAGAACTATTAACTAGTAAAGGGTTAATAATATAGGTAACTAGTGGAATATAGGAGTAATAAATGCAGAAACCATCCATTATTTCTGGTGAGTAAGAATACAGATGAAAGGAGTTTAGAAGTTGGAAGATATTCCCCTCCCCTTGCTTGTCTAAGTTACAGACTTTATTAGAGAGAGTATGACTACTACAAGCAACTACAATCTACCTATGGCAAACAAACTTGCCAGAGGTTGCAGCTAGAGCTCATTCATAAGAGGAATCCACTGGGTATCTGGAAAATTCAGTAGAGGGTCGGGTAGGCTGGAGCTGTTCTATGGAAACTCCCTGCAGAGTGTCCATGAAGTGACAGGCTGGTCAAAGGTGGTCCAAAGAAACAATCCATTGCTGAAATAATGGAGGGCCACGGCCACTATGCAGAAACAGGCCCTCGTGGCGGGTGCCTGTAATCCCAGCTACTTGGAGGCTGTAATCCCATCTACTGGGAGGCTGAGATAGGATAATCGCTTGAACCCACGAGGTGGAGGTTGCAGTGAGCCGAGATCAAACCATTGAACTCCAGCCTGGGCAACAGAGCCAGACTCTGTCTCAAAAAAAAAACAAAGAGGTCCTCATGTAGCACTGTCTTCCTAGAGCTCTTCCACCAGAAGCAGCCCTCTGAACTGCTGGAGAAACTCACTGACTGAGTACTGTTGAGCCGCCTGCACATCACTGGTTACTATGGGAGAAAAAGAAAAATCACACCAGAAAGAAGCCTCTTCCTTTGCTTTGTCTTGCAGTGATCCCCCAGCAACCACTAAGGCTAACATTAAGCAGCTGTCTAAAGGGAAATTTTTACAGGGTTCGTTTTTAGTTTCCCAAATCAGGACAAAAATAGATGGATGTGAGATGAGAATCAATTAATAACTAGCATAATAACATATCAAAATTTATAGACTGAAGCAAGAAAGTAGGATTTAGAGTGAAATTTATAGCATAAAATGCTTGTATCAGGAAGATAAACAAGGTCTCAAATCTGTAATATGTCATCCTTAAGTTCTCAAAAAAAAATCTGTGATATATTTTTCCACCTTAGGAAAAAAAGGAGGAAATTTAACCAAAATATGCAATAAAATAGAAAAAAATAAAAATAAGTATGGGAATAATTGAAAATGGAAACAGAAAAACAAGGGAAAATCGGATAAAACCAAAAGACGCTACTTTGAGAGGGTCAATAAAACTGATAAACAACTAGTCAGTCTGAACATACCAAAAAAGATATCAGGAATGAAAGAGGGAACATTAATACTGATTCTACAGGAATTAAAAGGATAATAAGGGAATGTTAGTAATATAGTCCTATACTAGTAACTAATTAAATTTATGGATAAAAATCTTCCCACAAGGAAAATTTCAGGTCCAGTTGATTTCATTGGGGAATTTAAAGAAATATATTTAAGTAGAAAATTGATACTAGGAGTTCTCCTCAAACTTCCAGAAAATAGATGAGAAGGAAAACCTTCCCAACTCCTTTTATGAGGCAAGCAGTACCCTGATGTCAAAAATGTCAAAGATATTACAAAAAAATAATAAATTGCTGACCAGTATCCCATGTTAACACAGACACAACAATTGTTACTTTCAGAAAATTAAATTAAGGAAAATATTTAAAAAGATAACACATCTTTACCAACCGGCTTTATCTCAAGAATGCAAGGTTGATTTTACATTTGAAAATCAATCCATGTATCTCATTGTTTATTACAATAAAGGAGAAAAGCCCTGTTAAATCAAGTTTGACTTAAAGCTGCCTCCTTACATATTTTAAGTTCGGCCTAAAGACTTAACTGTACATCTTGAATTATAACAAGTGGAGGTGTAAACAGACCCTAGCCTACCGTTGTGCCAGTGACTGAGTTTTGGCCAATCAAATGTAGCCAACTCTTTGAACCATTTTCAAATAAGGTAAACTCTGAGTTATAACCAATCCAGCTGTTTCTGTACCTCACTTTCCTTTTTCTTTCCATAAAATCTTCTTCTGCCACATGGTTGCACTAGCGTCTCTGAGCCTACTCTGACTCAGGAGGCTGCCGATTCGTGAATCATTCATTGCTCAATTAAACTCTTTTAAATTTAATTTGGCTGAAGTTTTTCTTTTATCAACCATAATAGATGCAGGAAAAGTATCTGACAAATTTTATTACCCATTTATGTTAAAAACTCTCAGCAAACTAAAAGAAGAAGGAAATTTCCTCAATTTAAACAAATTTTATATATATTTTTTGGTTTTTGGTTTTTGGGGTGTGTGTGTGTGTGTGTTTATACAAGTAACACAATAGTTAATGGTGAAACACTGAAAGCTTCCCCTCAAAAATCAACACCTATTCATAATATAAAAATTCTCAGCAAACCAAAAATTGAAGGCAACTTAGATATTCTGAAAAAAAAAATCTAGAAAAAAACAACGACTAACATCATATTTGGGGGTGGAACACTGAGTGATCATGAGCAAGGCAAGAATAACTGTTCTCACCAGCTCTTTTTGACATTATCCTGATAGTTGCAGCCAGAGCAAAAGGCAAGGAAAAGAAAGGAAAGACATACAAATTGGAAAGGGAAAAATAAATCTCTTTATGAATAGATGCCATGGCTGTTTATGGTGAAAATTTTAAGTCTAACAAAAACCTACTAGAACTAATAAGTGAGCTAACACTTGTATCTTAAAAATTAAATTGGGGTATTAACAATAGCATAAAGTATGAATTATGGATAAACTTGACCAAATACATGCAATTCTTCTACACTTAAAACTATAAATAAATACTAAGGCAATTTAAAGAAGACTTAATAAAGCGTGGTATATGCCATATTTGTTGATTGGAAAACATGATATTGTTGAGATGTCTCTCCAAATTCTCTCCTCAAATTCATCTCCTCAAATTGGTCAATGAACTTATTCATTAAAATTGGCAATCACAAAATTCTAACAAGCTTATTTGTTGAAAGTGACAAGCTGATGTTAATTTTATGTGGAAATGCAAAAGACTTAGAATAATTGAAACAATTTTGAAAAAGGAGAACAAATCTGGAGGAGTTACGCTATCTTATTTCAGACTTTAAAGCTATAGCTATCAAGATACTGGTTATCGGTATGAACAAAGATATACAGATCAATGGGCCAGAATACAGAAAAGAGATATAGACACATACAAATATGGCAATTAATTTCAACTAAGGTGTCAAGGCAATTCAAAAGGGAAAAGATAGTCTTTTCAATGAATGTTTCAGGACAATTGAGGATATTCGTATGCAAGAAAATAAATAAACCTCCCTTACCTAATACTATATATAAAATTAATTTCAAATGCATGCTAGATCTAAATAGAACAGCTAAAATTTTTAAACTTTCAGAATAAAACAGAAAATTCCTCTGAGCTGGGAGTAGAAAAGATTTCTCAGATAGGAATGAAAAGCACAAATCGTACAATGATAAATTGAACTTCATCAAAATGTTTATAAATTGTTGTTTAGGGAATACTGTTTTAAAAATGAAAGTGTAAGTTACATACTAAGAGGTAGTATGTTCATGACATAATATGATAAAGGAGGTATATATTAAATATATAAAGAACTCTCACAACTCTGCAATAAAAAATTTGCAATTTAAAAAGGGAGAAATATATGGACATATTACCAAAGAAGACAAACAAATAGCAAATAAGCACACAAAAAAATACTTAATATCAGTAATGTTTAGAAAAATTAAAGTTAAAAGAACAATGACATATCTCTACATGACCACTAAAATGGCTACAGTTTTAAAAGCTGATAATCCCCAGGGCTGAAAAGGATACGAAGTGACTGGAGATTGCATATATTGCATATATTGCTAGTATATTGCAGAATATTGCATCCACTTTAGAAAGCAATATGGCAGTTTTTTAGAAAGGTGTTATATGTTCTAGCAATCCTACTTCTAGGTATTACTTTTTTTTAAAGGAAAACATATAGCCACGAAAAATGTGTGCTTGGAATTTTCATAGAGCTTTATTCTTAATATAGGTCCAACTAGAAACAAACAAAATGTCCATCATATGGTGAATGGATAAACTCATTTTTTTATAATCATATAATAGGCTCAAGAATTTAAAAAAAGAAGTTTAAAAGAAGATAAACTTTCGATACATGAATCTCAAAAGCATTATGATAAATGAAAGGAACCCAGTACCAAGACTGCCTAGTGAAATATTACATGACCTATACACCTCCATTTATATGAAATTCTGACAGAACTAGAGTCAAAGGAGGAGATCAGTGTTTGCTGAAAAAGGATTGAGGGTGTAAAGATTGACTGCAAGGGTCATGAAGGAAAATTTGGATTGATGGAAACGTTTTATGTCATGATTGTGGTGGTGGTTACACAACTTAATTTGTCAAAATTAACCAAATGTTACTCCTTTAAGGTTGGTACATTCTTTGTATACATATTATACTTCAATAAAAGCTAGTTACATGAACAAATTAGAGTAGGATCACTACTCTGTCATGTACTATTTACTTTAAAATCCCCCAAAATAACCAAGTAAGTGCAGTACTTTTAATACTCTTCTTGTAAAGGAAGTCTTATGTGTGTTCTGGAGTTGAGTTAAAATCTTGAGGTGTTTCTGATAACTTTTGACTGCACAATCTCCCTTCAACCCTCAGAATGTAGCCTTCAAAAAACAAGAGGGGCTGCTAGGGTACAAATAGATTCCTAATATGGTTATGTATAGGGTAATTTCACAAAATGATTCCCAATATTACAATTTTGTGGACAGAAAATGTACCATCACACATAATGTTTAAAAATATAATATCAATTGTTTTTGTTGATATATTTAACTCTTGGTCTCCGGTTTCCCTGAAAAAGCGTTTGGTTTTCCAGTTTTTTTCAATATTTTTCACTGGAAATACTTGAAAATTATTCAGTTGGTTAACACTAAGAAGTCTAATCTCCGTATCTATCTACTATAGCTTAGAATTTTTCATATTATAAAATTTTACATATCATAGATATTTTGCCTGCCATGTTTATTAAGCATTATATTTTAATCTGTTTTGTGGTTAGTATGAAATTTCAAATCATATACCACACTGGTTTTAGATTTTGTGACTTAAAGATCTGTAATTAAATTACATTTTTTGAGTTTTTAAAAATAATCTGCAAGACACTTAAGCTGTATAGGTTTTAGTTTCTAAATTTGTGTTAAAATTTAAACAGAATTCATCAAAAAACATTTAGTGTAATTCTGATGTAATTTAAATTAAATTACATCAGAGTTTCTGTTTCTTTAATTTCATTTTTCTAACACAAGAGGGAAGTGTTCTAAGGCTCTAGATGAAAACACATACTGAATGAAAACCCCTATGAAATTAGGCAGGTATACTTAATTAAAGTTGCCACTTGGCTAATATGTTTTCCATACTCCCACACACTGTAATATCATAAATATTCTTTATGTCCAAAGTGTGCATCTTTGTGAAGAAAATTAATGGGTTCTGAGGAGAAATAAAACAGATGTTATTATTCTTTGGTGTTTTAACCATCTACCCATATCTTCCTCTTAAATGTCTGACAGCACTTTAGTACAGGAAGTCTGATATAAAGGGAATATCTGTGGCTAAAGCTATATACAGATGCTCAAATTATGAAATTAAAACATAAGGACAGTTTTGTTCCCATAATTAAGGTCTGTCCCTCACTTTCCTGCTTAGAAACTGAATTGCTCAAGTTCTGTCTTTTAGGCAGAGTTGTCTACATTCATCACATTTACAGATCCCTGACTGAGAAAAGTTTTAGCGTTACATTCAGCTTTGTTGCAAAAATGTCAGCATTGTCTTGTACTTGGGATGGCTGGTTGTGTGTGATGGCCAAGGTCTGCTCAGGGAAGGGTACTCTTTGTTTGACTGAATCACTTGAGACCATAGAGAAAAGGTGCCCTGGGAATAATCAGAACTGGCTGATCAGAGGAGGAACAGAAATGTGGAGCTGTCCAAAAGAGAGAGGTGGAGAACTAGTTTGAAGTCAAAACCAAGCCAAAAGAACTGATGAGGTTAAGAAACCAGCAGGAAGGTATACTTGAAGTGTAAGCAAGTGATGCTTAAGACTGAAGGTGTGGAATTGGGCTAAAGCTGCCCAAAACAACAGTGATATTTTCTTTGCTTCTCTTGGTGAAAGAGCAGTGTCAAGACTTAAACATTGTATAAGAACCATTTTGCCATTTTAAACAAATCAACACTTGCAAACCATGTCCCTCCCTGCCCTATGATTGCCCCGTGTAAGCTTTTGGTTACAAAAAGCCCTCAGAACAAAAAATGCAGGCCAGTTGTAAAGCCTTCATTCACGAAGGCCCAGCCTCAGGGCTAAATGGGAGAGTTCTGCCAGCCATCAAACTTAACAGCCTTTAAACATGTGCAACATTTCTCTAAGCAAATTGGTTCCTTAATATGGTAAAATGTGCAGCACCCAAGGGGAAATACTGGTGATCTCATTGCCCAAAACTGATGGAGTCACAGCACTGTATTCCTGAAAAGTACTCATATTTTCCACTTTGATAAAATCAGAAGCAAATATGAGAGTCAGTAGGTTTTGACATCCATTGTTCATTCTCACTTAACTTTTCTTCCTATATAGCAGAGCACAGTGGTTTAATTCATAGCTTATGGGATTTTTTTAATATAAACCATTCAAATTTTTTCTATATTAATCAGTGGTTTCTAAAGATCCACAGGGATAAATAAACTCTGCAAGCTGGCAGAGGTTTCTTGTGGCACAACCACTGGTAGTTATAAACAGTAAACAAAACATAGTAACCATTTTAAGCACAAGAGATTGCTGTATCACACAGGGCATAAATCATTAGCTTAATAATTTCAGCAGCAGTGTCTCCAAAGCAAAATTAAGCCAACAGTTCCCCCTGTGGCAATAATGAAGTACTGTAATTGTAAAAGAAAAAAAACAAAACAAGAGAAGGCATGATTATACCTCAGCAATGATTGAAAATCCAAGTTCAATAAATAACTATAGGAATCTCATCTCTGCTGCTCTTTGGAGAGGTGGGAAAGGGCTTGCCTCCAACCCCCATGTCCATTCTTGTAGGCAATTTGACATGCACAAGCGCACTTTCCCTTAAGCCCCCACAATTCACATGTGCTGTAGGTAGGGCATGAAAGTGATGACTTATAACAACTGAGAAGATGACAAATTTCTCTCAGCTGTATAGGCGGACATTATTCAGAGAATTAAAGAGCCGAAAGAGTGCTAGGCCCAAGACAGTCCAATGTTGAGCTGGGCCATAAAACCTGGATACATGTCTTCCTCATGAATTTGCCAAGTGTCAAAGTTCGTTTTTTAAAAACTGGCTAAAAATTTGGTGATTTGGGGTAAGTGCTATGGAACATTATCAGATAAAAGGAGTTCAGGGAGACCATCTTGATTCCTCTGCTGTGTCGAGTCAATACTATAGAATCTTCATTTTTACTCTTTAGTCATCCATTTTATAAAATCAATATAGTCTTATTATTATCTCTCTTTTTAAAAAAAGCTTTGAGTGGACACAGTATCTCTTTGAATTTTCTCAATAATCCTATGTATTTAAAGTAGCATTTTACCTTTTAAAACATACCCTATTTTTGACTACCTATTATGAACACATCTATCTCCTCAGAATGTATTTCATCTAAAAACTCTATGATTTAGTAAAGCAGAAGGTATATTATTTGCACAAAGCTAACTACCAGCTTGATTATCTTATTAGTGGATTGAGGAATGATTTGATTTGATAATACAGGGATACAGATTAAACTAGATTGTGTAGCGTCAGTGCCACTTTTACAGGATGGGCAGACCCCAGGCACCTAAGAAATAATCAACAAATGTCAATTTCCCCATTTCCTTTCTCTCTCTCTTTCTCTCTTTCTCTCTTTCTTTCTTTCTTTCTCTCTTTTTTGACACAGAATTTCACTCTGTTACCCAGGCCAGAGTACAGTGGCGTGATTTCGGCTCACTACAACTTCTGCTGCCTGGGTTTAAGCGATTCTTTTGCCTCAGCCTCCCGAGTAGCTGGGATTATAGATGCCTGCCACCACGCCTGGCTAATTTTTGTAGTTTTAGTAGAGACGGGGTTTTACCCTCTTGGCTAGGCTGGTCTTGAACTCTTGACCTCGTGATCCACCCGCCTTGGCCTCCCAAAGTGCTGGGATTACAAGTGTGAGCCACCTCACCTGGCCAATTTCCCCATTTTCATTGTGCTTTGTTTTTAAGTATGACACTCAGGCAAAATCATCTTAAAGACTCCAATGTCTATGCTTATTAGGTTAAATTGTAGATATATATTTGGATATAAATACTCTCCTTTATTAATCTGAAATAAGAAAATTAGATGGGAAATGGCCTTCTCTGCACCTATAAGAAAAGACTTTTCTCCATGAACAAAATAAATTATTACATCTTTCAGCTCTCTGTAAAAAAAGACACATCTAGCATTATATATAATCACAATGCTATGCATCGTAAGTGTGGCATGGAAGTAATTTTGCAAACAAAGTCATGAATAGTGGATCTAATTTATGGTCAAAGAAAGGTTAAAGCTGCATCCTAAGTAAACATATAAGGGAAATGTGGTTTGTCTTTATTGCTGCTCTTTCCTCCCTTCTCCTTGCCATTTTCTTTCCTTAACTCCTTTTTGCTCCACCTTACCTGTCCAAAATGGTATTTATTAATGTCATCATTCACATTTAAATTTGGTGTCCTCCAAAGTTTCCTCATACTTGTGATCAGGACAAAGCCAACGATAATAGGATATAAGCAGTCATGTGTTGTTTAATGATGGAGAAAATTCTGTGAAACGCATTGTTAGGCGATTTCGTCCTCCTGCAAACATCATAAAGTGTACTTACAGAAACCTAGATTGTATAGCCTGCAACATACTTAGGCTATATGGTATAGCCTATTGCTCTGAGTCTACAAACCTGTATAGCATGTTATTACACTGAATACTTTAGGCAATTGTGACACGATGGTATTTGTGTATCTAAACATAGAAAGGGTACAGTAAAAATACAGTATTATGATCTTATGGGACCATTGTCTTATATGTGGTTAGTCAATGACTGAAATGTCCTTATTTGGTGCAGGACAGTATTTGGATGTTAGGCTTATCAGACATATGATTTGAAATATGTTCTGGCATTCTATGGGTGCAACTAGTAAATTTTGACAAGGATTCAGCTTGGGAGATCCTTTTGACCTGTTAGAGTACAGCATTGGCAATCTATCTTGACTAATTGACTTTAGGTAGATTCATTCTTAGCCTATTCTTCCACTTGGTGCCAATTATATCTTGTATATATTTGTACCTCTGGGTACCTGGAGTGGGGATTTTTATAATCACGATTTTTAAAAATATATATGATATATATATACACACATATAAAATATACATGTATACATATAGCTTATATATACTTTATATGTATAGTATATATATAAAGAAATCTTACAATGCATTAATAAAAAGACAAATAGCCAATTCAAAAATGGACAAGGAATTTGAATAGACATTTTTACAAAGATATACAAATAGCCAACATGTACATGAAAATATGTTCCACATCATTAGTCATTAAGCAAATTAAAAACCACAATCAGATGCCATTTCACACCCACTAGGAAGGCCATAATCAAGGGACAAACAATACCAAGGGTTGAGGAGGATGTGGAGAAATTTCAACTTCAATACATTGCAACCAGGATTGTAAATGTTGCACCTGCTTTTGGAAAAGTTTGGCAAATCTTCAAAAAGTTAAACACAGAGTTACCATATGACCCAACAGTTCCATTCCTAGCAATATACCTAAGATAATTGAAAACATATATACAACAAAAACTTGTACATGGATTTTCATTCCAGCATTCTTCATAATAACCAAAAAGTAGAAACAAACTTCCATCAACTGCTGAATGGATAAATAAAATATGATACATCCATATAATGGAATAAAATTCATAAAAAGAAATTTAGCACTAATACATGCTGTAATATGAATGGACTTTGAAAACATTATTAATATGGTTTGGCTGTGTCCCCACCCAAATCTCATCCTGAATTCCCACATGTTGTGGGAGGAACCCTTTGGGAGATAACTGAATCATGGGAGCAGGTCTTCCCATGCTGTTCTCATGATAGCAGATAAATCTCACAAGATCTGACGGTATTATAAGGTGGAGTTTCCCTGAACAAGCTCTCTCTTTTGCCTATTGCCATCCATGTAAGACGTGACTGCTCCTCCTTGCCTTCTGCCATGATTGTGAGGCCTCCCCAGCCACTTGGAACTGTAACTCCATAAAACCTCTTCTTTTTTAAATTGTCCAGTCTCAGGTATGTCTTTATCAGCAGCATGAAAACTGACTAATGCTGTAAATTGGTACCAGTAGAGTGGGGCACTGCTGAAAAGATACCCCAAAATGTGGAAGCGACTTTGGAACTGGGTAACAGGCAGAGGTTGGAACAGTTTGGAGGGCTCAGAAGAAGATAGAAAAATGTGGGAAAGTTTGGAACACCCTGGAGACTTGTTGAATGGCTTTGCCCAAAATGTTGCTAATGATATGGACAATGAAATCCAAGCTGAGATGGTCTCAGATGGAGATGAGGAACTTGTTGGGAACTGGAGCAAAGGTGACTCTTCTTATGTTTTAGCAAAGAGAGTGGTGGCATTTTGCCCTTGACCTAGAGATCTGTGGAACTTTGAACTTGAGAGAGATGATTTAGAGTATCTGTCGGAAAAAATTTCTAAGCAGTAAAACATTCAAGAGGCAACTGGGGTGCTGTCAAAGTCATTCAGTTTTATAAGGGAAGGAGAGCATAAAAGTTTGGAAAATTTGTATCCTGACAATGCGATAGAAAAGAAAATCCCATTTTCTGAGAAGAAATTCAAGTTGGCTACAGAAATTTACATAAGTAATAAGGAGGCAAATATTAATCCCCAAGACAATGGGGAAAATGTCTCCAGGCACGACAGAGGTCTTCGTGGCAGCCTCTCCCACACAGGCCCAGTGGCCTAGGTGGAAAGAATGGTTTCCTGGGCTGGGCCCGGGGTCCCCATGCTGTGTGCACCCTAGGGACTTGGTGCTCTGTGTCTCTGCTGCTCCAGCCATTGCTAAAAAGGGCCAACATAGAGCTTGGGCTATGGCTTCAGAGGGTGAAAGCCTTAAGCCTTGGCAGCTTCCATGTGGTGTTGAGCTTTCCAGTGCACAGAAGTCAAGAATTGGGGTTTGGGAACCTCAGCCTAGATTTCAGAGGACGTATGGAAATGCCTGGATGCTCAGGCAGAAGTTTGCTGCAGGGGCAGGGCCCTCATGGAGAACCTCTGCTAGGGCAGTGCAGAAGGGAAATGTGGGGTTGCAGCCCCCACACACAGTCCAGACTAGGGTACCACCTAGTGAAGCTATGAGAAGAGGGCCAACGTCCTCCAGACCCCTGAATGGTAGATTCACTGACAGCTTCCACCGTGCACCTGGAAAAGCCACAGACACTCAATGCCAGCCTGTGAAAGTAGCCAGGAAGCAGGCTGTATCCTGCAAAGCCACAAAGGTGGAGCTGCCCAAGACCATGGGAACCCACCTTTTGCATCAGCATGACCTGGATGTGAGACATGGAGTCAAAGGAGATCATTTTGGAGCTTTAAGATTTGACTGCCCTGTTGGATTTCGGACTTGCATGGGGCCTGTAGCCCCTTAGTTTTGGCCAATTTCTCCCATTTGGAATGGCTGTATTTACCGAATGCCTGTACCCCCATTGTATATAGGAAGTAATTATCTTGCTTTTGATTTTACAGACTCATAGCCAGAAGGGACTTGCCTTGTCTCAGATGAGACTTTGGACTGTGGACTTTTAAGTTAATGCTAAAATTAGTTAAGGCTTTGGGGGACTGTTGGAAAGGCATGTTTGATTTTGAAACGTGAGGACATGAGATTTGGGAGGGGCCAAGGGTGGAAAGAAATGGCTTGGCCGTGTCCCCACCGAAATCTCATCTTGAATTCCCAAATGTTGTGGGAGGGATCCAGTGGGAGGTAATTGAATTATGGAGGCAGATCTTTCCTGTGCTGTTCTCGTAATAGCAACTAAGTCTCATGAGATCTGATGGTATTATAAGGGGGAGTTTCCCTGAACAAGCTCTCTCTTTTTGCCTGCTGCCATCCATGTAAGGCATGACTTGCTATTCCTTGCTTTCCACCATGATGGTGAGGCCTCCCCAGCCACTTGGAACTGCAAGTTCATTAAACCTCTTTCTTCTTTAAATTGCCCAGTCTCGGGTATGTCTTTATCAGCAACGTGAAAACTCACTAACACAATTATACTAAATGAAAAAAGCCATACATAGAAGGCCAAATAATGTATAATTCCTTTGATATGAGAAAAATCCATAGAGAAAGAAAGTAGATTAGTAGTTGCTAGGAGATGAGGGGAGTGGACGTTGGAGTGTGACTGCTAATGAGTATAGAATTTTTGCAGGGGTAACGAAAAGGTACTGGAATTAGTAATGATGGTTGCACAACTTTGTAAATATGCTTAAAATCAAGCAATGTACACATTTTACGGTATGTGAATTAAGAATTTTATTTTATTTCAGTAGCTTTTAATGTGTAAGTGGCTTTCGGTTACAGGGATGAATTATGTAGTGGTGAATTCTGAGATTTTAGTGCATCTGTCACTGAGTAGTGTACACTGTACCCAATATGTAGTTTTTTACCCCTTGCCCACATCCCACCTTCCACCTTCCAAGTCTCCAAAGTCCATTATATCACTCTGTATGCCTTTGCATACACATACTTTAGCTCCCATTTATAAGTAAGAGTATACAATAATTGGTTTTCCATTCCTGAGTTACTTGAGTTACTTCACTTTGAATAGTGGCCTCCAGCTCCATCCAAGTTGTTGCAAAAGACATATTCATTTCTTTTTATGGCTGAGTAGTATTCCTTGACATTTTCATTATCCACTCATTGGTCAATGGCATTTAGGTTGGTTCCATATCTATGCAATTGCAAATTGGGCTGCAATAAACATGTGTGTGCATGTGTTTTTTTCATATAGTGGCTTCTTATCCTTTGGGTAGATACCCAGTAGTGGGATTGCTGGATTGAATGGTAGATCTATTTTTAGTTCTTTTAGGAATCTCCTTGCTGCTTTCCATAAAAGTTGTAGTAATTTACATTCTCACTAGAAGTGTATAAGATCACAATTTTTAAAGCATTTTTAAAAATACTAGTTGCCATTTCCATGTCTCAACCCATCTAGACCAAAACTAGCAATTCCCTCTTCAACCAGGTCTGATTCAATGCAAAATAAGGATTCAATTGAGTGATATCTTTATCTGTTATTGTATCTAGAAATGCCTCGTGTACCTAGTAGGTCAAAATGGTTCCTAGAAAAAGTTTCTGGATACAATCTGAGTAGTACATACCAGTGTACACAATCATCATTTTCCAATTTAACAGTCACCTTTCCAGGTACACAATCCTTTACTCTTCCTTGGCTTACTCCTCTTGATTTTTCTTCTATAAAAATGAGACATATCATGTGTCTTTTCATTTTTATTTGATTATCTATTGCCTATCTCCCTGTTTAGAATTTAAGTCCCACAGGACAGGAAAGCTGGTTTTGTTCCTTGCTGTTTTCCTATCACCTGGAACAATACTTGGTGCAGTGCCTCCCTTATGCTAAATGACGAGTTAATGGGTGCAGCACACCAGCATGGCACATGTATACATACGTAACTAACCTGCACATTGTACACATGTACCCTAAAACTTAAAGTATAATAATAATAATAAAAAATAGAGTTATCCAATAATTAAAGCCAAGAGTGTCAAGTTCTCCCCTGAGCCCTCTCACTTCTGATAGGGACTTGCACATATTCCTGTGGCCTCTGAAACTGAGCTCTTATACATGCCTGGCCCTCTGCGCTCTAAATGTCAGTGTTCCCACCTTCATCTTCTGCTTTCTGTATCCGCTTCACTCAAAGATCTCGTCAAGTGTTTCCGAAAGCCTAGAAATGTAACCCTTATTCCCAACTGAAATGTATGCTGGATAGTTTGGCTTGGGAATCTAGGCTCTAACCTGGAAATAAATTCTGATTATGAGTGCTGTAGTGGCCAAATCAAAGGCTAAAGGTCTTTCTCTTATCTACTACTGTTCATTCCAAATGCATATTTTGGCCAAACCAAATATTCTAGGGATATGCAAGTCACAGCCTGTGGCCTCAGGAAAACTAGTCATAGAGATCTCTGAAAAAAAGAAATCTGTCACCTCATTTCTGAGGGTGTACTTATTTTCCCTGTGTTTGACCTTAAGATTTACTTTTAATTATCACATTGTACAGGCCTATGTTGAACTATTCCAAATAATTCCATTCATTTATAGCTGCTTTCCTATATTTCTGCTGACATTATGTACTGGATAAACCCACTTAATTGACTTTCAGACAATAGGCTTAAAGTACTAGATAACATTCATATTTAAAAATGAATTATTCAACCATTTATAATGTATCATATCTGATTCTATCACTAGAATCTAACAATTTGAAACCCTGATATGGTTCTTAGGGCCCCTAAGGCACTAAGACGAATTACTACTCCCCACCTTTACATAAGCTCTTTGTAGATTGAATATGCAGAGCTCTTTGAAGGCTTAGTTTTATTTAAGCCTCCATTTCCAGGATGATTTCAACTGAATAAAAATATCTGGGCTGGGGGAGTGTGGGAAGACTATTTGCCTTATCCCCACATACCCCTAGTGATGGCCCTGATGACAACACACATCGGGATGTTTTGAACCATCCTGATGATTGATTTGATTTTTCCACTCCTCACCTAGACTTTTGGCATTGCCTAGACAGAGCTATAGCACTTTGGGCTGTAGTCAGCCACTTGCTTCCAGCTGCATGTTTTGCTCCACACTCTGCTTCACCTTTCTTCTTGGCTACAGTCACCCTTGACTCCATATGTTTTTCTCCATGTGTCATCCCAGCCTAACTGAGCACAAAGTCTCTAGCTGTTCCCTGTCCAAGACACACATCTTCCTTGAATCTTGCTCAGTAACAAGTCAGTGTGTTTAATCAATCCTTTATAGCTTTACAAGATATAGCAATGGCTAAAATTGGTGTGGTTAGAAAAGCCCACCCTCCTAGTTCAGAAATCAATAAGCATTTACTCTGTGTTTCCTTTATGTTTAGCGTGCAACCAGATCTGGAGAACCTAAGTTATGAATTTCCACTCCCTAATCTTACCTCTGACCAGGGCAAACTATCTGTGGAACAAATCAATTCCATTTAGCAGATGCTGTATTTCTTGAGAGGCAGAGTGCTAAGATACCTCAGGGATTACAAAGATAAATAGCATACATTCCCTATGCTCAGACCATTTTCACAATACACAGAAGTAAGATTGTAAATTATGAAACTGTGGGATTAAAGAAATGTTCATGCCAAATTTGAACTGATGAGAAATACAATTTATATAATTCTTGCAAAATAGCATAATTTGAAAACATAGTTAATTGCAAACTGTGTTTATGTTATTGTCATCACCCACGCCACTAGGAAAATGAAACACAAACTCTCCTTTGTCAGTATTAGGAGAACCATTATCGATTACTTTTTGTATCAGAATTTCTGAAAGTGAGTCTTGGTTTTAGAATCTAAGCAAGCACTCTTATTATCATTTCTAATCTTGTTTTTCATATCCTTGCACAGTGTTACTCAAGTTCATTAAATGGTGCTGCTAAAGTTAGTGCTGAGAAAAAAAGAATAAAGTTAATAACTGGAATAGACATATGATGTGATAAAGCACTATGAAGAAAAGCAAACAACCACCAATATTAATGTAGGAAAGAGTCCTCAGCAAAATAATAAAGAAAATGTAAAAAGCAATTTCAAAGCAAATATATACTAAATATATACTAAAGAATTAGAAATTCTTAAGTTCCAAAAATGCATTCCCCCTTTGGGAAAATTTGTTTTGAATTATTTGAGTTTTAAGTTATGCAGAGTATCCAGGAATAACACTTCTCTCATATGAAAAGCAAGTGCCCTGCACTTAAATTTTATTTCCCACAGCTCTACCTTACAATCCCTGCAGTTTAGTTAGAAAAGTCTCTTTATTATTCCACACATCCTCTGCCAAGGAAACCAGTATTATTCCTTTCACTATTTCTTTTATTATGCTCTTCTTCCTGTTTTAAATATCTTCACTCTTCCTACCCACTAATCCAAATATATGGCCTAGTTTCAAAGGCCCACTCAAGCGCCACTTCATCTGCAAAGCTGTACCTGACTTAGTAGAGTCACAGGATTTTATACTTGGAATAACTCTTAGAGATTATCTAGTTCAAATATTTTCCAACTGTGCAACATAGAGACACTTAGAAGGCTTTTGAAAGAGAGTTAGAAATGGGAAGGGAAGTAAAGTGAGCAACAGAGTTCTGGAGCTCTCACCTACTTTAATCCAGCACTGCTTTCATCATTTTAATTATTTACCTTTCCCAGAAAGACATTGTTTGAACAAAAGTTTCCAGAGCTTTAGATCATAAAAATCCACAGTTCAACATGATGAATGAAGAAACTAAGGCTGAGTTGAATATTTTATCCTGATTCACAAACAATCTAGCAAACTAAGCTAAAACCCTAGGATCTCTGGACTGCCAGCCCAGCTACATTGATATCCCTATTTTGTTTATCACCAAAATAATTACAATTTCCTATTGATGATTCTATAGTGTCTTTTGTTATTTACACATATGTGTCTTGTCTAATACACTGAGTGTGGCTGTTCCATGGCTGGGTGTAATTTATGCTCTTCCACTCTTCTCTGAGCAGAGAACTGGGTTCACAGTATGATTGCTGACTTTTCTTCCCAGGATAGACATTCTTGATTCATATATAAAATTAGACACGCCAGTACTTAGACAATCAACTCCATGTATTGACTGAAATAACATAAACTGCATCCTTCACAGAAACTATTTATTAATGTTGACATTAATGGTAGTCAGTACAGCTACATTTTTCATAAAAATTAATATTTCTGCCTCATTTGTATTTTTTCCCTCATGTATACAAACCTAGGCTTCATCATTTAAACTCCTTGTTCTAAATGACATCTGGTTTTTAACCCTTTAATCTGCTTTTTGGGTAGCTTTCACTATTGCAACGAGACATTTTAACAAGAAAAACTAACCCTTTATTATTTTTTTAAAAAAATCCCTAATTCTTGATCTTTGTAAGTTCTTCCTGTAGCTGCTTCTTTCTTCTGATACATTTCTTGTAGGGGTACACTGCACTTGCTACCTTTGTTTCCTCCCCTCCCAGCTCCATATTTGGGTACTATATGATCTACTTCTTAAAAGTGGTAATGTCGACCATTGTGGAAGACAGTATGGCAATTCCTCAAAGGTCTAGAACCAAAAATACCATTTGACCCAGCAATCCCATTACTGAGTATATACCCAGAGGAATATAAATCATTCTATTACAAAGATACATGCGCATGTGTGTTCGTTGCAGCACTGTTCACAATAGCAAACACATGAAATCAACCCAAATGCCCATCAATGATACACTAGATAAAGAAAATGTGGTACAGCTACATCTTGGAATACTATGCAGTCATAAAAAGGAATGAGATCATTTCCTTTGCAGGGACATGGATGGAGCTGGAAGCCATTATCCTCAGCAAACAAATACAGGAACAGAAAAACCAAACACCGCATGTTCCCACTTATAAGTGGGAGCTGAACAATGAGATCACATGGACACAGGGAGGGGAACAACACACACTGGGGCCTGTTGGGGGAAAGCAGGAGGAAGAACATTAGGAAAAATAGCTAATGCATGCTGGGCTTAATACCTAGGTGATAGGTTAATAGGTGCAACAAACCACCATGGCACACGTATACCTATGTAACAAACCTGCACATCCTACACCTGCACATGTACTTCAGAACTTAAAATTGAAATTAAAACAAGTGGTAATGACCTTTTATTTGTAATTTAAATTACCTTTTAATACTTTATCTTTCCTATTCCTCTATGCTTTCTTTATTTCATTCACTCCCATAAATATTTGACTGTCAAATCTACTTTTCTAGGAGTCTCTTCTCATCAACCCTTTTAGACCAGGGCAAGAGAAGTCCCCTTCTAGACTCCAAGCTTTAGACATTTGCTCTATCTCCCATCCTCCCCCTCCAGGGCCAGTTGTCTCCCAGCTCACACTATCCCTTCTGATTCAGATGCTGGGTACCTGGGACCATCATAATTCCTATTCACATTCTCTATCTCGTTGAATCTACTTCCAGGGCCTAGTGGCTTCTTGACTTCAGGACTATACTTCCAAACATCCAGTGTATCCCAAGATCCAAGTGGTGACAAAGGAGTGGTTGTTTGTGAGAAGCAGGGATGAAGTGGAGATATCATCATGTTCACATTCCTTCCCTGCCCCTATCCCTGCCCCATTTTCTATAGAATAGAAAACAAATTTCTTCTCATAGTTTCAAGATCTTCATAATGGCTTCACATAGCTCCTAAGCCTGGGATTTCCATGTGTGACCCTGAGGCCTGTGCATGGATAGGGCTAGCGGGAAGGAGGGTAAAGTGGGAGGAGAAGAGGTCCTTTCTGAGTTACTGCCACTATATTTTATCATGGAACTGTAATTCGAACTTGGCCTTTGAGGTTGATATGAAAGCATGTTTGTCATGGTAGGAGGTTAGATATTTTATTTAACAGTTTGTGGCTTGATTTATAACTTTTAAATATTTAACATATGGTACACAGTCCTCCATTTGCAGTCTTGTCTTAGGACCTACAAATCTTAGAGAAAGAGCTGGGTCTTTTCTCTCTAAGGCCAGATTAATTTCTGAGTTCCTATTGGTCTTCTCTTTAAGGGTGCCTCATTTGCATATCTAACTTAAAATATCAAAAGCTGAGTTGATATTCTCCTCCTCATCTTAAAGCTACTTGCCTATGTTTGTGTCTTCCCTTAGTTAATGCCATCACTATCCACTCAGTCTCTAGCTATAGGTCTTGGAGTCATTCTCAACTTTTCTCTTCCCTAACCCTCAGCATTTAATCAGAGATAAAATATATTCTATGTCTGAAATATCTTGACTCCATCTTCTCCTTTCAAGCCCCATCTCTCAGCTGATTCATTTTAATAGCCATTTTACTACCCTCTTCCTTTCCCTCCTTAATTCACTGTCCACATTTCCACCAGCATTGTTATGTTCACATTCCCCTCCTATCCCTGATCCCTGCCCCATTTTCTATAGAAAACAAATTCTTATTCATAGTTTCAAAGTCTCCACAATATAACCAGAGCCTACCCTCACAATCTTGCTTACTTCCCACAATCATTCTTATCTCTTCTTTTTCACACTCATCTACACAGCCATACATGCCTGCACTATAATCTAGACGATACAGATTTGTTAGATACTTGTTAATCCCAGACTATTTGAACATTTATAAACTTGTCAGAAACTTTCACATGCATGTACTTTTACCTAAGCCACCGCTTCTGTCTGGACCATTCTCTCCTTATTTACATTTCTGTAAAAATGCGATTAACTACACTATTGCCGTTTACTCTGTGAAGTCTTCCACAATTACTCCACCAAAATCACTGTCTTCCATGATTACCTAACATTTGTTTATGCCAATATTATTCTACTTAAAAATGATGGCCTATAGCCATGTTATAAATGAATGCCTCTCTAGCTCTTAAATATAAATTTATTGTATGCAGGGACTAATCTCTACTCATTTTTGTATATTATTTGTGCCTCGTGTATTGTCCCAGAGTAGGTGCTTTGTAAATGTTTGTTTAATTTCTGAGTGAAATTTTAAAAGAGATCAGCTTTAATTAAAAAAAAAAAGAAAGCATACAACATATTTCCCTAAAGGGGGCTATCAGGATTTCTTTGTTCTATTCTAGCCCACTCTGCAACCTTCATTTATTTTATCATACAATTCTAAGATGTCTCTCTCCAAAATGGGTTTAACATCCCTTCTAAAAGCTGCAGTGGTATATCTGCAAAACCTGTCAAGAAGCCCTGATGAAAGGCAATGCCGAATTGCAAGCATTATTACAAAGACAGGTGTGGTGTTCAATTCAAAACCAGCCACCTGTGCGTCCTCCGTTTTCAGAGATGACTCGCACATGTTCATCACAGATTCCCCAAGTCACTTATCGCCTGTGCACTCCTTAGAGGGAGACCATCTGGAATTGCAGAGTTTTCTATTCTTAAGCTCTTTTAATTTTTCAATCACCTGCCCTGACATAAGACGGGTTCATTTTCTGTTTATAGTATGTCTCATGGGCAGTTTATGGATCTGTTTCTGGCATTTTCCCTCCAATCATCTTGGGAATCACAGCATGAAGGTGGTGGGCAGGGGGGTAGGAGGAATCCAGGTTAGACTGTTTAATTTTCTGTTACGGGATTTCTGTATCGTTTTGGGTTTTGGAACTGGTAATGCCAAAATGCTGCTTCTTTACTCAGTATACAGGCAAAGGCAAACCATTTAAGTCTACCAAACATCTGGATAATAGTGACAGTATTAACAAATTACTTGACAATTCAGAAGTGATTTTCATGTATATTATCTAATTTAATTCTCATTACAATCCTGTGAAGTACATTTCCTGTTACAGATAAAAAAACAATGGTTCATTTTTGTTTTCTTTTGCAAGATCACAGAAATAATAAGAGCTAGGAAGTAAGTTTTCTGAATCTAAATCCCATGATCTTTAGTAGAGTATAACATATAGGGAATAGCCAAATAATTAAGAAACAAATATCAGCTATATTTCAGATAAGCAATCTATTATTTACAGAATTAAGAGTTACATATAACATAGTAAAGTCTCATTCATATGTAATAAAATGTGCTTGTAAAAACATAAAGGTCAATTAGAAAAAGGGTCAAAATTGCAATATTTTAAGACAGTTTTAGTACTAGTAAACATGGTGTGTATGATAAACTAAAAAGTAAATGGACAAGAAGTAAAATACCAGTGAGATTATGCTGGGTCAGATCCAAAGCCAGCACGGCACCGGGTTTCTTGCCTAAGGTCCATGGTGACCACTCCTTGGCTATTGCCAATGTTCACTCAAGGCCCAAGCACTCTTTATTCAGCTGGTGGCAAATCCAGCCAGGCTTGTGTTTTTCCCTTCAGTATGACGAGCTCCCCCTAAGCCCAAGACAAGTCCTAAAATGTCATCTGGGAGCCAGGACCTGGAATCAGGATCCTTAGGAATTTACTTGGTGCTGTATTCTACTATGGCTGAGCTGGCAATCAAGTGCAAGATTAAGCCCTTTATTTTCTTTGTTCTCCTTTCCTCAAGCAGATGGATGCTCTCCCTGTGGTCACCGACACCCCAGGCCTGAGGCAAGTACTGAGACAAGTACTGCCTGGCTACCACCAATGTTCACTCAAGGCCCAATGGCTGCTCAGTCAGCTTATGGTAAATGTTGCCAGTCCTGTGTTTCTGTCTTCAAAGAAGTGGGCTCCCCTCTGGCCCAGGGTGGGTTCAAAAATGCCATCCAGGAGGCA
The DNA here is from genome assembly GCF_000001405.40 of Homo sapiens. Lineage (NCBI taxonomy): Eukaryota > Metazoa > Chordata > Mammalia > Primates > Hominidae > Homo > Homo sapiens. Next base: position 219,081,940 of record NC_000001.11, read on the forward strand.
AGGCCTGGAACAAAAGAAGCCCGTTGTTTTTTTTGTTTGTTTGTTTTTTACTGACCTGATACCCAAGATGCAAGACAAACTCGTCTTTACTCTTCCCTCTCCTTTCCTCAAGCAGGAGTCTCTCTGCGTGGCCACCACAGCTGGGAATATACTAGGTCACACCTGAAACCAACACAGCATTGGGTGTCACCCAAGGCCTGTGGTGAGTACTTCCTTGTTACCACTCATGTTTTTTCAAGGCTCAAATGCTGTTTAGTCAGCAGGTGATGTATCCTGCAAGTACAGGGTCTTTCCCTTCAATGCAGAGGGTTCCTTTCTGGCCCAGGGTGTGTCTAGAAATGTCATTTGGAAGTTAGGGCCTAAAATAGGGGCCTCAGGAATTTGTCTGGTGGCCTATTATACTGTAGTTGAGCTGGTATCCAAGTTGCAAGACAATGTCCTCTTTACTCTCTTCCCTCTTCTCTCTTCAAGTGGGAAGAAGGAGCTGTGAGCTGCGCTTCCTGGGGCTGTGGGAGGGTGACACAAGCACTCCCTTAGCCACCCTAGCTGGTGTCTTACTAGGTTGTGTGCACCCCAAGTTCACTGGCTCTGAGCCCAGCACAGCACCAAAACTTGCACAGGAATTGCAGTCCTTGGGGCCTAGACTGCTTTTCAAGTTTATTTAGGACCCCAGAGAGCGTTAGCCTGCAGTGGTGGTAATAGCAGGAACCTAGGTTCCAAACGCTGGCATGGATTATTTTCCTTTGGCTATGGCTGGTCTAAATGTTCCCTCTGTGGTTGCTGGTTGAGTTCTGCACATGTTGCTTTCCACTGTGGCAGGCAGAACTGAATTCCAATGCAAAGTCCCACAATCACTGAGCTGTCTCTCCTGCAAGCACACATATTCTCTCTCCATTCCATATAGCTGCTGCTGATGGATGGAGTTGGGGTGGTGTTGGCTGTTCGAGATTGTCTTTCCTACCCTCTTCAGTGCCTCTTTCCTTGATATGATGTCAAAACTATGTACAATGATCACTCATCTGATTTTTGGTTCCTGTGAAGACTTTTTCTTGTGTAGACAGTTGTTTAATTTGGTGTTCCTGTGGGGAAGACAATTGCTGGAGGGTCCTATTCGGCTATCTTACTCCACCTCCTCCCCAGGGTTTTGTTTTAGCAATGACTATATTACTTTTATTTCTAATAGTTTCATTTTGTTCTTTAGTGTTTATGATCTGTCATTACATTAGGTTATTATTTCTTCTTCAAATATTTTGATAATTTTATATTTTGTTGAAGAACTATGAACATACTTATTAATCTCTTCCAAATTGTTCTATTATCTCTGTTTTTAGTATGTTATTTTCATGCTTTTCTCTGCCTACTCTCTCTCTCAAAATTGTGTCTCTCTAAAAAAAACTTGTGTGTGTGTGTGTGCGTGCGCATCTGTGTCTGTATATGTATACATGTGACATATTATCTTCAGTTGGTGACTGCTTTCCTCTGTTAACTCTCTCTATAGATTGTGTCTCTGTAAAAAATAAATAAGTTGTATATGCACAAAGAGAGATCACTTTCAGTGGGTGATTTATTTTTTCCTTTGTGTGTCCCAAACATCCAGGGATGCAGAATTTTCTTTATAGAGTTATTGAGGTTTTATTGTTTTGCCTCAGTACAGAAGATTCCTCTGGTATCAGACCAGTTTTTAAAAATGAATTTCAAAGCTTATTATTCCTGCTTTATGTATTACTACAAATTTTGACCACATACTTTTGGTGCAGCTTGGGTTCTTGACTTTTCTCTCAGGAGATGATTTATAGCTACTTCCAGAGCCTGGGAAGTCTGTAAGATTGTTTTTGCATTTCGCTAGGGCTGTCTTCAAAATCTTCAAAGATATTTTTTCTAATCCACTATCCTGGAGGGACTCAAGGCTGCATCTGACAGTCTTATGAACTGCTAGGGTATCACTTCAAGGTTCCTTTTGGAACTGAGTTCTTTATTTGTTTCTGGCACTTAGTGATTTCCTTTCTTCCTTTTGAGATTCACTATATTTTTTCTTAATTAATTTACATGGTATTATATGAGGCATTTTTCTGTGTTTATATTTGAAGAGTGATCATACAAAAGGCTTCATGCAAAAATAAATTCTGCTTGTAATTAGTAGTGATTTAGGTTAGAACATTAAATAAGAGGACTGGCTTGAGTAATTATTTCATTCTCTGATTTTATAGTTTAAGATACATTTTCTAGAGCGCCTAACTCCCTATTATACCAAAATATGGAAAGATACATACACCACTTTTTTCCCCATGGCAGACAGCCATAGTGATTCTCTTAAAATTTAAATCAGATCATGTCACTCTCAATGGCTTTCCATCTCATTAAGTACAGAACCCAGTCCTTCACATGCACCTAAAAGGGCCTGCAAATCTGACCCCCTGATAACTCTTTGTCCTCATCTCTTATCTATTAATACTTTCCTGTTAACCCACTTCACTCCAGTCATATTAGGCTGCTTATTGTTCCTTGGAATACTAAGCAAGATACCACCACAGACACTTCAGTCTTGCTATTTCCTCCATTTTGTGTGTATTACGTGAACCATTCACTCTCTAATTTGCCTTAGTACTCTGTTACCTTCCATGGCAACCCAACAAAAAAGAAAAAATAAAAAAACACACGTACACATTCCCTATTCCTCTAACCCTGCTGGGTTCTCCTGCTTTCACAGCACTCATTAGCATCTGACATAATATCCATATACTTGTTTATTTATTTTTCAGCCTCCCCCGTTTGTCATAGACTATACCTTCCAGGAGAACAGATATTTAACATGTTCTTGGTTTTTTATCTGCTGATGTATCTCAGTACCGAGAAAATTACCTGGTACATAAAAAAGCATTCATCTGAGAGATTAAAATAATACTATAATATAATTTATACTTCAAAAAACCTAGACAAATATAAACAAAATTTTTATCAAAATTATTTAAGGAATATATACATACACACATACTTTATTTTTAATTTTAATTTTTAAAATGTTGAATTTAAAGTATGCAAACTTTTAAGAAAGTTTTGAAATATGGATTTTAAAATCCAACTGATCAAAATTTCTGTTAAGTTAAATAGTAATGGAGAAAACTGTGTTCTTTCTTCCTCACAATTTCTTCAAAGAACATTCCATCTTCATCCAATCCACAGAGGATACAAAAATAGCCCCAATAAAGTTTCTTTATCTGAACCATGCCTGATACCCTATTAAAATACAGAAGACTATGACTCAGGGCAGTGATCTCAATATAATTAATCCCAGGAAAGATAATCTAGAGGAAGAAAATGTTACCGCAGTGATTACCCTGTAAACTCAGTTCATGCTGTCTGTGACTCAGAATAAGAATTAAAATGACGATAAGGCACTAAATATTCCAAAGATTTAATGTGAAGTGTTGATGGTTGAGAAAAATGTTTCCTCTTTATATGCATGTACTCAAGCTTTTAATACATATTTCTGTTATGAGTTAGGATTAAGCATTAGAGGAAAGTGCTGTTGAAATGCCGGCTGTACTCTCAAAGCACTAAAACTTAAATAATAATAAATAGCAGAAAACCCAGGGAGAAAATGAAGAAATAAAGTTATTTATAAATCTCTGGTTAGCTAACAGTGCATTACATTTATTTAGCATTAATTAGTAAACAGTAATTTAAAATAAATAGTATTTGAATAAGAAAGAAGATGGAAACAAATAGGCACTTTTTGATAATTAATTTCCCCAATTCAGGTGGAATATCAGTGGCATAGGATGGAAAGAAAAAGGACTTGGAGATGTAGGCAAACCACTTGCTAATTTAGGGGCTTTCGTTACTAATATTATCACATGATATATCAGATAAATATATTCAGCCTGAACCATGAAACAAACCAGGTGTACAATTGGGCCTTTTTTAAAGTTATTTTCATATAAATATATCAGCAACTTCCCACAGTTTGATTAATTTGGCTGCTGACATTAGCCAAAGAATGGACAGTCTACCATTTCATTTATCTGTCACAAATAGAGTGTAAGACAGAGTGAAATAATGCCTAAACATTCGGGTTCCCTTCAGAGGCCAATTTTAAGAAAAATAATTGAGGGAAGGTTATTTCAGCTTCCTCTTCTGCATATCAACTCCTCATCCTTCCCTACTTCACTTTCTACATTTTAGGATAGATAAAGGACACCACAGACAATCTAACAATTTCCTCTAGTCTCTGAGTGAGTAATAACAGAAGCAGTCCAAATGAGGAATTCCTGTTGTTCATCCCCAGATGGATTTCCTTAGGCCACTCTTGTAACACATCTCCCTTGATTTCTACAGATTTTTATGTTGTATGCTAATTTCCATGACTCTTTTACTCACCTGGAAAACAACAGTATCACTATCAGAATTGTTCAACTGGTATGTGACAGCTAAAATTAACACTTCTTCCTTAACTCTGTTTTATTTTGCTCCTCTCAAAAAGCAAACTCCTGTTCCCAGAGATAGTTTAATTTCATTTTTGTACCTGGATACTATTTGTGAGACCCTAATTACTTACCTTTTTTGGCAGACTTTGAATGGCTATGGCACAGGAAATCATCACAATCAGCAAGAAGAGAGATGAATGCAACAGTCAGTGCTTATCTAGGTCACTTCTCCCCAAAATGTCCTCACAGCTCTATTTCACTTAAGTTTGGATGTACCATTTAAGACATCAAAGCATTCTGCAAGTGGGGAAAAAAAAAAACAAGAAATACCTTAAAATGCCAGCTATGTGTGATTTAAAACAAAAAATATTTAAGATGAGGTTAAAAGTTATAAACATTTATGTACGTTATTAGTTCTACATCAACAAAAGAGCACAGTTTCTCTACTGCAAATTAATAGATTATAAAATCAATAGGTTTTTCATGAAAGTAATTAAGAAAAATGGGGGTAGAAACAAATTCAGTCTTTTAAGAATGTTTTGCCTTTAAAACAACTTTCTCTAAAATCACCTAAAATGAAATATAAGTTAACTCTGATTCTATGAGTTCAGTGGAGTTAAATTTAACTTGAAAACATCTTTCATTTCTATAGCTACTTTATTATATTTATACAAGACTGCAAAAAGTTAATTAGGTGATTTAAGTGAATCAACTGTCACATATATTATGAGCTCTGCATGTGTGTATTATGAAGCAATACTGACTATGAGTTCAGCCTTTTACCAACTTATTTAGCCAAGGTTGCTAGAAGTTACTTAATGAGCATGAACACACAAACTTTCAATAAACCTACAAGAAGAAAAGTGGCCCATGACCTAAAAGAACCCCTCTGTTATGCCAGGGGGATGACAAAGTATGTTAAGTCACCAGCCCCTCTGTGTTATGGTGGTTCATGTTGCCAAGGCACGTGTGGCAAATTTGCAGAGTTGGGGCAGTGAATAAGAGAAGGTCAGTTTCTAAAAATTCATCTCACAGAGTATATGAAGTAAAAAGCCTAGGAGAAGTACTTTTCTCAATTAAAACTTAAGAATATATGAATATTTGTGGCTTCTAGAGTTTGACCTCTCAGTACCTAAGCTATTCCTGATTTATACTTGGCAATCTGTATTTATTCTTCAGTTCATAGAATATTAGGGTCAGAAAGAAAGGTTTAAAATCACCCATTGAATATCTGGAAGGCTTAAAGAGTAGCAGTTCAAGAATCAGGCAGAGCTGGCTTGAATTCTGGTTTCACACTTTACAGGCTGTGTGGTATTGAATAAAGTGCTTCAAATATTGAATCCCCAGTTTTCCTATCTGTTAAATGAGGATAATAAATAACACTTCCTGAGGAGAGAAACAGAAGATTAAATAAAATAAAGCAAAAAGTAATATGCTGTAATTCCCTCAGAAGCATTGTGTTTCACAGTTGTCAGAATTCTGAGTTCTAAGCAACAGAAACTGACTTTGGTTACATTAATCAGAAAAGGAATGTATTGGCAAGATATCAATAACTTAGAGAATTAATCAACAGTTGAGAATTAGACTCTGGCAGAAAAATAAGGAAAGCAGGTTATGAGCCTGAAGTCTGCTTAGGACATAGGAATTGATACTGCTGCTACTGGATTCTTGCTGCCACACCAGTAGTCTCTCAAACCTTCCACATTGGCTGGGAAAAATCTCTAACCCTCATTATTCAAAGCTACAGGCAAGAGAATCTTACTAGATAAACTTGAGACATGTATCTGTATGCTATTGTCCAGAGGATAAATAAGAACCCTTGTGCTACATATTGAAAGAGAGGGTCTGTCTCTCACCTTATGATTCCTCCACATAGGAATAGAATGGGATATTAAGCATATCACTAGGCTTTAAAGCAAATCTCAATAAATTTCAAAGACTTAGTGTCAAACATAATACATTCTCTGACCACAATTTCAATTCTGTTAAATTAGAGCTCAGTAAATAAAGGATAAATTTTAACCTCCCTAATATTTCTATAAAGTGTAAAAAATAAATTTGAATGTAACTGAGTCAAAAAGAAACTATAGGGGAAGACACAGAGCAGGTTGGCCTAATAGAACTCTCCAACAATAGTCCCCCTACAGGAACACTAAATCGAACAACTATCCACACAAGAAAGCACTTTTATGAGAACCAAAAATCAAGTGAGTGATCACAGTACCAGGTTCTAACATCATATCAAAGAAAGAGGCATTGAAGAGGTTAGGAAAGATAGTCTTGAATTGCTGATGCTGCGGAGAGGATCTGTGTTCTTGTGGGGGAGAGAGTGCAGTGATGTGGGACTTTGCATTGGAACTCAGTGCAGCCCAGCCACAGTAGAAAACAAGATAAGGCAGAACTCAGCCAGTGCCCATGGAGGGAGTCCTTATATCCGTCCCAGCAAGAGAGGAATTGCCCTTCCCAGTGGTTGGAACTAGAGTTCTGGCTAGCCCCACTACCATGGGCCAAAGCACTCTGGGATACTACATAAACCTCAAAGGCAGTCTAGGCGACAAGGACTGCAATTCCTGGGCAAGTCTTGGTGCGTGCTGGGCTAGAAGGCAGTAGACTTGGGTTGACCTAATGAGACACCAGCCAGGTGGACAAGGGAGTGCTTGCATCACCCCTCCCCCAACCCAGGCAGTGCAGCTCAGTAACCTGGGGGAGACTCCTTCCTTCCGCTGGCAGTAACTAGGCAGTGGTCACCATGGGTCTTGAGCAAGACCCAGTGCTGTGCTATCTTTGGGTGTGACTCAGCACAGTCTCAGTGTGGTAGTCACAGTGGAGCTTGCATCACCCCTCCACAAGAGGAGTACAAGCAAGTGCAGACTGCAAATATTACAATAAATATCTAACTATTCAATGCCCAGACACTCACAAACATCCAAAAGCATCAGGACCATTCAGGAAATCATGACCTCACTAAACAAACTGAAAAAGTCACCACTGATCAATCCAAGAGTGACAGAAAATTCAAAATAGAAATTTTGAGGAAGCTCAATGAAATTTAAGATAACACAGAGAAGGAATTCAGAATCCTATCAGATAAATTTAACGAAGATACTGAAATAATTTTTGAAACATGTAGAAATTCTGAGCTGAAAAATTGAATTGACATACAGAAGAATGCATCAGAGTCTCCCAACAGCAGAACTGATCAAGCAGAAGAAAGAATCAGGCTATTTGAAAATACACAGTCAAAAGAAACAAAAGAATAGAAAAGAATGAAGCTTGCCTATAAGTTCTAGAAAATATCTCAAAAGGGCAAATTAAGATTTACTGGCCTTAAAGAGGAGGTACAGAGATCAAGGTATAAATTTTATTCAAAGAGATAATAACAGATAACTTTTCAAACCTAGAGAAATATATCAAAATTCAAGTATAGATGGGTTGTAGAACATCAAGTAGATTTCATCCAAATAAAACTACCTCAAGACATTTAATAATCAAACTTCCAAAGGTCAAGGATAAAGAAAGGATTCTAAAAGCAGCAAGAGAAAAGACACAAATAACATACCTTACAATCTAGGAGAGAGTGGCATTACATATTTAAAGTGCTGAAGGAAAAAAGACTTTTATCCTAGAAGAGTACACCCAGTGAAAATACCCATTAAACATGAAGAAGAAATAGGCTTTCCCAGACAAACAAAAGCTGAGGGATTTCATCAACACCAGAACTGCCCTACAAGAAATGCTAAAGGGAGCTGTTCAATCTAAAATGAAAGGACACTAATGAGCAATAGGAAGTCATCTGAAGGTACAAAACTCACTGGTAATAGTAAGTACACAAACAAACACACAATATTATAACACTGTAATTGTGGTACGTGAACTATTGATATCTTGAATACGAAGACTAAAAGATAAACCTATCAAAAATAATAACTACAACTTTTAAGACATAGTATAATAAAACGTAGATGGAAGCAACAAAAAGTTAGAAAGCAGGGGGATTAAGTTAAAGTGTAGAGCTTTTATTAGTTTTCTCTTTCGTTGTTGTGAGTTTGGATTGTTTTGTATCCAGTGCTAAGTTGTGATCAGTTTAAAATAATGAGTTCTAAGATGTTATTTCCAAACCTCATGGTCACCTCAAATCATAAAACCTACAACAGATACACAAAAAACTGAAAATCAGTAAATTAAAACAACCCACCAAAAAAAATTAACTTCCCAAAAAGGAATACAGGGAAGAAGGAAGGAAGAAAGAGAAGAGCACACATAAAACACCCAGAAAACAAATAACAAAATGGCAGTAGTAAGTCCTTACTTACTAATAATAACATTGAATGTAAATGGACTAAACTCTCCAATCACAAGACATAGAGAGCCTGAACAATAACAATAATAAAAAAACAAGCTCTAACAATCTGGTAACTATAAGAAACACGCTTCACTTATAAAGACTAACTTAGACTTAAAATATAGGAACTGAAAAATATTGCATGAAAATGGAAACAAAAAAAGCAGAAGTAGCTATATTTACATCAGACAAAATAGATTTCAAAACAAAAACTATAAACAGAGACAAAGAAGGTCATTATATAATGATAAAGAAGTCAACTTAGCAAGAGGGTGTAACACTTGTAAATATATATACATTCAACACTGGAACACTCAAACATATTAAGTAAATATTATTAGAGCTAAAGAGAGAGATAGACCCTAATACAATATTAGCTGGAGACTTCAACACCCCACTTTCAGCATTGGACAGAACCACTACACAGAAAACCACCACCAACAACAACATTGGACTTAATCTACATTATATACCAAATGGACCTAATATATATTTACACAATCTTTCATTTAAGAGCTGCAGAATACACGTTCTTCTCCTCAAGGCATGGCTCATTCTTAAGGATAGATCACATGTTAGAACAAAAAACAAGTCTTAAAAAATTAAAAAATTGAAAAAATATCAAGTGTCTCATCTTTCCAGTTTTATTCTCAATGGAATAAAACTAGAAATAAATAATTAGAAAAATATCAGAAACTATACAAACACATGGAAAATAAACAATATGCTCTAGAGTGACCAGTGGGTCAATGAAGAAATTAAGAATAAAATTTAAAAATTCCTTGAAACAAACAAAAATGGAAACACAATATATCAAAACCTATGGAATGCAGCAAAAGCAATACTAAGAAGAAAGCTTATAGCAATAAGCACTCCACATCAAAAAAGCAGATAATCCTCAAATTAACAACCTAATGATGCATCTTAAAGAACTAGAAAACAAAGAGCAAACCAAAGCCAATATTAGTAGGAGAAAAGAAATAATAAAGATCAAAGCAGAAATAAATGAAATTGAAACAAAACAAACAATACAAAATATCAATTAAACAAAAAGGTGGCTTATTTTAAAAAAATAAAATTGATAAACATTTAGCCAAAGACATAAAGATAGAAGACCCAAATAAATAAAATGAGAGATAAAAAGGAGGTATTACAACTGATACTGCAGTTCAGAGAATCATTAGAGACTACTATGAGCAACTACATGCCAGTAAATTGGAAAACCTAGAAGAAATAGATTGAATCCTAGACACATACAACCTACCAAGACCGAATCATGAAGATTTCCAAAATCTAAATAGACCAATAACAAGTAATGAGTTCAACACCATATTAAAAAGTATCCCAGTAAAGAAAAATCAGAGACCCAAAGCCTTCAACTGCTAAATTTCACCCAAAATTTAAAGAACTAATATTAATCTAATCCTATTCAAACAATTCCAAAAAAATAAAGAAGCAAATACTTCCTTACTCATTCTGTGAGGCCAGTATTACCCTGATACCAAAATCAGACAGAGACATCAAAATAAGAAAACTACAGGCCAATGTTCCACATGAATACTGATGCAAAAATCCTCAACAAAATACTCACAAACCAAATTCAACAACACATTTAAAAGATAATTCATCATGACCAAGAGGGATTTATGCCAGGGATGCAAGAATGATTCAGCAAATGCAAATAAATCAATGTGATATATCATTTCAAAAGAATGAAGGACAAAAACATGCAATCATTTCAACCGAAGGTAAAAAGCATTAGATAAAATTCAACCTCCTTTCATAATAAAAGCCCTAAAAATGTGGTATAGAAGTATATATCTCAACACAATAAAAACCATATATGACAGACACACAGCTAGCATCACACTGAATACAGAAAAACTGAAAACTTTTTCTCTAAGATCTGGAACAAACCGAAACATCCACTTTCACCACTATTATTCAACATAGTACTGGAAGTTCTAGTTAGAGCAATCAGACAAGAAAAAGATATAAAGAACATCCAAATTGAAAAGAAGTAAGTCATCTTTGTTTGCAGATGATATGGTCTTATATCTGAAAAATACCTAAAGACCTTAACAAAAATCTATTAGAACCAATAAACAAATTCAGCAAAGTTGAGGGATACAAAATCAACATATAAAAATCAATAGTATTTACATATTACATCAGTGAACAATCTGAAAAAGAAATCAAGAAAGTAATCCCAGTTACAATAGCTACAAATAAAATAACATACCTAGAAATGAATTTAACTAAAGAATTTAAAGATATCTACAATGCACTCTATAAAACATTGATGCAAGACATTGAGGAGACCAGAAAAAAATGAAAAGATACTCTATGCTCATGGATTGGAAGAATCAATATTGTTAAAATGTCTGCACTATTCAAAGTAATCTACAGATTCAGTGCAATCATTATTAAAATACCAATACAATCTTCACATTAATAGAAAAAAATCATTCCAAAATTCATGTGAAATCACAAAAGACCCAGAATAGCCAAAGTCATTCTGAGCAAAAAGAACAAAATGAGAGGAAGCACATTCTCTGATTTTGAATTATTCTATAGAGCTATAGTAACCAAAACAGCATGGTACTGGCATAAAAACAGACACATAGACCAAAGAAACAGAATAGATAAATCAGAAACAAATCCATACAGCTATGTTGAATTTATTTTTGACAAAGGCGCCAAGAACATACAGTGGAGAAAGACAATCTCTTAAATAAATTGTGCTAGGAAAACTAGACGTCTATAGGCAGAAGAATGAAGCTAGAACCCTATTTTTCATCATCTACAAAAATCAAATCAAAATGTATTAAAGAGCTAAATCTAAGACCTAAGACTATTAAACTATCAAAAGAAAACATTGGGAAAACTCCACAGGACATTGGTCTGGGCAAAGGTTTCTTGAATAACACCTCAAAAACAGAGATAACCATAGCAAAAATGGGCAAATGGGATCACATCAAGTTAAAAAGCGTCTGCACAGAAAAAAAATTTAACAAAGTGAAGAGACAACCCACAGAATGGGAGAAAAATTTTCAAACTATCCATCTGTCAAGGAATTTATAACCAGAATATATAAGGAGCTCAAACAATTGGAAAAAAATCTAATAATCCAATTTAAAAATGGGCAAAATGTCCAAATAGTCATTTCTCAAAAGAAGACATATAAATGGCAAATAGGTATGTGAAAAGATGCTCAACATCACTGATCATCAAATAAATGCAAATCAAATATCATCTTATCCCACTTAAAATGGCTTTTATCCAAAATAAAGGCAATAATGAATGCTGGCAAGGATGTGGAGAAAAGGGAATCCTCAAACACCATTGGTGAGAATGTACATGGGTTTAGCCACTATAGAGAACAGTATGGTGGTTCTTCAAAAAACTAAATATAGAACTACTAAATGATCCAGCAGTTCCCCTTCTGAATATTTATCCAAAGAAAATGAAATCAGTGTGTTGAAGATATTTCTGTACTCCCATATGTATTGCTGCACTATTCACAATATTCAAATTTAGAAGCAACCTAAGTTTCCATCAACAGGCAAATGGACATAGAAAATGTGGTACACATACACAATGAAGTATAATTCAGCCTTAAAAAATAAGATCCTGTCATTTGCCAAGATATGGATGGAACATTATGTTAAATGAAACAAGCCAATCACCAAAAGACAAACTTCACATGTTCTCCCTTATTTTTGATAGTTGAAACTTAAAACAATTTAACTCATGGTAATAGAGAGTAAAATAATCGTTACCAGAGGTTGGGAAGGAAATGAGTACAAAAATATAGTTAGAATGAATAAGATCTAGTATTTGATAGCACAGCATGATGACTATAGTCAATAATTTGTACATTTTTAAATATCATAAGAGTATAACTGGAATGTTTGTAACACAACAAAGTAATAAATGCTTGAGATGATGATACTCCATTTACCTTGATGTGATTATTACCCATTGTATTCCTTTATCAAAATGTCTGATATGCCCCATAAACATATATACCTACTATGCATTCCTAAAAAATAAAAATAGAAAATAGAAAACCATTGATAAGTTAAGATACCTCATAAAAAATTAACCATAATAGGAATTATAAAATACTTAGATAAGAATGAAAATATCAAAGCAAGAGATAAAGCAGAATTGATATTTTGAGGAAAAATTTATAGCTTTAAAGTGCTTATTTTTTGAAAAAGATAAATGCTGAAAATTAATGATGTAATTGTCATGTTAAAAAAAATAGAATGAATGTATCAATGCCAATCAATGAACAGAAAACAGATATAATAGGAAATATAAATAAATCAGAAGTTGGTTACATTGAAATAAAAAATATAAACCTCTGATAACTTAATCAAAAAGATAAAGAAATCTCAATGAAAAATTTTAAAAATGAAAATGTGGGTATATCACAAACATAACAGGGATTTTTAAAACATGAAAGCAAAATAAAATACATAAAAACAATAAATTTCAATTTAGATAAAGAAAATTTCTAAAAATAAAACCATACCAAACTTACTCAAGACACAAACTGAGAGCCTGTATTAATCTTGTGTATACTGAAGAGAATGAATTGGGGGTTGAAAATCTTCCTAAAAAGAAAATATCACACTAAGATTGTTTAGTTGATTTACAAGGAGCAGCCATTCTATTGTATTGCAATTCTAGAATATGGAAAAAGAGGGGCTATTTCTCAACTCTTTCTATAAGGTCAGTATTCCCCTAGTATCAAAACCACACAAACACAATAGAGAAGATAATTGTGGGTGAGTCTCACTCACAAAAAGATTTAAGTTTTTGTTAAAAATACTACAAAACTAAATTTAACAAGCTAAAAAAATACAAGCACATATAACCAAGTTGGGGTTTATCACAAACTTGCAAGGCAGTTTAAATCAGAAAATCAATAAATGCCATTAAGCAAATAAACAGAATAAATTTTGAAATGTTTTATTCTATATGAAGAATAATAATTTATAAAATTTAACCTACCATCATGATGATACCTCTTACCAAACAGTAGCAAGAAAGGACTTCCTTAGTCTTATAATGTATGTCTACCAAAAATGAGACATCTTTCAGTATGGAGAAGCATTAGAAGAGTTCCCTTTAGAATTAATACAAGTATATTTCATATTACAATTTTTACTCAACATTCTCCTTTAAGTTTAGTTAGCATGTAATTCAAGAAAATGCAAATAAATGGATAAGAATTAGAAAGGAAAAAATTCAAAATTATCATAATTTTCAAGTGATATCGGTTGCTTTCAAAATCTCAGATTATCCAATGATATGGTTTGGCGATGTCCCCACCCAAATTTCTTCTTGAATTGCAGCTCCCATAATCCCCACATGTCATGGGAGAGACCTGGTGGGAGGTAATTGAATAAAGGGGGCTGGTTTCCCCATGCTGTTGTTGTGATAGTGAAACAGTCTCATGAGATCTCATGGTTTTATAAAGGGCAGTTCCCCTGCACACACTCTCTTGCCTGCCATCATGTAAGATGTGGTTGCTTCTCCTTTGCCTTCTGCCATGATTGTGAGGTCTTCCAAGCCATGTGGAACTGTAAGTCCATTAAATTTCTTTTTCTTTATAAATTACCCAGTCTCAGATATATCTTCATAGCAGTATGAAAATGGACTAATACAGCAAATTGGTACTGGTAGAATGGGGTACTGCTATTAAGATACCAGAAAATGTGGAAGCAACCTTGGAACAGGCAGAGGTTGGAACAGTTTGGAAGGCTTAGAAGAAGACAGGGAGATGTGGGAAAGTTTGAAGCTTCCTAGAGACTTGTTGAATGGTTTTGACCAAAATGCTGATAGTGATATGGCCGATGAATTCCAGGCTGAGGTAGTCTCAGATGGACATAAGGAACTTACTGGGAACTGGGACAAATGTGATTCTTCTCATGCTTTAGCAAAGAAACTGGTGGCATTTTTCTCCCTGTCTTAGAGATCTGTAGAATTTTGAACTTGAGAGGGATGATTTAGGGTATCTGGTGGAAGAAATTTCTAAGCAGCAAAGCATGCAAGAGGTGACTTTGGTGCTCTTAAAAGCAACTATTAATTGCCAAGGCACTGGGGAAAATGCCTCTAAGGCATGTCAGAGGTCTTCACAGCATCTCCTCCCATCACAGGTCTGTAGGCCTAGGAGGAAAATATGGTTTCATGGGCCAGGCCCAGGGCCTTGCTGGTTTGTATAGTCTCAAGACTTGGTGCCCTGTGTCCCACCCATGCCTTAAGGGGACCAATGTACAGCTCAGGCTGTTGCTTCAGAGGGTGCAGACCCCAAGCCTTGGTGGCTTACACGTCATGTTGGCCCTGTGGGTACACAGAAATCAAGAACTTAGGTTTGGGAACCTCCTCCAAGATTTCAGAGGATGTATAGAAATGGCCGGATGTCCAGGCAGAGGTGTGTTGCACAGGAGGAACCCTCAGGGAGAAGCTCTGCTAGGACAGTGCAGAAGGGAAATGTGGGATGGGAGTCCCCACACCGAGTCCCCACTGGTGCACTGCCTAGTGAAGCTGTGAGAAGAGGGTCACCATTCTCCAGACCTCACAATGGTAGATTCACCAACAGCTTGCACCATGCATGCACCTGGAAAAGCTGCAGACACTCAATGCCAGCTCGTGAAACCATCCAGGAGTGGGGTTATAACCTGCAAAGCCACAAGGGTGGAGCTTCCCAAGGCTGTGGGACCCCACCTCTTACATCAGTGTGACCTGGATGTGAGACATGGAGTCAAAGGAGATCATTTTGGAGCTTTAAGATTTTACTGCCCAGATGGATTTTGGACTTGCATGGAGCCTGTTGCCCCTTTGGTTTGGCTAATTTCTTCCATTTGTAACAGGTCTATTTACCCAATACCTGTACCCTCATTGTATCCAGGAAGTAACTAACTTGTTTTGATTTTATAGGCTTTGGACTTGGACTTTGGAGTTAATGCTCAAATGAGTTAAGACTCTGGGGGACTGTTGGAAGGGCATAATTGTATTTTGAATTGTGAGGACATGAGATTTGGGAGGGGCAAGGGGTGTAATGATATAGTTTGCCTGTGTCTCCAACCAAATCTCATCTTGAATTGTAGCTTTCATAATCCCCAGGTGTCATAGGAGAGACCCAGTGGGAGGTAATTGAATCATGGGGTTGGGTTATCCTCTGCCATTCTATGTTAGTAAATAAGTCTCATGAGATCTATTGGTTTTATAAAAAGAAGTTCCTCTGCATATACTCTCTTGCCTGCTGCCTTGTAAGACTTGCCTTTCTCCTCCTTTGCCTTCCTCCATGACTGTGAGGCCTCCTTAGCCATGTGGAACTCTGAGTCCATTAAACCTCTTTTTCTTTATAAATTACCCAGTCTCAGGTGTTTCTTCATAGCAGTATGAAAATGGACTAATACATCCAAAGACAAATAATCAGAAATCATAAGGGTGTTTAGCAAGAGAGCTAGCTATAAGATCAATAGGCAAAAATCAATATATGTCCTCAGTAGGAAATATAATTTTAAAAGGTGACATTTTCATAGCAGCAATGAAAACTATATAAAACCTGAGAATAAATCTAATGAAATGTAGACAGTACCTATATGCAGAAAATTATAAAAATCTGCTAAAGAAATGTAAGAAAAAAAAAAGAACTTGGAGACAGACATGAGTTTTGGGATAAGAAGACTTAAAACTGTAAGGACATTAATGCTTGCCAAATCTAGAGTGGAGTCAAGTGGAACTTGACAAGCTAATAATAAAGTTTATGTGAAAGAGCAAAGGATCAAGAATAACCAAGACATTCTGAAACAAAAGAAGAAAATAAGTAAATTACCCTGCAGATATTTAGATATATTATTTTAAAACTACAAAGTAGGACACTGAGCAAGTCAGAGAAAGAAAACTTCACCAATGAAATGAAATTAAATATAAGATAGACCCAATATTTATGAAACATTCATATATGACAAATACGTATTGCAGGTCAGTAGAGAAAGGGACTCATCAGTAAATGGTAGTATGATTGTCATTATCCAGAAAGGAAAATATTTTTTAAAAATCTAGGTAGGTAAGAAATTCAATGTGAAAAACAGCATTAAGTTGAAAATATAGGAGAATATCTTTCTGACCTTTGGTTAAGGAAGGCTTTTTACATAAAATACAAAAATCACTAATCAAAAGAATATGATAAACTTAACTACATTAAAATTAAGAACATATGTTCAGCAAAAGATATGTCAGTGAAAGAAAGATTGTAAAAAACCAGCCATAAACCAAGGGAAAATATTTGTAACATACATTATTAACAAAGAGTTCAAATTAAGTATTTGTAAAGAATTCCCACAAATTAATAATAAAAACAAACAAATTAATAGATAAACTGACACAAATATATATTTCATGGATAAGGAATTGCTAGATATACAAGATGCTTCCTCTCATTTGCAATCAGAGAAATGAATATTAAGAATGAGAAACTTTATATCTGAGAGATAGGCAAAAATTAAGAAGTCTGACTACATCTAGTGTTGGAGTGAGTAATTTATATACATTGCTTTTGAAAGCATAAATGTGTACAACTGCATTGGTAAACTGTGTATCATTATTTTCCAAAGTTGAGCATTGTATATACCATAACTCAGAAATTCCACTCCTAGGTATATATCCTAGAAAAACTATTCAAATGACTGCAAGATATGTAAAATGTGTATACCAGTACTCTTTATATTATCAGAAAACTGAAAGTCACCCAGAGTCTAACAGGAAATAGATGAAAAATTGTGGTGCTGTCACATATTTGAATATTGTATGACAGTGAAAATGAAAAAAATTTCTACTGTGTGCAGTAACATATATAAACCGCAGAAGCCTATGTTCAATAAAAATCATCAAGACTCAGAAGACTACATACAATATAATGCTGAAAACAACCCAATAGTCCCATAGATAGTTGTTTGGGTAAACATAGAAATTGACTCTTATGGTCTTAAAGCTTGAACCTTACATCTGTTCGATCTGAGTTCCTTCCTCAGTAAATGACCTTCAAGCCTCTCAAAGTACCAAAGAACTGAAGCTCACCAGAGCACCACATCCAGACAATGAGATGCCAGATCCTTCATTCATTATGATTGCTTGCTTGCCCCTCCCTAGTTCTTGTTTCTTGCATATTGTTGCATTTGTTCCCTACTATATAAACCCATAGTTTTAGTCAGTCAGGCAGATGGATTTGAGACTGAGCTCCCATCTCGTCAGCGGCAGCATCCAATTAAAGCGTTCTTCCTTGTCAATAATTGGCATCTCAGTGAATGGCTTTCTGTGTGGCAAGCGACAGGACCTAAACCGAACCTCTGCTTTTTCAGTAACAATATTATGTGTGTAGAAATGTAAAACAAGCTCAACTAAATATACAGCTACTTTAGGCATACATGCATTTGTGATAACAATACTATTTAAAGAGGATGAAGAGGCTGGGCATGGTGGCCCATGTTTATAATCCCAGCACTTTGGGAGGCCAAGGCAGGAGGATTGCTTGAGGCCAAGAGTGGAGCCCAGCCTGGGCAACAGTGTGAGATCCTGTTTCTACATTTTGTTTTTTAATTAGCTGGTTGTGGTGGTGTGTGCCTATAGTCCCAGCTACTCCAGAGGCTGAGGCTGGAGGATCACTTGAGTCCAGGAGTTGGGGGTTAAAGTGAGCTATGGTCATGTTTCTGCAGTTTGGCTTGGGTGACAGAGCAAGACCCTGTCTGTAAAAAAAAAAAATAAGTCAAAAGGAAGAAGAAACAAAAAATTCACAGGGAATGTGGGGAAAGTGCAGAGACTGTGAAAGAGATCCACAATGTGTAGATACAATTTTAAAGCCCTCCTTGGTATTTTTCTAAATTAAGAAGTATTATCCAGTAAAAAATGCTTTTTAATCAAGCAATATTCTTTTATAATATATTCTTCTCGTGCACTCCAATGTCCTCTTCTCTCTCCTCTTCTGGCTACAGTTGCACCAGGAAGCTGAGGCAGAGACAAGGTGAACATAACTGTAAATGGTAAAAAAAAGAATAAAAAAAGAAATAAATACTTCAAAGAGAGTTAGCAAATAAACCATCCCACATTTGGTTGACTTTTGGTGAATTATCCTAGAACTAGGGAAGATCAAAAGCAGAGATTACAGTCTGGAGGCTATTGCAACGTTCCAGGTAAGAGATGATGGTGGCCTGGAGTAGAATAAAATGGTAAATGTGGAGGAAAATGAAAAGATTCAAGAGGCATTTTGTAATTGTTGTCATGTCTGTCCTTAGAGTCACAGCAGTTGCAGTAATAATGCTAGAAACATTTTAAGCATAGTGATCATCCAATCCAACTGACAGTGTCTCCGGTTGCCAACAAAGAGGTGAACGGGCACTAGCATCACTCCATCCCAGGGTAATTACATCATTTGGTCATCAGCTACTGTATTCATCTCCTCAAAGGTGTTGTGATCTCAAAGCTTATTCTATATGTTTTCTTTATTTCATTTAACTGACTTTGCTGACCCTTGATCCAGTTCTTATTTCTCCACTGAATTCTGAAACTCTTGAATCTTCTCCTTTGCAGTCAGCCAACTCTCTTAATCCTCTACTATTGTTCAGAATGTTCCCTTTATTTTAACAGCTTTATTAAGGTGTAATTGTTATGCACAAAAAGCTGCACATAATTAATATATAAAATTTGATAGGTTTTAACATGGGGTGTTTTTCCATTTATTTGGTTTTCTTTAATTTCTTTCAGCATTTTTTTGTAGTTTTCAATGTACAGGTCTTTCACTTCTTCATTTAAGTTTATGCCTAAGTATTTTATTATTCTTGATGCTATCATAAATAGAATTATAAACCAAAAGTAAAAATTTAAGCCCCCCAACTGACTGAATGGACCCTTTCTCTTGGCCAAGAAGATTCCAAAAAAAATCTGAAAAACTAGTTCAGGCCATGATGGGAAGGGGGTTCAGTTATGCCTCATTATACTCTCCTTCCTTTGGAATTCAGGCACAAATGACCAGCATTAACATTAAAACAGAGATCTTTACACTGACAACCTGATTATTTGTAGCAATATGATACCAAATTCAATCCGATCCTAGCAGAGCATCACATGACAAATAGCAGGCCCTAAAGGAAATTGAGTATTTAATCTCAAAATATACTTATTTGACATATGTTGAAGTGGCCTGGCAAAGCTCTCTCGTGGGGGAAATTTACATTTTGTAGAGAACTGCAGGTCTCTTTCTGAGCCGGAGGAGATTAGTTGAGAATCTACCACCCTTAAAAGGACTGAATTAGAAAATATTTGCCATCTATTGCCTCTAAGGGTGGCTGCCTTTGAGACTTCATCTACATAATAAGAACCTTCATCTCCACAACCACTCATCTTAACCCAGACACTCCTTTCTATTGATTCCAGGTCTTTAAATAATGACTCTTTCAACCAATTGCCAATCAGAAAATCTTTGAATCCGCCTATGACCTGGAAGTCCCTGTTTTGAGTTCTTCCACCTTTCTGAACCAAAAAAAATGTATATCCTACAGGTATTGATTGATGTCTTATGTCTCCATGAAACATATACAATTAACCTGTAACCCAACCACCTTGGGCACATGTTTTCAGGACCTCTTGAGACTATGTCTTGGGCCTTGTTCACTGATATTTGGCTCAGAATAAATCTCTTTAGATATTTTACACAGTTTGGCTTTTTCATCAATATAATCATTTTCTTCATTTCCTTTTCAGAGAGTTTAATGTTGTTATATAGAAATGCAAATAATTTTTGTATGTTGTTTTTATTTCCTGTAACTCTTATACATTTAACTTGAACACCATCCAAATTATTGGTGTATAACTGTTAATTGGAGTCTCTTGTGATCCTTTTTATTTTTATTTTTATTTATTTTATTTTATTTTTATTTTTTTTAATTTTTTATTTTTTTATTTTTATTTTTTATTATTATTATACTTTAAGTTTTAGGGTACATGTGCACAATGTGCAGGTTAGTTACATATGTATACATGTGCCATGCTGGTGTGCTGCACCCATTAACTCGTCATTTAGCATTAGGTATATCTCCTAATGCTATCCCTACCCTCTCCCCCCACCCCACAACAGTCCCCAGAGTGTGATGTTCCCCTTCCTGTGTCCATGTGTTCTCATTTTTCAATTCCCATCTATGAGTGAGAATATGCGGTGTTTGGTTTTTTGTCCTTGCAATAGTTTACTGAGAATGATGATTTCTAATTTCATCCATGTCCCTACAAAGGACATGAACTCATCATTTTTTACGGCTGCATAGTATTCCATGGTGTATATGTGCCACATTTTCTTAATCCAGTCTATCATTGTTGGACATTTGGGTTGGTTCCAAGTCTTTGCTATTGTGAGTAGTGCCGCAATAAACATACGTGTGCATGTGTCTTTATAGCAGCATGATTTATAGTCCTTTGGGTATATACCCAGTAATGGGATGGCTGGGTCAAATGGTATTTCTAGTTCTAGATCCCTGAGGAATCGCCACACTGACTTCCACAATGGTTGAACTAGTTTACAGTCCCACCAACAGTGTAAAAGTGTTCCTATTTCTCCACATCCTCTCTAGCACCTGTTGTTTCCTGACTTTGTAATGATTGCCATTCTAACTGGTGTGAGATGGTATCTCATTGTGGTTTTGATTTGCATTTCTCTGATGGCCAGTGATGATGAGCATTTTTTCATGTGTCTTTTGGCTGCATAAATGTCTTATTTTGAGAAGTGTCTGTTCATGTCCTTCGCCCACTTTTTGATGGGGTTGTTTGTTTTTTTCTTGTAAATTTGTTTGAGTTCATTGTAGATTCTGGATATTAGCCCTTTGTCAGATGAGTAGGTTGCAAAAATTTTCTCCCATTTTGTAGGTTGCCTGTTCACTCTGATGGTAGTTTCTTTTGCTGTGCAGAAGCTCTTTAGTTTAATTAGATCACATTTGTCAATTTTGGCTTTTGTTGCCATTGCTTTTGGTGTTTTAAACATGAAGTCCTTGCCCATGCCTATGTCCTGAATGGTAATGACTAGGTTTTCTTCTAGGGTTTTTATGGTTTTAGGTCTAACGTTTAAGTCTTTAATCCATCTTGAATTAATTTTTGTGTAAGGTGTAAGGAAGGGATCCAGTTTCAGCTTTCTACATATGGCTAGCCAGTTTTCCCAGCACCATTTATTAAATAGGGAATCCTTTCCCCATTGCTTGTTTTTCTCAGGTTTGTCAAAGATCAGATAGTTGTAGATATGCGGCGTTATTTCTGAGGGCTCTGTTCTGTTCCATTGATCTATATCTCTGTTTTGGTACCAGTACCATGCTGTTTTGGTTACTGTAGCCTTGTAGTATAGTTTGAAGTCAGGTAGCGTGATGCCTCCAGCTTTGTTCTTTTGGCTTAGGATTGACTTGGTGATGCGGGCTCTTTTTTGGTTCCATATGAACTTTAAAGTAGTTTTTTCCAATTCTTTGAAGAAAGTCATTGGTAGCTTGATGGGGATGGCATTGAATCTATAAATTACCTTGGGCAGTATGGCCATTTTCGTGATGTTGATTCTTCCTACCCATGAGCATGGAATGTTCTTCCATTTGTTTGTATCCTCTTCTATTTCATTGAGCAGTGGTTTGTAGTTCTCCTTGAAGAGGTCCTTCATGTCCCTTGTAAGCTGGATTCCTAAGTATTTTATTCTCTTTGAAGCAATTGTGAATGGGAGTTCACTCATGATTTGGCTCTCTGTTTGTCTGTTATTGGTGTATAAGAATGCTTGTGATTTTTGTACATTGATTTTGTATCCTGAAACTTTGCTGAAGTTGCTTATCAGCTTAAGGAGATTTTGGGCTGAGACAATGGGGTTTTCTAGATATACAATCATGTCATCTGCAAACAGGGACAATTTGACTTCCTCTTTTCCTAATTGAATACCCTTTATTTCCTTCTCCTGCCTAATTGCCCTGGCCAGAACTTCCAACACTATGTTGAATAGGAGTGGTGAGAGAGGGCATCCCTGTCTTGTGCCAGTTTTGAAAGGGAATGCTTCCAGTTTTTGTCCATTCAGTATGATATTGGCTGTGGGTTTTTCATAGATAGCCCTTATTATTTCAAGATACGTCCCATCAATACCTAATTTATTGAGAGTTTTTAGCATGAAGTGTTGTTGAATTTTGTCAAAGGCCTTGTCTGCATCTATTGAGATAATCATGTGGTTTTTGTCTTTGGTTCTGTTTATATGCTGGATTACATTTATTGATTTGCATATATTGAACCAGCCTTGCATCCCAGGGATGAAGCCCACTTGATCATGGTGGATAAGCTTTTTGATGTGCTGCTGGATTCGGTTTGCCAGTATTTTATTAAGGATTTTTGCAACAATGTTCATCAAGGATATTGGTCTAAAATTCTCTTTTTTGGTTGTGTCTCTGCCCGGCTTTGGTATCAGGATGATGCTGGCCTCATAAAATGAGTTAGGGAGGATTCCCTCTTTTTCTATTGATTGGAATAGTTTCAGAAGGAATGGTACCAGTTCCTCCTTGTACCTCTCATAGAATTCGGCTGTGAATCCATCTGGTCCTGGACTCTTTTTCGTTGGTAAGCTATTGATTATTGCCACAATTTCAGATCCTGTTATTGGTCTATTCAGAGATTCAACTTCTTCCTCATTTAGTCTTGGGAGAGTGTATGTGTCGAGGAATTTATCCATTTCTTCTAGATTTTCTAGTTTATTTGCGTAGAGGTGTTTGTAGTATTCTCTGATGGTAGTTTGTATTTCTGTGGGATCGGTGGTGATATCCCCTTTATCATTTTTTATTGCGTCTATTTGATTCTTCTCTCTTTTTTTCTTTATTAGTCTTGCTAGCGGTCTATCAATTTTGTTGATCCTTTCAAAAAACCAGCTCCTGGATTCATTAATTTTTTGAAGGGTTTTTTTTGTCTCTATTTCCTTCGGTTCTGCCCTGATTTTAGTTATTTCTTGCCTTCTGCTAGCTTTTGAATGTGTTTGCTCTTGCTTTTCTAGTTCTTTTAATTGTGATGTTAGGGTGTCAATTTTGGATCTTTCCACTTAAAGTATATTTTGTTTTATATAAGTATAAGACATAGGTCCTGAAAACATGTGCCCAACGTGATTGGGTTACAGCTTAATTTTATGTGTTTCATGGAGACATAAGACATCAATCAATACATGTAGGGTATACATTGGTTTGGTTCAGAAAGGTGGAACAACTCAAAACAGGGACTTCCAGGTCATAGGTGGATTCAGAGGTTTTCTGATTGGCAATTGGTTGATGGAGTCATTATTTAAAGACCTGAAAACAATAGAAAGGAGTGTCTGAGTTAAGATGAATGGTTGTGCAGATGAAGGTTCTTATTATGTAGATGAAGTCTCAAAGGCAGCCACCCTTAGAGGCAATAGATAATCTCTTTTGTTAATCATTTATATGGAATATCTTTTTTCAACCTTCCCCTTTTAAGCCTATGTGTGTCGTTAAATCTAAAGTGTGTCTATTATAGACTGCATATAGTTGGGTCTTTTTTTTTTTTAATCCATTTGGCTTCAGTTACTATATCTTTCAACTACACAGCTGAATCTATTTACATTTAAAGTAATTATTAATACAGAAGGATTCACTATTGCCATTTTGTTAAATTTTTAAGTGTCCTGTAGTTCTTTCATTTTTCTTTTCTTCTCTTGCTGTCTTCTTTTGTGTTCCATTGGTGATTTTTTAGTGATAGCCTTTGATTCCTTTCCCTATTTTCCTCCCTCCCTTCGTTCCTTCCTTTCCTTCCTTTCTTTCTTTCCTTTTTTTTTTTTTTTTTCTTTTTTTTAGATAGAGTCACACTCTGTTGCCCAGGCTGGAGTGCAGTGACACCATCTCAGTCTCAGCTCACTGCAACCTCCGCCTCCCAGGTTCAAGTGATTCTCCTGCCCCAGCCTCCTGAGTAGCTAGGATTACAGGCTCATGTCACCCTACCTGGTTAATTATTTTGTTTATTTTCTATAGATATTTTCTTTGTGGTTACCATGAAGCTTACATAAAACATCTTATAGGTATAACAGTCTAAGCTCATCAGAAACATAACTATTAGGTTTGTGCAAATGTAATTGCAGTTTTTGCATTGTTGAAATTTGCCATTTGATATTGGAATACATTTTTAAGTAAATATGGTTATGTTATCCGTTGTTTTAATGTGCATTTCTTGCTTTTCTTTTTTGTTAATGAGTTATTACTTGCTGTTTATTTTATATTTAATTTAGACCATGGAAATGATGTTAGACAAAAAGCAAATTTGAGCAATTTTCTTATTCAAGTTCAAAATGGTCCGTAAAGCAGCAGAGACAACACGCAACATCAACAACACATTTGGCCCAGGAGCTGCTAAGAAATGTACAATGAAGTGGTGGTTCAAGAAGTTTTGCAAAGGACATGACAGCCTTGAAGATGAGAAGCATAGTGGCTGGCCACTGGAAGTTGCCAATGACCAACAGAAAGCAATCATCAAAGCTGATCCTCTTACAACTACACAAGAAGTTGCTGAAGAACTCAGTATCGACCACTCTATGGTTGTTCAGCATTTGAAGCAAATTGGAAAGGTGAAAAAGCTCAAGAAGTGGGTGCCTCATGAGCTGAACGAAAATGATAAAAATTGTCATATTGAAGTGTCATCTTCTCTTATTCTATGCAACAACAAGGCACCATTTCTTGGTTGGATTGTGATGTGCGATGAAAAGTGGATTTTATACAACCAGCAGTGATCAGCTCAGTGGTTGAATCAAGAAGAAGCTCCAAAGCACTTCTTAAAGCCAAACTTGCACCAAAAAAAGGTTATGGTCACTGGTTGCTGGTCTGCTGCTAGTCTGATGCACTACAGGTTTCTGAACCCTGTCAAAACCATTACATCTGAGAAATATGCTCAGCAAATCAATGAGATGCACCAAAAACTGCAATGCTTGCAGCCAGCGTTGGTCAACAGAAAGGGCCCAATTCTCCTCCATGACAATGCCTGACCACACATTGCATAGCCAACATTTCAAAAGTTGAAAGAATTGGGCTATGAAATTTTGCCCCATCCGCCATGTTCACCTGACTTCTTGTCAACCAACTACCACTTCTTCAAGCATCTCTAAAACATTTTGCAGGGAAAACATTTCCACAATGAGCATGATGCAGAAAATGGTTTCCAAGAGTTCGTCAAATCCCAAAGCACAGAATTTTATGCTACGGGAATAAACAAACTTATTTGTCATTGGCAAAAATGTGTTGATTGTAATGGTTCCTATTTTGATTAATAAAGATGTGTTTGAGCCTAGTTATAATGACTTAAAATCCATGGTCCAAAACCACAATTACTTTTGCACCAACCTAATATAATGGAATACAAAAGACCTACACTTTAGCAACCCCCTACACTTTATGTTATAAATGAAACAATTTACATCTTTTTTATGTATATCCATTAACAAATTTTGTATTTATAGTTATTCTTAATACTTTTGTCTTTTGCTTTTATACTAAAATTAAAAGCAATTTACATACCAACATTATATCATGATATTCTGTATTTGTCTATATATTTACATTTACCATAAGTTTTACATTTTCTTATGTTTCTGTGTTGCTATTTAGCATCCTTTCATTTCAACTTGAAAAATTCCCTTTCATATTTCTTATAAGACAGTGATAGTAGTGAGGAACTCTCAGGTTTTGTTTGCCTCAAAATGTCTTTATCTTTTTCTCATTTTGGAAGGATAGTTTTGCTTAATATGGTATTCTGGTTGATAGATTTTTGTTTGTTTTTTCTTCTAGCAACTTGAATACATCATCTTACTCTCTCCTGGCCTGCAAGGCTTCTGTTGGTAAATCCACTACTAGTCTTGAGGGTGTTTCCATTGTACATGGCAAATCACTTTTCTTTTGTTCCCTTCGTAATTCTCCTTGTCTTTGAATTTTGATAATTTGATTCCTATGTGTCTCTGTGTACACTTCTTTGGGTTCACTATTTTTTGCATTCTTTGGGCTTCATGAATCTGGTTGTCCATTTACATTTCCAGATTCTGGAAGTTTTCAGGCATTATTTCTTTTTTTGTTTGTTTGTTTTTGTTTTGTTTTGTTTTTATTTCCCAGATCTCTTACTAAAACGTGTCATTTTTTAAAAAATCAATTTTGTTCTTCTATCTCTCTTCTCCTTCTGAGTCCCCCATAATGCATATTGCTTCTTTTTATAGTCTCTTATAAGTCCCTTAGGCTTTCTTTACTCTTTTGCATTTCATTTTCTATTTTTGATTCGCTGACAGATAATTTTACATGATTTGTCTTTGGGTTTGCTATTCTTTTATTTCCTGAAGTCTGCTTTTGAAGCTATTTAATTTTTCAATTCAGTTTTTGCATTCTTTAGCTCTTGAATTTCTGTTTGGTTTTCTACTTGTGGTTTTTATCTCCTTGTTAATATTCTCATTTTGTTCATGTGTTAGTTTCCTGATTTTGTTTAGTTGTCTGTCTGTATTCTTTTATAACTTAATGAGCTTATTTAAAATGATTATTTTTAATTCTTTGTTAGGCTATTCATAGATCTCCACTTCTTAAGAGATGCTTACTGAAGATTTATTTTGTTCCTTTAGTCATGGTACATTTCCCTGATTCATCATGATCCTTGTAGCTTTGCCTTGGTGTCTGCACATTAGAGTTATCAGCCACCTTTCCCAGTGTTCATAGACTAACTTAGATAAGATTTTCATCAACCAGATTTTATTGCTAGAGATTCTGGGAGCCTCTTAAACTGTTTCCATAGATGTTCATGTACTCTGCTTCTTTCTTCCTGCTATGGAAAACTCCTCAGTTCTGCACTTTCTCTCAATCTCACAGTGCTGTACCAGTCATAGCAAGAAGCTCTCTGCTTTTCTTTGTTCTTAACTTCCCAAAGGCATCTGAGCTATGGCAGATCCATAAACACTATATATGAGGTGAGACAAAAACCAGATTCTTTGACAGCACACTGAAAGAAGAGTGACATGAAGCCTCACTATTTCCCCTCAAGAGAGAAGTCATGGGCCAGATGAGCTCTCTTGACACTGAACTGTGCTGTCTTGTGGGAGGGACTGGCATGGGTAAAGTGAAACTGTTCTTTTTACCCATGTTGATAGGTTCTCAGCTTTGTGCTCATCTGGAATACTGCAAACTTTTAACTATATTCTAAACCTCTTATAAAGGGATTTTGTTTAGCATTTTGTTGTTAAATGTGGGAGAATGAGTTCTGGGACTTCTTATTCCATGATCTTGCTGATGTAACTCCAGAATATTCCTTTATCTTTTTGCTTCAACTCAATAATACTCAATCCTGGTTACATATATGAATTGTCTGGAGAAATTTAAAATAATAATGCCTGCATTTGATTCATAGATATTATAGTTAAATGTATTGGGGGTGGGGTCCATCAGGCATTGGGATTTGGCTAAAGCATACTAGAAATTTCCAATGAGCAACTATAGGTAGTAGCTATTCTCTTCACTTAAAACTAGATTTCTATTAAAACCTCTAAATTGAGTATTATTGATCCTTTCATGCCTTTATATCTCAGGATTGTGTTCTTGACCTTCTTGCTTCCCATTGCCTCTTTGAAACCAATACTTGCTTATCAAAAACATCTTTGCTGCCATGAGACACACCACATTCGAATATTTCTTAAACATGACATCAAAAGCATAATCCATGAAAAAATCAAAAATGATAATTTGGACTTCATCAAAACTTAAAATGTCTGCTTCTCAAAGGCACTGTGAAGTACATAAAAAGACAAGACACAAACGAGGACAGAATATTTGCAAATCAAATATCTGATAAAAGTCTTATATTCAGCGTCTATAAAGATCTCTCAAAATTAAATAACAAAAAGAAAAATTACCCAGTTTTTTGAATGGGCAAAGGATTATAAGAAGCATCTCACCAAAGAAGACATATATTTGTCAAGTAAAATTATAAAAATATGCTCAACATAATTATTCATTAGGAAAATGTAAATCATAACCTTCATGAGATACCACTGCATACCTATTAAATGGCTGAAATTAAAAAGACTGACCATACCAAGTATTGGTAAGGACGTGGAAGAACTTGTAGAAATGTAAAATGTTACAATATGATCTAGTCATTTTACTCCTACACATTTACCCAAAAGAAAAGAAGAAATATATTCATGCAAAGACTGGTATAAGATGTTGACTGCAGCTTTACCCATAATAACTCAAAACTGGAAACAATTATATGTTCAAAAACAGGTGAATGAGTGAACAAATTATGAATGATCCATACAATTAAATATTAATTAATAATAAGAAGGAATGACATGTGCAACAACATGGATACATGCAACAACATGGATAAACTATTGATACACGCAACAACATGGATACATCTCTAACTAAGGTGAGTGAAAATATCAGAAAGAAAAAAGAATAGATACTGAATTACTCATTTATATAAAACTATAAGAAATGGAAACTAATCTATAGCGACAGAAAGCAGAGCAATGATTTCCTGGGGAGTGTGGGACAGGAGAGAAAGGATAAAGAAATTACATAAGGGCACAAGGCAACATTTGGGAATAATGAATACATTATGTTCACTACCCTGCTTGCAGTGATGGTTTCACAGGTGTATACATATGACAAAACTTATAAAATTGCACTTTAAATCCCTTTAGTTTATTGTATTTTTACTATACTTCAATGATGCTGTTAAAAATAATTGAGAAGGAGGGCAAGATAGCTGACTAGACACAACCAAGTGGAACAGCTCCCACTGAGGGACTGAGACAACTGGCATGCTCCTAATAGATCTTCAGAGGGAAGGATCTGAGAGTGGATAGAGGGAAGACACAGAAGCTGAGCTGAAGGGGGAGAAAGCTGGGAAGCCTGCATGGGCCTACCATACATGAGGACTTATTCCCAGTCCCCAGTGGCTCCAGGGGAATGGGTGAGTTGAACTGTCAAGGAAAAACCCCCTCTCACCATGGGCTTCTTGTATCCCAGCAGGAGAAGTTCCCTTAACCACGACAGACACTCAGGTTGGCAGAGAGCTGCTTAGTGAAGTGATGGGGCAGGAAGCCAGCAGATGTAGGGCCCAGAGAGTTTGGTGTGGGAGCATCTGTAGCAGAGGACAGCCAGGGGTGACCATCCCTCTAAGCTTGACTTGTTCCTATAGAAGGCTTTAGACCTAGGGGAACTATCAGACCTGAACTCTGCAGGGTGGTCTTGCCCATCAGACAGGGCCAGTGTGACCTGAGCATTCTTTGGTGTGCTGGCCTTTCCCAGGCCCCACCCTGGCCATGCCTGCTTGCAGGGCAGTTCTAGGTGCTTGAGGAGCCCACGCCATAGCTTTTGCACTTGCAGACTGTGACTGACCAGCAGAGAGCTCTAGCAAGGCAGCCCCTACGCACCAGCCCACCTGCTCCTTCCCCACACTGCAGCTTCCTCCCAGCTCATGGCAACTTCCCACATCACTTTGCTGGTGCATATCTGTGCAGGTGGGTTTTGTTTTCCTTGCCCCACCAGTGGGCAGGAATGCAGTCCATTCCCACATCACCCACAGACTTCCATTGGAGACTGAGCCTTGGAAGGCACAGAGCCAGCCAACCCCACTTCCACCAGTGCTCTGCCCTTGCACTAACACTACACAGAGAACAATGGATCCTCCCCTATGCTGAGTGAACATCCCTGCCTGCAGGGCATAGAGAAGGAAACTAGACCTGTGCCTACCAGTGCCCTGCCCCTGAGTGAGAGGAGGGCACCCAGGCACCTGCTAGCACTCTGCATCAGCTGCCACTACTGCTGTTATTGGCACAGGCTAATGTGGACAGAGCCTGCTGTCACTGCACTATGAAACACTTTGCCTGACACCACCCATTGGAGTGTAGCAACCAACCCAACACTGGGAACACCTTAGCTCCCCAAGTGCAGTGGATTCCTAATTTCAAGGAGCAAGAGAACAAAGTTGAGGACCAATACAAGTCTCCCAGAGTAAGAACGCTTAATCCAGGAGTTAGGAGCTGAGGGTTGGCCCCTAAAATTTTCCAGAAATGAAGCCTGTCAGCTGAATCCACCTTATATGACAATCAAATCCTGAAGATCATCAGATAGGATAAAAGATTTTTAAAAAAATCCAAAGGTCAGCAGCCTCAAAGATTGAAGGTAAATAAGCCCACAAGCTGAGAAATAATCAGTGCAAGGACCTTGAAAACTCAGCCAGAATGCCTTATTTCCTTCAAACAACTACATCACCTCTCCAACAAGGATTCTGAACTGGGCTGAGATGGTGGAAATGACAGAAATAGCATTCAGAATATGGATAGGAATAAAGATCACTGAGCTACAGGAGTACATTGAAATCCAATTCAAGGAAGTTAAAAATCATGATAAAACAATTCAGGAGCTGACAGACAAAATAGCCAGTATAGGAAAAAAATGTAACTGATTTGATGAGCTGAAAAGCACACTACAGGAATTTCATAATGCAATCACAAGTATTAATAGAATAGACCAAGCAGAAGAAAGAATTTCAGAGTTTGAAGACTGGCATTCAAAAATAAGACAATTATATAAGAATAGAGAAAAAAATAAAAAAGAATGAAGAAAATCTCTAAGAAATATGAGATTACATAAAGAGACCAAATTTATGACTCACTGGTGTCTTTGGAAGAGACAAGGACAGCATAAGCAACTTGGAAAACATGTTTCAATGAAGCAAACCTCTGAGAAATATGGAATTATGTAAAGAGACCAAATCTGTGACTCATTGGTGTCTTTGAAAAAGATGAGGACAGCATAAGCAACTTGGAAAACATATTTCAGGATATCATCCATGAAAACTTCCCCAAACTAGCTAGAGAGGCCAACACTCAAATTCAGGAAATGCAGAGAACTCAAGTACGATACTTCACAAGAAGATTATCCTCAAGACATATAATCATCAGAATCTCAGAGGTTCAAATGAAAGAAAAAATGCTAAAGGCAGAAAGATAGAAAGACCAGGTCACCTACCTACAAAGGGAAGCCCATCAGACTAACAGTGGACCTATCAGCAGAAAACCTACAAGCCAGAAGATACTGGGGGCCAGTATTCAAATTCTTAAAGAAAATACATTCCAACTCAGAATTTCATATCCATCTAAACTAAGCTTCACTAAGTGAAGAAGAAATAAGATCCTTTTCAGAC
This sequence comes from Homo sapiens, assembly GCF_000001405.40. Taxonomy (NCBI): domain Eukaryota; kingdom Metazoa; phylum Chordata; class Mammalia; order Primates; family Hominidae; genus Homo; species Homo sapiens. Next base: position 219,113,950 of record NC_000001.11, read on the forward strand.
AAGCAAATTCTCAGGGAATTTGTTACCACCAGATGTGGCATACAAGAGCTCCTGAAGGAAGCATTAACTACAAAAAGGAAAGACTCTTACCAGCCACTATAAAAGCACACTGAAGTACACATATCAGTGACACTATAAAGCAACCACATAAACAAGTCTGCAAAATAACTAGCTAAAATCATGATGACACGATCAATTCCACAAATATCAATACTAACCTTGAATGTAAATGGGCTAACTGCTCCAATTAAAAGACACAGAATGGCAAGCAACCTGGATAAAGAACAAAAACCCATTGGTATGCTGTCTTCAAGAGACTCATCTCACATGCAATGACATGTATAAGCTCAAAACAAAAGGATGGAGAAAAATCTACCAAGCAGATGGAAAACAGAAAAAAACAGGGGTTGCAACCCTAGTTTCAGAAAAAACAGACTTTAAAACAACAAAGATCAAAGAAGACAAAGAAGGGCATTACATTTGGTAAAGGGTTCAATTCAACAAGATTTTACTATCCTAAATATACATGCACCCAACACAGGAGCACCCAGATTCATAAAGCAAGTTCTTAGATACCTTCAAAAAGACTTAGACTCTCAAACAACAATAGTGGGAGACTTTAATTCTTCTCTCTTTTTTTCTTTATTAGTCTTGCTAGTGGTCTATCAATTTTGTTGATCCTTTCAAAAAACCAGCTCCTGGATTCATTAATTTTTTGAAGGGTTTTTTGTGTCTCTATTTCCTTCAGTTCTGCTCTGATTTTAGTTATTTCTTGCCTTCTGCTAGCTTTTGAATGTGTTTGCTCTTGCTTTTCTAGATCTTTTAATTGTGATGTTAGGGTGTCAATTTTAGATCTTTCCTGCTTTCTGTTGTCTTTGACAAACCTGAGAAAAACAAGCAATGGGGAAAGGATTCCCTATTTAATAAATGGTGCTGGGAAAACTGGCTAGCCATATGTAGAAAGCTGAAACTGGATCCCTTCCTTACACCTTATACAAAAATCAATTCAAGATGGATTAAAGACTTAAACCTTAGACCTAAAACCATAAAAACCCTAGAAGAAAACCTAGGCATTACCATTCAGGACATAGGCATGGGCAAGGACTTCAAGTCTAAAACACCAAAAGCAATGGCAACAAAAGCCAAAATTGACAAATGTGATCTAATTAAACTAAAGAGCTTCTGCACAGCAAAAGAAACTACCATCAGAGTGAACAGGCAACCTACAAAATGGGAGAAAATTTTCGCAACCTACTCATCTGACAAAGGGCTAATATCCAGAATCTACAATGAACTCAAACAAATTTACAAGAAAAAAACAAACAACCCCATCAAAAAGTGGGCGAAGGACATGAACAGACACTTCTCAAAAGAAGACATTTATGCAGCCAAAAAACACATGAAAAAAAGCTCACCATCACTGGCCATCAGAGAAATGCAAATCAAAACCACAATGAGATACCATCTCACACCAGTTAGAATGGCAATCATTACAAAGTCAGGAAACAACAAGTGTTGGAGAGGATGTGGAGAAATAGGAACACTTTTACACTGTTGGTGGGACTGTAAACTAGTTCAACCATTGTGGAAGTCAGTGTGGCAATTCCTCAGGGATCTAGAACTAGAAATACCATTTGACCCAGCCATCCCATTACTGGGTATATACCCAAAGGACTATAAATCATGCTGCTTTAAAGACACATGCACACATATGTTTACTGCGGCATTATTCACAATAGCAAAGACTTGGAACCAACCCAAATGTCCAACAATGATAGACTGGATTAAGAAAATGTGGCACATATACACCATGGAATACTATGCAGCCATAAAAAATGATGAGTTCATGTCCTTTGTAGGGACATGGATGAAATTGGAAATCATCATTCTCAGTAAACTATCGCAAGGACAAAAAACCAAACACCGCATATTCTCACTCATAGATGGGAATTGAACAATGAGAATACATGGACACAGGAAGGGGAACATCACACTCTGGGGACTGTTGTGGAGTGGGGGGAGGGGGGAGGGATAGCACTGGGAGATATACCTAATGCTAGATGACGAGTTAGTGGGTGCAGCACACCAGCATGGCACATGTATACATATGTAACTAACCTGCACATTGTGCACATGTACCCTAAAACTTAAAGTATAATAATAATAAATAAATAAATGAATTAATTAAAAAATAATAATAATAATAATTTTGAAGTTGGAGCAACCACATTTTTGGGTATATCTTAAAATAAATGTACTAAGAATGTTATTGTGAAAGTAACAATTTTGATTCATGCTTTAATAATGTAATTTATGAAGTGTCAATTGCAGATAATCTTATATAGTATAGTTATATGTACCTTAATAAAATCCACTTTGAAGTATTAAAAAAAAAACAACAATAGTGGGAGACTTTAACATCCCACTGAGAATTGTAGACAGATCATCAAGACAGAAAATTAACAAAGATATTCAGGACATGAACTCAGCACTGGATCAAATAAATTTGATAGGCATCTACAGAATTCTCCACCCCAAAACAACAGAATATACATTCTTCTCGTAGCCACATGACACATACTCTAAAATAGATCACATACTCTAAAACTGATCACATGATCAGAAGTAAAATACTCTTCAGCAAGCATAAAATAATTGAAATCATAATAAATAATCTTATGGATCATAGCAGAATCGAATTAGAAATCAAGACTAAGAAATTCACTCAAAATCCTCAAGACCATACAATTACATGGAAATTGAACAACCTGCCACTGAATGACTTCTGGGTAAATAATAAAATTATGGCAGTAATTAAGAAGTTCTTTGAACCTAATAAGAACAAAGATATATCAGAATCTCTGGGACACAGCTAAGGTAGTGTTAAGAATGAAATTTATAGCACTAAATGCCCACATCAGTAAGTTAGAAAAATCTCAAGTTAAACCTAACATCACAACTAAAAGAAATAGAGAGCCAAGAGCAAACAAATCTCAAAGCTACCAGAAGACAAGAAATGACCAAAATCAGAGCTGAACTGAAGGAGATCGAGATACGAAAAACTATTCAAAAGATCAACAAACCCAGAAGCTGTTTTTTTAAAAAAAAATACTAAAATATATAGACTACCAGCTAGACAATAAAGAAGAAAAGAGAGATGATCCAAACAAATGCAATCCAAAATGACAAAGGGGATACTGCCACTGACCCCAGAGAAATAAAAACAAACATCAGATAATATTATGAACATCTCTCTGCACATGACCTAGAAAATCTAGGAGAAATGGATAAAATCCTGGACACACATAACCTCCCAAGTCTGAGCCAGGAAGAAATATAATCCCTAAACAGACCAATAACCAGCTCTGAAATGGACTCAGAAAGGAATAGCCTACCAACCAAAAAGTGCCCAAGACCGGACAAATTCACAGCTGAATTCTACCAGAGGTACAAAGAAGAGCTAGTACCATTCCTGCTGAAACTATTCCAAACAATTGAAAAGGAGAGACTCCTCCCTAACTCATTCTATGAGACCAGCATCATTCTAATACCAAAACCTGGCAGGGACATAACAAAAAAGGAAACTTTAAGCCAATATCCTTGATGAACATCGATGCAAAAATCCTCAACAAAATACTAGCAAACCAAATCCAGCAGCACATCAAAAAGCTTATCAACCACAATCAAGTAGGCTTTATCTCTGAGATGCAAGGTTGGTTTAACATAGGCAAATCAATAAATGTGATTAATCAGATAAACAGAACTAAAGACAAAAACCACACGATTATCTCAATAAATCTAGAGAAGGCTTTCTATAAAATTCAAGACCCCTTCATGTTAAAAACTCTCTATGACAAACACACAGCCAAAATCATACTGAGTGGGCGAAAGCTGGAAGCATTCCCTTTGAAAAATGGCACAAGATGATGATGCCCTTTCTCACCACTCCTATTCAATCTAGTATTGTAAGTCCTGCCCAGGGCAATCAGGCAAAAGAAAAAAATAAAGGTCATCCAAATATGCAGAGAGGAAGTCAAACTACCCATGTTTGCAGATGACATGATTCTCTATCTAGAAAACCCCATAGTCTTGGCCCAAAAGCTCCTTAAGCTGATAAACAACTTCAGCAAAGTCTCAGGATACAAAATCAATGTATCACAATAAAAATCACTAACATTCCTATACACCAACAACAGTCAAGCCGAGAGCCAAATCAGGAATACAATCCCATTCACAATTGCCAGACACACACACACACACACATGCACACATGCACAAAATACCTAAGAATATAGCTAATCAAGGAGGTGAAAAATCTCTGAAGAAGAACCCCAAAACATTGCTCAAAGAAATCAGAGATGACACAAACAAATGGAAAAACATTCCATGCTCATGGATAGGAAGAAACAACGTCGTGAAAATGGCCATACTGCCCAAAGCAATTTATAGATTCTATGCTATTCCTATTAAACTACCACTGACATTCTTCACAGAACTAGAAAAGCTATTTTAAAATTCATATGGACCCAGAAAGAGCCTTAACAGCCAAGGCAATCCTAAGCAAAAGAATGGAGCTGGAGACCATTATCCTTAGCAAACTAACTCAGGAATGGAAAACCAAATACCACATGTTCTCACTTATAAGTGGGAGCTAAGTGATGAGAACACATGGACACAAAGAAGAGAACAACACACACTGGGGCCTGTCAGAGGGTGAAGGGAAAGAGGGAAGAAGAAGGTCAGGAAAAGTAATTAATGGGTGCCAGGCTTAATACCTGTGTAACCAAATAATATGTAAAACAAACCCCTATGACACAAGTTTACCTATTTAACAAACTTGAACATGTACCCTTGCACTTAAAATAGAAGTTAAATTTTAAAAAATAAAATAAAATAAAATAAAATAAAAAATATATACATGGCAGCATCTTCTAGGCCCTCAGAGCAGGAAAAATTAATTACTTTATATCATAAAGAAAAGAGAAATGGAGTGATATCACAACTCCATTTTAGATATTGTCCAAAGAAGAAAACCTCAAACTCCAAGCTATCCAATATTCATTAAAATTCAACTAAGAATATGACTGCCTTTCAAATGTATTATTCATTCATTCAGTCAAGAACTACTTACTAAGCACTCAATATATGCAAGGCACTGGAGGTATAACAGTGAACAAAACAATTTACCTGCTTTCATTGAACATATCCTAGTGGAGTGAGGTCGATAAGCAAATAAATAAATATGTATTATGTCATAAGTGCTAAAGAGAAAAATAAAGCAGAATGTTTTCTCCTGACACCACCCCCGCCCCCCACCGCCAGATTTTCATCTGGATTCAGTATCCTTTTACCCCAGTTGAATTTTTTAATTTACTGCACTTTTACAGCAATGTGAATAATATGTACTGAACAATCCATAGTCAACAATTTCACAGAAGTCATATATATAAAAAAAGGAGGCAAGATTACATCTAATTCATTTTATTTTCTAAAAAGTTTATTTAACAAATACTTCTATTGCACTTAGTTTGTTCCACACACTGTGCATTATGCATCTCATAATGATATTATGAGATACATAAAGTATCCCTATGAGATCTAAAAGTATCCCTATTTTCAGGTGGGCAAAGTGAAATACAGATTGGATACTTGTCCAGATCTCCCATAGCTAGTGCATAGCAGGTGAACAGCTGGCACTAGAGCTCATTATTGAAACCTCTACTTTTTGGTGCTTTCCTGGAGAAAGAATATTTTGATAGGGATGACAGCATTTTAGATAGATTTCAGTAGTGCTATATAGAATAGGCATATGCCAAGACAGATGACAAAGAGGAATAAATGAGTTTTTGAAAGTAAAATGTTACATGGAGAAATAATACTTTGAGCAAAGACTACAGAGAAGAATTAACAAAAATATTTAATTTTTAACCAATATTTACTAAAAACCTAGAAATAGCAATAAAACTGGTGGACCAGTTGAAAATCTAGCTTGCAGACATTTTTTTTTTTTCACCAAGAAAAGTGTTTTTAGTGTGCATGATTTTAAGCAATACATGCCTTTCTGGTTGTTGCAAGCTCATCACTCTTGACAGGTTTACAAGGGGCAGGGTTGCTTCACACATTTATGTCATCTGCCTAGCCTTTGAAAGTATTAGGATTCTCAGTCCCTCTACCAAGAAGACAATTAAATATTGGGAATGGAGAGAAATAAGATCCAGTCCTTGTGTTTGAATAGCTCACTCACATTCATTCATTCTTCAATTCACCAAATATGTTTTAAGTGTCTAATATATGCAGGATCCAAGCAGGTATAGGACTATACGATGAACAGAACCAATAGTCTTTGCTTACATGTAGCTTTCTAGCAGGAGAAGCAAATAAAGCTTATTAATTTTATGATTAACTATGAAGTTACACTGCTACTAATTGTCATAAAGGATAAATTTAATTGTTGAGAAGATATAAACATATAATTAAAATTTAGAGAGATAACCAATAATAGTAATAATTATATGGCACTGAGAGAGCATAGAAGAGGGACATCAAACTGAAACTGTAAGTTCAGGGATAAAGGAAGGGTAGGTGGAGTCAGGGAGGAAATTTCAGAGAAGCAATCCATCTTAAACAAAGTATTAACATAAGAAAGAAGGAAGAGATCATAGTTTCTATTGTTATTTCTCCATAAAGTCTTTGGAGACATTTATGGAAAATAATGATTTCCTACTTTATTTTATTTTCCTGACATATAGGTGTGTCCCAATTTTAATATTCCACTCATTTCTATATGAATCTGAAAGTGTGTGCAACTAAATGTGCACTGATGGCACCACCCTTGCACCATCTGTTTCTGATTAGGTAATCCAGGCTCTGCCTGGATGAATGACTTAGCATGACTCTGCAGCCTGAATTTTTTTAAAGAAGCCTGATAATTTTATGACACAAACAAGTTATAGAAAATAAAGCTAATTCATATCCTATAGAGCAAAAAATACATATCTTTACCAGTGAAAAGAAAGGCTAAATGACATGCAAACTGCATCTGACAGCTGGATTTTAGATTCCGTACTTATTTTAAAACTAAGAGCATGCTCTTTGATAAGTAAAACCTGAGTTCGCATTTTCTGATTTTCTGAGGGCTCTTCCTGTAGAGCATTTTCTTTCAGCAGGCTCCTTTGTTCGTTTTTATGAGTTAAATCCAAGTCGCAAATAAATGGATCTGTCATCATTTCTCAGAATGTGTTGTTTTCAACATGACCTGCTGATTTTCCCAAGTGCTATCTGTTATTGCGGAGTCATGGTAGCATGGCCCATCAACCCCTTTTGCTTGCTTTTTGGCCACTGAATCCCTTGCCTTTCCTTTGACCTCCACCCAAGTATATAGCCTTGCATCACTCTTTTCTCCAGATGTCTCTACTTTTTTTGATTCAAGTCCAAGGTATTTTAACTTGAATTTCTTGACTTCTCCCAAGAATAAGAACAGCTGCTGGAAAAAAGCCCAGGCTTACACAGTGAAATCTGGGTAGCAGAACTCCCTCACGTGCACAGCAACTTCACTGTCATATTCTTGAAAAAAGCCCCTCTAATTTTTTTTTCACTCCCATGGTGCTGTTGAAAAAAATCAAATGAGATCAAATAGGTAAAATTGCTTATATACTAAAATAAAGTGGAAAGATAAAAAATAAAGATAGTTATTTTTATAGACGGGAGATAACTTTATTATGGCTTTTTCTTTATTTGAAATAGTTTTATTAATCTGGTAAACAATAAATTGAACAAATGACTTGTTAGATTATGATGTAGACCTACCAATTGATTAATGACAGCTACTTCATCTACGTCAAGGCTTGCCTTATGTATCATCTCCTCCAGGAACCAACTGTGAATCTTAATCCTCAATTGGCTGCTGCACATTAGAATCAGCAGGGGAGCTTTTTAAGATCTTGATGTCCAGGCCACACATCTCAGAACAATACATTAGAAATTCTGGAAGTGGGAGCCAGGCATTAGTATTTTTAAGGCATCTCAAGGGATTCTAGTGTGTGGCCAAGGATGAGAATCGTTGATCTATGTTCCTAAACACCATGTGTGCACCCCAAAACTGTCCACATGTCCATCTCTCCTCCTGGACTGGATTCCTCAGACACAAGAATCACGGCCTTTTGATTTACTTTATTTCACTTTATGTCAAGTTTAAACCCTAGCACAATGACTACTACACAATAAGTGTTCAATAAATGTTGAATTAAGTGGAAGAGAATTGTACACTGCTCCACATTCCCCTGGATCATTTTTCTTATTATACTGATCAGAAAAAAAGGCTAAAAAGTAGTTGAGAAATGATGATTGGGTAAAAGTTGAACTTTTGTTTGTTTTGAATATTTAAACTGTTGGCTGTGAATTTTAGAAGATAGTTGGAAAAAAAACTACTTAAATTTCATCTCTAAGAACAACTTTTTCTTATGCAGTGTTTAACTTTTAGAGTGAAAGTCACTGAACTGAAAACTGGGTGGTCAATTTATTAACAAATTTCAACAATTTTGAAATAAATTTATTAGAATTCTTTAAAGATAATTTTCTTTTGGTATTCTAAAACACTGCTCCTTGTACTTTATTATGCTTAAGAATAATTTTGCAAGTTTATTACAAACTGCAAAGTACTAGGGATTACTACTAGAATTTCAGAATCAGGAGGTCTGGAGTGAAACAAAGACATTTGTGTAGGTAGGTATTTTTTTTTCTATGCCTAAAGCATGTGTTATTTTCTACACACTATTCCAAGTTCCAACTAATGTGCTGGGAAAATATAATTAAATATTATCATTTAAAAAATAAAATGGCACTATGAAAATACTACATTAATATCAGACTACTTTTTATGGTAAAATATTTTCAAGATCAATATTCTAAATCACATTAGGGGCTTTATTTTATATTAAATAAATATAAGACATGGTCGTTCAGATGCTCAAATCATGTTGTGGACCACACAAGATTAAATTAACACAGTCAAAATTAGTTAGATCTCTCCCACTTTTAAAATCATTTTCCTTCATGCCAAGGCTCTTGCTATTATATAATCTGATTCGTTCCCAGCTCAAACTGGCTGCTAGTATCATCCATCCTGCAGAGCAATTATCAAATATGCTAGGATTCTTAGTTGTGATAACAGAATTCACTCTACCTTCTTTAGGAAGAAAGGATTTTGTTACAAGATTTGGGTGGCTCACAGAGTCATCGTGAGGCTGAGGAAACAGACATTAGGCTAAGTTCCGGGAATGACTCCCAGAATCACACTCCCAACTGGCCCACCAAGGAAGCTGATGCCTCTGCCAAAATAAGGAAGTTTGAGATTCAGAAAGCTGTGATTACAGCTCTGCCACAGTCCACTCCGAGAAAGGAAGGCATCGTATCTTTCAGTTTTGTCTGCCTGATTCAGTTTCTAAGCAAAGTCTTCCCCAGGTGTATTTTATTTATAGAAACCAAATTAAATGTTTGTTTCAGGAGAAAGGGATTCTTCCTTGGAAAGTGTGATTTACACTGTAGGGAACTATACAAATGTAGAAGATGGTGGTCCAAAGATATTGGATAGCTGATGCCCACTGTACCTAGTTATTACAATATTTTGCGTCTTGATACATGCTTAAATAACTTTCTGTTTCTTGAGTGTCCTGAAATTAAGCATAAAAGTTTCTAGGTATTTTCTGAAGCATTTCGGCTGCTTCAAAATCAATAATTGCAAAATTTTAAATTTCACTTGGGCTGTTTATTTGCCCTTGGAGATGTGCATATTCCGGTTTTGAATGGGTAACAAAATAGATTTTGATAGAAATGTTTAAGCCAGAGGCTCCACGTATATGCAGCTTAGACAGGTACTTCATCTTTGAAAGTAAATAGATTTTTTTCTCATTTTGTAAATTGAGAGTACATTAAAATGTTTAATTTGGGGGAAGAAGTATGGGACAAAAAAATTATCCATGGGTCAGGATGGAGATAGAATAGCCAATGAAGTCTTTTTTCTTTAGTTTTATAATGCATATCTATAGCAAAAAGGACAAAATGTGACATGCTTGCCAATATTACCCTATAGTTACCTAGCACACAACTGTGATCCATAATAATAAACAAAGAAAGAAAGAAAACACTCCAAAAAAAGGCCATTTGCTTTGGTTTAGACAAAGCCACCTGACATTTGGGATGAAGGTCAATTACAGTAACAGACAAAATGCAGCCAAATTTGACAATTTTGTAAAACAGCATGGGTTTCCTTTAAATAAGAAGGGAGGAGGCCTGAAATTAATACTGAGCTTAGCTCATTGCCTCTCTCTAGTGTGAATTATCTAGTACAAATACAGTGCATGTGAAGAGCTTCTCAGAGTCCATTATCACTTGCTATTGGAATCTCTGCATGTGCGCTCGATGAAAACTTTCCAAATCATCTCGTGAAACCCAATCTGCTTGAACTCCATTTTTGGTGATAGGTTTCTATTTCTTTATTGCATCACCTGGTCAAGGCTGTGAAGCTGCCAAAAATCTTTATTCTCAGTGAACTCGGTCTTCCTATCTGGGAACATAAGTAGCTCCTTTGCTCTCACCTAGCAGACCGAGACTTTTTATGTCTACTGACCCCCTTGTTCCAAATATATTCTTTGATTTTATTCAGATGCAGAAAAAAAATAAGTGATAGCTTAAGGGTCAATACCTTATTAGGAACTAACAGAGCCATGCCTTGCACTTACAAAAAGACACTAATGTCAGTCTAGGGTATCTATCACCCAATAAATAGGAGGATTGTCATGTGGATTTGGGAGAAAGGTGGACACACATATAAAGGCTACCTCTCTCCATTTACATGTGAGGTTGGCAGTGTTTACAAAACAACACAGGTAAATTAATTGCCTTTTCAAAGAGTCATAAGCCACATCTTGTTAGAAACAACAATTCATAAAGGAGTAAATTGGCATTCCCTTATATCTACTTCTATGCCCATTGTCATTGAGTCAATTTAAACCATTACTATGTAACCTATCTTAAGGAAAAAAGTCTCCTGATGAGATTACAAGTTTCCAGATCGGTCCTCCATATTACCACCAGAGTCATCGTCCAAAAGAAAAATTATGTTTGGTTACTTCACTTCCAAAAATTCTTCAAGGATCCTCAGTTACCTAAGGGATAAAGACCAGACTTCTCAGCGAGACATAGAAAACTCACTGATTAGATACAACTACAACCTATTCAGCTATGGACCCCGAAGATTTTCACTCAGAAGACAATCATACCAAGGTTTTTTTGTTTGATTTGTTTTTGTTTTTTTGTTTTTGAGAGAGTCTTGGTCTGTTGCACAGCCTGGAGTGCAGTGGCAAGATCTTGGCTCACTGCAACCTCGTTTCCCAGGTTCAAATGATTCTCATGCCTCAGCCTCCAGAGTGGCTGGGACTACCGATGTGCACCACCATGCCTGGCTAACTTTTGTATTTTTAGTAGGATGGGGTTTCACCATGTTGGCCAGGCTGGTCTCAAATTCCTGGCCTCAAGTGATCTATCCGCCTCAGCCTCCCAAAGTGCCAGGATTAGAAGCGTGAGCCACTGTGCCCAGCCCATACCAAGGTTTGGAACAGATTCTGCCTGAGTCAGTTAAACTCTTTGGGAAGATCAGGCAGTAGAGTCCAGTTTTCCTGCCCTTAGACTGGTCATTGTTATGCTGTGTGTTAACCCTTAGCATGTATAAGCCCACCAAGATTCAGCCGTCTCACTGACTTTTCAATGTTTGTCTAATTCTTATATGTTTAGGCTTTAATTTCCTTGTTCACCCTCCACTTCTAACACCAGGATTCTAGCTCTGTACTGAAAGTTAGCCTGCTTGAACAGGTTTGTAGCATGCTACATAACTAGAGTAACAGTCATATCACTGGACCTTCACAGCTGGCTGGAGATCTGACCCAACTTAAATGGTCACTTACATGAGATGAGACTTTGTTATCACCATCATCTTGAGACTCCTACAGCTGTGTTGTATGCAATAGGTCAGAACTTTAGCACATCAGTGCCAATCCAAATAGCGCCAAATGAGCCATCTGAAGCCAGTGTATGCTGAAGTTAATTGTCCTAATCCTAGCCCTACTCTTCTAGGATTACTGCATCTTTAACCAGTTTGTACCTAACAGGACCCAACATACCTTTGGCATATTCCACATAAGTTACTGTTCTACAGTCTAGACACTGATTCTTAAATGCAACATGATGCTCTTTTTACATCCACCCTGACCCATGTTATTTGCTCCTCTTAGGCTTTCCTTACCTTCGTCCAATCATCCAACTTATATCTTTTAAATGCTACTCCTATGAAGTCCTCATTAAAATCCTAAAGCTTTCTCCTACTTGGAGCATGCCTCGAGCATACAACTTCTCAGACTGCATTGCTACTGTTTCATCCACAAAAGACTGAGACCTCCTCAAGATCTAGCTTAGCCCTTAACAGCTCCTTCCTCACTCACAGCTGAGACCATATGTGCCCTATAAAAATGTCCCTGGGGCTACTCCAACATTTCATGGAGTTTATCCAGAATCCACTCCCACTCTTTAGTCCAAATCCCTTGTTTTAGTCTAATACTCACTTGCCTTAGTTCCAAATGCCTTATTCCTGAATAAACTGATAGTTTCTGCCCTCTCTGCCTTGCCTCTTAAGGTTGACCCTTAAACTGTCTCCCTGGCTTTTAATTTCAATTGCATCCTTGGATCTACTTGAGCTCCTTGCTCGTACATGCTCTGGCCAGAAACACACAGTTTGTGTCCAACCGAGTCTCTAGGGACTCTGAGTTAGGTTCTATTTGTCAAGGCAGTGAGTTTTGACAAAATAAATAAATATATTTGAGGTTTATAAAGTTTTTCCTAGTGAAAGAGAACAATGGCCTCTTCTTCATTAGGAGCAGTTACTGGTTTATGTTTTGAAAAGTAGAGTGTAAGATATCTGCTCTGCAACACATGATTCCTAGCCAGGGAAAGGGTTCCACAGATGAAACCCGAAGTGACATAATGTAAAAATGAAGACCACTTCAGATATTAATTTACTCAGTGAAAAAGATGACCACAATAGGAACAGTCATGGAAATACCTTAATCATCACTTCATTCCTCATCCCTCCCCCTTCTTTATAGTGACCTTTCCAAGTTCCACACACATGTCATGGTCTTCTCACACTGTTGCACCTACTATAAACTCTACCAATAATACCCTCCCCTCTGTTTTTCCCCTCATCATATTTTTGTCTTTCAGATTTGGGTAAATATCATTAACTGTAGGAAGTCTTTTTTGACTTCCTAATTGCACACAGTGCTCCTCTCATTAAAGATAATTTTTGTTAGTTTGTTTGCAACTCCCACAAGACTTTAAATTCAATTAGGACAGGGAATGTGAGTTTAGATAGTTGAGCAGATGGTACAGCATGCAGTCGTTAGTTCATGTTGAATATATATTTGTTAAGCGAATGAATGGACAAAAGTAATTGCTATCACTTATATATGATGTAGCCGTACACAGGAGACATGACAATATGTATGTACACGGAGCTGATTCAGACTAGATGTGTTCTCTATGGTGGGATAATAATGGGAAGGTGGGGGAGGATAGGAAAAGGCATTGAACCAGTAAAGACACTAAGTTCAGACACTGATGAGTGGCAGATGTCATGACCAGAAGAAATTTTTGGTATCAAAAACTATAGCTGAGATAACAGAAGATATCTCTGTTGGCAGATGGGAGCCTGGTAAAAAGAAGATTTAGATCAGAAAATGTTCATTAATACAGGCAAGCAAGTAACTTTAGAGGGATCTTAGAAGAAGTCATTACCATGACTAAGAAGGATTGATATAAGAAGTGTAAGAATTGTTTAATATTGAAAAATCTAAATAATATAATCTATCACATTAATAGACTTAAAGAGAAAAATCACATAATTATCTCCATAGATGCTGAAAAAGCCTTTAATAACATCCAATAACAATAGAAAATGAATAATAAAACTAAAACAATAAAATAATTCAGTCATACAGCAGAATATAAGATAAACATTAAAGCCTGTACATAAATAAGAAGCAGGTAGAAGATATAATAGAAGAGAAAATTCCATTAATGCTTTCATAAAAATGAGTAAAATCCTGAGGGATAAACTTACAAGAAATGTGTGAAGCTGACATGAAGGAAGTTACAGTAGTCCTCGCTTATGCATGGAAACTACATTCCAACAACCCCAGTGGATGTCTGAAACTGCAGATAGTACTAAACCCTACATGTACTATGCACAGATTTCTTTTTTCTTCTATGTAAGATTTCTTTTTCCTCTTCATGATTTCATGGATAGAAGTTTTAGATGTGGTATTCAATATTTTTCTTTCCTTAAGTCAAAGATTTCAGCTTTTCACTTAAAAACAACACTTTCTGGATTCTCCTTTTGGCATCTCTGAATTGCCAATATCATTACTTTTTTGCTTTGAGGCAGTTATTAAATCAAATAAAGGTTACTTGAACACACAGGTATCGCGATATCATAACAACTGATTTGATAACCAAGATGGCTACTATGTGACTCCTTGGCAGGTAGTGTAGACAGTGTGGATATGCTGGAAACAGGCTGATTCACATCCCAGGCAAGATGGTGTGTAACGGCATCACACTATTCAGAACAACACACAATTTAAATTAAATTTATGAATTGTTTATTTCTGGAATTTTTTATTTAATATTTTTAGATTACAATTGACCTTGGGTAACTGAAGCCACGGAAAGCAAAACGGTGGATAAGGGGCAACTACTGTATAAAACACTTCTGAAAAACCAAAAGTAGACATGAACAAATGGAAGTACACCTCAACATCATCAATTGTATCAGCTGTCCCAAAGTTATTTATAAATTAAATATATTCCTAATAAAATACCAAGGAGCTTTTTCCCTGAGCTAGGCAAGGTGATAACAAAATTCATATAAAAAAATAAATAAACAGCCAGGCACAGTGGCTCATACCTGTAATCCCCACACTTTGGGAGGCCAAGGGGGAAGGATTTCTTGAAGCCAGGAGTTTGAGACCAACCTGGGCGACATATTGAGACCCTGTTTCTGTAAAAAAAATTAAAAAGTAGCCATGTGCAGTGGCTCATGCCTGTAATTCCAGCACTTTAGGACACTGAAGTGGGATAATCACTTGAGCCCAGGAAGTCAAGACTGCAATGAATGAGTAATGATCATGTCACTGCACTCCAGCCTTGGCAACAAAGCGAGACCCTGTCTCAAAAAATAAAAATTAAATAGACCAAAAGGGAAAGCCAGAAAAAATATTTTTTAAAGAGATATAAGAAAGTACTAACCATACCAGATATTAGAACATACTAAAAAACCTCTTTAACAGCATTATCCAGTGGACCTTTTGTGATGATGGAACTTTTTGTATCTGCACTGTCCAATAAAATAGCCACATGTGGCTAAATGAACACTTAAAATATACCTAGTGCAACTAAACAACTGAAGTTTTAATTTTATTTCATTATAATAAATTTAAATTTCAGTAACCACATGTGGCTAAGACCTACTATATTAAATAAGCATAACTTTGCAATTAAGTATGGAATTGATGCAAGAATAAGCAGACCAGTTAAGTAGAATATTAGGTCTAAAACTAGATTCTCTCTCACACACACACACCTATAAAAAATTCATTCACACTATAAACAAAATCTTCCCATGTGCCAGATATGCTGGAAGTAATTAGGACAGAAAAGTGGATAAGAACTAATAAATTCACAATCCATGATGAACAATGATGGAAAATAACGGAGGGTGTTATAAGTGCTCACGAGAAGTCACTGATTCCTCCCTGCTGCTCTATATACTTTACCCAGACTCACCAATTTCAACATATACACACACACACACACACGTACATATACATATGTACACATACACATACATATGTACATGTATATGTGTGTGTGTGTATATATATACATGCTATGTAAAAGATGTTATCAATGGGACAAAGAAGACCTCCTTAATAAATGGTGCTGGAACAACTAGGTAATCATTTAGTAAAAGATAAAACTAGATGTATTCCTTGCACCATTACCAAGAATAAACTACAAATGTTACCAGCAATCTAAATGTAATAAATGAAATCATGCAAGTACTAAAAGGAAACACGAGTGAATTCTTCCTTATTAACCTTGATATAGAGCCAAACTTTATAACTATGCTCCCCAAATCTAGATGCAATAAAAGGAAAGATTGATAAATTTAACTATATAAAAAAAAATTAAAAAGCTTTTGAATGGCAAAACAAATTGAACAAACAAAAAATTACCATAAGTAAACTCAAAGATAAATGGAAAACAGAAAAAAATTACTGCAACAAATATGAAAGAAAAATGCTAATATTCCTAATATGTAAAAAGCTTTGAAAATTGAGAAAAAAGATTTTAAAATCCTGTTGAAAATGAGCAAAAGCATAAAGATATAGTTAACCAAGTGGTCCCTACATGTAAAGCTTATTCTACTCACAGAAGTAGAAATGTACACTAAAGCTCGCTGAGATAACTTTTCTTATCCATCATATTGGCAAAACCTCAAAAGCATATAAATACACTACTGGCAAGATTCTTTCATATGTTGCTGAAAGGAAGGCAAAATGGCCTAACTCTTATGGAAGGGCAGATTTGGCAATATTTAACAAAACTGTGTATGTATTTATCTTTTCATGCAGCCATTCCACTTCCTGGGATTTACCCTGAACAATATGAAAATACATGCAAGGGGTTATTCATTACCTCATTATTTGTAATTGCAAAATATTGGAAACTACCTAAATATCCAGGCATAGGAGATTGGTTAAATATACTATGTTACATGCACACAATACAATAGTATAGTATTATGTAGCTATAAAAGAAAATGAAGAAGAATTCACTGAAGCAGTAGGGAGTTACTTCCATAATATATCAAAGGAAAATAGCAAAGCATAAAAGTATATATTGTATCAATTGTACATTTTCTGAATTTGACCATTTGAGTGTGGTTATGTGAGAAATGTTCTTTGAAAATAATACACAGATTATTAAAGAGTAAAGGGAAATAATATATGCAATCTATTCACAAGTAGTTCAGGAAATGTAGGGAGAAAAAGCAAGCAAGAAAAACAAATGTAACAAAATGTTGAAATTGGTGAATTTGGGTAAAGTATATAAAGAGCAGCAGACAGGAATCAGTGACTTCTCTTGAGTACTTATACAACACTCTGTTATTTTCCATCATTTTTCACCATGAATTGTGAGTTTATTAATCTTTTTTTTTTTTTTGAGATAAGGTCTTGCTCTATCACCCAGGCTGGAGTGCAGTGGAGCATTCTCAGCTCACTGCAACCTCCTCCTCTGGGTTCAAGTGATTCTCGTGCCTCAGCCTCCCGAGTAGCTGTGATTACAGGTGCACACCACCACACCTGGCTAATTTTTGTATTCTTAGCAGAGACGGAGTTTCACATGTGGGCCAGGCTGGTCTCTAACTCCTGGCCTCAAGTGATCTACCTGCCTTGGCCTCTCAAACTGTTGGGAAACAGGCGTGGGCCACTGTGCCTAGCTGAGTTTATTAATTCTTATTCACTTTTGTCCTCATTACTTCCAGCAGGATCTGGCACATGGGTAGATTTCAAGTATAGTGTGAATGAATTAATTAATGAATTTTTTAAAGAACGAGAAAAGTGATTGTATGAATTGGTTTCTCCAGGAAATGTATCTTAGAGGAGGTAAATCTTAAATGCGTTTTTAAAATTTCTAAAACTGTGTCAGGGTGGAACAGAGGGTGAATATGAGCAGAGGGAACAACTTAAATAAGGCACAGAAACAGCTGTGAGTGCAATAGGGCTGGAGACAGTCAGGATCATTATGACAGAAACAGAGGCTTTAGAATGAAATTACTGGGAAATAAGTTTGGATAGCTGATGAAGAGAATCAGACTGTAGAGACACTTCAAATCGAGGCAGGAAGTTTGGGGAGGCACTAGAAACTCCCACTGGGCTCTTAGGAAACAAACATCCAGATAGCCACCATACATGGTTCCTCCTGATGACCTATTTGCACAGAAAAAAACAGGCCAATGATGAGGATTTTCGTCATTTCCCTGTCTTGTGTTGGTCACTGATTTTTGTCAGTGAGGCAGGCTTCCCAATGCCCAGTTATTCCTTTTGAATTTTGAGATAGGAATCTAGACAGATGGCACCTTAGTTTGACCTTGCCGTTATATAACCACAAGAAAAAGTTACTGTAGTTTTTTTTTTTTTTTTTTAAAATCTGTTACACTAACTGCATTATTTCATGCTCTGGAAGTTTTACTTTGGTGAAAAAATATGAAAAAAAAAGATTACCTTAAATAAGTTTTAACTTTAAGGTACAGAAAATGAAGAATGTCAGCTCCCATGATTAACTATCCTAGGCATGGCTTATGCTCTATGAGGTGCCAAAACTTGATGTGAATAACATTAAATGCTTCAAGATGTGCAAGCACATATATTCTCAAATGGGCAGAAGTGATTATTGTGAACATAGGCAAACTTTAGTTGAAGGATATGCATAATTGCTTTATTACACAGGGTGTACCAGGTCTACATGTATTTATTCATTAATTTTGTATTTTTTTCTGAAATGATCAGCATTAATTCCTAGTAACTGCATTTCTATAAGACATTCATAATATAAGAATATAACTATAATATACAGACAATAATCAGATTGAATTTAACACTAAATGACATAGAGCAGAATGAAGAATTTTTTAGAACTTAGCAAAATGCTACCCTTTCTTCTGGCTGGCCCAGGCAGGGAAGAAAGAAGGTGACTGGAATTCAGAAAATAAAATGACAATTTCTTTTTTCATTAGATGCCTATTTGTTAGCAAAAGAAGTACTTATTTTAAGCATTATTCAAAAAACACATCCTCAAAATATTAATAAACATCTCTTTAAAAATTCCTATATATACAGTTGTCTTCATGCCAATGCATTTGCAAATTAGTTTAATTATATAGGCACTCATTAACACATATTTATTATAAATCAAGAAGCTGCCAAATACTGCTTTGTGACCTGGGGATATAAACAGGGAGAAAAAAAGGCAAAGACAAAAATCTCTGTCCTCAGGGCTTATATTCTCGTAGGGAGAGATAGACATTGAACATCATAACTAAGTCTAAAATACAGTGTGCTGAAGGTGACAAAGAGTATCAAAAAAAGTTAAGCAGGTGAGGATAGGAAGTGTTGAGTGGGTAGTGTAACCACCAAATGTGTAAGTCTTGCCTGCTGCCCAGATATAGCCTATTTATCAAGATAGGAATTGCACAGAGAAAGAGTTTAATACACATACAGTCTGCTAAACAGGAGACTGGAGTTTTATTATGACTCAAATCAGCTGACCCAACAATCGAGTGGTTAGGGTTTTTCAAGAACAATTTGGCGGGTAAGAGGATAGGGAATGGGTGCTGCTGGTTGGTTGGAGATGCAATCATAGGGGTGTGGAAAAGAGTCATTGTGCACTGAGTCCCCTTGTGGGTGGGGGCCACAGAGGAGTCACTAGTCTGGATGGAACCATCTGGTTGTCAAAAAGGCAGAAGCCTGAAAAAACATCTTAAAAGGCCAATTTTAGGTTCTACAATAGTGATGTTATTTATAGGAGTAATTGAAGAAGTTGCGAATCTTGTGACCTCTGGAATAACAGCTGGTAATTATTTAACTACATCTACATCTTAGCAGAATTCAGGCCCCTCTCATCCTCCTAACCTGGTGGCCTTTCATTAGTTTTACAAAGGCAGTTTAGTTTGAGGAGGGGCTATTATTATTTAAACTATAAATTTCTCCCAAAGTTACTTGGGCCCATGCCTAGGAATGACAAAGGGCAGTTTGAAGATTAAAAGTAAGATGGAGTTGGTTAGGTTAGATCACTTTCACCATCGTAATTTCCTCACTGTTGTAATTTTTGCAAAACTGATTTCAGTAGCAATTTTAATTAAGGTTTTTGGGAAAGTCTAACTAAAAAGATATTTGAGGAAAGAGCTGAAAGATGTGAAAGAGTGAGCCATGTGGAAGAGTGGACAGGAATACAGCAAGCTCCAAGTAGCTCCTGGTGTGTCAAAGGAGCACCTAGGAGGGTAGTGTGGCTGGAACACTTACTAGGGACTTAGAAACAGGAGGCATGTCTCAGAAGGCCACAAAACGACATGGTGGATCCTCATGTCATTATCCCCTAGACCCAGGACTTACTTACCACAGAAAATCTGTCTAAGGACAGGCAGCATTTATGGTAAGTATACGTTTATGATAATATCAAAGTTGTTTTGACCTAAGGACAGGATTTGCAGTAAGCATGTGAAAGTAGAAATCTAAGAGGCATTCTCAGAATTGCAGTTCATCAGAAGTCAACATGGCAGATTAGCATCCAGGATGGAGGTACTTCAACCTCCACAAACTCCATGTAAGATGAACTCAAAGTGACCCACACCAGGACATATAATGAAGCTTTAGAAAGACAAATGCAAAGAGAGAATTTTGAAAGCACCAAAAGAAAAGCAATTCATCACATAGAAGGGAACCTCAATAACATTATTGGGTTTCTCATAAGAAAATTTGGAGGCCAGGAGCCATCAGGCTGATATATTCAAAGTAGTAAAAGAAAAAAAAAATCTGTCAACCAAGAATCCTGTATTTTGCAACACTATCCTTCAAAAATAAAGGACTAGTTTTAAAATATCCAGATAAACACAGACCTGCCCTGCAAATGTTTAAGGGAAATGTTCAAGGGAGTCCTACAGGGTGAAATAAAAAGACACTAGACAGGATCAGGCACAGTGGCTCACACCTGTCATCCCAACACTTTGGGAAGCCAAGGCAGGCAGATTATGAGGTCAAGAGATCGAGACCATCCTGGCCAACATGGTGAAACCCCATCTCTACTAAAAATACAAAAATTATCTGGGCATGGTGCCATGCACCTATAGTCCCAGCTACTCGGGAGAATTACTTGAACCCAGGAGGCGGAGGTTGCAGTGAGCCGAGATCGCACCACTGTACTCCACCCTGGTGACAAAGCAAGACTCCATCTCAAAAAAATAAAAAAATTAAAAAAAAAGACACTAGACAGTAATGCAAAGCCATATGAAGAAATAAAGATCTCAATAAAGGTAAATATACAGGCAATAATAAAAGCTGGTATAATATTATTGTAATGATGGTTTGCAACTCTACTTTTATTTAAGAGACATTTTAAAAAGTATTTCTCTATAACCCAATATTTTGTAACTTTGATGTGTAACCCCACATTTTGTTTTCTACATAATTTAAGAGACTAATGTATTTAGAAAAATTCCTATTTCATATTTTTCAGCACACAATTTATAATGATGTAATTTCATGACATCAACAATTGAATGGGGTAAGAATTGAGCTATTAAAGAAGTAGAGTTTTTGTATATTATTGAAGTCAACTGGTATAAATTCAAATCAGAGTGTTACATCATTAGGATGTTAAATATAACATCCCTGGCAATTACAAAGAAAATAGCTATAGAATATATACAAAAGGAAACGAGAAAGAAGTTTAAACAAAAAGTCAACTAAATACAGAAGAAGGCAGCAATGCATGAAATGGGTGACACAAAAGCTACAAAAGTTACATAGAAAACAAATAGCAAAATTCAGAAGTAAATTCTTTCTCATCAATAATTACTTTAAATATAAATTGATTAGATTTTTCAATCAAAGGGAGATTGGCAAAATGGATTAAAAAAGAGCATGCACAATCTAACTATATGCTGTCTACAAGAGACTCACTTTAGATCCAAAGACACACAAAAATTGAAATTGAAAGGATGGAAAAAGACATTTCATGCAAATAGTACATAGAGCAAGTATGGCTACTCTAATACCAGACAAAATAGATTTTAAGTCAAAAAGATCACAAGAGACAAAAAGGTTATAATACAATGATAAAGGAGTCAAATTATCAAGACGATATAACAGTTTATATAATAACATAAACATTTATGCACTTAATGACAGGCCATCAAAATATATTAAGGAAAATGTGAAATAATTGAAGGGAAAAATAGACAGTTCTTCAATAATAATTGAACACTTCAATACGTCACTTTCAATAATGAATAGAACAACCAGACAAAAGTAAGAAAACAGAGAACTTAACACAATACACCAACACATCTAACAGCCATATATATATTTTTCTCAAGTGCACTTGGGATATTTTCCAGGATATACCATATATTAGTCCACAAATTAAGTCTCAGTAAATTTTAAAAGATAGATATCATACAAAGTATCTTCTGTGACAACACTGGGATAAAGTTAGAAATGAGTAACAGAGTAAAACTGGAAAATTCATAACTTTGTGGAAATAAAACAACATGCTCTTAAACAACAATCGGATCAAAAAATGAAGAAAATATTTGGAGATGAATGAAAATGAAAATATACCAAAAATTATGGGATGCAGCAAAAACAGTGCTAAAGAGGAAACATATAGCTATAACTGGTTACATTAAAAAACAAGAAAGGTCTCAAATCATCAATCTAACTTTACAATTGAAGGAACTAGAAAAAAAAACAAACTAAACACAAAACTACCAGATGGAAGGCAAAAAATAAAAATTAGAGCAGAGATAAAGGAAATAGAGAATAGAAACACAATAGAGAAAATTATAAGCCCCCCAATATTAGTTTCTTTGGAAAGATTAACAAAAATGACAAAACTTTAGTTGGCTGAACTAAGAAAAAGAGAAGCTACTCAAATGAAAATGAAAACATGACTACCAATTCTACACAAACAAGAAGGTTACAAGAGAGTATACCATGGACAATAGTATGCCAACAAATTGGATCAGTAGATGAAATTGACAAATTCCTAAAAACATAAAATCTACCAAGACTAAATTATTAAGAAATTTAAAATCCGTTTGGACCTATAACTAGTAGGGAAACTGAATTAGTAATCAAATATCTCCCAACAAAGCGAAGCTCTGAACCTAATGGATTCACTGGTGAACTCTAACAAACATTTACAGAAGAATTAATACCAATTGTTCTTACCTTTTTCCAAAAAAGAAAAAGAAAAAGAAAAAAAGAGGAGGAGAGAAAACATCTTAATTTATTTTCTGAGGCCAGCTTTACCAGCTTTACTCTGATACTAAAGCCAGATAAAGATACTACAAGGAAAGAAAATTACAAGCCAATATTTCTTGTGAACATTGATACTAGCACACTTAATTCAGTGACATATTAGAAGAATTATATACAATAACCAAGTGAGGTTTAATCTGGGAATGCAAGAATGATTCAAATACAAAATCAATCAATGTAATATACCACATTAACAGAATGAACAAAAAGCACATCGTTATCCCAATTGATGCAGAATACCTTTTTACAATAAAAATACTCAACAAACTAGGAATAGAAAGAAACGACCTGACCATAATAAAAGTCATACATAAAAAGCAAACAGCAAACATTGTATTCAATGATGAAAGACTTACAGCTGTTCTTCTAAGATCAGAAAAAAAGACAAGGATGCCCGCTCTCACTACTTCTATTCAACATAGTACTAAAAGATTTAACTAGAGCAATTAGTGAAGACAAGAGAACAAAAGACATCCAACTTGGAAAGAAAGAAGTAAAATTATTATCTCTGTTTGCATATTATATGATCTTATATGTAGAAAATCCTAAAGATTCCATAAGAAATCTATTAGAGCTAGTAAATGAATTCAGCAAAGTAGCAGGATACAATATCAACACACAAAAATTGGTTGCATTTCTATACACCAATAATGAACAATCTGAAAGGAAATAACATTTAAAATTCCATTATAATAGCACTGAAAAGTCAATTTCTAAGTACTTTAGAAACTAAAGATGAAAGACTTGTACAATAAAAACTACACAACATTGCTGAAAGAAATTAAAGATGTAAGTAAATAAAAACACATTCCATATTCATGGATCAAAAGACTTAGTATTATTAAAATGCCAATACTACCCAAAGTGATTTATTGATTCAATGTAATCCCTGTCAACATTCCAATAATATTTTTTGCATAAATAGAAAAATCCATTTTGAAACTTATATGAAATCTCAAGAGATCCTAAATAGACAAAACAATCTTGAAAAAGAAAAACAGAGTTAAAGGATTCACACTTTTTGATTTCAACACTTACTACAAAGCTACAGTAATCAAAACAGTGTGGTACTGGCATAAGGACAGACATGTAATTGAATGGAATAAAGAGCACAGAAATAAACCTTCACATATATGGCCAAATGATTTTTGACAAGGGTGGCAAGAACTTTTAATGGGAAAAGGACAGTCTCTTCAACAAATAGTTATGAGAAAACTGGGTAAACACATGCCAAAGAAGGAAGCTGGGCCCTTATCTAATACCACATACAAAAATTAACCCAAAATGGATCAAAATTCTAAGTGTAAGACTCAAAACTATAAAACTTTTAGAGGAAAACCTAGGGCAAAATCTTTACAACAATGAATTAGGCAATGACTTCTTGGATATGACACCAAAGTTACAGTCAACAAAAGAAAAAATGGACAAATTGGATTTCATGAAAATTTTTAAAATTTGTGCAACAAAAGACAATATCAACAAAGTAAAAAGGCAACCCACAGAATGGAAGAAAATATTTATGATCAAATATCTTATAAAAAATTAATGTTTGGAATGTATAGAGAATTCCTAAAACTCAACAGCAAAAAAAAACAACGACAACAACAAAAAAAAACTTGATTGAAAAATGAGTAAAGGACTTGAATAGACATTTCTTCAAAAAGATGTACAAATGGCCAATAAGCATATGAAAAAATCCTCAACATCAGTAATCATTAAGGAAATGCAAATCAAAACCACAACAAGATTACACTTTACACCCATTAGGTTGGTATGATGGTTAACTGTATGTGTCAACTTGACTGGACTATGAGATGCTCAAGTAGCTGGTAAAACATTACTTCTGGATACGTCATTAAGGATGTTTTTGGAAGTAATTATTAATAGTATTTGACTGAGTAAAGAAGATCCATCGTTATCATTGTAAGCAGGCATCATCCAATCAATTGAGGGCCCAAATAGAACAAAAAGGTAGTCAAATGGGTAAATTTTCTCTCTCTCCTTGAGTTGGCACATCCTTCTTTTCCTGCTCTCACACACAGAAACTCCTGATTCTGGGAACTTCAGACTCTGAAGCTTATACCTTTGGATTCAGACTAAATTACACCACTTGCTTTCCTGGTCCTCCAGCTTTCAGATGGCATATTGTGGCACTTCTCAGCCTCCATAATCACATGAGCCAATTTCTATGACAAATCTCCAAATTTCTGTCTCTCTCTCTCTCTCATTGGTTGTTTCTCTGGAAAATCCTTACTAATACAGACAGCTACTATTTACAAAAACAGAGAATAACAAGTGTGGAAAACAGTATGGCATTTCCTAAAACAATTTAAAATAGAATTATTGTATGCTCTAGCAATTCCACTTCTAGGTATATATCCAAAAAACTGAAAGCAGGGTCTTGAAGTGGTATTTATGTATCCATGTTCATATGAGCATTATCGACAATAGCTAAAACGTGTAAGCAACGCAAGTGTTTATCATGAATGAAAGGATAAGCAAAATGTGGTAATACGAATACAATGAAATACTATTCAGCCTATAAAAAGAAAGGAAATTCTGACATATGCTAAAACATAGATGAACCCTGAGGACATTATGCTAGGTGAAATAAGCCAGTTACAAAAGACCAGTACTGTGTGAACCCACTTATATGAGATACTGACAGTAGTCAAAATCATAGAGACAAAAAATATAATAGTCATTGCCAGAGGCTAAAGAAAGGCAGAAATGGGAAGCTTTGGCTTAATAGGTATAGAGTTTCAGTTTTACAAGATGAAAAGAGTTATGGAGATGGATGGTGGTAATGGTTGCAAATTATTAGGAATGTATTTAATACCACTACACTGTACACTTAAAATGGTTATGATAGTAACTATTATATGTGTATTTTACTACAATAAAAAAAATTGAAAAAAAAGGGCCACTTTGAAGTTTTTCCTAGGAGATGTGTGAGAACAGTGCTTGTTAGTCTTCTGAATATTTGCACTGCTTTTGAATGTCAGCACCCTGGTCTTGACCCCAGGCACTGAATGCCCCTAGCAGTTGGACATAAATAGGTCCACAAGAACTCTTACAAAATTAGAGAATGAATAAAAAGGAAAATTAAAAAGAGAAACAAAGAAAAAAAAACAGAGAAAAGGAATATATGGAGGATACAGCAAAGAAGGAAGGGATTGTGGGAGAAAAAGAAAAGCATGGAAAATATTTTAAGTGTCACAGCAATTGCCACAGCTGCTGTTCTGTGATGCTCTTAGTCTCAGCAGCAAAAGCTTGATCAAGGGCATGCAAGAATACGGCTGTTCAAGGAAAACAGATTTCTGACTACACTGATTTGATTAGCTTGGTGATCTAGGGAACAGACCATATGGGTATATTTCAGATATAATCACTGCCATTTTTTTGGTAATAAGTGAATAAAGATAAAGTGCTTTATAGTATTACTAAATTATCTCAGATTGCTTTAACTCCCTTTGATTGTACTGCTATTTTCAGCTAGAGATGCAGACAATGATTGAATAAAAGACCTGGATGAAATTCAACCCAAAACTTCATTAAAATTTGATTAATCTGATCAATTTAGACAGCTAAACTAGATAATTCAAGCCTCCAAGTGGATTTTTTTGGATCAAGTAATCATACCAAAATGACTAACCCAGTTTGGCTGTCTGAATCGATCAAGCAAACCAGGTAATTGTAAAATTTCTCCCTTGTTTGCACTGGGTACATAGAGTTCAGTTTAATTGTATGAAAGTGGCTTTATAAAATTCTAACAGAATTAAAGTAGCCATGGAATTTTCTGTGTTTGAATTATCAGCATCTTCTCTTAACAACTTATTTGGCCAGAAATGTGGTTGGAGTTGAGGGTTGAGGAGAAAGAGTGCTGGGCTGTTTATTATCATTTTGTGAGCTCTTTCAGCTTTTTTATCATAGTTCATGTCCCTGTCATGATCCTAATGTCAGGTTGCTAGGTCATTACTTTTTTTCCTCCTTTTCCTGACACACATCTGGAAACCTACCAGCTATTTTCCTACCCAACAGCTGAGTAGGTCTATTTAGAAAGCCAGAACCAAGCAGAAATTCTGAGTAACTGCCCTTCTCCCTATTCTTGACATTTATCTTCCTCCCCTCTTCCAGTATAAACCATGGACTCCCCAACCTGGCCCTGCTTGGAATTAATACAAAGGCAAGCCAACAGGGCAATATAGACAGCATCAGGAACAATAATGTCTCCACACATCTGGCTACATTCCATTCTCTCCTACTACTGCCTCTTTTCTATGTACACACTTCTAATTCCTATCTCACATCCCTCGTATACCCCAATCACATTGGTTTCCTTTTCTCTGTTTTACAAATAGTTGCCTTACTACTACTAACAGCTAATGGAATCAGAGCTTAATAAGTGTCAGTCGCTGTTTTAGCCAATTTGTATACATTGGCTCATTTGATCCTTATTTAAGCACTGTGCACTGGATGCTAATATTGGTCACACTATTAGCATCTGGTAGCCTGGCTGCAGAGCCTGTGATCATAACTGCTATGTCCCTCTACTTCTCAGCAGACCCTGCTACAGCGATGTGCATACCTCTGGTCTTGGCAAATTATTGGGGGGGTTTTCTCTGCTGGTTTTTATTTAGTCCTAGAATAGTGATTCTCTACTGCATGAAGGGAGCTTGAAGATTTCCTCTCTTCCCAGGGCCTGGGGTCACAAATGAATTCTATGGAGCTGTGACAACAGACTCAGGACCAGCGTGGATAATGCCATGGAGTCCCTGCCTCCCCTGTGATTACCCATTCCTTCAGTTCTCAAAGGCTGTGGAAGCATCTGAAGAACAAAAAGCACAGGTGTAAATTGCTGAATACCATTCAGGTGGCTAAAAAAAGCCATCACTGGTTGATGGGCAGATGTAAATTCAGGTGTCTACCTAAAAGCAGACTTAACCAAAGCTCATGCATGTATTCAATCTCAATTGCTACCACTAATATGTGTCAGATACTAGATCAGATGTTGATGTTCTCAGTGTCTCTGTCTGATTCCATAACAATCATCAATTCTTTTTTCTTTGATTCACCTTGTTTTATACACTCATTATTAATTAATTCAACTTTTACTACGTACCTATTGGGTAGCATCAGCTAATGTGCTTAGTGGGAGGATACAATGATAGTTAAAATAGAATCTCTGGTCTGCAGTTCCTCCTATCTTACTTAGGAATCATTGGCATGGTGCCCCTCACAATATTTTATATCCTTTCTTTATGGTAACTCAGGTGTTTTTGTTCATATAGGCCTACAAAAAGAAACTTCCTGGAGTCCCAAATCTCTGGTCATCAGGAAAGCCCTTTAATACTAAACTATAGCCAATACTTCCGTGGCTTACCAGTTTGAGTTTCCATGTCTCTGACTTTTTTATGGAATTCTACACTTAAAAAAAAATGCATTGGGGCAGGAAAGGGGATAGAGGGTATATGTAATATATATGTGTTAGTATTTGTCCCAAATAAGTTTCTAGCTGAATCAGTTTGAGAAGTTTTGAGAATCTGGCAAATGAGGTACTAATGTCTAATTTGTAAATTGTTGTGAAGATTAAATGAAATAATATGTAAAGTGTGCTTATATGAAATAGACATTAAAATTGCAGTAGAGGAGAGAGAGAAGGAGAGCAGAAGAATTTGACATGGGAATTTTTTTTTAGCAGTAAAAGTACTGTAATAATATAGTAACTTCCATGACTAATGCAGAACCAGGATGAGGACTTTCTTAAAGAAACAGTGGTTTTTGTTATTGTTTTTGTTGCTTTGTTTGTTGATGGTGGAGATCTTCTTAGTGAAGTACGAGAATCTATTCTGGATTTTTAAGTTCTTTAATTATATTCCTGCGTGGCTTTCCACGCTTTCTTAGCCTACATCAGAGGCCCCATATTACTGGGAAATTGCTCTGTGCTCATTGCCCTCCCAACTGCCTCATAGGAAGATAGTATTTTCTTTCTGCATCTGATTGCATTTTCTTTTATTTAAAAATATCTCTGAAGTAAGAGATAAGCCCATATCTTTTTGTTTAATTAAAAAAGATTGAGAGAGCCATTGGTGACAGCTAGATTGAGAAGATGCAAGATTTTTGGGTTTCAGAAGCCCAATCTTACATTACGTAAAGAGTTTTTGAGGCCAACAAACCACAATGAAAAGGGCAGGAAACATAAATATATTTTATCCAACTTTTAGGAAACTATACATAAGATGACCAGATACGAGTTCAGTATGAATCCAGCTCAGAATATGATAGGAATAATTAGAGGACTGACTTTGAAAGAAAGAAAAAAGCATTTTAATTTGGTTTTCTGAGGGCTTCTGGGAAGCCTACTGTAGGAAGATGAAATAGATTTAAGAAAGGGCTCAAGATTCAGCAATTGAAAATGTTTCAAGTTAAAACCAACTAGAACAAGGAAATTATAGGCCACTACACTAAAGTGGGAAAGAGACATAAAACTTTTATATGCAGAAATCCTCAAAAAATATAAAGAAATCTAGTAATGTGAACTTGGAGGTGCCATATGTAAAAATAACTAGAAGCAAGATAAGGGATTTTAGCTTTAGCGATGGGTGAAAGAAATGAGTGCCAAACCACAGGAAAAGTATTTTAGCTGAAAAAATAGGCTCTTGAAATATATTATCAGAATAAAGGAGCAAATGAAAAAGCTGTTCTTCTATCAAAATCAGAATTTGAAGATGGGAAGAAGAATTGACATGAGTAATAGACCCAGTGATTGTTACTTCCTGAAGAAGCAATGCCAAGAGAAAGGCAGCTGGCTAGCACTGGGAACCCACTTCCTGGAATAACTGGGAAAAGGCTTGAGAGTAGGATGATAGAAATTAAAACATCAATGGAAAGGCAGGCAAATGATAAGGGAAAATATACACCAGGTCTTAATAACATATCATTATTATTACACAATCTATAGCACACTATTTGACTACATCAAAATCTCTTGCTGTAAAGGGATCATATAAAAAGATCAATAAAACAACACTTTTAAACACTAAAGCAAACATATTCCACATGTTTTAGAAGAAATGAAGAAAAAATTAGTTAAGATGTAAGCTTATTTAGGTCTCTTCTGCCTGGTTGGATTAGTAAAAATTCAAAACAGAGGTAAACGTTATTTTTCTAAAGTAAGGTTGAGAATTTAAATTCAGAGGAGGGCAAGCAGTATGTATTGAAGATCTGGCAGTCTTCTGGTTAATTTTTTTAATGTGGATAGCTTTAAAGTATTTTTTTAACTTTTACTATTAGAATTAACTTTCTATAATATTAACTGTGTTTTGTCAAGTGCCCTCGTTGTGCTATATAAATACAGCATGGAGAAATACGAGTATACAACTTAAGATTTTTCAGCAATATTTATACCAATACATTTTTTGATAAACATAGACTATAGAATTATATATATGTAAATCTATAGATAGATGAGAAAATACAAATCTTCTTTACAGATATTAACTCATTTACATATATTAATATAAGTGGGTCCTTTACATATATTAACTCATTTATTCCTTTAAAAAAGCCTGTAAGGTAAATTAAATTATCGTCCTCATTATGTAAGGTGAGAATACAAAGACCTCAAGATTTGAGGAACTTGCCCAAGATCTCAGAGCCAGTTCCTTTTATCTGAGTCTAAGTTTTCTAGTGCCCATGCATGGGCTTTTTACCACTGTGTTATGCAACCATCACAAAAACAGGGAGGTAGATGTATACTTTTGAAATTATTGTTAAAAGTATAAAAAACACATATTGAGAACAGGGCAGGATGTACTTAATTCTGAGCAGTTGGAGGGAAGGTTAGGAACTTCTTATATGAAAGTTAAGAATTTGCTGAGATGGTAAGGTGGAAAAGGACATTCTTGCAGAGAGGTGTGAGAGATCATGCATTTGAGGAAGAGAGTGATGACAAATAAATGCTGCTGACAACACGAAGCAGAAGTATGTACAGTCACTAACTCTCATTAATTTATTTTCACTTCACTGCAGAGGAAGTAAATATTCATTTGCTAAATTCATCCTCCTTAATCTGAAGCCAAAAATATATTCCCCTCAAGTGAAGTAGACTTCCATATTAACTTTAAGAGATAATAACTAAGCAATTGATTGGTGTGCTGAAAGTAGATTAAATTTCATTAGGATAGCTAAAGTGACTGCCTCATCATTTCAAATTCCAAGTATTGTGATTCTACCAAAAAGCAAAATAGATGAAATGTTTCATGTAATTGATTGGTCAATCTAAACTATATAGATACTACTCCAAAAAACTATTTTTTCTCTTTTACATTCTATCTGTAGAATAAGTCTTCAAGATACTCTATCTTCCTAATAACAGAGCTCTCTTTATTACCATTAACATGTCTGTTTTTGCAATCTCGGTTTTTAAATTATTTGAGCGATTTTTGAAATACCACAATCTGGTCTATTTTTTTCCTGGAATCTTTATTTTATAAGAATCCAGCCAGGTGCAGTGGCTCAATCAGTAATCCCAGCACTTTGGGAGGCTGAGGCAGACAGACCACTTGAACCCAGGAGTTCAAGACCAGCCTGAGCAGCATGGCAAAACCCCATCTCTACAAAAACAAAACAAAACAAACAAACCAAAAAATTAGCCAGGCACGTCACCTGTAGTCCCAGCTACTCAGGAGGCTGAGGTGGAAGGATTACCTGACTCCAGAGGCTGAATCTGCAGTGAGCTGAGATCATGCCACTGTACTCCCTCCTGGGCTACAGAGTGAGACTCTGTCTCAAAAAAAAAAAAAAAGAAAGAAAGAAAGAAAAAAACAAAATATAGACAAATATAGAAAATAATATGATGAAATGGCCATATATTAAGACAGATTAGGCTATGAAAAATTTTTAGTTCTATCAGTTTCTCTCATACTTAAAATCATTGAAGTCTTTTTTAAAATTTTTGAAATGCTGAATCATATTCTCAATGAAATAGGTTTCTTGAGCTGCTTTGGAATTGCCTCTAAGAAAAAGTTAATCTTTAATCTCTTGGTGCATAATCTGTGTCCCAAGTTAACTAAATTAGACAATTGATTTTGAGGTTCACCAAATTTCATTTCTACTTCTCACTACTACCCCAATATTCTACCCCTACTTCACTCTTATTTGAATTCCTTGCATTTTTCCTGGAATAAAACTGTACCTTAATTTTGAAGCCATTCTTGTGACTCTGGTGTCTTCATTTAGTTCCTGCTATTGTTTCCACTACTTCCCAGCCTCCTATCCCCATTAAGAACCAAAGCTCTTTGAAGATTCAGCTCCTGTACTTACACTCACTGATGAGATCTCAGGTACTGATGCCAGACAAGCCAGAATCTGAGTTAGTCACGGTCTTTAGAGAGCCCTCAGTTCCTGATACACAGATAATTCGCCACAAATGCCTCTAAACACCTCCACAGGGGCACCAAATGATCTACTTTATAGTTGCCCACATACTGATAATAATAATAATAAACACACTGTCTGATTTCTCCACAGACTGGGAGCTCCAAGGCTCCGATCCTCCACTCATCAGAGCTGCTCATAGTACTGCAGTTGCTTTCTACCCTCCTACCACCCTTACACTTCAAGTTAACAGCTCCAACAATGAGGTTTCCATGACATAATCATCTCTCCAATAGGACTGGACTCAATCAGAACATATATTTCAAGGACCATAACTGCCTAGATGCCAACTAATGGCAGTGTCTTAGTTAGCTTGGATTGGTATAACAAAATACTGTAAACTGAGTGTCTCATAAACAACATAAATTTATTTTTCATAGTTCTAAAGGCTCAGAAAGTCTAAGATCAAGGCACTGGAAGATTTGGTGTCTGGTGAAGGCCTGCTTCCTGGTTCATAGACAGCTTGTTCTTGCTATGTTCTTACATGGCAGGAAGAGAGAGAAAAAGGTCTCTGGGGTCCCTTTTATAAAGGACATTAATATTAATAAGTGTTCCACCCTAATGACCTGAGTACCTCTCAAAGAGCCTACCTCTTAATACCATTACAATGGGGGTTAGGATTTCAACATATTAACTTTGTGATGGGGGCACAAACATTCAATCCACTGTATTCCACCTTAGCCCTCCAAAATTCATATCCTTCTTACATGCAATATACATTTATTCCATTCCAAGAGCCCCAAAGATCTTAACTCATTTCAGCATCAACTCTAGTCTAAAGTCCAAATTAGCATCTAAATATCATCTAAATTAGATAGGGGTGAAACTCAAGGTACAATTCATCCTAAGGCGAAATTCCTCTCCAGCTGTGCTGGTTATTTGCTTTCCAAATGCAATTGTGTGACAGGCATTGGGTAGACATTCCGATTTCCAAAGAGAAAAATAAGAAAGAAGAAAAAAGAGTGACAGATCTCAAGCAAGTCCAAAACCTAGCAAGCCAAGCTCCATGAAACCTTAAACCTCAAGAACAATCCTCTTTGGCTAAATGTTCTGCCTTCCAGACACACTGGGGTGGCAATGTCACCCGCACAGTTTGGCTGGGTCCTGCTTGCCTGGCTCTTTGCAGCAGCCTCACCCATGCCTTAGTTCTCTGTCAGGGAAGGGGTCCATTTTAAGCAGGGATCCTAAATTACCACAGCCCCAAAAAAGGCTCAGATCCAGGGAGTTGCCTCTATCAAATGCCATTGGCTGAAAGATATTGTCAGCCTAACATGTTGCAGTTTCCAAGAAAGATGAGGTAAGAAGGAAAATAATCTCTCCAGGACACCTGGAAAGTCTGAAAATGATAAACACCATGACAATTATATTTTTGTATGGAGGTGAGTGCCTCAGTGCATACACCTTACATAAAACTTCATGTTTCCTTCAGAAATATAGTTTGGTGAGATGCTTTTTGAGAGTTATCCTTAGGTATCTTCTGACACCTAAAGCTCAAGTTTCCTTTTCTTTTTTTTATCATTCACATGAACTATGGTTCTGAGTGATATATTGATAGTAGAAAACAAATAAGAAATTTTCTTCCCCGCTATGCTTTATACATTCACTTTTGCATAATATTCTTTAGTAAAATTAGAAGGAGTCACTGAAGGACCCTAAAATATCATAGGGTCTGACAATAACAAAATCTAATTAACCCAATTTTCTTTCGCTTGAAGCACTGTGAATTTTAAAAAGTTGGACTATGTTTAAGCATTTTATGTACAAGATAATTTCCATTTGTTTTTACAGTGAGAAAAATTTGTCTTCTGTAATATGCTAAGTTACATGAATATTAACTCTATGAATGTTTTCTTTGGGGAATAATAGACTTTTCCCCACTTTAGAAGAGCCACTTTAAAAAGAAATTCTATAATATTATTTATAATTAAACTATGTAGCAAGTAATCATATCTCTGAGTTTATGATAATTTAGCATAGTTTGAGTTAAAGTCTTCTATATTCCTTGAAGGCATGAGCCACATTTGATTTATTTATTCTTAAAAAATCTTCCTTGTTCCAAAACACCTATGGACAGTGCTTTAAACAATACTAAATTTTGATGAATAAATTAAAATAATGTATACACTTGAAATGACTTAAATTCAATATATTACATAACTTTGAGTTCACCATTTCACAATTTAGCTTATTTGTGATTGGTCCAAATTCCTTAATTTTTTTAGATATTTGAATTTTTTCTAACTATAGCATCTTTTGCTGTGATAAATCTGATCACTTCAGATTCATATAAAGAACTAGATTGGCAACTTCATTATTATATGTTACAATTATTTATGGATGTATCACATCACATAAAAATGCAAGTTTAAGGCAACTGAGAAAACACACTATTAAAAAAGAATAAACTGGAATAGATGCACCAGAAAATGTTAAACTATTTTGGTAGATTTCAGTTTTGCTAAATTCTTAAATATGTTTGGCCTAACACATTTCTCTTTAATTCCCTTAATATACCCTGTGGATTTTCACAGAAATTTGAACCATATGTTTCTGATTAATTTATACTTAACTCATCAACATGTTTGGTAAGAATGATTTGAAGCACAATGCCTCCTGAACAGTTTTGTGGGCTCTTTTATTTTAGTTAGTAAACAATTGGAACCTGAACCCAGAAATCTTGGGGCTTCATTTAATACTCAAATTCCATAAAGAATGAGGGAGTTCTTAACTGGATCAGGCACACTTTGCCTTTGACAATGCTTAGCTCCAAATCTTGCAGCTGGGAGGAATTATTCTGATAGTTCACTCTCTTTCTTGTCACTTTTATTTTAGAGGATATAAACCTTTGATGGTGCAAAACCTGTATGAGTCAGGACTAGCTGCCACCCATCAGTCCCAGTTGTAAATTAAGAAAATTAAGCAGTGCAATTCAGTAATCTCCCATTACCTACCTACTATAATTTGTTTATGTGTTTATGTAGAGAGAGAAAGAAAAGATGGAAATTTTTACCTGGCTCTCTCTGGGGTCTGAGTGAACAAGTATAAGGTTATCTGTTTAATGATTATTTCCACAAGCTAATTATTCCTTCACTTTCCAGTCTAACTCCAGCATCTTTGGTGAAGCATGGGATCAATCCATTCCCTTTCTCTACCAACTCAGGGAAACATACACTAAAGATCTGTGTCTGAGTGTTTCATGAAAGATATTTGGTCCCAGCATCATGAATGATGGCTAGTTGTGCTCTGTCATCTATCGTCCGGTGGGGCTTTATTTTTCCCATTAAAATGTCTGACATCTCATTTTTTTTTATTTTTTTATTTTTGGAAATTAGCAACCATACCTTCTGTTCCTCCTCCTTCCTCACAGGCATTCCTCCAACAGCTGTCAGATCCCAGGTTCCTTGCGGTTTCTGTTTATGAAGACCCTTAACACTCTGTAAAACATTAGAGATAATCTGCTTATATTGATATCTACTTTTCCCTCCACCCACTCCCACTACCTCCTTCATTACCAGACTCCAAGCCTTCCCTGTTACTTCTAAGGACTCCTTTGGAAACAAGATCTTAGGTCTAAAGGCATTCCTTTCCTTCTGCTACCCTTTGAGAATTCGAAATAAAAATCCTCTGGCTTTGAGATATGTGTAATTTCTGTAGAAGAAACTTAAAAACAGAAGATTAGTGTACTGAAATAAGAATAATCCGAAGGAAATTCCTAAGGAGAAAAACAGCTCTCTTTCATCAGCTCTCCCAGGAATTAAAGAGAGATGAAACAGATATGTGTGGTATTTAGAGAAAAAAATGCACTTTTCAATACACAGCATAAAATCTACCTTCTGAGTTTCACAAATAAAGGTCTTAATCTTTTCTTTTATCAAACTAGAGCGGTATAACTTAACAACAACAACAAAACTACAGTGAAAAAAATGTGCAGAAATGAGTCCTGAGCTAGTCATTTAATAAACATTCCTGGACCAAGGTGTTATGGAAATAAGGCACTAGGGATGGAAGTATGTTACCCCTTGCTTATAATCATTAAGGACTTTTTATTTCCCTGACATAAATGACATAAATCATTTTGCCCTATTAAGATAAAAGTCTGAGTGGCCTTGCTCCAAAGCAGGGAGATGAAAAAATTTCTACATCTTCTGTATACTATTTATTTTCAATTTCATCCTTTAAAAATTTATTTTCAAAATATATTTTATAATACGATTAATATACTAGTTAGTAGCACATGTAAACATTTTACACATAAGTACAAAGATGTTGGAAGGACTGGCTCAAAACATTTATTTTGTTTTACTAGTAGGGATGCATGATCATAAATATGTAATAGGTCCACTGACCTATTACGAAGAATAATGAATCAGTAATCCTGGATTTGAGACACTGCGACCTGTTACCACTCAGCTACTTGTCCTTACCCAGGTCACTTAGTTCTCTGAATTTCCATTTCAAGTTTTATAGTTAAATTAGATACTGCCTGAGGTCCCAATCAGGAAAAGTGCCAATCATCATTTTTACACATGATTGTTAAAATCAGCAATTTCACTTTCTTTTTGTTGTTGTTGTTGTTGTTGAGACAGAGTCTTATTCTGTTGCCCAGGCTGGAGTGCAGTGGTGTGATCTCAGCTCACTGCAACCTCCACTTCCCATGCTCAAGTGATTCTCCTACCTCAGCCTCCCGAGTAGCTGGGACTACAGGTGCACACCACCATACCAGGCTCATTTTTGTATTTTTAGTAGAGATGGGGTTTCACCATGTCGGCCAGGCTGGTCTCAAACTCCTGACCTCAAGTGATCTACCTGCATCAGCCTCCCAAAGTGCTGGGATTATAGGCATGAGCTACTGAACCCAGCCAGTAATTTCACTTCCACAGTGACTTGCAAATGAACAGGTTGCAAAGGTAAATAAGACTTTCATCAAAGAGCTGAGGATCTAATAATGGTGGAAGAAGAAATTAAAAGGTTTATTCTATTTTAATTGTTACAATGAGGCTGCCAGAAACAGCACCATCCTACTGTACATGACTGTTGGATGTGACGCTTTCTCCTTCTCAGGATTTCCCTGGTGGTGGGTTTAGGAACGGAATCATTTATGCACACAGGGAAGGAAAATTCTTCATGGTCATACTTTGGGAGCAAATACTACTAACTCAATTGTTAAAGATGAAGTAAGAAAATAGTTGAGCTAATAGAGGGTCCGCTTTGATGGGTATTTCTAAGGCTTCCCTATTTACATTCTCACATTTCTAGTATAGAAAACTTTTTAGATCTTATGGTTTATTCTAGGTCCATTTTATTAAAATATTACGATTCATTTTCTTAAATCAAGATTCTCGAATGTGTCCCTTGTGAGATTAGGGAGTCCATTCTTATGTTAACCCAACTGATCAAGTTTTGCCCTCTAATCACACTGCTTAGCTATAGAATATACGTAGTGCATTTCATTCATTTCCTTACAAAATTAAAAAATATGTGTGATGTATCTTCCTCACTATATTTTTGGTTTCTTGAAAACAAAGACAGTGTTTAATTCATTTTGGAGCCTCCAAAGCTCCAGGCATGATATTTCTTGCCCATTGCAGGTATTCAGAACAAGTATCAAATGAATGAATGAATGAGCAAGAGGAGAGCGGTACCTTACCAAAATCTAGAAAAGCTTTCTCAAAATGCGATCTGTGGACTATTTGCATCATTCACTCACTTGAGACCCTGTTTCAAATGCACTTTATTGGGCCCCGCTTCAAACATATCAAATCCTTCACATATTGATAAGCTCACCAAGAGATTCTGTGCATGTAAAGTTTGGAATCACCAATTAAGAGAATTATCAGTACTTTACCCCTTTTATTTCCAGTGAATGTCAGGGACATGAATGATGGCTTCTATACAAAGATTTCTTGAGACCTAAACTTTTCCTTTGCTTCTGAACTTTGTTCAGCATCCCATCTGTACCCCTAAGGCTGCATGTTTGTGGGAATTTAACAGCAGAGATTTTATTGTAGTGGTGGAGGATTAAGGGCTGTTTGGAAGTTGTGACTAATAATGGCTACAATGTATTGAGTACTTATGCTATATTTTGTTTTATAGATATATAAATATGTACTTTATATAATCTCACATTAATTCCTATTTATTAGGTAATGTTATTAGGTCCATAATAAGACTTATGATAAGAAAATTGGAGCAGGAAAAAAAGGAAAGTAACTTGCCTGTGATCACACAGTAAGTGGTAGAGCCATTCAAATCCTGGCAATGTGGTTCTAAAATCCACATGTTTAACCACTATGCAAAACTGCCTAACAAGAAAAGATAGTAAAGAAAAAACCTCTAGGGAGTTCAAGGGCGAAAGAAATCATATGCTGCCACAAGAAGACTTCCAACTGAGAAACTAATGATGTGCTTCTGTAGCTGTGAGTTACTGTAAGCAACTGTGAAGATATGATTTCGTAGCATTTTCCCAAATAACGGTTGCTTAGTTGCTCTCACACCCTCTACACTCCAGTCACAATTGTACTTATTGGAGCAGGTGGCTCTGGTAAATCTTAGTATGAGCTGTCACTCAGGGAATCAGGGTTCTCAGTGTGGGGGAAGGAAAGTGTGAGAGTAATGGGAATGTTCTCAAAATAGAAACTTTGTTCTCAGTAGTCAGGGGCACAGGTAAATTAAGAAGGGAGCTAAGACCCAGAACTACCTGTGTTACTGAGATGGGACACACAATTCAAATGATCAAGCATGTATTAAATGCCTGCTATATGCCAGGTATAACGCTAGTCTCCAGTGGAAGAATTTCCTCTGAATATGGAAGAGTATCTAGCAGGGCAAGAAGTAATGGAATAAGGCAAATTCCAGTCACTAGATCTGGTGAACAAACACAGGAAGGGTCACAAAGTAGGTCATTCTTCTGAGAGATCACCTTCAAACACTGATTAAAGTTTCATGGCACACCTAAAACCAAGTATTCTCTTTCCCTCAACAAGGTAGGATTTTTTTTCAAAGTAAATCCTAAAAATAAAAG
This sequence comes from Homo sapiens, assembly GCF_000001405.40. Classification (NCBI taxonomy): domain Eukaryota; kingdom Metazoa; phylum Chordata; class Mammalia; order Primates; family Hominidae; genus Homo; species Homo sapiens. Next base: position 219,153,619 of record NC_000001.11, read on the forward strand.
CGAAAAAAGGGAAAGTTCTTTGAAAAAATATGCAACAAAAAGTACTTTTCAGCGTGAATATTTCAGTACAACTCAGCATGCATTTAAAATGAAAGGTGAATTATTCGCTATCAAGAAACTTCAAAGCTCTTCAATTGAATTTGCTTGGCAGCAAAATAATATGATGGGTGGTCTGTTCAGGCACTTGTCCAAGTCCAATCACATTACATTTTCATAGTATCAACATTTAAAAGCCCCATCCTTGTTGCATCAACAGCAATGCATGGGAACCTCTCCCGAACACGTGGCAACCAGCACATTATACAAATATGTTTGCTCCACAAGCCAGACTGCCGTTTTCCAGAAAATACAAACTCAGCAAATGAATGAAGGATTTGCATGTTAACAACTCAGAGCTCTACCATTTGAAATATATCACATGGACCTGAGGAGTGAGGATTCATCTCATTAACAGTCAGTTGACTTTGCAAAAGCATGGACATCATTTTCCAGCTCAAATGTCAGAGAAGAAGCTAAAATGCAAGTTTTCTGACTTTGAAATCAGTTCATTTTCCATTTCATAGGATGCTTCTCGGTTCAATTTTCCATATCACTGAGCCTAGGTTAGAGTTACTGTATATTCACCAACTTTTTTCCCTCTCTCCTAATATATAAGGAGTAGCTTATGGGGCTGACAACATAGATTTCAGTCCACAACTGTTACTAACTCAATGTACCTAAGCAAGTCACTTGACTTCTCTGAAATACAGTTTTTTTAGCCTTTAACTGTATTGATTAAATTGAATGGGTTTTAAAAGGATTGTATAAAAATGTTTGCAAATTGTAAGCACTATGCAAATATGTTAGTATTGATAATAATAATCACCTTCCTGAGGTAAAGGAAGATATACATGCTCTTGTTCCTCATATAGAGCAGTAATAATAATTGAATATTGTTGAACACTTGCTATGTATCAGGCACCGTTCTAAATGTTGTACTTCTATAAACTGATTTAATCTTTACCACAAGCCTATGAAGTAGTTATTATTATCATTCCCAATCTACATATGAAACATCCGAGGTTCAGAGAGGCAACTAGAACAACTGAGATTCCAACCCCAGAGCCCCACTTCATGGCCACTACTGCATAAGGCATATGATATAATGAATGGCCATTGGACCAGTAATCAGCCAACCTTTAATCTGTTTCTGGTTCAGGGACCTCCTAGCCATAGCCTAGAACCAAGCAGATGCTAAGGAAACACTGGACTCATTGATGAGCCACATGTTCTTTCACCAATCTCTGAGTCCCAGTTCACCTTTCCACCTTGCTTATACATGTGACACTCCATGAGAAAACACGTACTTCACAAGTGTTAGGTGCTATTAGCATATTTGTTAAGAAAAACAGTGACACTTGAATGAGTGGCTAAACTGGTGTGCTTCCAAGGTCTACATTCATTTTACCCCTTTTTTGGTCTAGTCTAGTATGTGGTGAATTCAGTTTAGGTATCAGGGTAGAACTTGCTGACTGTATTTCCACATATAGAAATGTCAGGGGATCTTGGAAGACATATGCAAGGCCAAGGATCTTGCTGCAGGTCCATCTGGTGAATCCTCTATGGAACATGCAAGGCCTGAGGGACGGCTCTATTGCCAGACCACTTCCTGTGTTATATCCTGAAGCCTCCACATTTTTGGCCACTCACCCTTGCAGGCCCTCCCCTCTACAGCTGTTCTGGCTGATAACTTTCAAAACATAAAATAATACAAGCCTAACACATGATTACTACTACTTTTAATGGGTTGAGCATTGTCCTCCCAAAATTCATGTTTACCCAGAACTTCAGAAAGTCACTTTATTTGGAAATAGGGTGTTTTCACATGTTATTAGTTAAGGATTTCAGGTGTAAATCACCCTGGATTTAGGGTGGGCACTAAATCCAATGCCTGGTGTTCTTATGAAGAAAGGAGAGAGAGATTTGGGCACAGAGACACAGATGCAGAAGAACCGGAGATACAGAGAACACCGTGCAAAGCTAGAGGTAGAGACTGGAGTGATATTACTACAGACCAAAGAACACAAGGGATTGCCAGGAGCCACCAGAAGCTGGAAGAAGCAAGGAAGAATTTTTCCCTGGAACCTTAGGAGGGAGGATGGCCCTGCTGACATTTTGCTTTCAGACTTCCAGCCTCCAGAACTGTGAGAGAATAATTTTTTCTCTTTTTAAGCCACCCGAGTTTTGGTGATTTGATACAGCCCTAGAAAACAAATCGACTATTACTACTCCACTACTATTACTCTTTATTCTAGAAATAATTAGAAAAGGTATTTCAATGACTCTCCGAATCCCTGAAGAATCAGAGATTCAAAATATAAAACTAAAGTAAAAATTCTGAAAATCACACTCTACGTGGGGAAAATTATGAATCTTACTCCACACGAGGAAAACACAAGCCAATACTGGCAACATTTATTCTCACTTTTGATGGTCCAATAATTAGGGCAAAATTTACTTACAGCAAGAGGCTTTTTTCCCTTGCGTAGCATACTTCCACGTAATTATAAAACCGCATGCTCTTAAAAGACACGTTCTAGTTCTATAAAAATAAAGTTAAAGGAAATATTTTAGAAAAAAATTAATTCCAAAAATATAATAAAATGCTGTCATTTTTCTACTATGAAACAACCAATTCAAGAAATATTTTCATTACTCTTAGTTACTACAGATCTATCTAGCCCAATTTTAAATCTATTACACAGTAAAGTTCATTTACAATATTCATTAATCTACTTTTTTCCACAACCTAAGTAACTAGGAACCATCAAAGATTATTTTTAAAAAAATATTTGAACTAGGCCCACTTACACACTTTCAAATATTTTGTCCAAGATTATTACCCAAATGCAACATAGAGGAGACCCCAAATTTTAACTTATTAGGGGAAAAAAAGCCTGTAAAAATTTTATGCTTTGCAATCAAAGGTAGTGCTCCCAGCATGGTGCCTGCTACCCATATGCAGCTGTGACTGAAAAAAAATCAAGGTGTGATTAAATAGTCTTTTTCATATTATCCTCCATTAAAAAAGTTTTTTAACTGGAACACAGACATCATTAACAGAGTCTGTTCACCAGAAGTATTTTCTCCAAATTACCAAATGAGGCACCCAACTTCTGATTTCTTCACACCAGGTTGATATTTGCTACTGACAATCTCTCAGCAGTGTACTGCTCTGTCACACATCAGTTTTAATAAAATAAAACAACATGACGATAACTCTGTTTATGAGCTTTTGACATCCTGTGGATTCATAAGAAATTAATTTTTTCATGGCACAAACAAGAAGCATCAGAGCAGATCTTCTGATTCGCCGGCTCCCTCTCTCCACCCCCACCCTCTCCTAATTTCCCCACATCTCTTAATAGAAAGATAGTTTTCTGGTGTCTCAGCCCGGAAACGTTAGAACCACTTTAACTCTTTCTTCTGTATCTCCCCTGTATACAATTTGTCATGAAATCCTGTCATCTCTTAGCTGGGGCTGTCTAGATTCATGCCACTGTTCCCAAGCTCAGATCCCTCCATCTCCTGTATTCTGAGCCTCTTGATGACACCCTGAAGGTATAGACTCCTCTTCTCTGAAATCACCTCCACAGTCTCCATCCAGGTAAATGTGTCAAAAACATCACTTTCTTCATGGCATCCTGCTGCTTAACATTTCGTTATGGTTTCCAATTGTCCACTAGACAAAAGCTCTCATCCCGCAATAGGTTTTCAAACCCTTCTGTAATTAGCTCAGTCTATCAGTTTAAAAAAGAAATATAGATATCTTTCTCTTTTAAATTTCAGCACACAGCTACTGTTCCAGACAGATCACTGCTTCCTTTCTAGCTGGACCTCCCCTTTCTCTGGGCCTCATGAGCGCTATTCAAGCCTGTCCCCATTTCTTTGACTTTGGACACAGAATATCCTTGCTATTCCCCACCCTTAAAACCCTAACAGTCTAGGGCATTCTCACACTACCATACTCTGCATCATAATATCTTACCTCTGAAATAATTAACTTTCAATGTTTTAATATGTCATTTCTTGTCCTTTCATCTCTCTTATTCCTTCATTCCCACTAAATTGGCTCAGAGACCCCATTGAAGATCTACACACTTTATTGCCTCATCATTTTTCCTGTCTGTTTGCCCTTTCTGGCTTTAATTCTCTTACTATTTAAACCATACAGTACTACATCCTCGCCAGTCTCATTAATACCTCCACCCCACCTTGACTTCCTGCCTTGCTATTTCCAAAAACAGATCAATACGTTGTTTATTTCTTCTTTTTTTTTTCCCAGAAGCTATTGGTACAAATTTGATGACAATGTTGATTAGCTCCTTTAAATGTTCTGTTTGTATTTACAGTGAATTAGCAATTATTCCCTATTCTTACTCAGTTCTCTTTTCCTTTAAACCTCTATGTTTTTAAGCTTCTAATCTGTTTTCTATTTCTTTTATTCTCAGCAAATGGCCATTGCAGGGTGTAATCTATTCTCACATTCAGATTTACCTCTATTTCTTGACCCATTCTTCCCTTTCTAGTGTTAGAGGCAGCACAGCCCTGCTCTTCCAGGTTCTGGCTCCCTTCCCCTTTCATCTTTGAGTTCCTGCACATGATTGTTCTGTTTATTCTTCTCCTTTGCCTTCTTTTGTCAGTTTATAATAAGATAGCATCATCCACATATTTTAAAATACCTTTTTTTCCAGCCCTGTCTGTTCCTTGGCTTTACAAGTTAACTATTTAAAGGAATAGACTACACTCGCTGTGTACACTTTCTCATTCCAGATTCCCAACTCGAGTCACTGCAATCTGACCCTGAGTCCCACATTTCTACTGAACTTGCTCTCAGAAACTTTTCTGGTCACCTCTTCCTTACCTGCTAAATCCTATGGATTCATTTCATCCTTCTATAGCACCCCACAGTTGTTTACCTACATCTCAAAACAACTGTCTCCATTGCTTTCATGACATTCCACTATATTTCCTTCTACTTTCATGGTTCCTCCTGAGAGGTTTTCACTAATTTGTCTTCTTTGATCTAGCTTTTAAATGTGGGTTTAAAAAAATGATTTCTAAGTTATCTTTTCTTCTCCTACAAATTTTCTCCCCAAATGATTTTTCAATTCCTGTAGTTTTCTCTGATTCCTATATGCTAATGACTCTCAAAATTTATTTCTATCCCCAAACTGAGCTTTAGACCAAAATTCCCAGCTGTCACCAAATTCCCATTAACACCTCAAACCCACCGAAAGTTAAACTAATTATCTTCATTCTACACTTGCTTCTTCGTCTGTATTCTTTATACTTGTTAATATCTTCACCAGAACACTTTAAAATAGCCATTTTAGATTATTTCCTATACCTCATCCCCAAGTCAAATGGATAACAAAGTCCTATACCATTCAACCTTTCCAATCTGCCTTCTCTCCCATCCTTCTCAGTCTATTGAAGGGCTGGGTGTGGTGGCTCACGCTTATCATCCCAGCACTTTGGGAGGCTGAGGTGGGTGGATCACCCGAGGTCGGGAGTTTGAGATTAGCCTGGCCAACATGGTGAGACCCCCATCTCTAATAAAAATACAAAAGTTATCTGAGTGTGGTGGCACATGCCTGTAGTCCCAGCTACTCAGGAGGCTAAGGCAAGAGAATCGCTTGAACCTGGGGGGTGGAGGTTGCAGTGAGACATTGCACTCCAGCCTAGGCAAAAAAGCAAGACTCTGTCTCAAAAGAAAAAAAAAAAGAAAGAAAAAGAAAAAGATTACTAATGAGTGTCTTCTTATAGCCTCTCATTCACTCTTATTGTTATTTCTATGTGCCACAGCTAGCCTGTTACGTATATGAACATGTCACTCCTATGTTAAAAAAAAAAATAGAAAAAAGGCCTCTGATCTGAGTTTCTAAATCTTAGCCTGTCTTTTGTCTTCCTAAGTAAAAGTGTGGGCTACATATTAACGCTGGTCAAGAAGTCCAATGTATAACTTTTGCCCATGTGGATTTTATTTGAGTGATGGTACCTATTTTCTTCTATTGTTCAAACTACTGGGTGCTGTCTGTGAAACCACTTTATCCTCTTTCCAGATGCAGTTCTTTGTACTCAAAATGAGTCTTTCTCTGTAAATGGCTATATACCAGCCTCATTTTCCAGCTGCTGCTCTTTCCTTGTATCTCACAACCATGGCAAAAAGATAGAATTTGGGCATCAGTGAGTTCTCTTTAAGATGTCTCACTTATTTCTAAAGAATAATCCTTACACTTGGCATAAAAATTAGTGTTGCTACTTTTTAAAATGCCTGCTGAAATGTCCAATGTCCTAGTCTTCTATCTGGAATAAGATTATGATTACAGAGATTAAAAAAGCTCATTGAATTGAAGACAGCCCTGGAATTTCAAGATTATTTTAGAAGACATGCAATTGCTACTTTGCATTTTACATGTGCAAACAAAGCCATCAAGCCAATTAAGGCTGCTTTCAGTTCATTCTGATAGTACAGGAAGGTATTTATGTACTGTCAGTGCCAGCCTGGGCAGCGTGCAAGTCTTGACTCATAGATCTCCCCTCCCGCCCTGGCTGGAAAGATATCTGTGCATCTCTTTCAAGCTTGTTTAGGGTGTGTAAAGGCTCTTTCTTCGTCCACTCTACTTTCAATATAAAGTATTACTTAGAAGAAAGCTAAAAACCTGATTTTGTGTTGATAGTTAAGCCTTTCACACAACATAAATATAAGGAGTTTGATCAAGTTTACTTGTACTGTCTCACTCAAGATGTAGTTTTTAAAATGTTTTTAAAAATCTCCGCCTTGTTTGTCACATGTTAGAGTGTGTGTGAGAGCAGCAAAGAAGAAGCCAAGGATTAAGTTTGTCTTAAAACTTTTAGCTTGTAGTCAATCATTTCACTTTAATGTGCCACATCATGCTACAATAATTGTTTTAACCCATTTTCTGGTGACCATACCAAACCTTCAGTGAAATCAATTTAATTTTGTCATTTTGAAATTGCTCTCCAGAAAACAAGAGATATAAAGTTTTAAAGCAATTATACAAATAATTATGTCAAAATCCAACTGTTTAAGTGGAGTTTGAGCTTGTATTTTTCTCTAATGGCTCACATATTTGAATATATTTTTCTTGCAAGACACTCAGCTGTACATTTTGCAGGATATAAAAGTGCTTCGATTAAATGGGTCAATCAATTAATTAATAATTAATAACTTCCTACTTCACTCTTCTTCTAAATACAGAGCTGCTAATATTGCTTTAGGGGAGCCAAACACAATATACTGATAATTATTCCCATAGCTATTATTTCATATTATAGAGGTTTTGTAATACAACATCACAAAATTACAATGTCCTTTTTAAAAATCCCTTCCCCCACTCAAAAGAAAGCTATAAATTTAAGCCAATATAAACTTTTCAGAATTCTCTCTCTCAATGTCACACCAGGGCGTGGTGCTACACAGCTGGGGAGCTGAGCTAATAAGTGCTGAAAAATGAAAAATGCTGCTTTATGGCATCACATTAACTGGCAAAAAGAATACTTTTACCTCCGCCCATTTTTGACAAACAAATGCCAGAATGTAGATGCTGTAACAATGAGACTTTATGATAGTTGGCCCATGGGGCAAACAGATTTGTCTTGTGGGATTTTCTTTTTGTTGAATACTACATGTAATAAGAAGTGGCACAACATTTGTAAAATCTAATCACTTCTGGTTCCTTTTTGAACCTCAAAGGGGTTATTTCTAGAAAAGCTGTTGGAAACACTACATAATGATCTATTTATGCAGTAGTGAAACAGGATTATCCCTTTTACAAGGAGATAGCTTTCCCTAACAATGTAAATACTGTAATATGAGTGTACAACTTCAGGATTTTGAGGAACATCATGTCCAACAAATATTTATTGAATAACTACAATAGAGTTCAAGGAATGATGCTAAGAGTTCTTGTGAAATTTACACCACATAATATAGTCAGGGCCCAGCTGTTTTTCTTGGGCTGGTTTGTTTCCCAGCTGATGGTCATTCACCCACTCATTCACCCTCTCACTCAATCACTCACTAGTCACTCATTCAACATTCAATCAGTACATGTCTATTGCGAGTTTACTATATCCAAGTCACACAGGCCTAATAAATCACAGAGAACGTGCTATTTTAGCAAAAGATCCCAAATCAACTGTGGAAGAAAAAAAAAAAACTCTTTACACAGGGGCTTGAAATAAATGAGCTGCGGCCAGAACAAGGTAAGCAAGAAAAGAGAGGCACAAGGGTGCATTGGTAGGGTACATTCCTTTCCCGTAGGGAAATACTAAACTTCGGTCAAACGAGAGGACATAGAGTAGCTCTAAGTCCTACCTGAAGGCTCCTAGGTGCTGTTGACTCAAGTGGTTGGGAATTTCTGATTAGAGTATTTAGAGAACTGCAATTGTCTGTTCTATAGATGCCTTCCTTGAATTTACATAGCTAGAAATATATTCTCTCCTCTGAACTTGTAAAAAAAATTGCTATGGCCTTATTACAGCAGTTATTGTTAGTTACCTTATATTATAGGTGTACATCTCATATCTCCTTACTAAATGTAAACTCCTTAAAGGTAGAACTAAAATATGATTTATCTCTCATTTTGCACAGTACATTACAATTATGAACATTCTATACTATTTCGTTGGATAAAGTTTTCAATGAATTCAACCAATATATGATCAAAATACTCATAGCATCTGAATAACACATTGTAGTAATAAATAATTACAAAAAATATAAATATTAGTTTAGAAGCCCAAAAAGCATAACTAACATTTAAGAGAAGTACAATTTTGGTAGTCTAAATCATGTGCAGATTAGTAAATAATGGAACCAAATAAGGAAATTCTGGTTGTACCTTTTAAAATGTGGAATTAAATGAAGAAGCCACTGAAAAGTGACCTTTTTCAAATTCCCAAAAAGTATGTGAGTGTATTGAGTGTATTTTAAAGGCCACAATAAAAGAATGCAGTTACATAAGCTGTGTGATATTACCATTTTTATGTTCCATAATTCAATAAAATGTACCACTGGAGTATTTTCCCTCACAAACAAATGCAAATTCTGCAAATAGCAGATGATTTCCAGGAACAAATTCATTCCCATTATCGTTACTATTCTTTTGTGTGTGTGTCTGTGTGTATGATGGAGTTTCGCTCTTGTTGCCCAGGCTGGAGTGCAATGACACAACCTCGGCTCACTGCAACTTCCGCCTCCTGGGTTCAAGCGGTTCTCCTGCCTCAGCCTCCCAAGTAGCTAGGATTAGAGGCGGCCGCCACCATGTTCAGCTAATTTTTTTTTTGTATTTGTGATAGAGATGGGGTTTCACCATGTTGGCCAGGCTGGTCTCGAACCCCTGACCTCAGGTGATCCACCTGCCTCGCCTCCCAAAGTGCTGGGTTTACAGGCATGAGCCACTGCGCCCAGCCTGTTACTACACTTAGTGTTACCAATGTTAAATATCATGGAAATGGAAAAACAACCATTTTGGTTAGTTGCAGTAGTTTCTAACAAGTTTTTTAAGAGTACAGACTTATCAATTACCTTCTGTAACAGTGCTCAAGGTAGCAGGCAATCTACCAGTGCTATTAACATTTTAATAAACTTGATCAATTTTGATGAAAAGTTTCTATTACTGATCCTCAGGTAATCATCCATCCTGAGATAATAAATACTAAATTTTCGGTATCTAGTTGAACTTTGAGGATGACTAACACTGTGAAGATAAGCTTGCCTCATTTCCACATAATCTCTGGGAAACTAACTGATTCCTGATTTTGCTCTGGAAGGGAGATTATTAAAAACTTTTTAAGACTCTCCTGCTCACATTGGCAAGTGGTGAATACTGGACAGTTTTGCATTAGAATGAGACATCTGGGTATGTGAGTTATTGCTGATTTTGTATCCCTTACAACGAGATTTTAATCCACTTGAATTCAAATTATGTTGATCACAATACAACTTCACTGGTCTAGGCACAAAACACCCTAAAGGCTTTAATGAGTTTAAGTGGATGAACTGCAAACAGCAAGATCCTGACAAACTCTTATAGATGCAGTAAGTACTTCTTCAAACAACGTGGGAGGCTGGCAAGAAACATCAGCAGAACAGCTAGGAACATAGTAATGTGGAACGTGGTGACGTCTTTTGAGAAAAGGATTTAGCCAATCACTGGTCAATAAAGACAATAATTAAAAACACATACAGCTTCTGAGAACAAGAACCATAGCAAATTAAAGTTCTGCCTTCAAAGAGCTTCATTTTAAGTTACAGATCCCAAAACAATTGCCATAATTAGCATAAGCTTTGTATGTAAAGAAAAACCTTTACTTTTTTTCTAACTTGTGACGTAGGCCACTATTTAAACAAAAAAAAAAACTGATTCTCTACAAGATTTGTGTCTTTTTTTTTTGAGCTCATATGTACCTTTTAAATGCCATAGAATCTACAGGAATAGCCATAGAGACAAAATGAAAATGTCATTATTAAACTAGATTTAAACAAATTGCTAGAGAAGCTTCTTAGATTGATACTATTGAAAATGCCTTGGAGATCTGTGGAACACAGTTAAATGATTGCTATTCAGTATAAAGAGTATGGCTGAACTTTTTATATTACACTCTGTATTTTTTTTCATACTCAGAAATGAACAAGTCTGGTTAATAATGTTATGAGAGAAACTTGGTGCTTTACACAAAGCACAAATTGTAGAAAAAAATGCATGCACCTTGTGTTTATGGCTAGGGCCATGGGTCAAAATGAAAATCATGTCCTGTTTGAACTGAAATAATCAAGAAATTTCATTTGCAGTGCATTTTTACGTTTTCTGGAAGTTTGTTTTAAGACAAAGAACGTATTTATTGACAGTTCAATCTTTTTACTGGCGTAATGGATGACGTAAAGACAATGATGGGATTTGAGTCCTTGTGTGTCAAAAGAGACATAAAACTCGCCTTCTTTACTTCCATTCTGGTATGTTTCCTCTGAATAAGCAACAAATCCGTGGTAATTATTACCTTGAGTGACTTCCAGATGTTAACCATGCCATGTGACCAAACTCAACTATTCTCTAACAAGCATGGCAAGAGAGGGAAATTGTTAGTATATATGATGATTTCAATAACCATGAAAAATACCTTTTTTGTCTATCACATCCATCTGCATGATGTAAAAACCCTACATAAATAGGATACCTTTTTGAGAAGAAGAGGAAGACTTAAATCTGTGTAACATAGGTGAACTTTCCCTTTAAAAAAAAAAAGAATAGCTAAATTAATGAAAGCTGAATGTAATTTATTATCTAATCCTTTAAATGTTTTTAGATTTTAAATTATATGCCTACGCTCTATAGAAAGGGAGATAAATTATTATGGTTTATGTTAATTTATGACAAGTCCTTTCGATGTTTCCCATTTTCTAGGTAAAAATATGCTGTTAAATTGTTTTCAGCCAAACACTGATGCACTTTACATTTTCTATTAAGAAAAATAAATAATTCACACTTTTGCAAGGGAAGGTATGCACTTTTTCTGGCATTCTTGAAATTATACTATTACTAGCAGCAAGTGCCAGCAGACTTCATGGGTGGTATTTCTTACTGAAAAGCAAGACATGAATTAATATTTTTATTACAGTCAACTCACTTGTCTTCATAAATAAAATATTATTAATGTTTTTCCATTTTGATTTTAATGCTAGCAAGAAGAATATACAAATTGTTAGAAAAGGGAAATAAAATACCTGGATAAATAGTTTTTCAAAGACTGTCATTGGTACATATTAAAGCAACAGTTGAGATTGTCAGTTAAGGTTCCAAACACCGATGTGTACCGTGTTTTTTTAAATCTAAATTATTGAGTAAATTGCTTGTCTTTTATATTTTTCCTATTGAAACAGATGTGGTTAATATAATCTGTGAATGTCCTTTGTGTATTATGCATTCTATAATGACCATGTGAGCATAAATTAATAAGTAATATGAGAAAAAAATAAGCAAAAATTCTTTCTACAAACACACACACACACACACACACACACACACACACACACACACACACACACCCCTGCATCCTATTTTTAAGTGAGAGAATGATGAAGGACTTAGCACAGAGCCAACACTAAAGGGAAGCTCTTTATTTTTGTTGATATTATTGTTTCTCAGGCCCACAATGTTGGTATAAAGAGGGAAAGGCAGAAAAGTAAACAGTCAAATGTGCAAATGGCTATGTTCGTGGTAGCTGAGCTTGCTAAAAGCCTGTAGAAGAGGACTGATCAAAGGAAGAAACAGCAGACCTGAGTTTTGAAGAATGAGTAGGCAGTTGAAGAAGTAAATAGAGGAGGGCTACAAGCCTGGCTGAGATTAGAATGGGCAAAGCTGAAGGGACAGGAGGTGGCACAGCACATTTTTAACACTCTTGGTGTTCAACATGGTAAAAAGAGTAGAATATAAGACCGGATGTCTCCAGATATAAAATGGGGAACATAAGTAGAGGTGTGTTCCTAAAGAGCTTTAGGAAAACTGGTATCAATCCTTCTAATAGATGCACTATAAAAGCATCTTTTTAAAAAGACAACTCTGTGAAGAATGCTTTTATAGACACTGAGGAATGAAAATGAAAAAAAAATCCAGTTTGCCTGCAAGAAGGTCACAGAAACAGACACTCATTGAGATATAAGTTATACGTACTCTATCTTGTAAATTTAGACTTTGGGATATAAATTATACTTTCTTAAAATGAGGCATTCCTATCAAAATGACATTATTTGCTTTTATTTCCATGCTTAGATTTGCATAATTAACCTAAAGAATAGTATTTTCTAAATAGGATTACTACACCTTATGGGTGTACAAGACAGTTGTTTGGGCATGTGGAAAGAAAACATAAGAATTTGTTTATATTTTACTTTTCTTCCCTGTTTTACATTTCTACTTTTTTCTATGTTCAGTATGCACATAATGCATTACTACAATAGTGCATTCATATAATTTATAAATTAAAAATACACATTTATAAGAGATGTTCTAAAAACTTTTTACTGATAGGTATATATAATAGACAAATTTCTGAGACAACCACCATAAAAGTTAATTATTTTTACTATATCAACTAAACTGGACAGTTGTAGCTTGCACCAGGTAAATAGTACTGCTTTGATTTAGTTGAGGACATAAAGCACAGGACCTCTCATAAGCTTTGCCTTGTTGGGAATTGGAACGGACCTGTGGCCATTAATTTTATGTGTTTCTGCCCTCAAAAGCATAAAAGTATGAGGCAGGTGAGTCACACTCTGAGATCCACCAATTTCAAGGGGTCTACTCATTAGCTTTGGTGGGTTCACAAACCCTCTAACGGGCATTCAGAGTACTGTGTGTGTGTGTGTGTGTGTGTGTGTGTGTTGTATATTGGTTTCCCTTTCACTTGAGAGAGTCTGTAACTTTAAGCTAAATCTTAAATGAGACTATAAATACCCCCGCCATTGTCACCATCAATTTAATTGCCTTGCCATAGTACAGAGTCTCTTCTTCATTGGCTGACTGACCTCAGTACTCCAATCACACATGCCGCACTTTAAGCTACCAGCCTTCCTGTATCATGGCTCTTTTGTTTCCTTGTCTTTTATGACCTAGTTATTTCTTGCTCATGGTCATGTTCTAGCTTTGCTTGGTTCTCACTACAAGATTTGACATTGGGCTTTGTAATTTTCAAAAATTTTGCTTCCCACACTAAGCTGAAAACCAGGCCTAATATTGTGATCCTGACCCTGGCCTTGGCTGGTTTTCTCCAAGAGGTGGCCTGTCACCTGTGTACCTCTGGTTACTGCTTACATGCCAGAGTAACAAGTAGATGCCAGAGGAGTGTAGCGCTTTCCTCTCTGTTCATCCTTCCTGTTCAAAATATAACTCAATTAAAAGCATAATTTAACTCCAACAAGTAATATCTGAGACACTGTTCTAGGTATTTCAGGAGGATACAAAGAAATAAAACAGTTCTTGCTATTAAGGCAACTACAATTTAGTAGTTCACAGGACTAGCCATGCAGGAAAAGTACTTAAACCTAGGTTTTCGTACCTCAAATCCATCGCACCTTCTACCACAGCTCAATGACAATTTTGTTTATAATTATTTTGAAATTGTGTATGTGTTTTCAGGTTTGCAAGAGTGTCTAATAAAGATATTTGTTTTCACTTATATTATTTTATTTTGTTAACCCCTGTGAAGGAAAACTAAATAAATGCATATGAATGAAAATATATAATGAATGACAAACTAACATTTTGAATAATCACTGCTTTAAACTTCTCTTGTCACTTGCATCCTTTTTCTATTGTGATAAAAAGCACATAATGTAAAATGATCTTAACCATTTTTAAGTGTACAGTTCAGTAGTGTTAAGTATATTCACATTGTTATGAAACAAATCTCCTGAACTTTGTCATCTTGCAAATCTGAAAATTTATATCCATTAAACTACTAATCCCCTTTTCCTCCTCTCTCCGGCTCCTGGTAACCACCATTATACTTTTTTTTCTATGAATTTGACTACTTCAGATATTTCATATAAGGGAAAGCATACAGTATTCATCTTTTTGTGACTGCTTTATTCAACTTAACATAATGTCCTCAAGATTCATCCATGTTGTAGCATGTGACAGGATGTTTTTCCTTTTTAAGGCTGAATAATATTCCATTACATGTATATATAATATTTTATTTATCCATTTATCTGTTGATGGACATTTGGGTTGCGTCCATCTCTTGGTTGTTGTGAATAGCACAGCTATGAGCATGAGTGTACAAGTACATCTTTGAGCCCCTGCTTTCAATACTTTTCGGTATATACACCTGCATCCATTTTTAACCTACACAAAGAATATCTGCTCTTGAAGACTGACACTTTGCCATCAATCTATAAGAAAGTAAATTCTTTGGAAATATGATAAGACAAAATAATTGTATTAATTTGCCTTTCAAATATAAACTAAGGTAGATTTTTCAAAGCGTCTCGATTTTCTTCATATATAGTTATAATAAAAGAAAATCCATTGTCATACCTTGATGCCAATTATACATATATAGAAAATATTCATAAATATATATACACAGAGAAATATGCACATACACAGACACAACCTGAAAATAGTCTACTTCAGAATAAAGTGCACTTCCATTTTTCAAATTGCAAAAATTGACTTTATATTTTCTAATTATCTTTTTTTAAAGGTCTTTTTAAATTTTTTTTCCTGGCTTTTAAAAGTAATCACAGAAAGAGTAGGAAGAGATTAAGGCTGCTAAACTCAGCCATACAAGGAGGAAGGAGAATCACATGTGCTGATCTTTCTCATACTACTAACTAAAAGTTTATGTAGTGCAATTAAGAGTTTTGAACCATTATTTTATAAGTAGAGTTAAACATCAGAGGTATATTCATAAATGAGTGGCACATGTCACATATTTAAATTCTTTCAGGATCTCAGAATGACAGAACCTGGGGCTTCTCCATCAAGTCCTGCTCCCTTATTTCACAATTGGAGAAACGTGTCCAATGAGACTAAATGGCCTGTCTAATTTACATAGCTTGTCATCCCCGAGGCTGGAACAGGAACTCCTATCATTTCATTACTTCAACATTTTTTATATCTACCTATCTAATCTTCTCTTAAATGAATGTAGCAAAATACAGTAGATATTCTGACTGCATTCATAAGGAAATTACTCTTTTGGCTTTTATTTCTTTTCTTTGTAATAGACGTATGCAATGCAATGACTTCCCCTCATCTCATGGTAGGATTTGAACTTCCCTGCCCTCAAGGGCCCAAAACCTGATTAGGGGTTGCTGTTGATTCTTGCCCTGGATTTCAAAAGCCTGAAAATTTGTTATAGAAGAAAAAAGTAATAGGTTCTAGAGTACAGAGACAAATATGAAGATTGCAGGAGGGATTCCTCAGACTCATATAAGCACTGAGTGGAAGTTGAATAAGAAGTGTTTCCAGAGGGTAACTTAGGAATTTGAGAACTGGCCATAAGAGGTGTCCAAATGGAAGAAGACCCATTTCCCAGAAAAGAGGAGACAAATGGCAATGCAAAGAACATTGTTCTGGTGTCCAAGCATAAACACTGACCCTGTAGCCTGCACCCAAGGGAGGAAAGTTCACTGTCCTCCTCTAGGGCCTACATACTGCTTTGGTGTGTATCATGTTGACTGTTAATAATCCAGCAGAGTAATCACTATCCATTCTCCAAGGCTGCGTTTGGTCTGTGTTTGAGGAGCTCATGTATTCCCCTACCCCTACTGCCAATGCCATCTCAGTCCATCTCACAATGCCCCACGTGACCCATCTGCTCTAAAAAGAGAATGAGACCATGCACATCTAGTAGTAAGGTAAAGTAGAGGAATGACCCATATCTGTATCTGGAAAGACTGGACTGAAAAAGATTAAGGTCCCCAGAACTGAGGCAATGATTATGTTAAAGTTTATAATCTCATTTATAAAAAGTATAGTTTTGCTGTTTTGTAAGAATTCAGGACCTTTAAGTTTGTTTCTAGTTTTTCTTTCATGAATGGACAGGGGGAATGCATAAAAGAAATCATTTTATTTATCTATGACAAAATGTTAAATTACCTAAAGCTGAAGCTGAAGCATTTTGTGCAATGTGTATATATTGTTTATATATATATGTGTGTGTGTGTGTGTGTGTGTGTGTGTGTGTGTGTTTCTCTCTCTCTGAATGATGCAACAGATGAAAACTAACCAATAGAGAGGATATGGTTTGATGCTTAAGAATGAGCCAAACAACAAACGGGAAACTGTGTACTGTCTGCGTGACAAATGCAACTTCATTTAACTGTTATCATTTGAAAATACCAAGTATACTAATCTTGTTCATTGTTTTTGTTTCTTTTTTGAGACAGAGTCTTGCTCTGTCACCCAGGCTGGAGTTCAGTGGTGAGATCTTGGCTCACTGCAACCTCTGCCTCGGGGTTCAATCAATTATTGTGTCTCAGCCACCGGAGTAGCTGGGATTACAGGCATGCGCCATGATGCTCGGCTAAGTTTTTTTGTATTTTTAGTACAGATGGGGTTTCGCCATGTTGGCCAGGCTGGTCTTAAACTCCTGGCCTGAAGTGAACCGCCTGCCTTGGCCTCCCAAAGTGCTGGGATTACAGTAAGCCACTGCACCCAGGCAAAATATACTAATCTTAATGGCTGAACTTTCAATTGCTTTTCTGTTTTGAAAACTAAGTGTGGCCTAAAGCATTTCTCAACACACTGAAGAACAGTAAACTAAACTCCGACTTTGCCATTTATATCGTTAGATCCTAATTGATATTGAAACCCTGCAAAACAGGAGAACTTTTTCTTTTTCTTTTATTTTGTTTACTTGCTTTTTTAAGTTTAGAACTGAAGTTACCAAAAGGAGGTGCATATAGATTGGCAGAAAGCAAATGAGTAGCAACAAAAAATAATTAGGAGCTATATAAAGAGTAAAAGAATGTATGAATAGGAATCTTCCAGTGATAATATTCCCCCACCTTCAATAGGGCAAAAGATCCACCACAAAAGCAAATAGTCATCTTGAAACTTAATTACATTTCAAAGTAGTACAGTAACATGAAAGGAACAAAACATTTTTGTTCAACAGTTTGCCTACCAGATGGGATCTCTAAATATAGGTAATCTAAAACCTTTGCTTGTCCTATAAACAAATACAGATGAAAGGAATAGCAACAATAGCTAAGCATTTAAATCACTGGAAATAAAATAGCACTTTGGTTAAGTGTGGAAGAATCTGGCTCATTCTAATAATGAATCTGGGAAGGCTGGAGTTCTCAGTGAAATTCAGAATACAGAAGGTTGCTTCTGGTATTTACCACCTGCTTATCTACCTGTTTAAACTGGTAGAATAGTTGGAAGAACAAATCAGGAACTAATAGCAGTAGACTTGGGAAAAACTAAAGAAGCACAGGAACACCTAATAAATAGAGACTCTAAAGGGCCACAATACAAATTCCAGACTTTTGTTTTTGAAATAAGAGTTGCGACATGCCCTTGCTTCATTTCTGTGCACTCATGTGTAAATGTGGGTAATAGTTAAGAACCTATGCTCTGGAGTCAAGCCCAGCATGTGAATCCAGGTTCTACAATTGACTGGCACTATGACTTTGAGCCAGGTTCCTTACCTCTTTGAGCCTCATTGACAAAAGCAGATAGTAATAGTACTGAGTTTTATTGGAATTAATTTATGACAGTTTTTGGCACCTACTGAATCCCATGAATATTAGTTGCTTATTATTATTAATAATCATTACTCTTAAATAATTATATTCTGATTTTTTGCTGTCTCAAAAGCGTGGGGTGGTGTACAGTAAGATTTTCAGGTAGTAAATGGAGTTCTAAGAGTAGAACTTAAAGCCTTCCCTGTATATCTCCAAGTGGTCTTTCCTAGTAGCACTGCCCTCTTCTCACCTGGCTAGGGAAGGTTATCTAGAACTCATACGGGGAAGGCAGGTCAAAAGACAGAGGTTTTTCTTTTAAGAATTGGCTATCAGAGCTCAGCCTACCCTAGTTTGTCCTCCTCAGGGACTTCACTTATACAACTCTCTGCTGCAGATCTATGGGCTTTGGAGAAATGACTCAGAATTTCTTTTTGATTTGGTTAACTAATGGCATGTAGGACCATTCTTGTTGATGGTATTGTTATTAATATAACACCATGATAGCTTAGAGCTGATTTTGGCAACTAATGTTGATAGTAAACAGTTTACTTACCTGTAAGTAGGGTGATTACCTGGAACAAATAAAAGGTAAGTTGTAATTGCTAAAATGTAATGCAGACTACAATGAATGGAAGGCCAGTGTTTAATGGTACTTAAGCTTTTACTGGGTTATTTTGTTGAATTTTACATGAGGCAAGAGCAACCTGCTGGGGCCACTGCCTTCAGTATTAAAAGATACCTATGTTTTGGACTTTATACAGGAAATAATTCCATTTCTTAGTATTTTTAAAATTATGGTAAAATACACATAAAATTTACTAGGTGTATAGTTCACTGGCAGTTATTAACACTGTTGTACAACCATCATCACTGTCCATTTTTAAAAATGTTTCACTATCTAAGCAGAAACTCTTGTACTCATTAAACAACAACCTCCCAACTCCCTCTTCCCTTAGTCCCTGGTAACCTCTAATTTCACTTTCTGTCCCTATGCATTTGCCAATTCTAGATATCTCATGTAAGTGGAATCATACAATTATTTGTCCTTTTGTGTCTGGCTTCACTCGGCATAATGTTTTCAAGGTTCATCCATGTTGTAGCATGTATCCGAATCACATTCTTTTTACAGGCTGAATAATATTCCATTCCAATATGTACATAGCACATTTGGTTTATCTCTCCATCTGTAGATGAACATTTGAGTTGTTTCCACTTTTTGGTACTTGTGAATAATGCTGCTACAGAACACTGAAGTACAAGTATTTGTTTGAGTCCCTGCTTTCATCTCTTTTGGGTATATACCTAGAAGTGGAACTGCTAGTACCTATGCTAAGTCAATGTTTAACTTGTTGAGGAGCCACCAAATTATTTCTATTGCCGCAACATCATTTTACATTCTGATCAGCTATGCACAAGGTTTCTAATTTCTACACATCTTTACTAATACTTATTTTCTGTTTTTTTGATAAGAGCCATTCTAATGGGTATATAAAGCAGAATCTCATTAAATTAGATTTGCTTTGTAAACTATTTATTAAAAATAAGAGACACGAAGAGAACTTATTATTATATGCTTCGCTTACCCTGTATATCAAGAGCTGCAAACATCCTGTGCGAGTCCCAAAGTGAAAGGTAAAATATGGTTCTATTAAATTTTAAACATAGTAACACGAATATTTCTCCAAATAAGGTAATCTTGAGTTTTGGGATTGCATTTAAAATTCCTACAGCAAATGCTCAGGATATAAACATATCCATTAGTCATTACAGAAGTCCACACGAGGCTGACACACGTAGAATACCATTATTAGCAAAACTAAACTCAGTACAGTTACAACTGCCTCAAACTTGACCCCAAAGTATTGAAAGCTCCTCAGAGAGCGGGCCAGCAGCGCTGCGCATGCGCGCTCCCGGGCGTGCTCCCGCGCGTGCCTGCGTATTTGCGTGCGCGGCCCCGCGCGGCAACGCAGGGGCGGAACCGCATGACTGGCAGTGGCATCAGCGATGGCGGCTGCGTCGGGGTCGGTTCTGCAGCGCTGTATCGTGTCGCCGGCAGGGAGGCATAGCGCCTCTCTGATCTTCCTGCATGGCTCAGGTGGATTTCAATTTTACGTCCTGGTTTTCTACAGCTCGGGAAACATCCTCCCCTCGGTTACCCCAGTATTGCCCAAGTGGAGGTGTCGCCGGGCCCAAATAGGGCCCAGTGGGTGGCTCCCCCGTCGCCAGCCCCGGCTGTAGATGCACGGGCAGCGCCACCTGCCCCCAGCCTCCCCCGTTAGTCTTCCTCTTTCTATCGGGCGGTCACTGGTCCACCACCCTCGCTTTGGGGCCTTGTGTCCCGCCGCTCAGCCAGCCCTCCATCCCCACAACACACCTCCCCATTCCTCGCCCCAAGTTTAAACAGAGCAAGTTAGTAAGGTAAGTCTTCTGCTAGAGGGAAATTATTTAGTGTTTTTCATTATCAGCTACTAGTGATTTTTCAGTCGTAATTGCCCATTGCTTTTTCCAGGCTCCCATACTAATGTAGACAATTGAGATTCACAGTTAACTTAGATACTGTTTACAGATTATCTCTTTTCTGTAAGCCACTGTGCCATGGCTGGAGTGCTTTCTCTCACTTTCCTTTTTGCTGCTTCTCTTTCCTTCCTTTCCCTTTCCCGCCTGTGTCATTAAACTTCCAAGATAGACTACAGGGGCAGGACCCCCAGGGACAGGCATCTTCCACTACCTGCCCTTAGTAACGTGTGCTTAATGCTGTATCGTTACTTAACACTCATCTGTAATCACTTTTGTCTGTCTTCCCCACTGGATTGTGAACTTCCCACTGGATTATGAGAGTAAGGGCCCTTGTGTCAACCTTTGCACCCCCAGTGCTTGGCCCAGGGTAAGCTCTCAGGAAATGTTTTTTAAAGAAATGAGATGCAGCCGGTGTCCTCAGGGGGCCTACCTAAAGTTAAAAACAAAAACAATCCAATTAGTTTGAGTCAGCAGTGCATGGAAGATCACAAGACGGTGCATGGTTTCCTGCCAAGTGAATTGTAAGAGAAAAAAATGTGGTTAGGCATTATTAAGGCATTTGGAAGATGAAAAGCTTGTCAGACTTTTCGAAGAAAGTGGTCTTTGAGCCGAGACGGGTAGGCTTAAATGGGACGGTGATTGGAAGGGAATTGGAAAGGTACTGGGCAGAGACCTGGAAAAGGGCAATTGTGGGAGGTATTCTCTTTATTTTGAAAATGAGGCCAGACAGGTTCAGCAGCTTGGCCAAGGTCTCTTAGCTGTTACTGTGAGTAGTGGCGGATTTGGGATTAGAACCCAAAGCTCTCCGACCTCAAACTCAGGGCTTTGGTGGGGTAAGGTGAAAAAGTTTGAACTAGGATATATTGTTTTGGAGATAGGGAAGAAGAGGTCCAATAGTGTTTAAAGGGAAAGACGGCATATATTTAGAAGGTGACGTGTGTAAGATGACAGCGGTACTTAATAACTAGGAGACTGGTAGTACTATTTAGGGCTCCAAGAGTGTTCATTTATAAGTACCCAGAAATTCCCCAACACTGTACCCTTTCTCATAATCAATTCTCATTATCTTTAGGAAGAACTCCTAGACTATGTTCTTTTTTCCCCTGGACCTCTTTGCTTAAAATAATTATCCTTTTTTTGAATTTCAGATTACATTTTTATAACCTGTAAGGGTATGTCTCTAAAATTCAGAGTCATGTATGTATGTATTTTTTCCTTTGTACTTTGAACCAAGAATTTATTCAAAGAATTCTGCCAAGTATGCGAGTATAATGTGATTCCTATATATTTAAATCTCCACTGAAGTAAATAAAACCTTATTGGGAGTAGGTCTTTATCATCTTTATCGTTGGGAGTAGGTCTTTATCATCCAGTAGGTCTTTAGCAGCTAGTGATTTTACATTCAACTTTAATGTATGTGGTTATGTTATAGGAGATGTTTGGTTTCTGCTTAACTAGAATATGGGCAAACCAATTCTGTTTTATCACACTCAGTTTTGCCATACTGTTAACCAGTTTTAACACTTTTACTATGGAATAAAGTACTAGCTTTTTAAAAAGTGGACATTGGGAATGGATAGATGTTGTTTTGCAGCTGCATTCTTACTCTTCGAGGCTGAAAAAATGTTGTTAAAGACAGATTTTGTGTTTTCAAATAAAAAACCTTAAAAGCTTGAGATTTTCTTCTAGGAGATAGCAGCCATAGAAGAACATATGGGAGTGTAAATTATATGTAGCCAACTTAATTTGAGCCTTTTCTATTAATAAAGTACTAAAGACGGACCTTCTTTTAAGATGATAAAAATAAATGATAGGTTAATGAGTTTTGTTCAGTCTCTCAGATCAGATTAATTCACTCTTATTTGCTCCCATAGGACACTGGTTCTTCTTTCAGTGGTAGTCATCATACTTGTAATTATGTAATGTAATGTCTGTATTCCACACTAAGCTAGTAGGTCCACAAAGCCCAAACCATGTGTCTTGTTTATGGCTTTCTTCTTGTGTGGTAAGGCTCAGCAAGTTGACTGAGTAGCTTCTTGGTAAAGTCACCAGTAAGCTCAGGCTCTATGTCGCTCAATGTAATGGACATTTTCAGTCGTCCTCTTACGTGAACTGTCATCTGCATTCAGCTTTCTTCTCAAAAAACTCTCCTGGTTCTTTTTCTGTCTTGATTTGCTCCTTCTGGTTTCTTTTGCAGACTCATCCTCCTCTACCTGGCCATTAATGATGGGGTTTCTCTAAATTTGGTCCAAGGTCTTTTCACTCTACATTTTTCTCCCTAGGCTAATCACAGAAGTCTCCTAGAGATACCCATTTGTGTCACTGGTGTATAGGTAAAAATAGAACCTTTGAATTTCTGTGGAGATTCATAGATTCTATTTTTGAGCTCTAGACAAGTTCATCTAACTGCCTGATAGACATTCATTCATGAATCCATTCATTCAAGAAATATATCACAGCCTCCATGTGTAAGGCACTGTTCTGTGCTCTGATCATACAGCAATGAAAAAAACAAATCACTGCTCTCATGGAGCTTATGTTCTAATGAAGTAAATAAATACTATAGTAGAAGGTAGTAAGTTTTATGGAAACAAGGAAAGCAGGATAAGGGGATTCTTCCATGGATGAGAAGTTGGAACAGTGTTACAATTTTAAATAAAGTAGTCAGGTTATGCCTCACTGCAAAGATGACAGAAGATGAAACTTCACAGCTAGACTTAGACTTGGCTTTAAAGCCAAGTCGGAGGCTCCAGGGTAGGGTCCTTGACATGTTCAAGGAACAGCAGTAAGGCTAGTGTGTCTGGAGTGAGAAGAATAGGAAGGGATATCCAAGAGGGTACTGGCATCCAGGTAGTGTAGGGCAGGGGTTGGCAAACTTTCTGCAAAAAGTCAGGTAAGCATTTTAGCTTTTGTGGGCCATGTAAGGTCTCTTCCCCATAGTTTTCCCTTCTCTCTCTTTTTGAGAAAGGAGTCTTTAATAATGTAAAACTCATTCTTAGCTTATCCTCCTTAAGGACCCTAGGCTGGATTTTGTCCTCCCCTCTAGCTGTCCATAGTTGCTCAATCAACCCATGGTATAAGACCTTGTATGCATTACAAAGAGGCACCTCACACTCAACCTGTGTATGCCTGTTGCTTATGTTTCCTGTCTAGGCAGGTGTCTAGTATTGTTCACCCAGTTACTCCGGCCAAAAGCCTGTTAGTCATCCATGAGACCTTTTACTGTTGACCCTTTATAACAAATCCGTTGCCAATCTCTATTAATTTTACCACCTAAATTTCTCTAGTATCTGTTTCTATCTACATCATCGCTGTAGTCTAAGCATGAACAGTAGTTTCCTAACTGATCTCTGTACATCTACTTTTGCTCTCTTTCAATTCTGTCTTGACACAGCTTCCAGATTGATCCTTTAGAATCATGCCAACCTTTCTGTCAGAAATATTCATGACTTCTTCATGAACAGATTTGTCACGTTCCTACAGTTTCTCTGGTCTCATTTTATAGACACTGCTCTTTTCATTCTCTGCTTTTCAGTTCTTACATGTCATACTGCTCCCTCTTATCCAGAATCCTGGCACCTGCCCTTTCCTCGCCCTGGGATACTTTTTTCTTCTGCCCTGCACTTCTCACCATCCTGTAGACTTTAGTTCAAACCATTCAGCAACTATATTTGGATACCCAGTTTTTGTCAGTCCTGTTCTAGGCACTATGTGAACAAATAACTCAGATAAAATACATCATAAACTTCCTCTTGCAGAGTTTATAGGCTAGTGCATTTATTGTTGAACTCCATAAACCCAGTCAGTTGTGAATAAAATAAATATTTGCAACACCAAGTGTCTCATTTTTGAAGCAGGTACATTTGCCTTTCACATTTATTTGTGTGATTTTTTGACTAATTTCTGTTTTTCACAATATGCTACACACTCCATGAGAATAGGGACTCTATTCCTCCCTCACCCCACCATCATTGCCTCTCTAGCAGTGAACACAGTGCTTGACACATTAACAGGGATTCAATAGGCAGTTTTTGAACTGATACCTTAATGAGTTAATTGATTAAAAAATTAAAGTTGTGACCTTAATTTCCTCCTCAGGACTCCATAAGATGGACTTATATTTCCTTCCATTTTTTTCTGTAAATACATATACATTAATATTTATATGGCTTTTTATTACTTACCAGCTTTGGAGTAGATAATTCTTCTTTTAGGTCATGTAAACATGTTGTCAAAATTAAATTATGATTTTTTCAAGTTAAAATAAAATTACACTGAACACACATTTTGGACTTTTTTTAACCAAGAAAATTAGGTTCTTCTAACTACAGAAGTTTAACAGTCACTTTAGGAATTTATTACTATTAAGAATATGATAAGAAATGACTATTAAAAGTCACATATAAATACAGAAATAAAATTTTTTTTAGAAAAATCAATTTATTTATTTATTCCTGTACTACCCACTAAACAAATTAGGTAACTTAAAACTTAAGCTTAAACAAGATCTTCAGAGTAATCAATGGTGAAGCCAGGAGTAAAATAATCAAAATTATTGCTAGTTATTGAGACCTAGTTAGTTAATTCATATTAGTAAGTCAGTTTCTATATGGTTATTATGATGTATGGAGCTTTTTTAAATCCTTTATTCCATCCTCTGTGTGACATAAAAGTTTTAGACTGCTTTGAAATGCATTGTATTACTAAAATATTTATTTTAATCTAGATTTTTTGATTCATCAGGTGATTCTGGACAAGGATTAAGAATGTGGATCAAGCAGGTTTTAAATCAAGATTTAACATTCCAACACATAAAAATTATTTATCCAACAGCTCCTCCCAGGTATGCAGTAATTTATCTCACTTGTCAATATAACTCTGTGGCATAAAATATATATAGAGAGATGTGCCAGCTAGGTGTTCTTTAAGCTTAATTTTGTATTTAACATACTTTAAATTAGAGTACTTTGTCCCCAGAATGTATTCTTTATTGCAGTTACACTGTTGGACCAAGTTTTGCCAGGTGAGTAATTTATTCCCTTTCTGTAAAGCATTCCCTAAAGCTCTGAATTTAAACTGTGTCCCAAGCATGGCTTATGTAACTCTGCTTCCTCTTGCCCTGCAGATTGCTCAACTTTCATACTTCTTCCCTACATTCACCCCAAAAGGAAACTTAATAACTCCAACAAGTATAATCTTTCTAATAATTTAGTTAAGCCAGAATTCATAATCTCTGGGAAAGGGTTTTATGGCATTCTTTCCACATTTAAAAGGATTATCAAGAAACAATGTTATGCTTTTTTAATCAGTAAACCAGAATAGGAAGATAGAATTGACTACTTAATAAATATTTAGGTTATATAACCTGTAGGTGTGTGCAAAAAATTCACAGTAATAAAACTGCTATAGTTTTGAGGTCAAACTACTCTTTGTAAATATTAAATTAACATCTGCATAGTCTTTTATTCGGAACACATGCCGTAAATCAGGGATTGGGATTTTTTTTTGGTTAAGTGAAATGATGTGTGGAGCTACGCCCCAATCTGATTTTTCTCATAATCTGTTCTTGATTTTTTTTTGTTTCTTTTTCTTCTTCTTTTTTTATTTTTTCCAGACAGAGTCTCACTCTGTTGCCTAGGCTGGAGTGCAGTGGTGCAGTCTTGGCCCACAGCAGCCTTTGCCTCCCAAGTTCAAAGGATTCTCCTGCCTCAGCCTCCTGCCTAGCTGAGAATACAGGCATGTGACACCACGCCCAGCTAATTTTAAAGACAAGGTTTTGCCATGTTGGCTAGGCTGGTCTGGAACTGTTGACCTGAGGTGATCCACTCACCGCGGCCTCCCAAAAGTGCTGGAATTACAGGCATGAGGCACTGCACCTGGCCTGTTCTTGATTTTTTTCTTATCAGGCATACTATGCAAATGCCTTGCTTTATATTTTCATTAACTTAGTATTAAGGAGAAATAAAACCAGAACTTCAAGGACGTTTTTATATGTACTAATAAGAATTTACTTACTTTAATTGATAGAATTGAAAAAGGGAGAACAAAATGATAATGTAAGACTGAAGACTCAAAGGAGTTATTATTTAAATGTAATTTTAATAGAGTTTAAAAGTTTGGTAATCTAGTTAAAAGACCCAATCACCAGTGGTTATTTTTGTGCTATAAATTGCATGTCTTTGAAAATGTCAAAAAAGCTTCTTGTTACTGATTTTTAGGATAGTTGAAGTTGGAAGGAAGAAACATAGTGGTATTTCTGCAGGGATGAAAGATAAGTTCATTTCTACCTAAATATAAATACAATTGTCTGATTAATCATAAGACCACTGAAAACCTTATTCTAGGAATTAATATTTTTTATCTTAAGAATTTCATGTCATTACCAATTGTGATAGGAATTCTAGGCAGTATTTCTCAAACTTTAGGCCAGAGTTATTTCAGAAAATCCAAAAATCTCCATGTGCACTAAGCATTATTTGTGGGTGCTGTTGTGATTTAGTAAAATATGAAATCATTGGACCAGCTTCATGGTAACTTTTTGTTACACAGTTTTATAACCAATAGCTATTTGAACAGATCATCGAACGTTTTAGACCATACTCACCAATAGAAATGTAATATGAGCTACATATAAATTTAAATGTTCTTGATACCACATTATAAAAAGGAAGAAATACGTAAGATTGATTTTAATAATATATTTTATTTAACCCAGTATATTCAAAATATTCAACATGTAATCGGTATAAAATTATTAAAGTGATATTTTATATTTTTTACACTAAATTTTTGAAAATTGGCATGTTTTACATGTACGACACATCTTACTTCTGATGCTAAATAATTACACTGAAATTAAATAGTAGTAAAAATTAGGTTCCTCAAGTTGCCCTGGCTACATTTACGTGCTTCATAACCTTATGTGGTTAGGGGCTGCCATTTTCTACAGCTTAGTTTTAGAACTTAAAGAGGAGTTCCCATATACAGTAGATTGGGAGCCACTGTTCTAGATCAAGTCATCATTTTTACTTATTGGTTTGCTCAAGTTTTCACTTATTAGTAGCAAAACATAGAAGATTTCCAACACATTACTTTAAATATTAAATTATTTAATTGCAATAGAAAATGAAACTGGCATAAACAAATTTGAGAACAAACATAGTTGACTCTTAATAAGCATAAAAAGCATAAGGCTCAGTTTGTGGGAGCAAAAGTGTGAGGGTGTGCAAGAATGAAGCCTCTTGATCTGGACCATTTGGTCTTCCATGGGCGTTAGATATAGGAATACATGGCTTTGGTTAATACTATGAGGCAATTCAGTGGAGGTCAGTTAAGAGAGATGATATCATACTTAGTATATTATAATTAGCTGATTTTTTTCCTACCTTATGCTGGACTAATTTTCTAGAGCAGTTTATATGATACTTACTTCTGTATCCCTACAGACACTGAGGGATACTGTATCTCTAAGCACTTAGCATAGAACCTGACAAATAGATGTTTAGTGAAGATTGAATAAATATCTTGCAGTATTTGCTTGTTGTTGTTATTTAAAATAGTGTAATAGGAATGAGTAATTGTGGGTATTTATATATAATACTAATATTTTAATTGTGTAATAGTTTATGCCTATGTGAGGTTTTAAAAAGTGTATTTTGTTGTGGTAAATAACCTAAGAATTGTTGTTCATAAGGGGTTGCAATTACTTGTCCTAAGACTTGACCCTGCAATAGATTGAGTGAGCACCAGATTATGGGCCAGTTTTAACTAATGAGTCTCAAATTGAGGAGCACTGCGGTATCATTAAGCCTGTAGCTTTTAACTGGTTTCCAGACTTCAGAATGCTGTTTGATAGTATTTTATTAGAATGCTCTGGCATTCATGGTGTACTTTGCTGTTTTAAGACTTCTGACTGGTGTTCCTAACACATTACCCTGTTTAGGCAAGCAGTTTGGGCATAGATTTATTGTCGTTGCTTTTGTAGCATAATATGGCTTCATTTGCGGTTTTAAGGATAGTTGCTACCTTCCATCTATTATGGCAATGTTTCTTGTGCTGCTAATAAGAGAGATTCTGGTGTCATCTACCTTGCTTGCTACCTTTCCGGTGACGTCAAAAGGAGGCATGTGATAGATACGTGCCTTCCTTAACTCTCACTCTTTTTAATGTGATTGGTACAGGATAAAAATGAATTTTAATAACCTTTTTAAAAATTTATCAAGGTTTCATGCTTTAACATGTTGCTACATACTTTCTGATATTGTCCACATTTCTGGTATTTATTCTCTCTCCTGATTTTTTTCTTTCACCACTTGTAAACCCATAAGTTTTTCTGTACTATGGATATTTCATTGACTATGTTATTCCTATAAGGTATATTGAAGATATCACTTGGCTTGTAAAATCATTCCATTGATGGCATGTAAATGATATTCAGGGTTTACCTGCCTGTTAGTTGGCCAGTTTTGTCCTAGAATGTATCTAATCTCTTGTTACATGGAAGTGATGCTTACTATTATGTGGCTTTACCCAAGCCAGTATTTATAGAAATGAGTGAAAATGAAATGTATAAAAGCAGGTTAAGCTTTATTAACTTTGGTACACTATGCCAAGCATATTTCCAGAGAGGCTGTAACAATTGACAGCCTCACCAGCAGTATTCAAGATTCCCATTTGTCTCACATCCTCCTGAACACTTTCCATTGTCTTTTTAATTTTAGCCAAACCAGTAGATGTGTAATGGTATCCTATTGTGATTTTTATTAATATTTCTTTAATACTAATGATGTTGCACACTGTTTTATGTGCTTATTGAGCATTTAAATATCCTCAAAAGAAATGCCCACTCAGATTATTTGCCCATTCTTTTATTTGGTCATCTTTTTCTATTGATTTGTTGGAGTTCTGTAGTTTTTTGGATACAGTTTATTATTGTTGTTGGATATATGAATACAAATACCTTCTCTTTGTGGTTTGCATTTTCACATTCTTAATGACATCTTGTGGACATAAGTTCTAACATGTTTCTTTAAAATTTACAGTGAAATACAGAAATTGTATGTGCATAGTTAATTTTGATAAATTATAGTACAGAGAATTTTGGTAAAATTATGCACCTATTTACCTCAATTAAGTTGGAGAATATTCTCATCACCCCAGAAAGTTTCCTTGTGCTTCTTTCAAGTCAACTCCCATCTCATGTATTATTGTTTGCATATCTATTACTGTAGCATAGTTTGGCTTGTTCTTGAATTTCAGTTAAATTGAGTCACTTAATGAGTGACTTAATGGAATCTTGTGTCTGGCTTCTTTTATTCAAATTGGTATTTTTGGGATTCATCTATATGTGTGTATCAATAGTTCAATTTTTAAAATTCTAAGTAGGTATTATATAAATATAACACAGTTTGTTTATTTATCTACTGTTGTTGCACGTTTGGATCATTTCCAGTTTTGAGATCTAATGAATAATGCTACCATAAATATTCTTGTTACACGTCTTTTTGTGAGCATAATTTGAATTCTTATCTAGACTCTATTCCATTGGTCTAATCTTATAGTAGTACAAAATTGTTGTAATTATCACAGCTGTATAGAAAATTTTGAAACCAAGTGGTGTAAGTTTTGCTCATTCTATGTTACTTGCATTTACGTGTAAATTTTAGAACCTGCTCTTCAATTTTACAAAACACCTGTTTGGATTTTGATTGAAATTGCATGGAATCTAGTTTGATTTAGAGAAAATAGATGCCTTCTAATACATACACATGGTATGTCTCACCATTTACTTAGGTCTTTATTAATTTCTCTCAGAAGTGATTCGGAGTTTTTAGTGTAGAAGTCTTTTGCTAAATTTATCTACAAGTATTCTGTTTCTTCATGTTATTGTAAATGGAATGTTAAAAAACTTAATTTTCAAATTGTTGCTAGTACAGAGAAATAAATTTTAGTTTTTTATTATGTCCTTGTATCCTTCTATCTTTCTAAATTCACTTATTTCTAGTACTTACTTAGTATATTCCTTATGAATTTCGTGTGTGCATTTTATTTCATTGTCTTGCTTTTTTGGACTTGTTTGAACTTCCAGTACAATGTTAAATAGAAGTGAGTACTTCCTTCCTGTGTAATCTTAGAGGGGAAGTGTTCAGTATTTCACTGTTAAGTGTGATGTTAGTTCTAGGGTTTTTTGTATATATGCCTTTTTTTTATATTGAGGACATTTCTTTGCCTAATTAGCTGAGAGGTTTCTTTGTGAATTTATCAAATGCTTTTCTGTGTCCTTTGAAATAGTCATGGTTTTTATCTTTCATTTTGTTAACACAGTGAATTACATTAATGGATTTCCAAGTCTTAAACCAACCTTACATTCCTGGGATAAACCCTTTTGTAATGTATTATCCTTTTTATATGTATCTAAATTTGTTTTGCTAATACTTTGGTAAAGAATTTTATGTCTGTGTTCATGAGGAATATTGTTCTGTGATTTTCTTTAATGCCTTTGAAAAACGTTATCATCGGGGTTATGCTAGTCACTTAAAAGCATTGGGAAGGATTCCCTTCTCTGTGTCTGAGTTTATGTTATTTCTTCCTTAAATATTTGATAAAATTCACTATTGAAATTACCTGGACCTGAGATTTCCTTTTATGAAGGTTTTGATAATGAATTCAATTTCTTTCATAGAACCAGGATATTCAGATTTTATATTTATTTTTAGGCCAGTTTTGATAATTTGTATTTCTCATGAAATTTGTATCTTTTTTCTGATTTGTCAAATTTATTGACAAAAAGATGTTCATGATATTTCCTTTTAATGCTTTTATGATTTGTTGTTGATAACTTTTATTTCATTGCTGGTAATAATTTGTATATTTTCTCTTTTTTTTCGTGGTTCATCTTACCAAGAAGTTACCAATTGTATTAATCTTTTATAGAACCAGCTTTGGCTTTCTTATTTTCTCTCTTATTTGCTTTCTATTTCATTTATATTTATTCTTATGTTTCTTATTTTCTTCTATTTACATTAAATCTATACATTTCTCACTAATCATTACTGTAGCTAAGTTCCACTAATTTTTTTCTTTCTTTTTATTTATGTTGAAATGTTTTCAAATCTAAATGGTCCCATTGCTGTACTTGTATAACAGACCACCCCAAATAATAATAGTTTTGTTATGTTCACAAATTTTGTGGGCTAAGAATTCAGAAGGGGGATGGTGGTTATGACTTGATCTGGGGCCTCTCCTATGGGAAAACTTGAAGATTGGTAATGACTCGTCGTGTGATTGCCAGGAACTGGAATCATCTGAAGGCTCACTCACATATATGGCATAATGCTGGATATTAACTGGGACCTGCCTTTGGTCTTATTACCGTAACACCTATGTGAGACCTCACCATGTAGTATCTTGGCAGCATGGAGGCTGGATTCCAAGAGCAAAAGTGTCTAAAGAGAACCAGACCTAAAGACTTAGTGTTAACAGTAACATAGTACTCTTCCCTCATTAGTTAAAAGACTGCTTAGAATCAAGCAGAGAAAACACAGACTTCTGTTTCTTAATGAGGTGTCAGACAGAGTTACACTGTAAGAAGGGCATGTGGGATGGAAGGTATTTTTCTGGCCAGTTATGGAAAATTTAGTTCTGGGACCTATATAACCCCATGGGACCTAAATAACCCATAAGTTCTGGGTCCTAAATAACCCATGAGTTATTTAGAAACATGTTGTTTCCAGATATTTGGAGCTATTCTAGATATTCTTATTACTGTTGATATCTAGTTTCATTTCATTATTATTAGAGAAAATATCCTGTATGATTTTCTTCTTTTGATATTCATTGGGACCTTTTTATGGCTTTGCATATGGTCTATCTTGGTGACTGTTACTGTGCATTTCTGCGTGTCACGTTCTATAAATGTTAATGGTTCAAGGTATTTGAAAGCATTACACAAATTCTGTATATGCTTAGTGATTATTTTTCTAAGTTGTTCTATTAGTTGCCAAGGGATGGGTATTAAAATCTCTAGCTATGATTGTAGATTGGTCTGTTTCTCCCTTTAGTTCTGTCAGTTTTCTCTTTATGTATTTTTAGGCTATATTATTAGGTGCATATTCATGTAGTAATATTGTCTTTTTTATGGCTACTTTTATCTATAAAATGTTCCTTTTTAATTTGTGGTAATACTCTGAAGTGTACTGTGTTTAATAAAAATATAGTATATCTCAGCTTCCCTATGCTTATTGTTTACATGGCACTTCATTTTTCATCCTTTTACTTTCTTTTGATTAGAGCTGTATGGTATGTCTTTTTCCATTCTTTTGCTTTTAACCTACCTATATCATTGTATTTAAAGTGGATTTCTTATAGACAACACGTAGTTGGGCTTTGTTTTCATCTTTAACCAAACTGATAATTTGTCTTCTAAGTGATTTGTTTAAGCAATTTACATTTAATGTAACAATTAATATGCTTGAATTTAGGTCTACTGCTTTTCATTCCTCTGTTTCCCTTTCACACTTTCTATTGAATTATTCGTTTTTTAATACACCATTTTACTTTATTTTTTTTCTGATTGCCATAGGGATTATGATATACATAGCAAAGCTTTTTTACCTACTTAGAGTTCTTTGTTGTTTTTTTTTTCCTTGTAACTATATAGGTCCCTTTATCCCCATCTTGTGTATGTTATAGTTTTCATATGTATTTTGTCTGCATACATTGAAAACTGTATCAAACAAGGTTATAATTTTTGTTTTCAACAGTCAACCATATTTTAAACAGCTTAAGAGGAGAACAATAGTTTATTGTATATACTCAGTTGTGGTCTATTACAGCATATAAGTGTGTTTTGATTAAATTGTGAATTACCATTTTGATTATAAGGTATCCCTTTTCCTCAACTGTATTTAATAGATGTTTTAAATCAGCTAAGGTAGGGGCATAGTCAGTAAAAGTCAGCAATTAGTTTGCTGTGTTGATTTAGATGGAAAATACTGCTTTTTTTTTTCACTGTGGTAATTTGGACTCTTTAAATGAAGTGCCCAATAAAGATTTTTATTTCTATAACATGCTTTAGCTATATTTACAATTAGAGATTTTCTTAGTTTGTGTTTATTATTAGAATTTCCATTTAAAAATAATTTTTAACAAGCCATTTATGATTTATATGATAATATAGTTTCTTTTGGTGTTTTAAAAAATTCTAAAAGTAATAAGATTTGCATAGTGCCTATACTTTTAGATTCACTGTTTTTCCACACAAAGTCCATGTTTGTATTTTTCAGTAAATATGTATTCTAAAATAAACTAGGCACTTTTTATTTAGGCATAGTAAACCATGAATTCCTCTTTACTCCATCACTTAGAATTCCTATCTGAAGCATGATAGTAGGAGAGCCCTCTCCTGATAACAGTATATCTGTACTACAAGTATGCTAGTAAGGAACCCTACTAAAAACAGCTATTTTGAAGAAATAATGTACTTCTTTGGTAAGTATTAGGTATGTTTAAATAGGTACTAGTATGGAAAAGTTTTCTTAGATATGATTTTTTAAAAAAGAAACAAAAATGGACTGTTTTCTACAAATCACAGTGTAGATTTTATAAGAGTTAAAGTCAAAATATATTTGGAGCAAAAATAAAATAATTTTAGACATTGTTATTTCTGGCTGGCACAAATTATTCCCAAGTGGCACAAATGATTACTGAAATTTATTCAGCAAATATTTAGCATCTATTCTATGTCAGGCTTTGTTCTTAGCACTGGGTATGTATCTGTGGAAAGAATGAAGTCCCTGCTCTCAATGAGCTCATGTAGAGACAGAAAATAAAAGGGAAATTAAATGTAATAATTTCAAATAGTGATAAATGGTATTAAGACTGGGGATAGAGAGTATATGTGTGTGTTGCAGGGTAAAAGGGAGGTATACTTTCAGTTGGAGAGTCAAAGAAGCTCCCCTGAGAAGGTGACACTTGAGCTGAGACCTAAATGAACAGTCGGAGCCCACCATGCAGAAATGTTGCAAAGAGCCCTCTAAGTAGTGGGGATATCAGATGCAAAGCCACTCAACTAATAATAAGCTCGTACTATTTGAAGAAAAGGAAGTGACAAATGTGACTGGAACCTAGTGAAGGGTGGGAGAGAGAAGTGGTATGAAATGAGGATAAAGAGGAAGACTGGTGCCAATTTGTTAACTTAAAGGTTATGAATGAACTTTCGATTTTATGACTTTAAGGCAACACAGATCAAAAACAACTTGGTATCAAGCTGAATGTCAACTTTTTTTTTTTTTTAACCTTGGACATTTTATTCTAGCTTAATATTTTACCAATGTGTAATGGGTTGGTTGATTGATTAACTTAGGAACCACACAGATGTTCTTTGCCAAACATATTTATTTATTGTGGTAATGTCTGAGGAGTTTTATACCAGCTAATAAAGTGATTTATTTGAGGAAGAAGGTGAATGAGTATAACATATGTGATAGTTTTTAGCTGTTTAAAAAACAAACTTTTATATTTTATTTAAATGTTATTCTAACATTTTAGGAGATTTATACATTCTTGTTTATGCTTTCTTAGCAAGAAAGTTCTAAATTATTTTTGTCTCGTTAAATTTTCTCAATTACTCCATTTGAACAGAATTTTAATTTTCTTAGCTACCACATTAGTAACATACTTACATTGGGATTCTACTTCTGCTGAGCATCTATCTCTAATTAAGGCATTGTCAAAGAAAAAAGTTAAGTGAATGCCACTTTTTTCCATTAATGGCTGAGTTCCCAGAATGATTCACATTTTAGCCTATGATATCATCCTTATTTAAGTATTTAGACAGACAAATAAACACAGAAATAGCAGAGTAAAATGAAAAGGGAAGTAGAACAATTCAGAAGGGTAATAGGCTCATTTGAATTTTAAAGTGAGTGTTGTATTTTTGATATTTTGATTTAGAACTTCACTGTGATTTTAGTGACAGTTTGACTACAATTTGAGGTTTCATTTTGTCTGACAATGACTATTTGGAAAGCACCTACTCTCATTTTCAGAGTAATGAAAATGAGTAACTCAAAACTAGTTAAGAAGCTAGTTTTGAGAAGGGATTCTGGGAGGAGGAAGGTTTGAATGCTTTCTGCCTTCTCTCCCCTTCTGATTCTAATTTATCTACCTTTCTAGAGCCACACAGCTTCTGGGGTCAGAAGGCATATGGGGTTGTGAGATAATTTATGCTTATTGGAGTCCTAGTATAGAGGTGGTGCAAGATTTTATCTTTTCTGCAGCAGTTGAAAGCCTGGATAAAGAGCAATGAAGGAAAAGCTCAGTCTGCAAAAATCTGCCCTCCTCATAGGTTTATGTCATAAAATGTAATTCTCAGACAATAATGCAATATTAATTAGAATTCCAAAAGGATTTTTTAAGGATAATTATTTGAAAAT
This sequence comes from Homo sapiens, assembly GCF_000001405.40. Taxonomy (NCBI): domain Eukaryota; kingdom Metazoa; phylum Chordata; class Mammalia; order Primates; family Hominidae; genus Homo; species Homo sapiens. The sequence goes on from NC_000001.11 coordinate 219,189,838, forward strand.
AGTTTCAAGTTTACTAAATTTTTTGATAAATTTATTGGATAATCAAGAACAATAGATGCCTGAGAATAGCTAGGACAAGTATGAAAACACAGACTAGAGTAATGATAGGAGAGGGGAACTTACCTTACACAACTTCAAAATATGCTCTAAAACCACTATAATATGATTAACGTTATATACTAACTTAATAATTAACTTAATAGATACTAAATAGAAACTAACTTAATAGATAAAGAGATTAGTGGAACAAAATAGAGCCTTTCTCAACTAAAGCTCTTCAGCTGAATCACAAGACATAGAAAATTATTTGAGTGACTGTTCCCCCGCCCACTGCATGTATGATATAGAACGAGCACCATTCTAGATGTATTAGAGGGAAGTCAGTTCATTATATATAGCATATGTCTTACAGAAATCAGGGTTAGAGAGACTAGATAATGCAGAACTATAAAATATATGGCAAAGATAAAATTTCACTGTTTGCTGAGAAGGGTGTCTTCCTCCTTTCCTCCCTTTCTCTCTCCTTCTTTTAATAGCACAAGCACAATTGACTATCATATGGGATAAAATGAATTTGAATCCTTAGGTTACTCCATGTATGAAATTCCCCCAAAATTCAAGGCTTAGGTGTAAAAATGAAAACAAAAGTCTTAAAAGAAAATCTGGGCTACTATATATAAAAAATGTATGGATTGGCAGGAGCTTCTTAAGCAAATCTAGAGACCCAGAAATTTAAATTTTTTTTTAAAAAGACATTATATCAAATGTAGAGTCTTTTGTCCAGTAAAAAAAAAAAAAAAAAAAACCCTTAAGTACATAATAACGTAATATCAATATTCAAAATAGACTTGGAAGAAAATACCTGAAATATATGCAACAAATATTTGTCAATAATAGACAAAGTACTCTTTTAAACAAGAAAAAAATTGAAATGACAATAGGAAAAAATAATAGCAAATGACATCAGTCAGCAATTCCACTTATGTGGAGTTTTAGAACAGGCAAAAGAAATCAATGTTGATAGTCTCACTCAGTAGTTGCTTGGGAAGGTTACGGGAGTTGCTCGTGAAGGGGCATGATGGAATTTTCCAAGGAAAAGGAATGTTCTGTATCATTGTGGAGATGGTGGTTGCATTGTAAAAAGTAATTGAACTATACACCTAAAATGTGTGTAGTTCAATATAGTTTATATATGTAAATTATACCTCAATAAAGTTGGTTTTAAAACTTCAATTGATACTCTTAAATGGTAACATTTTAATGTATGTCAGCACCTACTGCTATTACTGCTGTGGGCAAAAGGATATTTTCCTACCTTTCCTGTAGAAAGGTAAATTTTTACAACTTTTATGGAAGCAACTTTGAGACATCTATTAAGACAAAAATTGTACCTTTTAATCCAACCTGTTTCTTGACTCTTTTCCATAGGAATAAAAGTTCCAGTAGATAAAAACACGTATGCATATGTTTAATGAAGCATATTTCTTAGTGGCTAAAAGCTGGGTACCAAATTAATTCCCATTATTAGGGGAATGGCTGATTAAATTGCAGAATATGCTTATCATAGGATATAATATAGCCATTAAAAGGGTAAGTTAGAACTGTAACTGATGAAAGGATTTCCATGAGATATTGTTGAAGGAAAAAAGCATGATGCACATAATAGAATCAGATAGACTACTTTATTTTTGAAAAGAAATAGTGTGCCAAGAAATAGCCTGTAAATATGCATATTTTAATTTATAAGAATAACATTGAAGGATATATTTCAGATCATTTACACAGTTTACCGAATGTAAAGGACAAGATGTGTGAGGGAGTTGGAGAGAAGAGGAGGAATGTAGAGATGGGTAAAAAATGAATAAGATTGACATGAAAAACATCTAAACAATGTATATATATATAATCTCATATTTAAAAAATTTTATGTATCTGCATAAACTTAGGGAAAACATTTAAGTTTTTATGTACTGACTTTCAGAGGTATTCATCATATCCATTTAAATTTTAGAAAATGTGTTACAAAGTAATGTTTATATGATTCTATTTGAGTAAATAAAAGATCCCCGTATATGAATTTTTGTTAAATTTTAGTCAGTTCAACTTTCTTGTTTCCAGGTTTTTTTTTTAGTTTCTCTGAGAAACTTTCCAAATATAACCTTGACGTTCAAGCCCCTTAAGTGGATGTCCATTTATTTTGGGGTGGTATGATCAATATTGAAAAATGGTGTAATTTTGTTCCCTTCCAGCACCACCCACTGGTCCTAAAGATTGTATGCATCCCAAGGCCAATGACAATTGAATATTTCTAGCTCCTTGAATATGCTGAGGTTCTACTTGGGTTTTTCACTAGAGAAGAAGTACAAAAGCATGTTCAGGTCTCACCTGTTGTCTTTTAGCCGTCTATTTTTGTTTTTCAATTTAGCTGCACATTTCATGCTTTTACTTTACTAACTTTGGTGGGTGACAGTATACAGCTAAATTTGAGATGGCAAAGTAGAGGAGGTATTGGTGTGGAAAGAATCCTGTGTCTGGGTTCATCAAAGGGAAATATTACTTGTCATTGGTTTAGAGTTCTTTCAAATTACTATAGGCACTTTTGTCACTGGCTATGTTTTCTTTGCCACTCTGTTTCTCATCATTACGTGAGGAGAAAGCAGGGCATGCCAAGGGATAAGGATTATCTTCTGTGCAACTCTTCCGTTTTTCATATTTGGAAAACATTTGTTCTCTGTGTTTATCTAATATAGCCCCCATCCCTCTCTGTGTTTGCCCACAGAAATCTCTAAGGTTTTTTTTTGTTCCCCTTTCATTTACATCTACCAACATAATACTTGAATACAGGACCCCCTTTACTCCATTACAGTTTGGAATATCTTGATGGTGTGTGTGCCTGTGCACGTATGTGTGTGTATTTTTTTTAACCAACATAGTATCCCAGAGCATGAATATACAATGAATGGATTAAGATTCACTGGTACTGTAACTGTTCTCCCTCTTAAAAGATGGAGGGAGTAGGTAAAGAGGATATGAACTGGCATTAGTAGATTTTAATGGATTAGATACAAGTATGGGATAGTTAATACAATATACATGAGAGTAGTTTTAATATGCATTTAACTTATAAAACTTAGAAGAAATTGAAATCATTTATTCAAAACACTATTATTTTGGTAATTAAAGCATCCATTTTCATATTCCCTTTTCCTTTCTTTTTTTTTGGGGGGGGGCGGTTGTTAAACAGATCATATACTCCTATGAAAGGAGGAATCTCCAATGTATGGTTTGACAGATTTAAAATAACCAATGACTGCCCAGAACACCTTGAATCAATTGATGTCATGTGTCAAGTGCTTACTGATTTGATTGATGAAGAAGTAAAAAGTGGCATCAAGAAGAACAGGATATTAATAGGTAAGACCTTTAAATGTTGGTAATTTATCACTGTTCACTTTTGTCTAATTCTATACATCAAATCTTACTTGGAACATTATTTAGAAGCACTTGTATATCATTCGATGCATTCATAGTTTCAGATAAACTTTACATATTGAGGATTTCAAAGATATTAGAATTATAAACAGCAGCGCATGAAACTTTAATTGATTTTCTTTTTGAATAATAACGGATTTTGAGACTCTTGTGGCAGTTAAAATTTTTCTTCTAGTTTAATTTTCAGTTAAGAAATTATTCATTTCAATTTTTAAAACATTTTACTTCAGTTACCTTAACTCTTATGAATATAAGTTTAAACATCTATTGCCATTAAGATATACAGTCAAAATATACCACTACATTTATGAAAATTATAATCTTCAGAGTTAATCTCACAAGAATATTTGTAAATTTTTGTTAGACTGTCTTTAGCAAGCCCTGTTCCTAAGGGAATATAAGTAGCTTTATATAAGCTCTTTATTCTGCTTAATACCTTTTTCTGTTTCTGGACTTAGCATATACATAAATTATTAAAATCTTTTTCTAATACATGCAAAAGTGAGATGGGGCATGTAGAATATGAATGGTACACGACATATTTTGGTGAAAGGGTTTTATTTCCAAATGTAACTATTTAACTTACAATGAGTTGTATTTAATGATGAAATTAAAAAGCAAATTAAGTATCCCCATTATGTTCTAAATAACATTAAAATGCACATTGAAATTCTTTATAGATGGGATTTGGGTAAACTAATAAACTTTCTTTGTGTTTATTGAAGTGCTGAACTGTCTGTTGAGTCATGAGAGACAACATGATATAATGGATAAAATCCATTCTATTCTGTCTTGGCGTTAGTTTCCACTTTGTTGAAAGCAGCGTGGCCTCTAGCATAACAACATCACCTTTCTGGTCCTTAGTTTCCTCATTATGTTTAACTCTATATTTCTGTGTTTCCATGTTTAACGTTGATGTTTAACTCTAATAGAGATAAACATGGAGCATTATGGGAGGACTAGGAAGAGTGTAGGGAAGGGATTCCCAACTTAGTCTAGGGGATTATGAAGTAGTTAGAAGATAGAATTCCAAACATGTGAATCATGTATCATTCAGTCATCATTCAATCTTTAGCAAGTATTTTTTAAGTCCCCACTATGTGCTACGCATTATTATAGATGTTCACGGGGATGTGCAGATAAGTAAAGCAAGATCTATCTGCCTTACATATTTCTTACAACCTGAAAGGGCCAATGAGATTCTTAAAGTGGTAACTATAATGCCAGCCAGGCTGTGATGAGTGCTCTAATGTGGTATAACTAATAGCTTTTCAAAGCCAATGATAGTATATATTTCTTTTTATTTCCCAGAACCTATCACAATGCCTGGCACAGAGCAAATACTCAGGAAATCTATAACAAATAACATTACCCAATCAATAAATTGTCAGTACTGTAGGAATTGAGAGGAAGAAGTAGTCACATGCATTTGGGGCTGTAAGAGAAAGATTTAATAGAAAGATGGCAGTGGCATTTAAGATGCACAAATTATTAAAATTTTAACTATTACAGTGTAGAAGTCTAGGTAGAGGGAATGATTTGTACAGTAAAGTAGAAGTGGACAGAGTAATGCTTTTTGTTTTTGTCTGTCTGGACAGTAGTTGGCTGTAACAAAGTTTGTGTCTAACTAAAAAGTACCTGTTGACTCAGATAGCCACAGTAAGAGACTAGAACGTGATGGCATAATGGTGACAAAAATGAGTTCAAATCTACAGTCCACCACTTCCTAGTTGGCTCACCACTTATTACCTACACTTAATTTTTGCTACCTAATCTGTAAAGTGGAAATAATAATATAATATCTGTTTACTGAGAGATGAACAAACTATTTGGTTTCTTCCAGACTCTCAGTAAATACTCTGTTCAGTTTTTAATCCTTTATTTTGTAGGTATAATAACATGTAATAATTGGTAAAGGATCATTAAATAATGTCTTCAAGTCATAAGAATTGTACTTTGAAAAACTAATTTGGCAGAAGGGGTAAGTAAAAGGATGAGAAGTCTGACATGGAGAAACCAGTATAATATAATGAAAGTCTGAAGTGGTGTGGTGGCAATAGGAAAAGAAAAGATCAGGATGAGAAATTGCTTTAAAAAATAAAAGTACATTCTTCATAAGCAAAAAAATAGATAAAAGGAGAAAATACTCTGAGTAGTACTCTTAATGAGTGTGTATTGAAGAGTTTATCACACTGAATGGTAACTGCTGTCCATTTGTCTCTTGCCCCATCCTCTCTCTTCCTTTCCCAGATCCATTACTTTATCTAGTTCATCTTTGAGTACTAGAGATATTATGGATTTTCTGCAGTATATTACATTTTAAAGAATCCTAGTACAACAAAATCAAATCTTTTAAAAATTTTAATTTTATTTTAAGTTCCAGGATACATGTGCAGGACATGCAGGTTTGTTACATAGGTAAACATGTGTCATGGTGTTTTGCTATACCTATTAACCTATCACCTAGGTATTAAGACCTGTATTCATTAGCTGTTTATCCTGATGCTCTCCCTCTCACCGCCTCCCTGACAGGCCCCAGTGTGTGTTATTTGCCTCTCTGTGTCCATGTGTTCTCATGGTTCAGCTTCCAACATGCAGTGTTTGGTTTTCTGTTCCTGTGTTAGTTTGCTGAGGATAATGGCTTCCAGCTCCATCCTTGTCCCTGCAAAAGACATGATCTTGTTCCTTTTTATGGCTGCATAGTATTCTATGGTGTACATGTACCACATTTTCTTTACCCAGTCTGTCATTGATGGGCGTTTGGATTGATTCATGTCTGCTATTGTGAATACTGCTGCAGTGGACATATGTGTGCATGTATCTTTATAATAGAATGATTTATATTCCTTTGGGTGTATACCCAGTAATGAAATTGCTGGGTCAGATGGTATTTCCGGTTCTAGGTCTTTGAGGAATTGCCACACTGTCTTCCACAATCCTTGAACTAATTAACATTTTCATCAACAGTGTAAAAGTGTTCCTGTTTCTCCACAGCCTTGCCAGCATATTAAAAATTCAAAATTCAAAAATTCTTGAATTTTTAATAATTGCCACTCAGACTGGTATGAAATGGCATCTCATTGTGATTTTGATTTGCAGCTCTCTAATGATAAGTGATGTTGAGCTTTTTTTCATGTTTTTTGGCTGCATAAGTGTATTCTTTTGAGAAATGTCTGAAGAGTCATTTATGACAAACCCACAGCCAGTATCATACTGAATGGACAAAAGCTGTAACCATTCCCCTTGAAATCCAGCTCAAGACAAAGATGCTCTCTCTCACCACTTCTATTCAACATAGTATTGGGAGTTCTGGCTGGGGCAATCAGGCAAGAAAAAGAAATAAAAAGTGTGTTCAAATAGGAAGAGAAGAAGTCAAACTGTGTCTATTTGCAAATGACATGATCCAATATCTAGAAAACTCTATCGTTTCAGCCCCAAAGCTTCTTAAGTGGATAAGCAACTTAAGGAAAGTCTCAGGATACAAAATCAATATGTAGAAATCACAAGCATTCCTATACACCAACAGTAGGCAAGCAGAGAGCTAAATCATGAATGAACTCCCATGCACAATTGCTACAAAGAGAATAAAATACTTAGGAATACAAAGGACTTCCTCAAGGAGAACTACAAACCACTGCTCAAGGAAATAAGAGAGGACATAAACAAATGGAGAAACATTCTATGCTCATGGATAGGAAGAATCAATATCATGAAAATGGCCATACTACCCGAAGTAATTTATAGATTCAATGCTATGCCCATTAAACTACCATTGACATTCTTCACAGAATTAGAAAAAACTACTTTAAAATTGGAACCAAAAAAGAGCCCATATAGCCAAGATAGTCCTAAGCAAAAAGGACAAAGGTGGAGGCATCATGCTACCCAACTTCAAACTATACTACAAGGCTACAGTAACCAAACAGCATGGCACTGGTACAAAAACAGACACATAGACCAATGGAACAGAATAGAGATCTCAGAAATAAGACCTCACATCTACAACCATCTGATCTTCAACAAATCTGACAAAAACAAACAGTGGGGAAAGGATTCCCTATTTAATAAATGGTGCTGAGTAAACTGGCTAGCCATATGCAGAAAATTGAAACTGGACCCCTTACTTACACCTTATACAAAAACTAACTCAAGATGGATTAAAGACTGAAATGTAAAACCAAAAATTATAAAAACCCTAGAAGTAAATCTAGGCAATACCATTCACAACATAGACATGGGCAAAGATTTTATGATGAAAATTTCAAAAGCAATAGCAACAAAAGCAGAAGTTGACAGATGGTATCTAATAAACTAAAGCACTTCTGCACAGCAAAAGAAGCTGTCATCAGAGTGAACAGACAGCCTACAGAATGGGAGAAAATTTTTGCGATCTATCCATCTGACCAAGGTCTAATATCCAGAATCTACAAGGAACTTAAACAAATTTACAAGAAAAAGAAAACCCCATTAAAAGGTGGGCAAAGTACATGAACAGATGCTTCTCAAAGCAGAAACAAATCTTAAATGAAGTTAAACACACATATAAAAACAGTAGCAGGAGAGGTTACCTGTTTGAGCACCTATATTTTCTTAGAGGGAATCATGTCTTACCAGCCAGATTGCCCATAAACCTCAAAAAAAGTCACCTGGGAGAAAAATATAACACAAGACTTGATTTTTCAATGTCTGTAAGCCCCCTCAAACCCCAAACTTGGGGCTCACTGAATGAAGATAATTTGTTTTTCCATTTTCTTCTTGAGAAAAAGATGATTTTTAAAAATCAGTGCCTTTGATATATTTTCAAAGTCCGACAATGTGATTGATTAAATCAAGTCTCTTGTTGAATTTTTCTAATGCTCCAGGGTAGTTTTCTGATTGACAGCATATACAGAAGTATTTCAGCATTCATTGTAGAAAAGCTAGCAGAAATGACCAGTCAATTATAGGCACCAAAAAAGAAAAAAAACTATTATTAAACATTTTAAGTAGAATAGCTTATAATATATGCATATATGTACATATTATATATGCTATATATAATCCAGTTTTCATGGGTGATATAAAAACTATCAGAAATGTTTTTAAAGTATAGTTTAGAATTAATTTTGACATAAAAATTTACAGTAATTAAGATTTTATCATGATTACACATTTGATATATTTTTTCTCATAATGGAAATGAAATTACATAAGTTATTAAACATTTATGAAAATAAATTTAACATTCACTTAAATATCTATTGCTGTTTCTTTTGGGTTCTTCCAGAATAATTTTTTCTTATTCTTTACCTTAATTTTTAAGGGTATTCAAGAAGATCTCCATGTTTATAAAATCTAAGTTAACCATTTCTCCCCTTTTCATTCTGATGTATAAGTTTACAGCCCAGAAATAGGTTGCTAAAGCTATGTTTTAATATTACGTGAATGCACAAAAGATGGTAAGTAAAATTAGAAGTGAACTAATTTCAGACATTTCCTATGATATAGTTGGTTAAGTTGAAAAAAAGCTACGTACATTTTTCCTGGTTCCCATACCCCACCAACACAAACTTGAGCTTTTCATCAAATACAGAGGTTGTTCTGTTTGTGTTTTTAAATGCATTTGTCTACTTACACATGACATATAACTATTCAAAGTATATATATCATAATATATGTGGCAACCAGAAGGTCTATACGTGAACATATGAATGATGATTTAATTAAGCAGTTCTCTTCCCCATTTATTTCTCAATACCAAGTAGTATGCGTACTCCAAAGTATGGTCATTCAGTGAAAAAAAGCATTTAGTATTTCTTTCTGTTAATGAGTTGGAGGTACTAATATATGTATGTGAGTCCCTCAGTTACCCTGTGCAAGACAAATTCTTTTAGGTATGATTAGAATATCCGAAGATAAGTTAGAAACTCCTCTTTTGTATATTTTTTATGAGGTGAAATGAGATCCTGTACAGACAAGAAGTATTATTCTGTTCATGAATAATCAACCTTTCAATCAATTTTAATATTATTTAAGTGTATGGTAAAAAATTTTATAACACTTCTTTTTAAAATGGGGAAAAATTGTACAAGTAAGCATGATCAAACCTCTCTTAAAGCTGGTTAATACTGATCTTTTTTTTTTTTTGGAGACAGAGTCTCGCTCTGTGGCCCGCCCAAGCTGGAGTGCAGTGGCAAGATCTCGGCTCACTGCAACCTCCACCTCCTGGGTTCAAGCAATTCTCCTGTCTCAGCCTCCCAAGTAGCTGGGACTACAGGCACACGCCACCACGCCCGGCTAATTTTTTTTTTTCTTTTTTTTTTTGAGATGGAGTCTCACTCTGTCGCCCAGGCTAGAGTGCAGTGGCGTGATCTTGGCTCACTGCAAGCTCCGCCTCCTGGGTTCACGCCATTCTCCTGCCTCAGCCTCCTGAGTAGCTGGGACTACAGGCGCCTGCCACCACGCCCGGCTAATTTTTTGTATTTTTGTGGAGACGGGATTTCACCGTGTTGCCCAGGCTGGTCTCGAATATTATTGCCTTCAAGTGTCCAAGAAATTAAATTTAAGGTCCATCTGAAGGAAAATAGCAAATTTCACTGGCCTCACAGAGAAGGAGCCATCATCTTTCATCAAGAGATGAGTGCCACACACATCCATCCCCAGGATATTAGACACCTGGACAGCTAGCTGCTTCCTTTGTTCACTCAGTGAGCCCATTATCCCCACACCACCTAGTGAGCAGTTGCTTTGCATCCTTCCATCTGTTGAACAATGTAACATGGTGCCAACCATACAGCCTCCCATGACAGTGGAACATATATCCTGTCCCTGAAACTCTTCTACATGCTTCTGGAATTGGTATAGAGCTTCATGATGAATAAGATGGCTTAGATCAGCCAAATAAATGGTGCTTATCTCGAGCCAAGAAAACAGCTTTACCTCTATGACCCCATGTATTCTTCACTACCATTTGTAGCTCCAGTACTTCTGTTTCATCAGTCATTTTAGCAAAATTTTTATAGCCATCATAAGAAAAAGTATCTGACAGAGGAACACCATGGCCAACCAACTCTTGAAATGCCCACCACTTATTAGCACATTTCAGGATGGTTTGAGGTCAGTTCATCAACTGGCATTCCATCTTCTCTAGATGGTGCAAAACATTGATATCACCCAAGGGTTGGACTGTCACTGCCACCACGTGGGATAAGCAGTTGATCCGTAGACCTGCTTTCCTTGTTGGATTGTTGATACCACATCATCCATCACCACAACCCTTGGCCTTCACAGCATTTGGCCTTCAGTGCTCACAAGATCTCTTTTGGGGGTAGTGTTCCTGATGCCACGATCTGTCAAAAACCACAACTCGGCAGCCAAAAGAGCTACACATCTTGATCTGCTTGCTCTTCCTTGCTTGGATTATTTCCTCTTCAGTATAAAGTTTATCACTTGATTATAGAAGATATTATAAAGAAGAGAGGAACAGCCAGGTGAAGAGATATATATGGCAAGGTCTGGAAGGGTCCTGAGGACAGGAGCTTCTGTCTCCCCGGAGTTGCCTCCTGGTACAAGGAAGCAGTCCACTAACCTGGAATCTCTGGATTTTCTTAAGGTCTGAGAGCCAATATGAATTTTGAATCTAACTTTATTTCATTTTAAAGCCAACGATTCTTACATTTAGCTGAACTTTTTTAAGATTCTTAATACGTATTATCAAATTCCTGTCACAAAAAAAGTGTACCAGTTGATACTTCCAACCATCTTTAGAAGAATTAGAACCTTATTACATTGATTAATATGGTCTTGAAAAAATTTTTCTCAAAATAAGTACACAGGAAGTGGTAACTAATTTTAATTTGTGCTTAATTTGTTATTTTCAATTCCATTATAGTTTGACATAAAAAAACTTTTAAAATCTTTTATAATTGTTTTGAAATAATTTCTGAGTTTAAGTTTTCTCATTAGAACGTGGGTGAATATAAAATAAATTTTCTACTGGTTTTTCTAGTGTTGCTTTTTTTTTTACACTGAATTATTTGACTCATCTGGAGTTTATTTTTGTTTCTTTCTACCATATAATGGAAGACTATTTTCTGAAGTACCAAGAGAACCTTGTTAAAAGACAGTCTTATTTATAATTCTAAAGCACCAGTTATATGGTCAGTATTTTGTTAAGCCTCTTTTGGGTTTATGAGAATAAAATTTCTTTTTGGAAGATATGTTGACTTATGAAATTATAAAATCTAAGATTTATTAATTTCATATTATAATATATAATATACCAAATTAAAGTGGGGGTAAAAACATTTTTTGTGAGATGAGCTAATTAATGTCTATAAAGCCTCTTTTTTCTACATTGAGATACAGAAAGAGACCACAAAAGTGCAAAGGCAGTCATGTTTGTTTTTGTTAACTGTATAGTTCTTTAACCAGCCAGTGAAAATAAATCTTCACTAAGTTTTATGGAATTATACACATGCCACAAAACACACGTTTCTTGACCTCTTATACTGTGACAAAACATTAGTGCTATTACCCCACTTTTCATATGCTGGATTCTTCACATACGTTAGTTATTGATTCATAGAGCAAATAATATTCAAGTCTTTTGTTGCAGTTTTTTGTTGTGGTGGTTGTTTATCTTAGTGATCTAGCTGAACCTCTCGTATGTATTTGTTGTTTACCTTAGTGATCTAGCTGAACTTCTCATGTATGTATTCCCTGAGTTAGAAACATCATAATTACAAATGCCCTTAAGCTGACATCATATAACATAGTTAAGAACTTGGGCTCTAGACTCAGAGTGCTGAGTTCTAATCCTATATTCCTCACTTTGTAGGTGTCCAGTCTCCTTATTCTCTGTGTCTTGGATGATGGTAATAATATCTACCTTTTAAAGTTGTGGTAGTTGAACTAGTCAGTTCATGTGAAATACAAATGTGTCTGACATGTAATGTTGAAAAAGTTTTCTTGCCATTATTACATACTTCATACCACCCATCCTATGGTCACCTGGATAGCAAAAGGCCACACTGGAACAGTGGTACCACTTGGAGACTTACAGGTAGCTTAGTTGTTTCTTCCCTACCAGCTGCTTACTTTTTCCTCAGTGGTATATGAGCTCTGCTTCCCTCTTTCTTTTTCATTGCTCCTAGATTATTTAAACAAGAGTTACTGTTTAGTATTTTTCTACTAGCTTTTATACTTTTGTACAGTGTCTATTAGGGTACATTTAAGTTGTTAGGTCAGATTTAAGTGCTATTCATAACGTTTTAATGAAGGAGGGATTCAGTGGGAAATAAAAGAAAAATGCATTTGAGATTCCAAACAATTTTTATTAAGCACACACAACCCATAGTGAGGAATGAAGTTAGGTAATTTTTTTTTGAAACAGGGTCTTGCTGTGTTGCCCAGGCTGAAGTGCAGTGGCGTGATCATAGCTCACTGCAACCTAAACTCCTGGACTCAGTGATCCTCCTGCATCAGCCTCTTGAATTGTTAGGATGATAGGCACTTGCCACCATGCCTGGCTGTTTTTTTTTTTGTTTGCTTGTTTTATGTAGAGATGGAGTCTCTCTATGTTGCCCAGGCTGGTCTCAAACTCCTGACCTCAAGTGATCTTCTGCTTCAGTCTCCCAGAGTGTTGGTATTATACCTGTGAACCACCATGTCTGGCCCAGGCTAGGTTTCTTTTAAAAATGAATTATAATGGGAAAAACTAGCAAAATGTAAGATTGGAAAAGAAATATGAAGGGGATAGGTTCAAAAGTTGTTAACCTTTTATTTTGTTTAATAATCTGTTCAGATTTCTGATTTAATGTAAGACAGTATGTCCTAATGGGACCCAATCTCTGAGAGTGTAGTTGTGTTTGTGTAACTTTATAAAACAAAACTACTCTCTGTATTTGATGTAGATAGGAGCCCATTCTTTGCGGTTTTATTTGATTAGTGGTACTTTGTTATGTTGAACTCAGTTTTACAAACTTTTTTTTTTTTTTTACAGTATGTGATCTTCTACCTTTTCTAGGTAGTGTGTCTAGCTTGGACAGGTCAAAAATGATACTTCTCACTAAATTTTATTTTCAAATTGTCAATAAAATGTTATGTGCTGGAGTATAAAAGAAACTGAGAAATTTACAGTCTAGTAAGGCAGAGAGGGAAGTAAAGTATTCTAATACTGTACAGGTATTATTGAAGAACAATGTCGAAGGTATAGCGTAAGCAGCAAGGAGAGAAGTAAATCTTTCTGGGAGTTGGGAACTGCTTTGTTGAAGTGGCAACTGAGTCTTAAAGAATAATTGAGAATGTGACTGGTAAACAAGGACAGAAACATGTTCATGAAAGAAAGCAAGGGACACATTAAATCCTTCCAGGAAATAGTTTGGTGTACATCCCAAATCCTAGTATCATTGAATTATATACAGGGAGTGAATGATGTGATCAAATGGGCATTTTAGAAAGATTATGCTGACAACTCTGGAGGGCTGACTAGTCAGTGTGAAGGTCAGAAAAACAGCAAGAAAGCAAATGCAATAGATCTAGTAGAATGATGAAGTGCTAAACTGACACACTATTTTAAGACTTCAGGAATACCAGGATGAGTAAAACTACATTTAAAATTTTAATCATCTGTGGGGTTTAGCTATGAAAATTTTTTGTTTTCTAAGCTTTCTGCAATGGATATGCACTGCTTTCTTAATAGAAAAAATAGTAAACTTTGTTAAGAGAGAGAGAACTCAGCAAAAGGCTCATTACAGGGGATGTTCAGTTAAAGGGGGTTCCTTGGAGACATTCATGGATCCTCACTCTGCACATTAGGAATATAAGAAAAATGTTGATTTTTTAAAATTTATTTTTGTATATTTATGTTTCATATGATTCTACCAGACATTAAGATAAAACTTAGGGAAAACAGGCAATAGAATAGTGACTTTTAAATTACTTTTCGAAAGTTGGCAGTATAGTCATTGACAGAACCAGGATTCAAATTCTGTATTCTGAGAAAATTATTAATAATAGATTGTCCTGCCTTCTTCTGGCTTTATTAACATATTAACAGTGTCCAGTGTGCAGAATATAAGCATTTTATTGTCAGTACATTCTCCATCATTATTAAAGCCTGTCTTGAACTCTTCATTTCCTTCTAGTTTGTTTCTGTCTAAGACAGGAAACTGGAGAAAGGTATATCATTTTTCCCTTGTGTATTGTTGTGCTTAGAAAGTACATATGGTAGAGATAGCTTTAAATTAATTGGCATCTATATTGCACTGGATAGTTTTAAAATTGCCATTACATGTCAGTGTTTTCTATTTAGGTAATGTTTTAAGTTCTGAAGTTGTTTTTATATACATTAGATCTCCTGGGTCTTGCAGTAGGTAAAAGTAAAGTAGGATATAATTATTTTCATTTCAGAGGTGAAGAAACTAAAATTCAAAGTGTTCCTGGCTAATACAGAGTTGGGACTAGAACCCGGGTCCCCATAATACCTTCCTTTATTGGCCACTAGGTGGTGATAATTCGTTGTTAAGAGAGAATACTGTTATAATTTAGGCTTAACTTAGATCTAGGATGTATAGAACCTGACAAATGATATGAATAGATTTATCAGAATTTTGATAATATAAGCATATTATCAGAATTTTGAAGCAGAGAGAATCAAGTCTTTCTGGAACTACACTGGAGTAATTTACGTGGATGATCTAAATATCCATCATGACAGGAATGGTTGAGGGAATGATGGCCTATTAATAGAATTGAGTATTATGTAACCATTAAGTACTACATGCACACACACATAAAAAGCACTCAGTAGGCCGAGGCGGGTGGATCATGAGGTCAGGAGATCGAGACCATCCTGGCTAACAAGGTGAAACCCCGTCTCTACTACAAATACAAAAAATTAGCCGGGCGCGGTGGCGGGCGCCTGTAGTCCCAGCTACTCGGGAGGCTGAGGCAGGAGAATGGCGTGAACCCGGGAAGCGGAGCTTGCAGTGAGCCGAGATTGCGCCACTGCAGTCCGCAGTCCGGCCTGGGCGACAGAGCGAGACTCCGTCTCAAAAAAAAAAAAAAACAAAAAAAACAAAAGCACTCAGTAAGTATGTGTTCAATTAAAAATAATTATAAAATTTTGTAATTCTGTAGAAAGACTTTCAAATTAGTATTACATGAAAAAAATAAGATACATTGAACATGTAGAGTTAGTTTAACTGTAAAAATGAAATTTAAGAGAACATGTCAAAATTCTGTACAGTACAAAATATTGTAAAATTTTGTACAAGAAACTTTTGTACAAGAAACATTTTGTACAATGGGTGTATATTAATTTTGCAATAAGATTAAAAATAAAAATAAATGAAGGGATAGTTAGAATTCCCAAGATGAAGTCTAGCATCAAAATTTCCAGCCTGCCTTTTTCTGAACTTGTACACGTTTTCTCTATAGCCCAGCTGGGAGCTAAAACTTCAGAATGATAGCATTCTTCTACTTTCTTTGAACATATATGTATTTTAATTAAACATTTTATGTTTCTTCAACAACTAGTAGGACTTTAAAGGCTCTGGACTGTTGTTCTAACAGTTTTCCATAGAGGAAAATAAATATTTTGTTTATCCCACAAGTTTTGTATGAGAGGAGATATCCAAATAAATGTAATAGTCATAATTTCTGTATTCCCAAATCTGAAGAATAATTATAATAGTATACCAGTTAAATGGAAGAGGTGTTGAAATTTAGAATGGTAATGGACTTTATTGCATGTTTAAAGTTCTTTTCAGTTGATAGCACACTTTAAGTGGATTTTTTTAAGGATTTTACTTTCAGATTGATTATCTTAATGTTCCTAATATAGTCTTTTTATAGATTGTTTCTGTTTTATTTTATATAAAGAGTTCATAAAGCCAGGTTTATTATTTTTTAACATGTTTTATTCAGCTTGTTAATCTTAAGTGTATGTTGAAATGTTAACTCTTGACATTTTAAATACTTTGCCAGCAACCGTAAATACCCGTTATAACCATTACCTACAATGGATTTACTATTTTCGTATTTACTTATTGAACAGTAGATTTTATATCATTTTTTAGACTCTTAGGTGGAAAATTGAATTCAAATAACTAGTTCTTTGTGTTAAATTTTCTTCTGTTAGGAAAAAATACACAAAGTCCCTTTTCACAGTAGTGTCCTATGCTAAAGGTCATTGTATTGTCAAAGACGGCTAGTGAGGAGTTGCAGATTACCTCACAAAATCATAAATGGGAAAGGGACTTAGATTAAATCTTAAAATAATAATATTTCAATGAGTATATTTTTCTTCATTGTAACTTAAGAGAATTAAACATGAAGTTAAATGTCTGCAGGATGCATTTATGTGTATTCATAATGACATTTTATGTGCGGGTAAATGTTTTCTTTCTCTCTTTTTTTTTTTTTAAGTTGTTACCATCAAAAGTCTCTGAAACTACATAAAGTGATTACATTCCCTGGTCAACAAAAATGAAGTGTTTGTCACTTCATATGTAAAATTTTCTTGATAGTTATGCTTTTAAAATCTCTTTTTAATGTAAGTTTTTGCCTACTAATCTTTTATTTACATTTTATCTTTTAATGATCTTTATCTTAGCCTCAAAATTATCTATGAAATACTAATTTTATTTTTGCTTCATTTATAAATTTTGAAGCTTTTTTCAATCATTCGTACAGCTTAGATGGTCTAGAACTATGGTAGCCACTAGCTACATGTTGCTCTTTAGTTAAATAAAATATAGAATTGGTTCCTTGGTCACACTAACATATTTCAAATATTAATTAGTTACATTTGGCAGACACATAATTCAGGCTCTTGAATTTCTCAGAAAAAAATAATAAATTTGCTCCTGCAGCCTTGTTATCTATCGCGTGTGGATTTTCTTTAAATGGTGACCATATTTTAACTTTTTGTTTTTACCCATTTTACTTAATTTTGAATTATTTGCCACACAGCTGTGATTCTCAGACATCTGATTTATGGCATAAGAGCTTTTAAAAATTAGACATATGCAGTGAGATTTTGTTAGTGGGTCTGGGATTGGGTCTAAAATCTTTATTTTTAAGAGGTCAGATTAGGAATGATGGGCTTGGAGCACACTAATCATTCATTCCTAGATTTTGTAGGTTTTTTTAAGCTTTACTTTTATATCAAATTAAATCACCAAAAACCTACATTTTCTGATGATAAATTTGTCTCCTTGCAGAGATATTGTTACTGAGTTACAGTTACATTGTTCATTTGTTTAATAAGTATAAGCACTTTCTGTGTGCCAGGCACTGTTGTAAGCATAGAGGGATACATTGATGAATAAAACACAAAAATCCCAGCTCCCATCATTAAATTCTAGTGAAAGTTAAGTCTTTATGTCCCAGAATTTTATGAGAAGAATCAGCAACAGAAGTGGCAGTATGTAGAATGTCTGATTTTGAATTTTATGTTTAATAAAGATCCATTTAATAAATTCTATTAAGGAATTCAATGCTAAGAAAAATTTCTAGTATGACTTGTTATGATTCCTTCTGTTAAAGAATATTGCCTTGCTACAGAGAAACTGTTAAATGCCCAGTTGCACACGTAATTACTGCCCCCACCCTAACATCATGGTCTGTAAGTCTCTTTTTTTATTCTCTGTGTCTCACTCTTTGCTCAAATCCCATCTCTTCCTCTCTCACATTCTCTCCTATTTTAGAGATGTAGTTTTATTATTAACAGTGTGTTTGATTTTAAGCAACCTGAAATTCCTTTGTAAGTAAATGGGCTGTAAAGAACAGAGGGGAAATTGGAAGAGATGAAGGAAGTGAGTGTTTGGTAAGCTCTATTCTGTGAACTTTTAGGAAAGCTAGAATTGTGTTCTGAGAGATAGGGATTCTTAAACTGAAAGTAGATTTCTGTATTTACAGTAACTGTACATTTTAAAAGTTCTCGCAATTTTAGTTTTTATAACTGATTAAGTATTTGTATTTAAAAGGTTGGTGGAAAATCTAGAGATTAGTCCATCTATCTTGTTTTACTATAAATGAAATCCAGCATTTTAAATAATTTACACAAAGACATTCAGCTTGGGAGTATCACAGGCAGGACTAGAACTAGTTTCCTTAATGTTGTCTCTTTGATAAGCTTAAGAGATATTTGTAAATTTTTTACTACTTTCATTAGAAACCCATACGGTTTCTAAAAATTCAGTTAAATTTTTATTGAGTTACTGCTATGTGCAAAGCACTATACTTACCACTGAGCGTGTAAAGTTGAAACTGACTCATTAGTATGCGTGCACCACAGAGACACTTTGTTCAGCTAATCATAAGCACTCAATGAAAATATGATTATTGAAGAAAAACTGTTTCTTACCCTTAAGGGTTTCAAAATCTCAATAATTTATATTCAATAAATTAAATCGATAAGAATTTTATTTCAAAATGTCTTCGCTTTACAACCCTCATGATGTTATTAAAGAGAAAACTTCATAAGCAGAGAGAAATCTGTAACTAGAATTGTGGCAAAAAACAATAAAGTTGAGATTTTTTTCTGTGTACTTACAATAAATGTTTACCAGAAATACTAATTTGTGTATTTACGTAAGCTGTTCATATCTAAATGGGACATGTCAAAGATTTATTAATGCACAAATTCATGGATAATGTAGCCCAGTGGCTTTTAACCTTTTGGAGAATCTAATGTACATTTGCAAATTTTACATACAGTGTTAAGATGCTTATGCTTTTTTCTCCCCCACCAAGCTCATTTATGAACTTCTAATTAGATGTATCTACATCTGGAGTTATTGGGGGTATTTTGAAAGAGCCTTTCAGGTGGCTCTTGTCCATGGTGGGCTACTGCTACGATAAGAACTTATTATTTCTTGCTGGTATGTTGAAAATCACAGATAACTTTTATTCATTATTTACATAGTGTGCCTTTTTTAAAAAATCTAAACTTTGCCAGACTGGTAATCTTCTCTCGGGTATTTGTGTTCTGAGTCCAAAATAATATTACCTGCCTATTCCAGATAAAGTAGTCCTATTTTAATAAATATCAAGGGATAGTAGAAAGTATATTAAACTCTATTGCAAAAGATCCGAATTCCAAAATTACTATTAATAGTTTTATATTTAAAATAATATGTACCTAATCTTGGGCCTCAGTTCCCTCCATGTATAAAAGATTATTGTAGTAAATTCAAATTTATGGTCTCTTAAGAGCTCAGCTTTACACTTTGTTAAGTGAAATAAAGCAGCAGACTTGAAATTAGGAGATTTGAATTCTACTTCAAAGTATATTTTTGTATTTCTATGAGTGTGTGGCTACATGATTTACATTCTGTATTTTCTCATGGAATATAATGAGATGTCATTTAGCTTTCTCTCAAGCTTAGGAATGTCACACTGAGTCACTGACTTGTCGTCAGGCCTGGAATCACCATTCTCTCTGCTGCCGTCACCTCATAACAGCTATCTCCATATTCTGTGTTGGATGTGTTTCCTTCTCAAAGTTCCCCTGAACAGGAGGGTCTGTGTATTTTAATCTGCATATATCCAGTGACTGGCATAGAATTGGTACATTAAAGAGACAATAACAGTTTGACTAATTTTTTTTTCAAACTTTGGTTTTAAAAACTACATATAGGCATACATGTTTCATTTTTATTATATCACCATAAATTAGTTTCCAAAATAATATTGTAATCCAAAAATGTGTTAACTAGCTCCTCAAATTTTTTTTATCATTCTTAATTCAGAATTCACTAAGCATCTATTATATAGCAAACACCAGATACATAACTCCTTATGGAGCTCACAGCTTAGCAAGTAAGACAAAAAGGTGCAAATTATTAATTGCGTTGCAGTGTGAGGGTTTCTGTACGTGTAAACAAAATATAAGTAAATATTGAGAATTTAAGTAATGCTTGTAATATGACTCATTTTGAATTACGATAGATATTTTACTTGGTGAACATGATATATTTGTTTAATCCTGGCTCCTTGTAGAGCACAGCTCTCTTTACCAGTGGTGACATAGAGGGAACAGGGTTATTTATGTTATCGCAGGCCTTTGTCTGTGAAACTTAGAGTAGACGAAATTTCTTTTTAGCATTCTCTTTAAAGGTCTCCAGATATTTTAAAAATATGGAAAATTGTTATATATCATATCCTAAATTATTATTTTATGTATTCTACTTTTAAGTATGTTTTTGTTTTTAGGAGGATTCTCTATGGGAGGATGCATGGCAATACATTTAGCATATAGAAATCATCAAGATGTGGCAGGAGTATTTGCTCTTTCTAGTTTTCTGAATAAAGCATCTGCTGTTTACCAGGTAAGTTCCAGATTTAAAAAAAAATGAAAAAAATATGAAATATATACATGTTAAAACTAAAGCAAAATCGGTAATAAAGCTGTAAAACACACACACAGTTGATGCACAGTTGATATGGATTGACCATTCCTGGAATTCATGGCCAAATGAGTCGTAGTGATTAAATTCCAGCTGATCATTAATGTTTTGGAAATCCCCTGTACAAGAAATATTGTTAAGCAAAATGTCAAGGAGGAAAGGATAATCATGTGTGTGGTTGTGGGGGAGCATATATGTAAATTTTATACATATTAAAACTGCATGATGGTTATAGCTGGGTTTGCTTATTGCATCATGAACATAAAACAAAAATCAATTACATAGCACATACTTATTATGCAGCAATATCCTCATCTATGAATATGATGCAGCTTCAATTATAATGTTACAGCTTCAGTACCAGAAGTGGAAATGTTAAAGCAGATACAGAATAGAGAACTAAAATGTAATTGTCCCCTTGATTGTGCCTTAGCTGTGTACTCCTCCCTCCTTCCACATTGTGTGAAGAGGTCTGTCTTCCCAAGTCACTTAGTTTCTTTAGGAAATGCTTTGGCCATTTTTAAGACGTCCTCTATAGAATAAATGTAAGTGACACACAGTTACAAATTGAGTGATGCCAGGAACCAGCTAAGTCCCCAGGCCTGGCCCACCAATGTATACCTCAGACAGCACTCCCTCTGCCTTTTTTTTCCCATTAGTTATTGAAGCCTTGGTAAAATTGGAATTTTCCTGTTCTCTCTGATTTCTAAGAATGATCTTAAATGGAATTTCTTAAACTTTTCTGTCTTTGTATCTTCTTCTCTAGGCTCTTCAGAAGAGTAATGGTGTACTTCCTGAATTATTTCAGTGTCATGGTACTGCAGATGAGTTAGTTCTTCATTCTTGGGCAGAAGAGACAAACTCAATGTTAAAATCTCTAGGAGTGACCACGAAGTTTCATAGTTTTCCAAATGTTTACCATGAGCTAAGCAAAACTGAGTTAGACATATTGAAGTTATGGATTCTTACAAAGCTGCCAGGAGAAATGGAAAAACAAAAATGAATGAATCAAGAGTGATTTGTTAATGTAAGTGTAATGTCTTTGTGAAAAGTGATTTTTACTGCCAAATTATAATGATAATTAAAATATTAAGAAATAACACTTTCCTGACTTTTTTATTATTAAAATGCTTATCACTGTAGACAGTAGCTAATCTTATTAATGAAAAACAATAGACAAACATCTGTGCATAATTTTTCAGACACAATTCTGTAAATATTTGGAAACCTTTTAAGTATTTAAACTTTTAAATTTTTGAAATAAAGTATTCTAAACTAATATAAATAAGGACAATGAAAAAACATGAAAGGACTTAGCATAATGTTATTTTATCTTTTCTACAACTTTGTTTAAATTACCTTTCCAAAGATATTTGTGTTTATGTAATTTTCCACGGAATAACATTAATACTCTAGGTTTATAAACCGGTTTCACATTATTTCATTTGATCATCACAAGAGCTTTGTGAAGTAAGCCGAGAAGTTGTTACTGGTATTTAATAATAGCAATAGAGGAGTTAAAGACTTTCCCACAGCTTGCAGGTCAAGACAAGAAATTCAGGTCTCCTAATTCTCAGTGGAGCTCTATTTCTGTTAACCCAAATTGCTGCTCTGTTTTAGGTCTCAATTTCATCTGTAAAATGATACTAATAGTACTTATCCCATTGGATTTTTGTTGAGATTTAAATAAATAGCCAAAAGCCAATACATAATAAACACTCAATAAAGATTAACCATAAGGAGAGTCATGATCTGGTTCCAGGAATACATTGTTAGATGACTGAAAAATTGTATTACTTCAATGAAAATACTATAAATAATAACATTTTCATATATTAGTTGGTTCTCATGCATACATAATCTAATTTTATTTGATCCTCACAACTGTTTAAGTTTTATTAAATATACATTATCCCTATTTGTATAAATAGAATCATACAATACCTGCCTGCTTTCATTCAACAAAATTATCATGAGATTTTTCCATGTTGTGTACATCAATAGTTCATCTATTTTATTGCTCAGTAATATTCCATTGTGTGGATGTATCACTATTTGTTTACACATTCACCACTGATATATAAGTTGCTTCCAGTGTGAGGCTGTTTTAAATAAAGCTGCTATGAATATTCATGTAAGAGTCTCTGCATCGACCTATGTTATTTTTCTTTGGTAAATAAGTAGGAGTAGAATGGCTGGGTTATATTTTAGGCATACTTATAACCTTCCAAGAAATAGCCAACTCTTTGAGAAAATAGTTGTGCCATTTTACATTCTAGCAGCAGTGTATGAGAGTAGTATTGCTCCAGATC
This sequence comes from Homo sapiens, assembly GCF_000001405.40. Taxonomy (NCBI): domain Eukaryota; kingdom Metazoa; phylum Chordata; class Mammalia; order Primates; family Hominidae; genus Homo; species Homo sapiens. The sequence continues at coordinate 219,213,038 of NC_000001.11, forward strand.
CTTGCCAACACTCATTATGACTCCTTTATCCATTCAGTAAGTATATGGTAGTAATATATTGTGGCTTAATTTACATTTTCTAAATGAATGTGTTAATTTTTATATGCTGATTAACAGTGTCTCAGCACTATTTGGTGAAACAACTATCATCCATGGAAATATTTTTGCACCTTTGTCAAAATTCAGCTAGATCTTGCCTTTGTGGATCTGTTTCTGGGTTCTCTCTTCTGTTCCATTGATTTATGTATCCATCCTTCAACCAGCATCACATAGTCTTAATTACTATAACTGTATAAGTCTTGAAATCAGGTAGAGTAAGTCCTCTCAGTTTATTTTTTTTTCAAGATTGCTTTTGACTGTTTTTGTTCCTTTCCTTTCCACATAAACAACCTTGTCTGTATCTACAAAAAAAAAAAATTCTTGCTGGGATTTTGATAGGAATTATTTTAAACCTGTACATCAATTTGGGGAGAATTTGCATCCTTACTATGTTGAATCTTCTAATCCACAAACATGATATGTTACTCCACTTATTTAGATACTTGATTTCTTTTATCAGCGTTTTTGAGGCTTTCTCCATATAAGTTCTGTACCTATTTTGTTAGATTTATACTTGTATTTTATTTTGCGATTGATTATAAGTGGTTTGTACTATTTTCAGTTTCCAAGTGCCCTTTGCTAGCATATTGAATCACAATTTTTATATGTTGGTCTTGATCTTATGGAGCTCAATTATTAATTTTAGGAGTTTTTCTGTAGATTTTTAGGATAGTCTGCAAAGATCATTATGTCATCCACAAACTGAAACAGTGTTATTTCTTCCTTTCCAAATATATGCCTTTTATTTTCTTTTGTTTGCATATTACACTGGCTAGAACTTCTAGTACTATGCTGAACAAGAGTGGTGAGAGCAGACATCCTTGTCTTGTTCCCAGCCTTAGGAGAAAGCATTCAGTCTTACATCATTAAATATGTTAGCTGTAGTGTTTTAATACATGTCCATTATCAAATTGATGATATTCCTCTCTGTTCCTGCTTTTCTGAGAGTTATTACGATGAATGGCTGTTGAATTTTGTCAAATGATTTTTTTGCAACAATTAATATATTTGTGATTTTTCTTCTTCAGTCTGTTACTGTGGTGCTCAATTTTGGTATATTGCGTTAGCTTTGCATTCCTGAAATAAACTCCCTTGGTTATATTGTATAATTTTTATATATTGCTGAATTGTATTCACTAATATTTTGTTAAGGATGTTTGTGTCTATGTTCACGAAAGATTTTGGTCTGCAGTTTTTGCTTGTTTTGTACTATCTTTGGTTTTGGTATCAGGACAGTATTAGCTTCATAAAATAGATTGGGTAGTATTTTCTCCTCTTCTGTTTTCTGGGATAAATTATATAGTATTGCTATTAATTTTTCCTTAACTGTTTGGTAGATTTCTTTAGTGAAATCATCTGGGCCCAGAGATTTCCGCATACTATAACTTTTTATCTTCTTACAGCAATATTATGCCACTTCACATTTATTATAATAACCTTTCATATTTCCCTTCCCAGCCTGTATGCTACTTTTGTTATTTTGCTTATAGATATAAGTTGCATGTACCATCAACGTCATATTACTTTATTTAAACCAGCAATTTTTCTTTTCTTTTTTTTTTTTTTTTTGAGATGGAGTCTTGCTTTGTCACCTAGTCTACTAGAGTACAGTGGCGTGATCTCTGCTCACTACAACTCCACCTCCTGGGTTCAAGAGATTTTTGTACCTCAGCCTCCCAAGTAGCTGGGATTACATGCACCTGCCACTATCCCCAGCTAGTTTTTGTATTCTTAATAGAGATGGGTTTTCACCATGCTGGCCAGGCTGGTCTCAAACTCCTGACCTCAAGTGATCTACCCACCTTGGCCTCCCAAAGTGCTGGATTTACAGGCCTGAGCCACTGCACCTGACCCAGGCAATTTTTCTTTAAAATGAATTATATAATGAGAAAAAATCTTACCTATCTACCCATGAAGATACCATTTCTGGTGCTCCTCAATTTTTTGTGAAGACCTGTATTTTTTTTCTGGTATTTTCATTGTGACTGAAGTACATTCTTTAATATTTCTTGGAGTGCAAATCTGGTGATAAATTTCAGCTTTTGTGTCGATGAAGTCTGTATTTTACATTTGTTTTCGAAAGGTGTTTTCACTGAGTGTAGAATTCCAGATAAACATGTTTTCTCTTAGTGTTTTAAACATGTTGTTTTCCTATCTTCTTACTTGAATTATTTCGGACAATAAATTTTCTGTCATTTTTATCTCTGTTCTTCTGTATCTATTGTGTCTTTTTATTCTTGCTGGTTTTAGTAGTCTCTGTTGACCACTGATTTTGACCAACTTGATTATTGTGTGTCTTGGTATAATTTCTCACGTGTCTTGTGCTTGGAGTGCCCTCTGATCTTTGTGGGTGGTTCTTTCCCCAGCCTGAGGGTGTTTACTCACACCCATGGTGATCAGTAGTCTGCTTAATACTCAAGATAGACCATCTCTAGATCTCAGGACTTCTCTCTCTGTGCAGTTCACTTGTCTCTCATACTCTGCCCTATCAAATGTAGCCAGCTTGATCTACTCAGACTCATAACTGTGTCTCATCTCAGGGAGTCCACCAGGCTTTGCATGGATTTCCCCTCCCTGTACTGTGGACTGGGACTCACTTAAGTCAGTAAGCCAGAGTAGTCATAAAGCTCACCCTGTTTGTTTCCCATTTCTGAGGGTTCACTGTCCTTTACTACCCAATGTCCACTGCTTTTGAAAAGACATTTTTTCTATTATTTTGCCATGTGTTTCTTTCTTTGTTTCAGGTGAAAGAATAAGATTCCCTGTTACTACATCACAGCTAGAAGCTAAATGATCCTTTAAAAAGATTTTAAAATTTTTTATATTACCCTTACATTTTCCTTTTCTATTGCTCTTCATTCCATGATATAGCTTTAAATTTCCATATGGTGTCATTTTCCTTCTGCCTGAAATACTTCATGAAGTTCATTGATCTTTTATTCTAAAATGCACTTATTTTTCATATCAGATACTGTTCATCTCTAGTTTTTTTATTTCTTACATTTTTCTATATAATAGGCTTAATCTCTGCCTTTTTGAATATATGGAATATAATTATAGCAATTTTTAATATTTTCTGAGTCTATCATTTTTGAGTTTGTATATATTTTTATTCTCATTAAGGGTAGTATTTTGTTGGTCCCTTTATAATATCTAGTGACTTTTGATTGGATTCTAGACATGTGAGCTCTATCTTGTTAAGTGCTTGGTATTTTTGGATTTCTAAATATTCACAAGTTTTGTCATGGAATACAATTATTGAAAAGTATTAAAAACTGTTTTATCCTTTCAGACTTTCTTCTGTGGCTTCCTGGTGGTAGCAGAGCAGTGTTTAGTTCAGGACTAATGTTGCCACACTACTCAAGCAATACATTTTGTCATACTCTATATGATACTGTCTGGATTGTGAGGTTTTTACACTATAGCTAGCGGGAACACAAACTTCTCATCCTCATGTGAGCCCCACCTATTGCTCCTCTTCCTTTCAGGAGGTTCATGGTTTCCTCACACATATCTGATGACTAGTACTCTACTGAAGAATTGCGGGGGCACCTCTGCAGATCTCTGGTACTCTGTGTGCAGTACTCTACTCTGTGAACTCTAAGCTCTTGACCTCTGTGGACTCCCAGCTCAGTATCCTCATGGCCCCAGCTAGATCTCCCTCCCCAGGCTGCAATCTGAAAACTGATACAGACAGTAAGCCGGGGCAGTCCTTAGAGCTTACCTCATTTGTCTTCCTTTCTTAAGGAATGACTGTCCTGTGCTGCCAGAGTACAATATGTAAAAACATATATGTAGTACAGCTTTCTAGTTGTTTCAAGTAGAATTAATTTGGACCCCATTATTCCATCTTGATCATATTGGTCAAAAGTAGAAGTCTCTTCCTTCCTCTAAGACTGAGAATTTAATAAAATCCCTTCAGAGAAGACTCAACTCATGCAGTGCTTTAATTTTCTAAAGCTTTTAATGACCTTCACTTTGAAATATTGAATGTTTTATCTTGACCATATTCTGTGCCATTCATGTTTAAAATCCTTATGGATGCATTTTGCCTTAAGAGTAGCATACATTTTATATGCATGTGTCATAGATATCATGCTTGTGACATGTTCAGTGTATATACCAAATATAATTTAAAGGAAAGAAATCCAGATTTTTTAATGAATGCTTGTTCTGTAAGTCTTTAACAAAATGAAAAGTTAAACAGATTCAAGGTATCGTTAGTATTGTTTTGCCAGGTTTGGTGTGTGTGTGTGTGTGTGTGTGTGTGTGAGAGATGGTTGTAAATCTTTCTTCACGGACTGAGTTATGTGTGGAAGATATATCGAAATATTTTATATAATCTTCAATCCTGGTCCTCCATCTAATTAGCTGTTAGGATATTCAGTCTTAGTTATGAACTCTTCATTCTAAATCATGCAAGGTCTGGGCCCCTTGCACAGGGCAATATATTCAGAGGAGACCTTCAATTATCTACTCCTCATTCACCTTGAGATGGTGATTGCCCACATATGTGTGGTCTCTTAAAGCCAAATATTTGAGCCTGACAAATCATTGCTAAGGCTGGGAACCCTGGAGTTTAAGGTTTTACTCTCCTAAGAAACCACTCAACCATTCTCTTCATGCCCCCTACCCCAAAACTTTCTGTTGCTTTGCACATATAAACATTTCCTAAGGCCAGGAAGTTGAAGTAGCCATGATACTTTCTTACATGAGTGAGGAGAAATTGCAGCAAGAAGAAAGCATAAATCAGTATCACAATAAATTACATTTATGTGTTGGGGGAACTGGAATTTTGCAAAGGAGGAGAGAGACACATTAGGATGTGAGTAAAGGGGGACTTTCATTTTTTATTATATAGTTCTTCTGCTTGAAGTTTTATAACAGGCTTTATTACTTTATAATCCTTAAAGAGAAGTAAAATGTTTATTGATAGGATTTTTTTCTCAGCTGAAAACTGAATAGGCAGTGACCATCAGTAGTAAGGAAATTAAATATATTGTTTATAGGAAATTGGATAGTTCAATTGAAGTATAACAAAATGAACTGAGAACAAAATAGGAGGCAGACTGGTTATAATTGAGCATGTGTAGTACTTTGATATGTAAAATAAAATGTCCAGATTATTATTACCAAGAACATATTTAAACAATGTCTTCATTAGATGAAAAAAATTTCTTGACATATGACAAGAGCACAGAATTAGCAAAGCCATGTAATTACAAGTTACCAACTATTTCAGGAAAATGCCAAAAGCATGTAAACCAAGATTGTCCACCCTGCAGCCCACAGGCCACATGTGGGCCATGACAGCTTTGAATAAACACAGATTCATAAACTTTCTTAAAACATCGAGACTTTTTTTGCCTTTTTTTTTTTAGGTCATTAGCTATTGTTAGTGTTAGTGTATTTTTTGTGTGGCCCAAGACAATCTTCTTCCAGTGTGGCCCAGGGAAGCCAAAAAATTGGACACACTTGATGTAAACATTTCAAGAAAATTCAGACTATATGATCACTCAAGACAGCCGATTCACCAGCCTTCTGAAGGGAAGACTAAGCATATTCCTATATTGAAGGTAAGATACAGACCCATGCATGTGTTATCTTTTTCATATTTGTTCAATTCTGCCATTTAGCTGCAATGAAATCAGTTCAATTTGTTTCATGTAGCATTGAATTAAGACAACCATGAATAACAACGCAAGTACCAGAATGAGGCCAACCTGAAATACTAACCTCAACTGTGCCTCCCGGGGTCCTGGCCCCATCCAGCCAAACAAATCCCATGATTAAGGGTGTGCATTAGGAGGCCAGCTGTCCTCCTCCTTAAGTTTCTGTACTGACCTTCCTGCTTTGTCCAAAACATTAGTCCCAGCATTGTAGGATGTATGAGCAAGTACACGGATTCCACTTTGGCCTGCAAGGAGGAAGTGTCTAGGACAGTGTTGCCATTCACAGCATCCATAGCTAGTGAATTGAGGTGGACCTGAATGCTTCCAGGGCCAAGATGGTATCATTAATCATTTTAGCTAAAGACTGGCACAAACTTCATACCAACTTTTCTAATTATTCTCATAGTTATTCCCATTGTAGGGATCATGGGCCCTCAGACTGTGCTTAAATAACAAATCAGTTTTCTCTCCAGAAAGTTTTCCTGAATAACCAAGGTAAGCCTCATTTTGGAGAGATCCCTGCAGTCACCTGAAGTCTACAAGAGTGATTTGTGTTATTTCCTTAAATGCCAAAGTTTCTTACAAAAGGTGAAAGTCACCATGTTTTCTAGAGACAAGTTAACACTTGTTAGGCCACCTCAAACAGGACCAATATCAGTCACAGGAACAGGTGACCATGTCCTCAGTGTGGTCTTCTGGCCATCTGGTAAGCCTTTGAGTTCCCAGTTAGTTAAAACAATTGAGTGCAGTTCTTGGTTTATGCAGGGGATGCCCAGGGGCATTCCTGTGCTGTTTGCACCACCAGTTGGGTGGCATCTGTCCATACCACAGAATGAATAGTGACAACTATTATTCTATGAGAAATGGGGAAGATCCTGGGGGTATTGGTAGGTGGGTTCATGTTTGTGTGTGTGTGTGTGCATGTGTCTGTGTAAACTCACACAAACACACAAGCCCAGGTGTGGTACAGGAGCTGGGGCTCTTTTTTGCTATTTCCATAAACTTCTCAGTAAGGTAAAGGAGAATAGTGATAAACTAGTGAGTCCTCTGTTGAGGTATGGCAGGCCTAGCAGTCAAATTTAATTTCAACTTTAATTTAAATTTAAGGTGCTTGCAACAGTTTGGGAGAACAACATCATGTTTTCCTTTGCAAGGAAAGCTCCAGGGGTTGTTGTGGAAGATAGCAATGATTAAAGTTTTTCCCTTCTGTGTAGCTACTGGAGGGTTCTCAGGTCCTAGAATTGTTGCTTTCCCTATAATAATTTTGTGTCCCATTTCAGAAGCTATAACTTCATCTTTTTTCCAATCAGCCCTAATCCAGAGCTTTCTTCCAGAAGGACTAGATACAAAAGGGACTAGAGCATTTAAAAAACATACAAGAGACCCATTATGCCACCCTACTTTGGCCCACATGGACCGCTGTAGGGGTACTTGGCGAGTAATGTACTCAACCAATTAGCCATTATCTTTTTGATCTAAGATCTTGTCAGTGCAACAAGTAAATCCATATCTGTTAACCAGAATTAAGTTTAAATATCCTGCCTCTTTTTTACTAAGCAGCCTCTCAGAAGGCATATCAAGCAGGCCAGCCATCTACTAGTACCATCTACCATTAGGGAAAAGAAGGACTTTTCCCTAGGGCTACCCATTAGGTAAAAGAGCATCATCATGCCCAGTAATTGTCAGGTGGAATGCCAGATTTTCAAAGTAGCTCCCAGCACTTTCCTTCTGGCCGTTACCTGGAATATCATTGAAAGGAGATGATCTCTTTCTGGGAACACCTTCATTTACTGACCAAACTGCCTTACTAAGGCATGTGAACCAGAAGAAAGTGCGGAAGGTACAGCCAGACATGACATTTCTGGAGTCGATTTTTGAGGAGAACGCCCAACATTAAACAATTCTAGATCCTTGAGAATTATAGCGAGCATAAAAGATCCATCAAATCTGACTACTAGCCCATTGTTGAAGTGTTTTGCAATAAAAGGCACATTATTGTCAGATACCAAGTGGCCCATAAAGTCAAAAATACAACAGATTAGTTTCATGGGCCACAGTGTTGTGCCCGGAGTAAACTTACGAGACTGGAACACCAATACACAACCTGAAAAAGTGTTAATTGCAGTAAGGCAGCATTTACAACCCCTAGGAGACGTCACAGGGCAGATGTGATTAATGTGTCAGAAACATATGGTCAATGTCAATGACCCATGCTGTGTGGCTGCCCTCATTGCAAGACAACCAGGTCAACTTTTTGCAGGAATCAAAATTCTAGCATGCAGTTGTTGCCTACGCATCAAGAGTATTATTTGCCAGAGCTGTGAGAACAGCCTTCAGTTCTGACCACTAAGTGCAGTGATGACTGTGTCTATTTTCAGTTATGAATAGTTGGTCCTGCCTGAGACTGAGCAGTTGAAGCCACCCAGTGGACACCAGCAGATTTCAGCTTAGCCGAAGCATTGGTGAAGCAGGCCAAGTGATTATGGGGAACCTCTATGAATCAGGGGCTCCACTGAGCCAGCATCTTGCTATAGGTGGTGGAGAAGAAAAGCTGCATCTTTTCATGTAGCACCTAGATGTCACCAAAGCCAGGCTGGCTGTGTTCTTGATTTACCATTTCTATTTGACAAGTGAGCTTTTTTGGACCCTTTTCACTTTGTTAGTCATGGAGTCTGAGTTGATCTTGCCAAAACTGAAATATCAAGTCAAAGAGTTACAGTTCCCCTGGGGGTCGGGTGCTCAGTTTCAACAAGAACCCACCGAATAGTAAACTAATAGCTGCTTTTCAAAAGAGGCCTATCTGCTGGTAGCTGTTTCAAGGAGGCAAAGCCCAAAGTCTAAGGGGCACCTCCAAGTGGAGGCCACCTTCCTTTGCCAGAGGCTCCCGTTGGCAACATTAGAGTCACGGAGATGTGTAACTCAAAGGAATCATTGAAGATGTGGGACTGCAGAAGTATTAGCACCTCTCTACATCTGGCTGTTTCCAATCAGTAAAATCCCTTTTGGTACTTGCAAGCATTCACAGTATAGGCATGTAAAACATCAACACCACTTATACTTTCAGTAGTGGAAGCCAAAACAACAATATGTTAAAACAATAGAGGGCTCAACACTCACGTTATGGTGACTTCCCTTCCCCACTATGATCTCTGCCCCAACTCAAATTTGGACATATCCTCGCCCTATGGGACCCAGTAGGATGATAACTCACGTGCTAGAATCCAACAGAGCCACAAAAGTTGGAATCCTTTCCCTACCTGACATTCTTCAAAATATTCAATAGATGTATGGCTTTTAATCCCTCTTGGGAGCAGGGAGATGTTGTCCTATATCAAATCATCCTTCTCATGCCACTTAAGGCAGTGAGAGGAGGAGGGATGGATCAAAGGGCTCTCCATGAAGGAGAGTGACACTATGCAGTAAGCAAACCACATTTCAATTTTGAGTTAATGTGGCAGCTGCTTGCAAGAATTTATTTTGATTTTGAGGGGTCAGTTTCTCACACTTCAGGGCATCAACCTCTTCAGCTTTGTAAACTCAATCTAAAAAATAAGACCCTGAATACTAATCAAGGCCCATTTTTTGTTTCCCATGGGAAATTGTTTGTCTCAGGGAAATCTCCCTGAGAGGGCCAAAGCTTCTTGAAAGCAGGCATGCGTAGTTGTAAAGAAAACAAAACAAAGTTCTGAGGTGTTTCACTGCCATCTTCAAATGGATCAAAGTTCGGCATGATGGACTTTAGGAGAAGTCCCTCTGTTGCTGGTTTTTCCTTAGTAACCATCATGCACACCACCCCCCTCATCTTCCAGTTGTACCAGCCAGCTGTCTAGCAACTTGCTTGGTTTCTGCTTAAAAGGACTGTAAGTTTCCCTCCTTTTACACTCAATGCAAGTGTGTCGCTCTTTAACTGTCTTAGTCTGTTCCCATTGCTATAACAAAATACCATAGAATCATTAATTGATAAGGAAGTCCAAGAGCACAGTGCCAGCAGATTTGGTGTCTGGCGAAGGTTGTCTCTTCTTCAAGATGGTGTCTTTTTGCTAAATTCTCATATGGCAGAATGTTATATCCACACATTGTGGAATGGAGAAGGCAAAAGGCACTAGGGGGGTTCCTTCAACTTCTGTTATAAGAGCACTAATGTATTCTTGAGGGCAGAGCCATCATGACTTAATCACTTTCCAAAAGGCTTCACCTCTTAATACCATCACCTTGGGGTTTAAATTCCAACATGAGGATCTTGGAGGGACACATACATTCAAACCATAGCAGTAACTGTTGTCTGAAAGAGGGCAGAGACTTCTACACATCCAGAATGAATGTTAATACTAGATATAAAAGCATGGGCCCAAGGCTGAGGTGGACCAAGCTTTTCCCACCTGAAAGAGAAGTAGCAACAAATAGGACACCATTTGGGTAGTTGTTTGGATGTCTTCCCTCAGCCTACAGTCACCTGCCTCCCTAATTTCTCCTCATTAAGAGGAAATAAAGTGAAAAATAATTTATTGCCCAGTAAACCATACAATTTGATCAACATTTTCAACATTTGCCATTGACTTCCCTCGAATCCTGTTATAATCCTCCTGCAAAACCTTTATTCTTTGTTTTCTAGCCCTTGAGTACTTTAGAAAATAAGTGTGAAATTATATTCAAAATATTGAGTGGACTTTTCAAAAATGTAAAATATTACTTCAAAATATATTTTTGTGCTATCCTCTCATTATTATGTGCTTTTTCTTTGTGATATTATTAGGCCTTTAGTTTTCTATTTGGTTTTGAAAGTCATGTGATTTTTATAACAAGAATAGAATTAATGGTTCCATGATGAATAGTGGATGTTTTGTTCTGAAGAAATCATATTTTGGGCAAAATGCCCATAAGAGACTTATGTTTTTGCCAATAGTTTGGTTCAGAGCTTCTGGGATCTTTTATTTTTTTTCTTAAGAAGCAATGAGAAAGTTTGATGCTTTTCCATTTTATTTTAAATTTGTTTTAGGGGTAATTACAAAATAGCTTGTTACTTCAGTTTTTATTGTGATAAATTCATAATTGGTATTTTGTTTTGTTTTTTTCTTTTGCTGTTTCACTTTCTACTCTTAAAGGCATAGTATTACTTTAGTTAAAAATCACTCTGTTTCCATTTTTTGTCTCCCTTTCTTCCCTACCCTGATTTTTCCTGTTCAGTTATTGGCTTGTCCAATTGAAACTAGAGATATACTTGACATATTAGTTACTTAACATATTAATTTTGGCAACTTCTGCTATGTGTTCTTTTGCCAATGAAATTACTGAAATTGAAATATTGAGTGGGGGTGTCCATGAGAGACAGAAGTCTTTCCTTTGGGCATTAGGTATTAAGCCAGCTTCTCGATTATGTAACAAGAAAGAAAGAAGTGTTAAAAATGAAAGTTCACAACATGAACTAACTGGCAAGAGCAAATATATGACTCTTTTAAAATATTTTACTTCAACAGCAATAAATCTCTAGGTAAGTCTAACAACAGTATTTTTAAGTGGCAAGAGAAAAAATATCAATTTCAAATAGTAGCTAAAATGCATTTTTGAGGGGGACTTCTTAATTACCCTATGAAGTGTCGTGTGTTTTGGGTCAGCTGGTTAACATTGTCTTAGTTCTTCCATAGAATCAAAGAACTTTTATTACTGGAGGGGAATTCAGAGATTATCATTTTATACATATGGAAACAGAGATCCAAAGAACAGCGGTGACGTACTCATGGTTCTGATTATGCAGGACAAAAACATAATTCTCCTTATGGATGTTATTGTCACTGTGCCACACTGCCATAATGGTAGTGTTCAGAAAAAAATATGGCTGAAAATTCATATAACATTCAAATGTTGTAGATTCAGAACTATTTCCTTTGTAGACATTTTAATATTCATGCTGCTTTTAGCTCAGTTTTTACTGTTCTGCTAAAGGAATGCATTGGTCTCTCCCTCTGCCTCAGTGTGATAGCAGGCCCAATCTAATGTTTATAGTCATAGTGTAGAATTATGTATTTAGGAGTTTTTGGAGGTTATTAATCATTTCCTTCAGAGTTCTAATTTTCTAATTCCATAGCCTGCTTCAGTCCTTATCTTTTCCATATCTTTATAGGGTTTGATTAACCTCCGATTCTAGAAACTTGGACCTTGCAGTCTAGTTTTTCTTGTCTCTCTCAGCTATTTTCCTGTTTCTTTCAATGACCCACTCATTGTTAGCCCCTTAATGTGGAAGGTCCTTTTGACTCTATTGTTTCTTTTTATTCTCTCTCTGGCTGAGCTGCTATTTCTATGGCTTCAGACTGCTGGCTCCATGTCTATACCTCTGGCCCTAAGCACTCATCCTAGTTCCAGATTCATGTTTCTAACTTCCTGCTGGGCCTCCTCTCCTGGTTGCTCACCAGGCATAATATGTTCAAAACAATGCAAAATTCTTACATTTACCAAATGCGTGATTTGGGGGGAAAAATGCTAATCTCTTCAAGTATTTGTTTCCTTACCTGTAAAATGGGTTTCTGGTGAGATTTAATATAAAGAGCCCAGGACAGAAGTTGAGTTACTGTTTTTGTGGTTCATCCTGGAACCTGCTTCTCCTTTTGTGATCTTTAAAAAATGACTTTTTCTCCATATAATATCATTATGTCAGCATCTATTCATCCCCCCTCTCATCTTCTCACTTGTCAGTTAACAGATGCTTTTGATGTTCTATAAAAGCAACATCTTTCCATTGTGACATCTAAATCATCCTTGTTGACTCCCTCTTAGTTCTACCCTCCTCATAATCAGTTTGGATGGATCTCCCAGCCTCTGGTTTCTCCTCTCTTCCACCTATTTATTTCCCATGTGCCCTGAGAGTTATTGGTCTGTTCCACCACCTAATAAGCCCTGCTGGCTCCCCATGTTAGTCTGTCTTCAGAATAACATTCAAATTCTTTAGCTCAGCAGTAAATCCCTTCACAATCTGGTCCTTACCAGCTTCATCACAGCTTCACCTCCTGCCTCTCGTCTCCCATGTTACAGTGCATATGCACAGACAGATAGACACACACACATACACACACACCTGATGCTTCTACCATGCCAATATTTCCTGGACGTGCCAAACCTTTTCATGACTTTGTGTGTAGCATATTATTCCTTCTACCTGGAATGCTCTTTCCTTCTCCCTCAATTGACAAACTAAACGTTTTAGACACAAGTTTTGAGTGACGCAATGCCTTGCCCAAGTGTCTATGGTAGAAGTTGTCACTCATGTTCTCTGTTCTCCATGTTTCTGTATTCATCTTTTACATGTTGGTCCTGTACCCACTACATATTTTGAACTCAAGGCTAAGGGCTATCTATCCCTTTATCTTTTCTTTTTTCTCTTAGTGCCTAGTACAGTGATTGCCACACAATTGACATGCAATACTGAACAATGACATAACTATCATTTCTGGTTGGCTTTTTTAACTGCTAGTTTATTTGGATGTTCTTTTATATTTATTTCATAAGAATCCAGGGATCTGATCCTCTGTTTTTTGCCTTTGTTTTCCCTGAGGTTAGATTTAGTTTTTATAAAGGCAACATTTTGTTTTTGACTATAAAATGCTGCCAAATATACAGCATGCATTCTGCTCCCACTCTGTCCTTGGAAGACACTGATCATCGGTCAAAATATTCTTCCCTGAGAAGCCACGTAGGTTCTTAACCCTTCTCAACACAGCACATCAAATAGATAGCTGCTATCAGCTGAAAGTAACTGGTAGCTGATGTGAAATCTCTTTGGAATAACACATAGAAAAAAAAAAAAGGTGAATACTCAATGACTTCAAATTCTGATCCAGCTTTGTTGCTGACCAACAACTCTAACATGCATGCTGTGGTACTCTGATATCTTGTGTGCAATAGATATTCAACAGTTAACTGTTTATTAGTTAATATTTATTGCCAAACTATTTTGCCTCATTTTCTTTATTCAAAAATAGAAGAGTTAATTTTCAAGCAACTGTTGGTAGTTGTTGTAAAGATGAATATAATGAGGAATGTGAATTAACTAGGGGAAAAGTTTAAAATCATATATAAAGATAGTCTCATTAAGTTTAAGTATTATGTACTTCATTAAGTTACTTGCAAAACCAATTCAATATCTTATGATTGTGTTATAACAACCAGGCAAGTAGAAAGTACCAACGTATACTTTAAGATAATTTCAACTCTTCTGTCTTTGTACTGAATGAGTGATATGTGGAAAAAACTGCATCGTTTGTTTGAACTTGTTCACACCCCTATGCAGGGGCCTAATTCTGCCAAGATGACAGTGTATGTATGAATTAATTCAATGAACATTTATTGAACATTATTGTAAATGCTGAGAGATTTTGGTAAGCAACGCAGACGAAAATCTCTGCTCTGAGGAGTTTACATTCTAGTAGCACATCCATATTCCATTCGAGAAAAAAAGTCTAAATCAGAGGAGTTCAGAAGATTTTCAGAATTGTCTTTACTGACTTCCCACCACTCTGCTTCCTCTTTCAAAGACAGGAGTTGGATGTTGATTTGTGGTGTCTGTTTCGATATTGTGTTTTTCCTGGCTAATATTTCTTAGTTTATGAAATCAATTTGGGCTTCTTCCTACTTATAAGTATTAACACTTGCAAGGTTATTTTTGCATCTTTTTGTTCATTTTGATCAGTTATAGTGCTGAAAATTCTGTAGTCTTGCACTTTAAATGCCAGCTTTCCTTAAATTTAGTGTGTCCCATTTGGGGAAGGAGTTTGTAGTTTAAATGGAAACTTTTGCTGTACAACATGACTTTGGAAAACAGCCACAGGAGTGTTTTTAGATTGCATAGGACTTGGCAAAAAAAAATTGAAAAATGACATTTAAAAAATTTAATCTTAGGATTTTAACACCTTATAGAAGAAAAGAGGGAATGTTATTATATCACCCTTTCTCCATGATATGGTTTTCTTAACGGAGAACAGTATATGTTTAAATAATAACTTATTCCGTATTGTCTATTTTAAAAGGATATTCTATCAGCTTGGATGCTTTGCAACAGCATGTAATAGAAAATACTAACTCAAACTGACTTAAGCAATAAAGATATTGCTTCATACACACAGAAGTCCAGAGGTTGAGTAAGCCTAGAGCCCTCCACAGTGTAGCCAGGCTGTTCAGGACCCAAGTTCATCCCATCACTTGTCACCGCCATGCTAACAGGGCTGGTTTTGCTCTCAGACTGACTCCCTCTCTGGTAGAGAGACGGCTTCAGCGGTTCCAGGCATCACATTCAGATGTAACGTCATCAAGAGAACAAAGAGAAACCATCTCTTTTCCTGGCTGTTTCTTGAGAGTGAGAAAACTTCCCTAAAGGGTCCCGTAAGACCAACTCTCACATCTTATTGGCCAGATGTGGGTCACATGCCCATTTCTAAACCAATCACTGATGAGAGAAGTGGAATTATCATGCTTTGCTTAGCCAGAGTAGAGTTTATTACCTACAATTGGGGATAGAATCACCTTTTCATGCAGCACATGTCTTTATGGAGAGCAGATACCCGAATGTAATTAGATTCTGCTAAAAGAAAGAAAAAAAAAGTTGGAAAGTGAGAAAATCAATGCTGGGTAGGCAACTGGAATTCCTGCGGCAATCTCCAATATAGAAAACGTTCCCCTTAAATGTTGCTATGTCTTATCTCAAGTAAATATGATTTTTTTTCACGTGACATAATTTATTATTTTGTTTACTACGATTACGTGTATTTCCTCAAGCTTCCCATATAGAATATATGCCTGATGGCTCGTTGTATCACTGTGGTAAGTAGTTATCTGGAAATATATTTTTTCAAATACAATTATAAGCACTTTATTTATTTTATTTTGTATGTATTTATTTATTTTGAGACGGAGTTTTGCTCTTGTTGCCTAGGCTGGAGTGCAATGGCGCGATCTTGGCTCACCACAACCTCCGCCTCCCAGGTTCCAGAGATTCTCCTGCCTCAGCCTCCTGAGGAGCTGGGATTACAGGCATGCACCACCACACCTGGCTAATTTTGTATTTTTATTAGAGACAGGGTTTCTCCATGTTGGTCAGGCTGGTCTCGAACTCCCGACCTCAGGTGATCCGCCTGCCTAGGCCTCACAAAGTGCTAGGATTACAGACGTGAACCACTGCGTCTGGCCATAAGCAATTTATATGTATTGTAACTCTTTTAATCTTCACCACAACCCTTTGAAATAGATATTACTAGTATTCCCATTTTATATATGAGTAAACTGAAAGACAGAAAGGGTAAATAATTTGCCTAAAGTCACCTGCAAGTGAATGCGTTTTGAGCTATTGAGAGTAAGTAAAAGGAGAGGTATGTAAATATTTCTTCCGATATGGAAGTGTTGGGAAGGGAAGAGCGTGGTCCCTTTAAATGATACGGAAGCGGGGAAGGGTGTGGTCCCTGACTAGGGCTGAACTCCCATGGACATAGGTGAGGACAAGCATTTTGAGAGAGAGAGAGAGAGAGAGAGAGAGAGAGAGAGAGAGAGAGACACGCAGGCTACCGAACAGCAGAACCACGCAGAGCTTGGCTGGGGCAATTGGAGGAAGGACAGGGAGTGGCCTGATTCCCGGCGAAAAGCATCTCTCTTCTGGCTCCCCCATCTGCTGAGAGCTACTTCCACTCAATAAAACCTTGCACTAATTCTCCAAGCCCATGTATCATCCGATTCTTCCGGTAAACCAGGGCAAAATCCCGGGATACAGAAATCTCTCTGTCCTAGCGACAAGGTACAGGGTCCAATTGAGCTGGTTAACACAGGCCGCCTATAGATGGCAAAACTAAAAGAGCACACTGTAATACACGCCCACTAGGGCTTCAGCTGTAAGTATTCACCGCTAGACACTGCTGTGGGGTCGGAGCCCCATAGCCTGCCCGTCTGAATGCTCTCCTAGAGGTTTGAGCAGTGGGACACTAAAGAAACGAGCCACACCCTCATCGCATGCCCTGCGAGGGGGACAAGGGAACTTTTCCCCTTTCACTTGGATCCTTTCCCCTAAACTAATATTATCAAGGTCCTCTAATCATACAAACTGAAATGATTTGAAGAGGGCAAAATACCCTTTCAAAAGTTGGAAATATTTTCTGTCATTTAAATGGGTGAGACTTACATTTATCTGTAGGGCAATGTATTATTAAGGTTACCACACAAATGGCCTTTTAGTCACGTAAATAAAAATAAGAGATTTTTCTCTGAAATAGAAACTTTTGAAATAAGAAGTAACCTGAGTTACTTTCACTATTCAACAACTTAAAAACTGTATGGTAGGCTTATCTTTTTTTTGAAACAGAGTCTCACTCTGTCACCCAGGCTGGAGTGCAGTGGCACAATCTCAGCTCACTGCAACCTCCGCCTCCCGGGTTCAAGCAATTTTCCTGCCTCAGCCTCCCGAGCAGCTGGGACTACAGGCGCCTGCTACCACGCCCGGCTAATTTGTGTATTTTTAGTAGAGACGGGGTTTCACCATATTGGCCAGGCTGATCTCGAACTCCTGACCTTGTGATCCGCCTACCTCGGTCTCCCAAAGTTCTGGGATTACAGGCGTGAGCCACCGCACCCGGCCGTAGGTTTATCTTGCAATTTGATTGACTTAGCAAAGTCAATTCATTGGTCAAGACAAAATTAGTTTCTGTATCAAGAGAAAATTAGTTTCTGTGGTATTGTATTTTCCTGATTCATAATGTTTTCAATCTTGTCTAAAAGAAAGATACAAGAAAAATATGTATCAAGCTAATCTTATGGCATTAAAGTTTTAAAATGTAATTATAATTAAAGATTAGCAGACAACCTCCTATCCCCAAATATAACAATCTGCCTCCATCTGTGTCTCCTTTAACCCTATTCTATTAACTCAGTTGGTTCTTAATGCCTAAAGTGTTATCTAAATGCTCAGTGAATATTTAAATTCAAAATGTTTGTTCAACTTAAATACTCATGGATTGATGCAAAACAGCTTTTTAGAGTGCTGATTGGAAGTTGTTTTTACTAGCCACCGTTCTAGCCCAAGAGCTGAATTCTTAAGACAACCATGCCAGGGCAGTTCTCCATCCAACATTGTGCCAGACTCACAGAATCCCACTTGACCACCCACCCACGTGGGCATTGTTCTGATTCAGAAGTCATTTTTAGAGACTCTCTTAAAAAAATTACTTGTCAAAATGTAATTATATAAATCTTTGCAAATAGCTAATAAAAACCATTAACAATGACAGCTAACTCATAGGGCATTTCTAAAAAAATAGAATGTTACTTTTAAATTAGTCCTTCTTGCTGGTATATTGAAATGTTTAGAATTTTAAGTAAATCATCTTTAAGACCCCTTAACAATTCCATACAGATGGAGGGCCGTGTGGGTGAATACCTTGCATACATGGAGATGAGATCCAGATGACAAGAATGTAGAAAGGGTTGTTTGAAACATGTTAGAGGAGAACATTGGAAACATCAAACACTGTGATTGTAAGCAATGGAAATAACTGTCCTAAACTGTAAAACAATGCAAGAACATGAAGATGTCAAAGCCCATGGTATGTTCATTTAGTCATTCTCCGGACTAAAAATATTTGTATTTTCTATCAACAAGAGTTTACCTTGATATATAAATATATTCATGCAAATGTGCATATTAATAAGCACACATGTATGTATATAATATACATATATTGTGTATATATATGTATATGTGGGTGTGTATTTCCATGTATTGAGGTTTTTCAGAGAACGAATGTCACTAGTAAACGGTAGAAAATGTATGTTATTAAACCTTTATTTACTAATTTTCTTAACAACAACACTAAAGCTAGAAAATAAAAAGGATCATTCATTTTTAAACAGATGGCAAAAACACTCCCTGGGGAAGTCCAACCAGACTGATGTTTTGTCTGCATCAATTTCCCTGTAGACCGTCTGCCATGCTTTGACAAGCTCGGCATGCCTCCCTTACATGTTGAACATCAATATCTATAGACAACTCTATATATGTTCTCATGAGGGTAAAGGCTATGTCAAATAACTACCAATATGTATATGTAATTATTTTCTATGTGGCATATACTAGCTGTCATATTTTCACTTAATAATAAATGCTTTCAGAAATAGGGACCATTTTGTATTTTTTCTATGTTCTCCATGACACATGTCTTGAGACTATTGTCCCTTCCTATACAATTGAAATTATATATGTTTCTGCCACAGTCATTTTCATACAACTGGCCTTTGGATTTCAGGAGACATGTTTTCTCTTCAAATTCTACATTTTATTATCTTAGCTTTCATACTGTGTTTGTTTTGGAAAGGGTATTTTTTACTACCTGTGTTCACCTGAAGTCTGTGAGTTTTTAAGGGAGATATTTATCACATAGATTTGAGACCCCCAAACAACTTAGCTCTTCTATAACTCAACAGTAATGCCCGAGCTCAGATAGACTCAGTGCAGTTCATTTAAAAATATAAATACATACATACACACAAACATATATGCATACTTTTTAAAAAAAATAGTGTAATATGAAGTTGGGCCCTTACCCTATACTGTATACAAAAATTAGCTCGGAATGGATCAATGAGGGCTAAACTATAAAATTCTTAGAAAAAAACATAAGAAGAAAGTTTCATGATAATGGATTTGGCAATGATTTCTTGGGTATGACAGCAAAAGCATAAGCAGCAAAAGTAAAAATAGATGGATTAGACTACATCAAAATTACAAACTTCTGTATGTCAAAGGATACTATCAACAAGTGAAATGCACCTATGAAATGGGAGAAAATATTTGCCAATCATTTATCTGATAAGAGATTACAATCTGGAATACATAAAGATCTCCTACAACTCAACTGCAAGAAAACAAATAACCCAGTTAAACAATTGGCAAAGGATTTGAATAGACATTTATCCAAAGAAGATATATAAATGACCAGCAAGCATATGAAAAGATATTCAACATGCCTACTCATTAGGGAAATGTAAATCAAAACCTCAATATATCACTGCCCGTCTGATAGGATGGCTACTATTTAAAAAAAAAAAAAAGGAAAATAACAAGTGTTTGTGATGATGTGGAGAAATTGAAACCCTTGTGAACTGTTGTGATGATGTAAAATAATGCTGCCACCATGGAAAACAATATTCCAGTTCCTCAAACAATTAAAAATAGAATTACCTTATGATCCAGTGATTCTTCTTCTTGGTATTCAAAAACGTTAAAAGCAGGGTACACCTATATTCACAGCAGCATTATTCACAATAGCCAGAAGGTGAAGCAACCCAAATGTCCATCAATAGATGAATGGATAAACACAATGTGGCACATATACAGTGTAATATTATTCAGCCTTTAAAATGAAATAACTTCTGACATGCTACGACATGGATGAACCTTGAAGACATTATGCTAAGTGAAACAAGACAGTCACAAAAGGACAACCACTTATTTGAGGTATCTAGAATAGTTCAACTCATAAAAGAGAAAATAGGATCGTAGTTGCCTGGGGATAAAGGAGGGAGTGATAGGGAATTGTAAAACAGGTATAGTTTCAGTTTTGCAGTATGAAAAGCTCTGGAGATTGTTTGCACAATAGTATTAATATACTTAACATACTAAACTATACACTTAAAAATGGTTAAGATGGTAAATTTTGGCCAAGCATGCTGGCTCACGCCTGTAATCCCAGAACTTTAGGAGGCTAAGGCAAGTGAGTCGTTTGAACCCAGGAGTTCAAGATCAACTTGGGCAACATAGGGAGAACTTGTCTTTACAAAAAAATTTAAAAAATAACTGGGCATGGTGGTGCAAGCCTGTAGTCCCAGCTAGTTTGGGAGGCTGGGGCAGGAGGATGGCTTGAGACCACGAGGTCGAGGCTGCAGTGAGCTTGTGATCTGCACCACTGCACCCCAGTCTCAGTGACAGAGAGAGACCCTGTCTCAAAAAAAAAAAGATGATAAATTTTATGTTATGTGCATTTTAGCACTTTAAATAAAAAAGGCCTAACAAAATGCAGTCAGATATCAATAATAATAAAGAAATGCTTTCCAAGGTAGTATAATCTCTGCCTCTAAGTATGACCATACATAGGGAAAAGAAGCTGTGATAGGGATTCTGAAAAAAGAGATGTAATGTGTATGGGTGATGGGGCAGAGGAGGAGAAGTAAAGAAAACATCAGAAAGACTGTAGCATCTTAGGTCATTTACATTAGGGTTTGAACCTTACTAAGTATTGCTATTTTGGGCCAAGTTCATTAAACATCCTGGTCCCTGACTTCTCCATGTTAAGTGATGATGGTATAAACCTTATAAGATCATTTGAGAATGAATTTATGTATGTGTGTTTGTTAGGTATCCAATACACAGCCTGGAACAAAGAATATACTAATAAATCATTATTACCATAATTATTGCTTATTTTCAAATAAAAATATTTTTGCTTCAAATCAAAATCATTTTCAGCTTTGCAAAACAAAGTAGTAATATACTAAAAATTATACTTAATGAATGTAACTCTTATTCATAAGCTATTGAATCAAATTATTATAGAGCCTAAAACCAAATAAACCTCTCTATTAGATAACTTCCTTAAGTAATAGTTTATTTCCCAAACCAAATAAACAATACTCACAGAATACTAAGTATAAAGGATTCCCATACTTATTTATGCACAAAAGATAATGTAATGTTAGTTAGAAATGTTAAAATTTATATTTAGAGAAAATATTGAAAGTTATATAAAATAATAATGAAAATCTGCAGGTCAAACTAGAAGAAAACTATTGCTTCTATATTAATAATTGCCCATCACTCCAAAAACTTATTTTTCTATCTAGTGCTGTAAAACACCTCGAGACATTCATGCCATTCCTATAGAATTTTAAGTTTTGAAATATCTTTTATATAGGTCATTTATATAACATAACGTGATTGCTGACCTGGTATTTTTATCACTTAGGAACATTTATTCATGTTCACTCAATCGAGTGCACATTGAGCAGTCCCTAAGACAAGTTATAATCGCAAACAATGGATAATGTATATGCAGCCTCTAATTTGGAGGCAAACTGAGAATTTCATCTTTTAAAAATTTTTTAAGTTTATTCATTTCTTTATCCCTGTATTTGATGAAATAAGAATATGACAACAATCTGAGCCACTTAAAATTATTACTAAAGTATTAATTTTTCACACTGGCTTACTATGTATATCTTGCATAACATAATACAAGATCTGTCATTTGTTTACATTATAATTCACTTTGACCAAGATATCCTGAAGAAAATTGTAGATTGATTTAATTAAAATATTATTGGGGCTTGACTGCAGAACACATGCTTTGAGATGGCTGACAAGACACTTTGCAGAAGCTTGAGATAACCATACTATTAAATCACATACTAACCAATGTATTTGTTCATGGCTGCATAGGTGAGCAAAAATGTAAACATCTGAAACATAAAGGTGACATTCTTAAAACGGAAAACTTTTTGCACTGAGAACATAACTTTCTAAAGTTAATAACAAGGGATCCTTGATTACTACCAGACCCCTCTGAAAGGGAAAGTGAGGCTGTCAAGCTAAGCATTTTTTACAGGACATAATTTAATTACCTATGGATCAATGTGGAAGAATAGGCTGGGATCTGACTTGACATCAATGCACTTTTAATATTTCAGATAATGTATTTTACATTCAGTTTTGGAATATGTGCCATGACCAAACATGTTTTTGCAGAGTAGAACAGAAATCAAGACTGCCATTTCTACTACATGCGTACGCACATATAGGGTGTATTCAAAAACAGAATTGCCTACTTCCTACATGGTTTTCTAAGGCATTCATTATCTATGTGAGCCCCTAAATTCAAGTATAGTCTTGGCATGAGGAAGATTTTTCGATGCCAATATGGAGATTAAGTACACTATACTTGCTTTATACATGAATTTCCAGCATTTAATAAAGTTCCTGTCTACCTTCAGTGCATTTTTGTAAGGAGCCCAGAGAGTAAGTTGACCTTGTGAAGTTCCATTATCCAGGAGAGGACCAAAGACATGGTTCTGAGGTCGGGCATTTGTTTGGTGTTTCAACAATATTGTTTTCATTATAGTGAGCTTAAATAAGCATTAGCAGCCTTTCTATCAAAGAAATTAGTCCTTATGTGAAGGACCTATAAATAAAATTGTTATACAGTGGAATAATAGGAGCATGTAATGAAACTTGATTTCTAGCCAAACAAACATATGGACATTAAAAATAAAAAAAGGAAAATGTTCACTACATGGGTCCCATGTGGGATGATTGAAGCCATCCACTAACATCTGGATTCTATACATTTAGGAGCACTAGATTCTTT
Source organism: Homo sapiens (assembly GCF_000001405.40). Taxonomy (NCBI): domain Eukaryota; kingdom Metazoa; phylum Chordata; class Mammalia; order Primates; family Hominidae; genus Homo; species Homo sapiens. Next base: position 219,236,187 of record NC_000001.11, read on the forward strand.
CAGGCAGGAGACTGCTCTTACTATCTAGGAGTGTTGGATGTGAGAAGATGTGGTTTCTTGCGGAAGAGGAGAGGCTAAGTTTTCAACAGTTATCACACTTTGGTTTAACACATTTTAATGGATAGTGTAATATTAAGTGTCATGACATAAGCAGTGTTAGTAATTACAGCCTTAGCTATTATCTCAAAGCAAGTAATGATACCTCCATTTTGTATAAAGAGTGACTTTACAAATATCTGCATGGTTTTAGTTGTCTGTATCAGACCTCTTGTTAATTTCATATATTCGTTTTTACTTTCAGGCATTAAGTCATTCAAAACCTTTATGGAATCCCTAACTGTCAATAAGACATTCTCTTAAGAAATAAAACTATATCACTTTATCTACCAAAACAGTCCATTCATTCCTAAAATCCTAGAAACAATATTTTCATATACCTCTGAGTTTTCCTAGTCTTCTGTGACAGTGTAAAGTATCAAAATAGTGAACTATAGTTGGATAGTCTACTTGAACTTTTTATGAATTTTAAAAACAGTGAAATACCAGTTGCCTGTAAGAGAAATCACCTTAAAAAAATTTTAACTTCTGGGGTACATGTGCAGGATGTGCAGGTTTGTTACATAGGTAAACGTGTGCCATGGTGGTTTGCTGTACCTATCAACCCAACACCTCGGTATTAAGCCCAACATGGATTAACTATTTTTCTTGATGCTCTCCCTCCCCCACACCCCTTGACAGGCCCCAGTGTGTGTTGTTCCCCTCCCTGTGTCCATGTGTAAGAGAAAGCACTTCAGTTGTTGTTTTTTTTGTTATTGTTGTAGCACCTAAAATTGTATTGGTCCATAAAAATGCTAAATAAAAAATAATTCTGTTAACTAAAATTTCCCACTGAGTATTTTGACAAGAAGAAATTAATGGTTAAGACAACATAAAAAGTCAGCTCAGCACAAATGAATATGCACACTCATTGGAAATTTCCTACTACACATTTGAGGCTGAGAATATTTTAGTGAGCTATTGTGCTAAATAAGTCGTCAGCAGAATAAAATACATGGATTACTATATGTTTCAAATTTCACTGTTTAAATATTTTATACTTTATTTTCAGTGCAACGGAAATGTATCCCTTTCTTTTTCAAGTAACATCGATGTGGATTATATATTAACCAAGCCATGACTCTTAACAAAGACTCAGACTCTGTGTGTGGGAGAAAAAAGCCTGGGGAAAAGTTTTCAACAGTTACCAAAGATTTTGTCAACACATTTTATTGGATAATGTGATACAAAGTTTCATCAGATAGGTGGTATTAGTAATTACAACATATGACACCATCTCAGAGCAGTAATGGTGACTCCGTTTTGTATAGAGTTATATTTGTTATCTTGTTGCTCGGTCTACTTTGATAAAGAACTTTCTACTTTTCTTCTTTTCTCCTTTTGTCTAGTTTTTGTCTGTTTGTTGTTGTTGTTTTGTTTTGTTTTTTTCAAATTTCAACTTAGACTTCTCTTCCTCCAGGAAGCTTTCTGGGAACACCAAGACTGAGATAGGCTCCCCTGGGTTTTATCATAGCACCTTATGCTTCCTGTTTTATGGCACCTACATTATAATTCTTTATTAATATTCTCTTCACCTGTCCCACAGTCACCTCAGCAATTTATGCTCCATTAGGGCAGGACTGTCTCACTGGTAACTTTATCCCCAGCATCTAGCACAATCCCTGGCCTAGACAAGTTGCCTAATACATGCTTATTGAATGACTGAAGCCATGAATGAAGGAAAAATAAATGAATGGGACATCTATGCACCTGGCTTTTAGACTTTGCAATTATTGCATGGCTTTTAGCAAATCACTGAATATGTCTCAGCCTTAGTTTCCTCAAGTTCCAACTGAGCAGTGCAAGCAAGATGATTTCTGAAAGCTTGGTGGATCTAAACTTTTTTTTTTTTTTTTTTTTTGACAGAGTCTCGCTCTGTCGCCTAGGCTGGATCGCCCCGGCTGGAGTGCAGTGGCGCAATCTCGGCTCTCTGCAACCTCCACCTCCCGGGTTCACGCCATTCTCCTGCCTCAGCCTCCCGAGTAGCTGGGACTACAGGCACCCGCCACCGCGCCCGGCTAATTTTTTTTTTTTTTTTTTTTTTTTTTTTAGTAGAGACGGGGTTTCACTGTGTTAGCCAGAATGGTCTCTATCTCCTGACCTCGTGATCTGCTCGTCTCGGCCTCCCAAAGTGCTGGGATTACAGGCGTGAGCCACTGCGCCCGGCCTAAACTTTTAATGTTTCTGTGATGACCCCTTTGGAATAATCCTTTCTTCAGAGTACTATTTTATTTGCCTGAGATATGTTTTCTAGAACTTCATACACCATGTTGAGGAAAACTTGCTTCTATAAGCAAATTGATAGCTAATAATCCAGATATAAAGCCTTTGTTTAGCTTCTGGGGCCAGGTCTGGAACCACTGCAGACTTTGTACATACTCTCTGCTCTACAATGTTGAGATCATCAGAGAAAATCAAATAGAAAATAATAAAATAAAATAGGCCCTTACTTTACCCATACCAGCACAGATAAACAACAATATAAACCTCAACTTATTTAAAATTGTCATTAACCATTTTAAAAATAAAACAAGATAATTGGACTGTGAAGATGAACATATGATCTCATTACTATTGTTTAGGTAAATATGTTTTGGGCATTTTCTATATGAATTCACCTAAAACGTAATCAGAGAAGATACTATTTTTAAAATATGGCAAATATATCTTGAGTATAGAATGACTGACCTTGAGAAGGTGTTCAAAGATGTGTGGATTATGTGCTGATGAGGGTTTGTCCCAGGAAATTTGTGCATCAGGATAATTACTTTAATTATTTTCTATTTCTCTGTCATAACCCCCCTCCTATCCCTCTCCTTTCTGATAGCCAGGGAGACTATCAGATGATAATAGCTAACATTCATTCAGGATTTACTTTGTGTCAGGCACTGTGCCAGGAAATATATTATTATTTCCAGTTTACAAATTGGGAAATTATAAAATAAATGAGAGAGCTGGGATTTGAACATACGCTATCTGAACAAAGCCCAGATGTGCAGTTACTACTGTGCTGCCTTGGCAACCTGCTAGCCCTTAGTGCATTTCCAGAATCCAGCACAGGTCCTGGTACACAGTAGGTACTAAGTTTATGTTTGCTGAATTAATAAGTTAGTAAATGGATGAGTAGGTAGCATTCCAGAAGTAGAAGGGAAGACCAGAAATATGAAGATACTTCAGAGAGGTGGTCAAGATGACAATGAAATTTTCTTTATGGAAGAAGCACTATCGGGATATAGAGAAAAATTTTTGTTCATAGAAGTATGTTTGTGATTTGCAATGTGTGTGTGTGTTCTCTTGTGTCAGCACATATAATAGTTTAAACATAATTAGATCTAAAGCTCAAAGTGAGATTTAGGTATTATATTCCAATTTATAGTCAACTAAATGTGACAATATAAACTCCTGACAAGTAAGGATTATAATGGCAATCTTGGCAGATCTTCAAGTATGCTGCTAGAATACATCACAATATTTTAACTCTCTCCATATTTAGGCCTGGAATAAAGTTAAATTACAGCATTTTCCTTACAGACATTTAATCCAATAATTATTACTGAATCTGTTCAGTTGCTCATTTTTATGTGATCACTAGACTTTTCCCTGCTCATCAGATGGTAATCAACGGATTTGCCGAAGATTCAGTGAGATGCAATGTTTTTACCTAGGGTGAAGAAAAGGTCACAGTATTTCTACTATCATTAAACCTTGTCAAACAATGAATCCAATGGAAAACACAATATGATGCAGTCTGAAATGTTGAGGTCCTGGTTCTAAGACACATGGAAAAATATAAAGTTGATTTCATAGCATATTACACTACAGTTGTATGTCTGTGTGGTTTTCATAGCCCAGCTGGGAAAGAGTGGCTGCTGGAAGACTTTGAAATCACGTGTGCCCTTGTACATTGTCCTGGACCTAAGAATGGCAATGGAAGTAAATTAGTGAAGTATGTCATGGAAATGGCCTAGAGAAATATAACTTATAAATATCTGCATATTGAAAATACATACTTTTAAACAAGCATGGAAAAATCTTTAGAATTCTCAGTGGTATAGCTTTAAAATGAAACTGACATGACAAAGTGACAGACCTAGGGTTTTATATAATTTTGGAAGATTTTCTACAAAATGCATTGAAATAAAATTCCATTGCATAATGACAAAACTATGGTCCACACGCTTAAACTGGAACATGTACAGATCCTTAAGTTTATTTGTATATAGGCTAATTTCCCTTCCCATTTATGGTTATTTGAAAATATTGTTAAAATTTAAGCAGAACTATAATATCAAGAAGAAAATAAGGAAATAACTTTTTGCTCCCTATGATTTTAAATTATAAAAGCCAAATTCCCCAAAATGAATACTTTAGCACTAAATTCTCATGTTTCATTCTTTTTCAATAAAATTGTTTTCAAGTAGTTCAAGTAATATTTATTATGTACGGACAGTACACTATAGTTGAGTTCCAAGAACTAAGAAAATTGGGTGGTCTTTTGTGTAAGAGACTGCCTAAATTTTCCAATTCCATTCTCTCTTCCTGTGCACACGGAAGACTACATTGGACTCTTTCCCAATGGAATGTGGGTACAAATGATGTCCACCACTTCTAGGCCTGATCCTTAAAATGTCACCTGGGTGCAGTGGCCTACATCTATAGTCCAGCTATTCAGGGACGCTTAGGCAGGAAGATCACTTGAGCCCAGGGGTTCAAGGCTGCAGTGAACTATGATCATGCCACTGCACTCCAGCCTATCTCAAAATATCTATATATATCTATATCTATCTATATTATATATATAAATAAATATATATAATCTCTCTCTCTCTCTCTCTCTCTCTCTCTCTCTCTCTATATATATATATATATATATATATATGGATTTTTCATGATATTTCCACTGTTGACATGGCCAGAAGGAAAGATATCCATGATGGTGATGCCACTAAATAGAAGCATCTTGGATCTTACTATTTGGAGTAGAACCACACAAGGAGAAGCCATCCAACCTACATAAGACTATGACGTGAGCAAGAAATACAATTTTATTATATTATCTATTGACACTGCGAGAAGTTTGTTTATAATAGCTAGTTTTAATTTTCCTAACATATACAAGAAAACTTACATTAGGTGGAGTTAATGGTAAAATAAAAGCCTGAATAATACAGCATTGACCTAGAATTTGGGCATGAGCTTTCCAGAAACAAAGCAAGCTGGATAGCTAGAAATCCTTACCTTCTTGGGTTGTAAATTCTAATTATATCTAGACATCAAAGAATGAGAGTTAAGACTTCTGAGCCACATTGACCCAGTACAATTTCTCAGTTTAATAAAGTAACTGAGAGCTGTCAATGGAAGAGACCACTACTCACTTTCTAAAATAAACTTCCTAAAATAAAAATCTGAAATTATTACTTACTAAGAAAGGGAGATCTGTGCTTGTGAGATAGAAAATCCATATAGAGAGTTTGGGAAACCATGGAGTTAAGGACTTGGCAGATTTTCAGAAACAGAGTTTGGAGATTGATTTTTAGCTAGGAAGTGAGGAAGACTGTTGTCAACTGGCTGTCTTTCAGAGGGATGTTAACTGGAGTGAAGGTGGTGTTGACCAGCTGGCTTTTAAAGTGTGATTACAGATGCAAAGTTGTCATTGATTAAATAGGATGGATTTAAAACTAATTTGAGTTGTTACTGGCTTTCTGTGGCCAGTAAACAGAAAACAGTCTATTTTTTCTTAGGAGATCAATCTATGATAAAATTTAAAATATGTTTTCTTTAACCTTTGGTTAAAGGTAGTTTTAAAATAGGCGCTATTAAGTTGAGAGGGTAAGGCATCAAAGTGAGAAAGCAAAATATATCAGGCTAAGAACTATGTCCTGAGAGGGATTTGGAGTGGGGTTATTGACCAGTACTATTGACTATTCAACTGACTGGAAGCAAATAGATCAGAAGCCTACTAAGGTTTTGAAGTAATTTATATTGCCAGAGAAACCATGAAGATGGACTTAAACCAACCACTGGTCTCCAACCTTCTGTTATTGCAAAGTTGGCATACTACCCCATGTCCACCTCCAAACAGTCCAAGGAGACCAGGAAGAACCTAGCAGAGAACAGGCCAGGGGTCATGGAGAATGATGAACAAAGTAGTCCCTTCCAGAGACAGAAGCAGGGCCTATTCAGAGCACTTCTACATGCCTGCAGTAGAGACCTTTACAATGCCTGCCTTGCTGGATTCCATCACTGCTATGGAATAGTAACTGCTTTGTTCCTCTCACTCCTTATTTTTCTAAATGGAAACTTTAATTATGGCTTATTATGTCCCTGTTCCATCATTGTGTATTGGTTGGGAGTATGTAGTAGCCACAAAATTGACTCACAATGAATCTTGCTATAAGAATTACTAAAGAAAATAGTTGAAAAAATTATATATATAATTAATATATATAAATATAGTTGTAAAAAATTAATATAGTTTTAGAACTAAAATCTCAGATGATATTTATAAGATATTTGGAGATGGGCAAATAACAGTGGAAATTAAGAATTTGGCATAACAATTTTTGGTTGCATTTACAGTGTTTCTGAGTCAGGCCTGCAGACTGGAGTTTAAACTGTAAAAGCATTTCAGTCCTATGTGGGCTAAGGAGCACCAGTGTGTGTCAAACCAGGCATCCGCAGGTTGTGCTAGATCAGCTGTTCCACATTTTAGCTTTTCTTATAACTGCAATCCGAAACAGGGGAAAGAATGGCTGGAAGGGAGTGCCAGCCTCTTGGATTCATGTAGTTTGGCCACAGGTTTTTACTCCCCAAACATGTGTCTCTAGGTCACTCTACATTTATGAATTTCCTAAGTTCTGATCATGGCTGTGGATTTCAGAGAGATTTACAACACGGTGGCTTTACCAACAGAATGGTGATCAATTTTGTTTATACATAATTTTTAATGGAAATATATTTTGGAATTGAAGAAATAGAAACCAAAAACAATTGAATTTTCACAAGTCCAAAGACAAAGAGGACAATTAAGAAGGCCTGTGTCTAGAAGAACACTGTCTCCAGAAATCAATTTTAATCAAAAAATGAAGGAAGGATTAGAAGCTTTGAGTCCTATGCTTTGGCCTTACTATTATAAAGGAGCAAAGAGGCAGTAAGAATAAAAACAAAATAAAGGAAGAGCAGGTTTATTAAGCTGGAGGAAGAAATATTTCCTTAGGAAAATTGTTGAGGTTGTAGGCAGGTTAGGCAAGCATGATGGAGAAAAGGAGATCTGAGAGGATATGCTAGAGTTTTGGAAAGGGAAAAGGAGGTGTGCCCAGCTACACATAGCTGTTTTAAAAAAAAATTTAAAAAAGGTCCCGGCGCAGTGGCTCATGCCTGTAATCCCTGCACTTTGGGAGGCCGAGGTGGGTGGATCACCTGAGGTCAGGAGTTCAAGACCAGCCTGGCCAACATGAAAACCCAGTCTCTACTAAAAATACAAAAAATTAGCTGGACGTGGTGGTGGGTGCCTGTAATCCCAGCTACTTGGGAGGCTGAGACAGGAGAATCGCTTGAACCTGGGAGGCAGAGGTTACAGAGAGCCTAGATCGCACCACTGCACTCCAGCCTGGGGGACGAGAGCAAAACTCCATCTCAAAAAAAAAAAAAAAGGATTTGGGAGGTAGGGAGGTAGGGGAGGGCTTTTTTAAGTTACTAACAAATCCAACAAAATGACCAAAACTCACAGAAATGTACAAGAGGAAAGCAGGCAAGATCTCGGAGAGAAGCCTAAAAAGAATCCCCTCAGAGGGACCATAATCAGAAAACTATCGATTTGAGCCTTTTAAAAGTTTCTGGTAGAGTCCATAAATGCAATTGGAAAACCAATGCTCAAAGACTGAGGATTATTAAGTGACCTTCACGATGACATAGTTATAGTAAGTGAGGGATGCAGTTATTGCCTATGCCTTGAAAAAACATGCCCAATAAGAAATATAAAGAAAGGCACAGGGAAGTGAAAATACTGAAGGAAAGCCAGGTAGGGCAGTGGTTTATAGAGTAGGTCTGGATGTTGGTCTGATAGGAGAATGCCTCTTGGGTAGAACTGTGTAACACTCATGATTGAGATAGTGCAAGTTATTTAAGACCTGGAAAATTCCACAGTGGAGGAGGGATACTGCCTGGTAGAGCACATGGCAGAGGGATTGCCCCTAATAGGAGACAGGTGTCGGAAGCATCATCAGCTTTCTCAGTGAGGACTGTATGGAAGGGAATTCTCCAGCTGGTGCACACTTGGGGATTAGGAAAAATGTTCCTAAAAGTCAGATTTCATTGTTCCTACAATTCCAAACCAGGCTTCATGGTAGAAACCACAATATATGTTATAAAAGACCACTTGTGGCTGGGCACAGTGGCTTACATCCGTAATCCCAGCACTTTGGGAAGCCGAAGTAGGCAGATCACCTGAGGTCAGGAGTCGGAGACCAGACTGGCCAACATGGTGAGACCCTATCGCTACTAAAAATATAAAAAGTTAGCCAGACATCGTGGTGCATGCCTGTAATCCAAGCTACTTGGGAGGCTGAGGCAGGAGAATCGCTTGAACTCAGTAGGTGAAGGTTGCAGTGAGATGAGATCATGCCACTGCAAAAAAAAAAAAAAAACAAAAAACACTTGCCATAAATTTCTTCCTTTCTCTTCCTTCCTTCCTTCTTTCCTTTTTTCCTTGCTTCTTTATTCTTTCTTTCCTTCCTCCCTCCCTCTTTTTCTTTTTTCCTTCTCTTTCCTTTTCTTTCTCCTTTCCTGCCTTCCTTCCTCTTTCTTCTTTCTCTTTCTTTCCCTTCCTTTCTTCTGTTCTCTTTTTTCTTCTTTTGCTTCCTGCCTCCCTCCTTCCCTCCCTCCCTCTTCCATCCCTTCCTTCCTTCCTTCCTTCCTTCCTTCCTTCCTTCCTTCCTTCCTTCCTTCCTTCCTTCTACAGTTCAGATCCTTAGAGGGAGCTCATTTACCATATCACATTACAGTTTCAGAATTACAGGGTAAAAAGGGGAAATCAAGTTGCAACTTAGAATTGCTTAAACAGGCTAGTCAGGGAAGATGAGTACCTCGGGATGTTTTAGTCTGCCCTATGTCTGGAGTCCTAAGGGAACCTCATCCATTCTCTGCTGTGATTGCTAAGGAATCCCTTAGCAACCCCCAACTCAACACAGGCATTGAAATAAGAATGATAAATTGGAAGAATGAGTTTCAGATTTAAATGATTGTGAACTTACATTTAACTGCATTTTAACTTATATGAGAGCAAGAGAAGTTTTACTTTAATCATGTCCTGCAGATTTGATAATAAAAAGACTTTATAATCAAATTTGAAGTGGACCTGTGTAAGTGGAAGATCTGTATTGTGTACAACTGGAGAATGTATGAAAGAAGGATCTATATTGTATCATGTTATTTTATGCTTTATCTCTGGTAAGCTATATTGAATTACATTCCTCAACAGAATTTGAAGTAGGAAATAAGAGTAAGGAGATAATTTCATCCTATAATGAATTTAGGCCTGGAGTTACTTTGATTAATATAAAATTCGACCCATTTCAGTGGCTTCTGACAAAATCTAAACTGCACACTGTGGACTCGAGTCGATAAACAACAGAGAGACTAAGACTGCATGAAGTTAGGAGATGGACCATCATGAAGGAATATCCTCTGTGTGTCGGGGGATGTGGGGAGTTAGCCATATCTTTGGTTCATGTTAGGTTTAATGGTTAACAAATTAAAATGCTAAAGAATGTTATGAGTGAACCTCTTTTCCCTTTTGTTTTCTGATTTTCTGCAAAACTTCTGTTCACATAGCAATCCTGGTTTTGTGCCCCATCTTCTCCTTGCCCCATGAAAGAGAATGGAGTTATCTGATTGGCAGATGCCATCCGTGGTCCGTATTTCTCAACTGAGTAGAAACTGACTCACTAAAAGGCAGCAAGCCCCAGATCAATAAGAGGCAGAAATCTTATTCTCTAGTGATACTGCAGGATCCTCTAATGAGATCCTGTAGGCAAGCTGGCCCAAGGTCTAGACTTAGACTTCATTAACATATCTAAAGTCATGTTATCCAATCGGCTTTATTAGTACTAAAGCTGACATTTCTATCTTTATCTAGGTCTGATTTCTCAAATGTATCTGAACATGAGAGGAGAGGAAAAAAGATATTATTTACTGATTCCTTCTTATGCATCCTGCATTCTCACCCTAACCTGGAGTGGCCGACACCAGAACTCTCTCCCTTTATGACAAGCAAATGCCCCGTTTACAAGTAGACAACCTTAATTTACATTGTTTTTCTCTTGGAGACAGGGTCTCACCCTGTTGCCCAGGCTCAAGTGCAGTGGCACAATTATGGCTCACTGCAGCCTTGATCTCCAGTGTTCAAGTGATCCTCCCACCTCAGCCTCCTGAGTAGCTGGGACTACAGCACATGCCACCATGCCCAGCTAATTGTTGTATTTTTTGTAGGGATGGAGTTTCACCATATTGCCCAGGCTGGTCTCAAATTCCTGGGCTCAAATGATCCTTCTGCACTGGCCTCCCAAAATGCTGAGATTTCAGGCCTGAGCCACTGTGCCCGGCCTAACTTACACTTTCTATAAAATAAAGAAACATGTAATGGGAAGGCCGGAACCTTAAATTGAAAAACACCTAAGTTAAACTGCTGGCCCATTATGATGTGACTGTGAGCACATACACCTTCTTCCCTGTATCTGTTTTCTCATTTGAAAAGTGAGGATAATATCTCTCTGGCAAGACTATTTTGAGTATTAAAATAGACATGTAATTATGTGCCTAATATCACATCTGGTGCAGTAGATATTAAGCAAAAGATTATTCTTTGTTAGCAATTATAACTACTTCTTAAGCAAAATCAAATTTTCATGATAATGTGTTGCATTTTCTAGTACATTATAGTCAATAAATGTTCATTCCTTTTACTCCAGACTTACACTCTAACGAATGAGTAATAGAATCCAAAGTAAAGAAATTTTGTTTTGTTTGTTAAATTAAAAAGTGCAATGCAAAAATCTTATAAAGAAACATCTGTCAAGTGAAATTCATAAGTTTCTTTACTTGAGAAAGTTCTAGTTTGTGCTTCATTATTTATGGTACAGGTTTAAGATCATGTTGGGTGGCCCAGCTGTTTCTCCTGTTCATTAGGAACGCTGGGCACTGCATACTTCTTAAATCCAAAAGCAATAGCTCTTTCCCTTATGATCCAGCTCAAGATGTAGTTAGAGTTAGCTGGACCAAAGGCTGAGTAGGACTATTAACCAGAACTAGGCTCTGCTTCTCCAGCTTTGCATGCTTTCTGTGGTTTATAATGTGATTGGTAACCAGGAAAGCTCAATATGACTATGTGGGTTAAAATGTATGCAAAATAATAAACAACAGCTTCAGCTTAGGAGAGGCACCATGTTTATTCAAGAATATGACATGATAGCAGTTGGCTTCTGGCATATGAGTTCTTTCTTAAGGCAAACATCAAATGACCCATGTTAGACTTTTTTTTTATTAAAGCCTCATGCACATGGTGCTTAGTTGATTTTTAGAAGAAATCAATGAGAAATGTAGGTGAGTACAGGGGAAAAGGGTAGAGAGGGTTAAAAAAAACCTATGAAAACATGAAATCAACTTTAGGGATTTTTTTAATCCTTGAAAAAGTAATATTACTGAATCAAATGATAGTCTCTCTATTAAGAAAACACTATACCACTTCTCAAAGTATTTCTTAATATGCATCTAAAGTTTCATTGTTAAAGAGTCAAATTTTCCAAATCAGAGAAAAGTATTACTTCATGGTTCCCAAGTTTCCAATCACTTAACATATGAAACATTGAAGTTTTAAGAGTCAAATGCTCCAAGTGAAAAGCATCTGTTTGATGTCGACGAGGTCCTGACAAATTCAGTGTTAAAAGACTCTTTGTGCTGCTCTTTGAAAATATATCACTTTATAATAAATCTCTGGGCTCTGACACTCTTGGTGATGAGGTTTGCTTTACAGACTTATGCAAGAGGATGTTTGCCACACCTGGCTCTTTGTGAGATGAGAGTGGCAGATTTTAAAATAGAAATTAGCATAGAGCTTCAGGTTTAGATGCTGACCTAAGTGCCTTTATTTTCTTTAAATTTGAGACATATATTATCAGAAGGGTGAAGGTTCTCTCCTCTCCTATCTGATTTTTGATTTCTCCTTTATTTCCAGAAAAGAAGTTATCAAATTATAAAGCATGCCAGGAATTAAAGCTGTTGAAAATTTAATTATGAAAGTTGTCAAGACTGTGTCATTATGGCACTAATAACTTCAGATTGTTGGTAACGATTATTTCAGCCATTGTGGGGACTGGCTTATTTGCACAGAGACTGCATTCGATGTAAAATTTTCTATTTTGTGGTTGCTTCAGGGCGTGAAGGCTATAGTAAAAATAAATAGCTTACTCAACATTGAAGAGTATTGTGATGATGAATTAGACACCTAAAATTAGCATACTTCTTTAAAATATTATATGTTCAGTATAGAACTTTTAGACACCACAGATAAACGCAAAGAAAATAAATCCTATAATCTAGAAACAAGCACTTTGGCATACACTGATTTCTCCTTACACACACAAATTCACAAACACACAGAAATATGTATATGTCTTTAAAAAAACATGTACCCCTTCACAAATTGTCCAAGATAGTGGTTGTATTCAAATAATATATTGGGACCATTATTCACTTACTCTCTCTTTTTCTCTCTGGTGTGTGTGAGAGAATGGTTGCATATTTCATTATGTGGATATCTCACAATGAAACCATCACGTAGCTAAAGAACTAGATGGTCATCAGTGACTTACATATACTCTCAGGCTTCTCATCTATTTCATTCCTTTTCCCTCCACTATCACAAGTCTCCCGGCCTTCTATCATTCTTTCCCTTTAAAAAAATAAACTATACACACACGCACACAGTATGTGGCTTATTTTCTCTGGTATTTGGCCTTTGTAAAAATGGGATCATCTTGTTAATGGCCCTCTTTCATCACTCAACATTATGTTTAAAGATTCATTCATAATACTGAATGTAATTCACTCCTGTGTAATATTCCATAGTGTTAAAATGCCACCATTTCTCCATTCTGCTATTGATGTACATTTGAGTTGTTAGGGATTTGTGTGTGTGTGTGTTGCTCTTATGAGCACCACTGACATGAATATTCTTATGCATGTCTCTTGATGTGCAAAAATATCAAGGAGTGAAAATGCTGGATCATAGGTGATGCTAATGTTTGGCTATACAATAAAATATCAAATTATTTTTCAAAGTGAATTCTATCAATTTACACTCTCATGCAAATCATACAAAAGTGCATGAAAGTACTAGTTGCTTCATATTGTTGCCCACCCTTGGTAATTTCTATCTTTTCTCATTTTAGCACTTGTTGTTTTGCTTTAGTGGTATGCACTGTGCTTTAATTAACATTTCGCTGATAACTAGTGAAACTGAACACTTATTTGCGTGTTGATAGACATTGGGATATTTACTTTTCTAAAGTGTCTGCTCATATCTTTTGTCCATTTCCCATTTGCTTTTTGTTTGTTTAATTGTAAGAATTTTAAAGATCATAATCTGAGTTTATTGTTGCACAGACTGGTGACATATAGTCTCCCATTCTTTGCTTTTTCACTCTCTTTGTGGTGTCTTGATAAATTAAGAAACTACTAATGTTAATTTAAGCCAATTTATTAATTTTCTTGTTTATGTTTAGCATCTTTTGAGTAGCACCAGTGGTGTTAAGGAAATATTTTTGTCTACACCAAAGTCACAAAGTTATTCTTCTGTGTTTAAAAGCTTAAGTATATTACTCTTTAGATCTATATTCTATATAATTTGATTTTTGTATATGGTATAGAAGGAATCAAGATTCACTTTTTTCTGTATGGATATTCAACTTACATAGAACCATTTACTGAAATGATTACCCTTTCCCTACCACACTGCCCTGTTACCCTTGTTGTAATCTTGTGACCACATATCTGTGTTTGTTTCTATTCCCTCTGTTCTTTTGGCCTATTCTTGAAGCGATGGCTCAAAGCATTAATTAGTATCATTTTATAATAAGTCTTGAGGCCTTGTGGCATAAGTCTTGGCATTGTATTTCATTTTTATTTTAACTTTTATTTTAGGTTTGAGGGTACATGTGAAGGTTTGTTACATAGGTAAACATGTGTCATGGGGATTTATTGTACATATTATTTCATCAGACATTATTTTCTTCATGTGTTAGTTTGTTAAGGATATTTTTCTCCGGCTTTATCCATGTCCCTGCAAAAGACATGATCTCATTCTTTTTATGGCTGCATAGTATTCCATGGTGTATACATACCACATTTTCTTTATCCAATCTGTCATTGATGGGTGTTTAGGTTGATTTCACGTCTTTACTATTGTGAATAGTGCTGCAATGAACATTCACATGCATGTGTCTTTATGATACAATGATTTATATTCCTCTGGATATATACCCAATAATGGGATTGCTGGGTAAAATGTTAGTTCTGCTTTTAGCTTTTTTGAGGAATCGCCATACTGCTTTCCACAATGGTTGAACGAATTTACACTCCCACCAACAGTGTATAAGTGTTGCCTTTTCTCTGCAATCTTGCCAGCATCTATTGTTTTTTGGCTTTCCAATAATAGCCATTCTGACTGGTGTGAGATAGTATCTCATTATGGCTTTGATTTTCATTTCTCTAATGATCAGAGATAGTGAATTTTTTTTCACATGCTTGTTGGCTGCATGGCTGTTTATGTCCTTTGCCCACTTTTTAATGGGGTTGTTTTTCTCATAAATTTGTTTAAGTTCCTTATAAATGCTGGGTGTTAGACCTTTGTCAGGTGCATAGTTTGCAATTTGTTCTCCCATTCTGTAGGTTTTCTGTTTATGGATGGTTTGTTTTTCTGTTTGTTTTTTGCTGTGTGGAAGCTCTTCAGTTTAATTAGTTCCCATTTGTCAATTTTTGTTTTCATTGCAATTGCTTTTGGTGTTTTTGTCATTAAATATTTGCCTGTTCCTATGTATTGCCTAGGTTGTCTTCTAGGGTTTTTATAATTTGGGGTTTTACATTTAAGTCTTTGATCCATCTTGAGTTGATTTTGCATGTGGCATAAGGAAAGGGTCCAGCTTCAATCTTCTGCATATGGCTAGCCAGTTATCCTAGCATCATTTATTAAATAGGGAGTCTTTTCCCCACTGATTTTTTTTTGTCAGCTTTGTCAAAGATCAGATGGTTGTAAATGTGCAGCCTTATTTCGGGGCTCTCTATTCTGTTTCATTGGCCTGTGTGCCTCTTTTTGTATCAGTACCATAGTGTTTTGATTACTGTAGCCTTGTAGTATAGTTGGAAGTTGCATAATGTGATGCCTCCAGCTTTGTTCTTTTGGCTTAGGATTGTGTTGTCTATTCAGGCTCCTTTTTGGTTCCATATGAATATTAAAATAGCTTTTTCTAGTTCTGTAAAGAATGTAGCTGATAGTTTGATAGGAATAGCATTGAATCTATAAATTGCTTTGGGCAGTATAGTCATTTTAGTGATATTGATTTTTCCTATCCATGAGCATGAGCTGTTTTTCCATTTCTTTGTGTCTTTTCTGATTTCTTTGAGCAGTGTTTTGTAATTCTCATTGTAGAGACCTTTCACTTCATGTGTATTCCTAGCTGTATTCCTAGATATTTTACTCTTTTTTGTGGCATTTGTGAATGGGATTGCCTTTCTGATTTGGCTGTTGGTTTGGCTGTTGTTGGTTTATAGGAATGCTACTGATTTTTGCATATTGATTTTGTATCCTGAGGCATTGCTGAAATTGCTCATCATCTGGAGGAACTTTTGGGCTGAGACTATGGGATCTTCCAGATATAGAGTCATATCATCTGCAGAGATAGTTTGACTTCCTCTCTTCCTATTTGGATGCCCTTTATTTCTTTCTCTTCCCTGATTGGTCTAGCTGGGACTTCCAATACTATGTTGAATAGAAGTGGTAGGACAGGGCATCCTTGTCTTGTCCCAGTTTTCAAGGTGAAGACTTCTGGCTTTTGCCCATTCAGTATAATGTTGGCTATAGGTTTGTCATAGATGGCTCTTATTATTTTGAGGTATGTTCCTTCGATACCTAGTTTATTGAGAGTTTATAACATGAAAGGGTGTGTTATATTTTAGCAAAAGCCTTTTTCTGTATCTATTGAGATAAGCATGTGGTTTTTGTCTTTACTTCTGTTTATGTGATGAATCACATTTATTGATTTGTGTATGTTAAATCAACCTTCCATCTCAGGGATGAAGCCTACCTGATGATGGTGGATTACTTTTTGATGTGCTGCTAGATTCAGTTTACAATAATTTTGTTGAGGATTTTTGCATCATTGTTCATCAAGGATATTAGCCTGAAGTTTTCTTTTGTTGTTGTGTCTCTGCCAGGTTTTGGTATCAAGATAATGCTGGCCTCATAGAATGAGTTGAGGAGGAGTCCCTCCTTTCCAGTTTTTTGGAACGGTTTCTGTAGGAAGGGTACCAGCTCATCTTTGTACATCTGGTACAATCTGGTTGTGAATCCGTCAGGTCCCAGGCTTCGTTTGGTTGGTAGGCTATTTATTACTGATTCAATTTCAGAGTTTCTTATTGGTCTTTTCAGGGCATAAATTTCTTCTTCCTGGCTCAGTCTTGAGAGAATGTATGTGACCATGATTTTATCCACCTCGTCTAGGTTTTCTAGTTTGTGTGCATAGAGGTGTTTGTAGTAGTTTCTGATGGTTGTATTTATTTCTGTGGGGACAGTAGTAACGTTCCCTTTGTCATTTCTAATTGTATTTATTTGGAGTTCCTCTATTATCTTTTTTAATAGTCTAGCTAGTGGCCTATTTTATTAATTTTTTTCAAGAAAACAACTCCTGGATTTATTGATCTTTTTAATAACTTTTTGTGTCTTGATTTCCTTCAGTTCAACTCTAATTTTGTATTTTTCTCCTCTGCTAGCTTAGGGGTTGATTTGTTCTTCTCTAATTCTTTCAGTTGTGCAGTTAGGTTGTTAATTGAGATCTTTCTAACTTTTTGATATAGGCATTAAGTGCTATGAATTTCCCTCTTAACACTGCCTTAGTTGTGTTCCAGAGATTCTGGTATGTTGTATCTTGGTTCTTATTATTTTCAAAGAACTTCTTGATTTCTGCCTCAATTTCATTATTTACCCAAAAGTCATTCCAGAGCATGCTGTTTAGTTTCCATATAATTGCTTGTTTTTTTAGTGATTTTCATAGTCTTTACTTCTATTTTTACTGAGCTGTGGTCCAAGACTGTGTTTAGTAGATTTCAGTTCTTTTACATTTGCTGAGGATTGTTTTATGTCTAATTATGTGGTTCGTTTTAGAGTATGTGCCATGTGGCAATGAGAAGAATGTATATTCTGTTGTTTTTGGGTGGAGAGTTCTATGAAGGTCTATCAGATCCATTTGGTCCAGTGTTGAGTTTAGGTTCTGAATATTTTTGTTAATTTTCTGCCTCAATGATTTGTCTAATACTGTCAGTGGAGTGTTGAAGTCTCCCACTATTATTGTGTGGTTGTTTATGTTGCTTTGTAGGTCTCTAAGAACTTGCTTTATGAATCTGGGTGCTCCTATGTTGGGTGCATATATAAATTTAGGATAGTTGACTCTTCTTGCTGAATTGAACCCTTTACCATTATGTAATGCCCTTCTTTGTCTTTTTGGATCTTTGTGGCTTTGAACTCTGTTTTGTCTGAAATTAAGATCGCAACCCCTGCTTTTTTCTGTTTTACATTTGCTTGGTAGGTTTTCCTCTATCCCTTTATTTTAAGCTTATGAGTGTCATTACGTTTGAGACGGATCTCTTGAAGATGGCATACCAATGGGTCTTGCTTTTTTATCCAGCTTGTCACTCTGTGCCTTTTATTTGGGGCATTTATTCCCTTTGCATTCAAGGTTTAGTACTGAATGTATGAATTTGATTTTGTCATTGTGCTGTTAGCTGGTTATTATGTTAACTTGTTTTTGTGGTTGCTTTATAGTGACACTGGTCTGTGGGTTTAAGTGTGTTTTTGTATTAGCTGGTAGTGGTCTTTTCTGTCCATATTTAGGACTCCTTTCAAGATCTCTTTAAGGCAAGTCTGGTAGTAATGAATTCCCTCAACATTTGCTTATCTGCAAAGGATCTTATTTTCCTTTCACTGAGGAAGCTTAGTTTAACTGGATATGACATTCTTTGTTGAAGACTTTTTACTTTAAGAGTTTTGAACATAGGCCCCCAGTTTCTTCCAGCCTGTAGAATTTCAGTTGAGCCGTCCACTGTTAGCCTAATGGGGTCCCCTTTGTAAGTAACCTGCCCTTTCTGTCTAGCTGCCTTTAACATTCTTTCATTTCAACCTTGGAGAAAGCTCAATTACGTGTTTTGGGGATGATCTTCTTGTGTAGAATCTTGCAGTTCTCTGTATTAACTGAATTTGGCTGTTGGCCTCTCTAGCAAGGTTGGAGAAGTTTTCATAGATGATATCATGAAATATATTTTCCAAGTTGTCTGCCCTCCCTTTAAGGGATGCCAATGATTTGTAGATTTGGTCTCTTTACATAATCCCATAGTTGTCGAACGTTTTGTTCCTTACTTTTCATTCTTTTTTATTTATTTTTGTCTGACTATCTTATTTCAGAGAACCAGACTTCACATTCTGAGTTCTTTTCCTCAGCTCGGTTTATTCTGCTATTAATTATTTCTTCCTAAAGAAAGCCTTGACTTTTATAGGCTCTTTAAATTTCTATATAAATATTGGAATCAGCAGGTATATTGACATTTTGATTGAAATTGTATTAAAATTATGGATGAATTTGGGGAGAATTGACATTATTATAATAACTTTTATTTTTTATAAATATGGTATATATACTCCATTTATTTAGAACTACTTTAATTTCTCTCAATAATGTTTTTGATTTTTTAATTGTTTTAATTTTGAATGTAGAGATCTTGTACATCTTTCATTATATTAATTCAGAAATGTCTGCTGTTCTTTATGCTCCTGTAAATGTATTTTTAAAATTCAATTTTCTATTTATTTGTTGCAAGTATATACAAATATAATGTTTTTATTGGTCTAATATGCAGCAAACTTGCTAAATTCACTTATTAATTCTAGTAGTTTGGTTATAAATCATTTGGGTTTTCTATGTTTAAAATCATTTTGTCTCCCCAAATTGCAATTTTATTTCTTCCTCTCCAATTCCTATGCCTTTGATTTCTTTTTCTTGCCTTGTTCTAAATGGGCCCCTCGTGCAATGTTGCACAGGAGTGACAAGAGTAGACAAGCCTGTCTCCATTCCTAACATCAAGACGAAATCTTTTAATAAATCACCATTAAATATGTTGTAAGTATGTTGTAGATACCCTTTATCAGATTAAGAAAGTTTCCTTTCATTCCTAGAATCTAAGAGTATTTATCATGAATAAATGTTAAATTTTATCAAAATATTTTTCTATATCTATAAAGATAACAAAGACAAAAATATCCACGATTTTGCTCCTTTTTCTTTTAGTGTGATGTTACATTGATTGAGTTTTAATTTTAAAGCCATTTTACCATCATATATGATTTCTTTTATGCATTACTAGATTAGCTTGGTTAATATTTATTTAGGAATTTTTTCATCTATTTTATAAGATACATTTGACTATAATTTTCCTTTTTGTAATATTCTCATCAGATTTTTCTATCAAAGTTTAACTGCATCATAAAGTGAGTTAGGGAAATGATCCTTTTTTCCTCTACTATAGAAGAGTTTTTATAATAACATATTTGGCGGAATTCACAAGTGAAATCATCTGGGCTTAGAGTTATCTTTTTGCGGAGATTATTGGATAACTGATTCAACTCTTAACAGGTAAAGGACTATTTTAATTTTCTATTTATCCTTGAATTAGTGCCAGGAATGTGTGGTTTTCAAGAAATGTGTACATTTTACCTAAATTTTCAGATTTAATGGAGTGTAATTATTTATAATTTTCTCTTATTATATTTTGAATATCTTTACAAAATGTAATAATGATCCCTTTTTCCAGAAGGCTAATTTGAGCTTTGCTTCTCTCTTTCTTTTCTTTCTCCCTTCCTTTCTCCTTTCTTCCTTTCTCTCTCTCTCTTTCTTTCTTTCATTAGTCTTACTAGTGCTGCTACTTTTCCTTTTGAAAGAACAAACTTTTGGCTTTCTTAATCCTTTGATTGCACTTTAGTTTTTATATTTTATTAACTGTTGCTCTAACCTTTATTATTTTCCATCCCTTCTTTACTTATGTTGAATTTGCTGATTTGTTTAGACGGATATTCAGTCATTGAATTTAAACCCTTCTTTGCAATATATGTTTGTAAGATAACGGATTCCTTCTACACATGGCTTTAGCTGCATTCTCCAAGTTGTCATATTTTACTTCAAATTATTTTTGATTTTCCACTGTGGCTATTCTTGATCCATAAGTTATCAAGAAGTATACTACTTCTTTTCCAACCTTTTGGGAATTTTCTGGCTATCTTTTTTTGTGGTTATTGCTTTTCACCTTAATTTCACTGTGGTCAAATAATACACTCCATGATTTTAAGCTTTTAAAACTCATTGAAGCTTGCCTTATGACCTAGTATATTGTAAATTTTAGTAAATATTCCATGTGCACTTAAAACAAATATGTATTTTGTTATTATCCTACTATGCCAATTGGATCATGTTTCTTAATTGTCTTTTTCAGATGTTCTGTATCCTTATGTTTTAGATCTGCTTGTTCTACTTTATCATTTGTAAAAAACTGTGTTAAAGTCTCTGCTATGATTGTTAATTTGTCTATGTTTAACATTTTTTGAAGTTTGGTTTCACACACATTGAGGCTATGTTAATAGCTGTATATATGTCTAGAATTATTGTATATAGTATTCCTGATTCATTACCTTTTTAGCATTATGAAAAATATGTTAATTGCTATAAAATCTACTTTGGTTGATTTTAAAACATCCATACCAGTTTTTGTTTTTTTTTTTTTTTGGTTACTGTTTGAATAGTATTGGGGGAACCAGCCCCCAGTGTTTTAATGTAGGTTCTTTCTATTTTCCCTAAGTGTCAGCCAGTCTGAGAAATAAAGAGAAAGAGTACAAAGAGAGGAATTTTACAGCTGGGCCACCAGGGGAGACATCACATATCGGTAGGTCTGTGATGCCCACCTGAGCCGCAAAACCAGCAAGTTTTTATTAGGGGTTTTAAAAGGGGAGGGACTGTATGAACTGGGAGTAGGTAACAAAGATCACATGCTTCTGAGGCCAATAAAGATTGCAAGGCAAAGGGCAAATCAAAGATCACAAGGCAAAGAGCAAAATTAGAATTACTGATGAGGGTCTGTGTTCAGCTGTGCACATATTGTCTTGATAAACATCTTAAACAACAGAAAACAGGGTTCAAGAGCAGAGAACTGGTCTGATCTCAATTTCACCAGGGTGGGGTTTTTCCTCACCCTAGCGAATCTGAGGGTACTGCAGGAGACCAGGGCATATTTCAGTCTTTATCTCATCCACATAAGACAGACACTCCCAGAGTGGCCATTTATAGACCTTGTCCCAGGAATGCATTCCTTCCCCAGGGTGTTAATTATTAATATTACTTGCTGGGAAAAGAATTCAGTGATATCTCTCATACTTACATGTCTGTTTATAGGCTCTCTGCAAGGAGAAAAATATGGCTCTATTCTGCTCAACCCTGCAGGCAGTCAGACCTTATGGTTGTCTTCCCTTGTTCCCTAAAATTGCTGTTATTCTGTTCGTTGTCAAGGTGCACTGATTTCATATTGTTCAAACACTCATGTTTTACAATCAGATTTCATATTGATCAAACGCACATTTTACAATCAATTTGTACAGTTAATGCAATCATCACAGGGTCCTGAGGTCATGTACATCCTCAGCTTACAAAGATAACAGGATTAAGAGATTAAAGTAATTTCTTACACCTAAGAAATTATAAGGCACAAGAAATTATAAGAGTATTGTTAGGGAAGTGATAAATGTCCATGAAATCTTCACAATTTATGTTCTTCTGCCATGGCTCCAGCCAGTCCCTCCGTTCGGGGTCCCTGACTTCCTGCAACAAATAGCATATTTTCCTCTACCTTTTTACTTTCAACTATACTATGCTCTTAAACGTAAGGTATATCTTTTGTAGGCATATTGTTAAATTTCAACAATTCAAAAATTGTTGAATCTTGACAGTTTTTATCTTTATACAGTTTTTAGTCCATTTACATTATGTCATTACTAATATATTTGGGTATAAATCGGCCATCTTCCTATTTGTTTTCTGTTTGTGCCATCTTTACTATATTACTTCTTCTTTCTTTTGGGAATGCCAAGAACCCAAAAGCAAATGCAACAAAAACAACAATAAATAGATGGGCCTTAATTAAACTAAAAAGCTTCTGCACAGCAAAAGGAATAGTCAGCAAAGTAAACAGATAACCCACAGAGTGGGAGAAAATATTCATAAACTATGTATCCAACAAAGGACTAATATTCAGAATCTACAAGGATTTCTGATCTGCAAGAAAAAAACAAATAATCCCATCAAAAAGTGGGCTAAGGACATGAACAAACAATTCTCAAAAGATACACAAATGGCTAAGAAACATATGAAAATATGCTTAACATCACTAATTATCAGGGAAATGCAAATAAAAACAACAATGCAATGCCACCTTACTCCTGCAAAAATGGCCATAATTAAAAAATAAAAAAAAATAGGTGTTGGTGTGGATGTGGTGAAAAGGGAACACTTTTACACTGCTGGTGGAAATGTAAACTAGTACAACCACTATGGAAAACAATATGGAGATTCCTTAAGAAAGTAAAAGTAGAATTACCATTTGATACAGCAATCCTACTGAGTATCTACCCTGAGGAAAAGAAGCCGTTATGTAACAAAGACACTTGGACACAAATGTTTGTTGTAGCACAATTCACAATTGCAAAAATGTAGAATCAGCCTAAATGCCCATCAACCAATGAGTGGATAAAGAAAACGTGGTATATATACATATATATATATATATATATATGTATATATACCATGGAATACTACTCAACCATATAAAGGAAAGAGATAATGGCATTTAGGCAAACTGGATGGGGTTGGAGACCATTATTCTAAGTGAATTAACTCAGGAATGGAAAAATCAAACATCGTATGTTCTCACTTATAAGTGGGAGCTAAGCTACACGGACACAAAGGCATAAGAATGATATAATGAACTTTGGAGACACGGGGGGAAGGGTTGGAGAGAAGTGAGAGATAAAAGACTATACCCTGGGTATAGGGTACACTGGTCAGGTGTTGGGCACAACAAAATTTCAGAAATCATCACTAAAGAACCTTAAGCAAATGCCATGTGTTCCCCCAAAACTATTGAAATAAAAAAATATATAAATAAATTAAGAAAAAAGAAAAATTCATGAGATTACTCAATTAAACAAAGTAGCTGATATGGATAAATGCATTTTATTTAAAAATTGAAATATTTGGAAATTAATGAATATGACTAAAAGAAGTTTGAGTAATTAAACCAACACTCATAACTTTTGAAGAATATTAACAATTTGAAGTTTATTCTCATTAAAACTCAGAAAGTGTTCTGCAAATTTATGAAATGAATGAATTTGTTTAAATTGCAAGACAAGGGTAAATTAGTACAAATCCAAAAGATAATTTTACAAAACAGCAGAATTTTTAAAAGAAGAAAAATGAAGAGGAAATATCAAAATAAAGTTTAAAGGTTAAGATGGAAGTAATAAACCTCATTTATATCAATCATTACACTGAATGTGAGTGGTTTGAATATTCCCATTAAAATCAGAGGCATTAAGATTGGTATTAAAGAAAAAAAATCTGTGTTAGAAGTCATATAATTAAAACTGAATGAGGAAAAAATTGTATTAATGGAAGGGTCAAAGAGATAAAAGGCAAATACGAAGAGAAACAAAGAGTTCCAGTATAAATATTAGATACAGTGGAATGGTTAAAAGAACTAATCAGAATAAAGAAGGAAATAATAAAGCATAAAATAGCAGTCATAACTTCAACACATCAAACAAATGGCAGTGAAATAACTAAAGAAAAGTGATTTGAATTACAAGAAATACTTGATAAAATATATCTTCTCAGAACTGGAGATACTTAGTAGGCTCCAAAAAATATTGAATATTGATACAGAGGGGTCGAATAATACAATAAAGAACTTCATTATATATATATTAAATTTTATATGTATATAAAATTTATAAATTCTATATATATAATATAGGTGGCATACACACATATATACATATATACAGACACATGCATAAATACACACACATATACATATATAAAAAAAGCCTTATAATCTCAAATAGAAAATGCCTTTCTCTGTATTTCCATGGAATATTTGCAGAAAGCCATTCAAGTTCTTGAAGACAAAAAAACCTTTAATAGTTTTTAGAAATTAGGTTCTATAGGCCAAATTTTTTATCCTAATCATTAAAAAATAATTAAAAGGTGATTCTCTTCTTTTTAAAATACTTGAGATTTCAAGCCGTTTATACTTGGAAATTTTAAAACATGCCTTTCAATAATCCTTGGGTCACAAAGAAAATATCAAAATGACATATAAACCATATCAAAAGCAATGAAAAAGATAATACTTTATATCAGATCCAAAAGACTCAGTAGTGACTGTATTCAGAGGAAAAGGCATCGCCTTAAATATCTTTTTAGAAAAGAAAGAGAAAAAATAAGCTATCATTAAACCTCACCATAAAATGATAAGAAAAGTTCAAATTTATTCAATTACATTTTTATATGGTTATTGAAATGACCTGGATGAACTTGTACATCTAAGCAGTTCAGGTGTCCAACTTTAAAATCTAAATCTCTCATCGTCCTGTGTATGATTCTTCACCACCTGGTGGTGATTGTCTGCTCAAGATTCGTTATCAGTTGGGAAGGTTTGGGGTTATATTACTAGCTAGGGCTCCAGGATAGCAACAACAATTCAAGGAATATTATAGTCAGTTGTCTTCATTTCCTGGAGCTGATCCAGCGATAATGAGCTAGCATATTACTGATATGTAATACTAAATACTAACTCATGAAGAAAAAGGCAGAGGTGGTGGTAGCACTCCTTTTAACCTTTCTTGTAGTGCTGGCTTGGTAGTGGCAAATTCTCTCAGCATTTGTTTGTCTGAAAAATACTTTATCTCTCCTTCGTTTATGAAACTTAGTTTAGCTGGATACAAAAATCTTGGCTGATAGTTATTTTGTTTGAGGAGACTGAAGATAGATCCTCAATCCCTTCTGGCTTATAGGGCTTCTGCTGAGAAATCTGCTGTTAATCTGATAGGTTTTTCGTTACAGGTTAACTGATACCTTTGCCTCACTTCATCTTGGCCTTATGTAACCTGATGATTATGTGCCTAGGTGATGATCTTTTTGCAATGAATTTCCCAGGTGTTCTTTGAGCGCCTTGTATTTGGAGGTCTGGATCTTTGGCAAGGCCGGGGAATGTTTGCTTGATTATTCCCTTGAATAAGTTTTCCAAACTTTTAGATTTCTCTTCTTTCTCAAGAACACTAATTATTCTTAGGTTTAGTCGTTTAACATAATCCCAAATTTCTCAGAGACTTTGTTTATATTTTTTTGTTCTTTCTTATTTGACTCTGTCTGATTGGGTTAATTCAAAAGCCTTGTTTTTGAGCTTTGAAGTTCTTTCTTCTACTTGTTCTAGTCTATTGTTCAAACTTTCTGGTGTAATTTGTATTTCTCTAAATGTGTCTTTCATTTCCAGAAGTTGTGATTGTTTTTTCTTTATGATATCTATTTTTCTGGAAATAATTCATCTATATCCTGTATTATTTTTTACATTTATTTAATTTGGTTTTCATCTTTCTCTGCTATCTCTTTGAGTAGTTTAATAATCAACCTTCTGAATTCTTTATCTGAGAATTCAGAGATTTCTTCTTGGTTTGGATCCATTAATCTTTTGGGGGTGTTATAAAACCTTGTTTCATCATATTACCAGAATTACTTTTCTGGTTCCTTCTGATTTGGGTACACTATTTCAGAGGAAAAGTCTGGAACTCAAGGGCTGCTGTTCTGATTCTTTTGTACAATAGGGTGATCCCTTGATGTAGTGCTCTCCCACTTTCCCTAGGGATGGGGCTTCCTGAGATCCAAACTGCTGCGATTATTATTGCTTTTCTGGGTCTAGCCACCCAGTGGGGCTACCAGGCTCTGAGCTGGTACTAGGAAATGTCTGCAAAGAGTCCTGTGATGTGATTCATCTTCAGGTCTCCCAGCTGTGGATACCAGCACCTGCTTTGGTGGAGGTGGCAGGGGAGGGAAGTAGACTCTGTGAGAGTCCTTGGTTGTAGTTATGTTTAGCGTTTTGGTTTTCTCAAATGCTAGTTATTCTAGCAGTGAAGTTGTCACATGGACAGAGTCAGGACCTCTGGTTAGCCAGGACGTTGCAGGCAGAGGAATTAGCTGTTGTTTTGTCTTTCCTTGGAGCAGGATTATTCTGTCATGAATTGCTGTAATGGTTTGAGTTGGTTGGCCTCTAGCCAGGAGGTGGCACTTTCAAGAGAGCACCAGCTGTGGCAGTAGAAGGGGGATATAAGCTTGCCCTAAGTTGGACAGGATAAGTTTCTCAGGTAATGGGCAGGGCCATAAAGCTCCCAAGAATTTATGTGTTTTGTGTTTGGCTACCAGGCAGGTAGAGGAAAACCATGCAGGTCAGACTCTCCTTGGGTCAGGCTTGCTACGTCCACTGTGGGGTATGGGGAGGTGGTTATCAGGCCAATGGAGTTATGTTTCAAGGGGGATTATGGCTGCTTCTGCTTCATTGTATATGTCACCAGGGAAGTGGGGGAAACCTAGCAGTTATAGGTGTTACCCAGCTCCCACACAGCTGGTGAGGCCAGTCTCACTTCTGCTGTGCCCCACCAATAGTGCCAAGTTTATATCCAGGCAGCCTGCATGCAGGGCTCAGATCTTGCCCCAGGTTACAAGCCTGCCACTGAGAAAGCAAGCATGGCTTTTAGGTCTCATGCCTCTCCACCTTCCGATACTGATGGCCACTGCTCCTGTGCTGGTATCTCTAGCAATTCCTGTTTGTCCCCTAGATTCTGCTCAAGAAAATTCATGCTTGAACTAAATTATTACGAAGTTCAGTGGGAAGCTTCTTTCACCCTGTGATCCCTCCCTACTTCTGATGGCTACCTTCTCCAAGGACCCCTGTGAGATAGAGTCAGGGATGGCTTCCCTGGGCTTGAGCTGGGACCTGGGAGTGCCTACAGGGCTCTTCCTGCTGCTTCTTCTGCTTTAATATTTTGCTCAGCTCCCTAAATTTGTTTCAGTTCTACGTAAGGTTAAATCTTTTTCTCATGACCTGGATTTTCAGATTCCGCAGTGGGATGTGTGTTCAGAGGCATATTTTCCCCTTTCATACTTTGGGAACTCACAGTTTTTTGGCTATCTCATGGAGTTTGCAGTGGCCAGCCACTTCTTCCGCAGGATCTGTGAACTCTTTCAGTCTTCCTGGCATGTTCCTGTGGCAGGTCTCAGAGCAAAAGTTCATAGTGTGAGTCTTCACATGCTGTCCTGTCTGTCCAACTGGGAGCTGCCCATTAGTCCTGTCTCCCATCTGCCATTTTCTCTCCTTAATCCTGATAAACTAATCCAATTTTTATTTTTTAAAAAATCACTGCTATACCTATCTCCAGTGTCAAAGTCTTTCTAGAGTAATCCTATATTCAGGTCTGTATCACACAGTACTAACCAAAGAGTCCACTCTGTTCTAACAGCTGAATATTTACTACTGGCAGTGGTATCAGAGAAAGAAAGAAAAATTAAATTTTCAGACCACCAATTGGGTGGACAGAGGAATTTAAGTATATTATCTCTTTGTTCTGGGTATATATGATAGAGTTTCTGGTCAGTTGAAAATTTTTTTTTCTGTAAAATACTTCATAATCAGCTAGAAAAATATTTGGTTAGTTATTCCTTTATATTTAATCTAGATTTACATTGCAAAGCCAAACATGAAGAATGTTTACCAACTTGGGCAAAATAACTTCATAGATTTTCCAAAGTAGACTTCATCCTCTCATGATGGCTTTATGCCTATGAATCTAGGCTGACTTTATGGTCTTTGGGTCTGTCTGTTTGTGACATGTGAAGACGAATGCTTGGTTGGGTTGGGGGTGGGCAGTCTGGAGTCATGTGTGTGGGATTCTGGACTAACCCGGGCTTTTAGATGATCTTTTCTCCTATTTGGTTTTCAAAAGGTCAGTGTGTGAGCCACTTCAATGCCTCCCACTGTTTTCCTTTGCATTTTACAATGCCTGTGTGAGCTCCAGGAGGGAGCACATTTATTGTGCATGCCATTCAGTTTAGATTCTACTAGAGCAAATGATTACAACAACTCAGAGGAAAAAGCTGGAAAATAAGTCCCTGATGTAAAACTGGTCACAGGGCCAAAACGGTAGTGCCAATTATGATTTCAGTGCCTTATACACATTACGTCGCCAACAGTCTTTTTAAAAATATCTAATTTATTTATTATTGGCTAGGGTGGGCATATTAAACAATATTTCTTCTCAAGTAGCCAGTTGTCTTTGCATTAGAAGTTAAGATTAAAAGTTTACATTCACTTGTGTTAATTTCACTTTTTTTGTTTTTAAATGAGGAGCATTAATGGCAATAAATGGGCTAAAGAAAAAGAATGCCTGGAGGGCTGACACAGCATGGGTGTGGTCCTGGGGTATATATAGCACTCTCTATAATTTTCTAGCTAATGTTCCTTTCCTTGATTACATGGATTAAAAGCAGCATGTTATTATATCTGGCAAGCCAATCACATAAATAATAAAGGCTTATTACATTCTTCTTATGTTGAAGTCACAGATCCAGGTCCCATAAAAGCCTTGACATGATGCTTGCTCCTACATTAAGGCATTTGTGAAGAGATGAATCATAAACAAGTACATGTTAACCCTGATTCAAGAGTTACACAATAATCTATTATTTAATGATTGAAAAAATTGTAAAACGGCGCTTGATTGTCAAATAAGCTGCAATTCTTTTTTCCCCAATTTAACTGAGTTATAGATGACAATTAAAAACAAGTATTTCAAAGTTCTACTATAGAATTATATTTTAATAACATTAGCATTTTGTTCTCTAGTTTAATAATCATACATTTCTATTGTAGTATAGTCAAGCATCACTTAATGACAGAGATACCTTCTGAGAAATGCATCCTTAAGATATTGTAATTGTGCAAACATCATAGAGTGTACTTTCACAAACCTAGGTGGTACAGCCTGCTACACACCTAGGCTATAAGGTATAGCCTATTGCTCCTAGGCTACAAACCTGTACAACATGGTATCGTACTGAATACTGTAGGCACTTTTAGTAAAATGGTAAATATTTGTATATCTAAACATAGCTAAACACAGAAAAAGTACAGTAAAAGTACAGTATAATAACATAAAAAATGTAAGCCAGTATAGGTCACTTAACAGGAATAAAGTTTGTGGGATGGGAAGTTGCTCTGGGGTGGCAGGTGAGTGAATGGTAAGTGAACATAAAAGCCTAGAACATTACTGTACACTACTGTAGACTTCATCAACACTCTACATTTAGGCTATATTAAGTTAATTTAAATTTTTTCTTTCTTCAATAATAAATTAAACTTTGCTAACTGTAGCTTTTTTATTTTATAAACTTTAACATTTTTTTAAATTTTTGACTCTTTTGTAATGACATTTAGTTAAAAACAAACACATTTTAGAGCTGTACAAAACTATTTTCTTTCTTTATATCCTTGTTCTATAAGCTTTTTTCTATTTTTAAAATGTATTTTTCTTGTACTTTTCAAACTCTTTTGTTAAAAACAAAGACACAAACACACACATTGGCCTAGGCCTACAGAGGATCAGGGTCATCAATATCACTGTCTTCTGCTACTACGTCTTGTCCCACTAGAAGTTCTTCAGAGGTAATAGCAAGCATGGAGCTGTCCTTTCCTATGATAACAATGCCTTCTTCTGTAATACATCCTAAAGGATATACCTGAGGTTTTTTTCACAGTTAACTTTTTTTTTAATAAGTAGGAGTATACTCTAAAATAATGATAAAAAGTATAGTGATAGTAAATACAAAAATCAGTAACAGTCATGTATTATCATCAAATATTACACACTATATATAATTGTATGTGCTATACTTTTATACAACTGGCAGCATAGTTGGTTTGTTTAGATCAGCATCACCACAAACATGTGAGTAATACGTTGCATTATAATGTTATAATGGCTGAGTCACTTAAGGATAGGGCTTGTTTAGCTGTAGTATAATCTTATGGGACCACTGTCCTATATGCAGTCCGTTGTTGATGGAAATGTCATTATGCTGTGCATGACTATATTCTCTTCAGTAAAGTACACTGATATCTTTCCCCAAAATTATGTTTTCCCTTTATTTCTTGTTCTCCAAATTGTACCACAAATTGAGAGTATGTAGAAGATAAATAGTTCTATAAAATTTGTTCCTATTACTGGTTGTGTCAGAGAAAGATCACAGTGAATTTATGGATGAATTACTTAATGCTAGAAAATACCACCCCAATTTTTCTGTGAAAATAAACCCCAGAGTTGCAGGAAAACTTCAGCTTTTGTATGGTAGATATATATGAGCATTCATAAACCCTGGATTTCTTAAGCCACTGAATCAATTCTCTTTGTGGGTTTCCAAAAACCCTAGGAGGAATCTTCTTGAGTGTCAATCATTGAAGCCAGAGAACACATGGTCATTTCAAACAAGACCACTCATTAATCCCCCCAGCAACACACTCCTTATTTATTTTTATCAAAATGTACCCATCTCATAAACTTAGTACATTTTCCCAAAGAGCTAATAACATGGAACCTCTGGCCAAAGTCAATAACAACAACAAAATATTCTGCTAGCTTTAGCCAACCCCTATCTACTCCAAGTACAGAGATTAAATAGTTCATGCCTAGATGAAGCCCCAGTAAACTCACCCTCTGCCAAACCAAGAAAGATGCAAATATGGACTGGATATTCCTCTGCTTATTTGTTAAATATAACTACGTCTGGGAAAACTAGGTCATTAATATCTCTTAAATGCCTCTCACATTTCAGGCCTGTGTTACCTTCATTAATGTTTATAGAAATCCTTTTGAGGGCTTCTGATCCATTCCTTCATTCAGTTATTCATTCACTAAATATTTGTTCCCATTTTACAGATGAGAAAACAGGCTGCTAGAGAATAAGCTTCAATAAGTAATTTGCCCAAGATCACACAGTCAGCTGATAAATTGCAGAGTAGAGATTCAAAGTTAGATAGATATGACTCCAAAATCATGTTCTTTCTATCATTCAGAGCTTCCAGCAGGATCATCTGAGGCCTCTATACGTATTTCTGAGTCCCACCCTATATCATTTAATCAGAATTTTCTTTGGTTGAGCCCGAAATCTATTTTAACAGGGGTTCCATGTGATTTTGATATGTAGCTTGGTTTAGGAACAACTAAAACACACAGTAGCTTTTCAACTCCTAACATAGTAACTGGTCCAAAACACCTTATAAGTAATAATTCATTTTACAAATATTTATTAAGCACTTACTATGTGTTAGGCATTGTTATAGGTATGGCAGTGAGCAAAACACAAAAATTCCTGCCCTCGTGGAGCTTATATTCTAGTGTGGAAATGGAGGCAGTTCACAGGGGACAGAGGAAAACCTAAGTAAGTACATTATGCATTATATTAGGAGGTGGTAAATGCTAAGAAGACAATAGAGAAGTGTAAGGTGATAAGGAGGGGTGGGGGGATAATGTATTAAATAAGGCGGTCAAGATTGTTTTCTGTGCAAAGGTGAGATTTAAAGAAGGCGAGGAATGTGCCATGCGCTTGCCTGGGTAAAATCATCAGGCAGATGGAGTAGCTAGCACAAAGGTGCTAAGGCCTCTAAACATGTACCTGGTGCATCCAAGAACCATCAAGGGGACCAATGGAGGTGGAGGAAATGGGCTGGAGAAAGAAGTGAAAGCTAAAGTCAGAAAGGTAATGAAGGGAATAGTCAGATGAGCTCATGTTGGGTCTTACAGGCTATTGTAAGTACTTTTACTTTTTCTCTGAGTGAAATGGGGAACAACTGTCAGGTACTGAGTGAAAAAGTTATATGTTCTGATAAATAAAAAACAAGTCCATATATAAAGGCTAGAAGAAGATTTTGAAAGACATATCATCCAGACTCCTCTGCAAAGGCAGGTGTTTTTCTACATTACTCTAGGGAAACTCTTGTCAATTTCACACAAAAGCAGGCTTCATTATTCTGTAGTCACTCATCCATTTAATTCACTCATTAACCAAATATTCATCAACCTCACAGTCTACCCTGTGTAAGGTGCTTGCTAAGTTCAGAAGGCTTTCTGGGATTTATAACTTGGCCCCCAAGGTGCTCATGGGCCTTAGTAGCAATACATGTGGTCCAGCTTGCCTGTGAAGTAATTGTTTATTCTCAATCTGCTTAACGTTCATTGTAATTAAACCCCCTTTCCTGTGGCTGATTGTCAAAGGTGATGTAGCCGGTCAAGGCAGTCACCTGCTCTAAGTCTGTGACAAGCCATGGCCAGCAGTCTCTTCTAAAAGTTTATTGGAAGAGAAAAGTGTTGTATGCCCAAGTGTATATGAATGGAGAGACTGGAGATTATTGTCAGAGAAGAGAGGAGTTTTTCTTCTGTGTCCTACAAGTGAAGATGGGAGAAGGATGCAGTGATGCCTGGGAATCTTGAGGAGTAGAAGGGAAGCATGTGTTAGCTAACTGCTTTTGCTTATGTAGTATATATTTTGAACTTCATTGCTAATGAATAGGGAAATGCTTCAGAGCAACAGCAAAACATGGAATGAAGGCATGCCAAAAGGAAAAACTTTTAACATAGTGACTAATTCTTTTAAAATGATTTAGCTCACAGACTTCACAGGTAGTGGAAATAGTGTGGTAATGTACAACATAGCAGAATAAGTCACCTCAGTTTTCTTATTCAGAAGGGGTAAATAGGCAGGGACCAAAAATCTGATTAATATTCTATCAATGCTTTAATGCAAGGACATTTCAATGGCCACATTTAAAAGATTTTTCTTTGTGCTTTACATCTAGGCCAATTAATCTATGCTAATATAAAACAAAAATTATTTTGTTTTATAAATACATCAGTCTAATGGACAGTTGAAACACATCCCACCTCCCCATTCACTTTTTTATTCCTAGAGATTTAAATCAATGAACTGAATTTTTATTTTTACAAGACATGTTGGCTATAAATATATCACAAATCATAATTATAAACATATCATACTATGAAGAAGTAGAAAATCTCTGATATAGAGGCATCATTTTCTAAATATATTCTTGCCATTTTACGTTGAAGAATGAAGATAAATAGGAATGTGACTAGAAATCATAAAAATACCAAACTGCTATTTCCCAGAAGTGACAAAAATATGAACGAACTTTAAAAAAAATTGTTTAGATGGGCTATAATACTTGATTGAGAGTTCAAGTCCTACTGATGACCAAATTTCTCTAAATCTCAAGCTTAGATATTGATGATGGAAAATGGGCATAAAGGCTAGATTCTGGCTGCCCTCCAGTTATTGGCAGAATCCAGGTGGAAGTGCAGTGGTGTGACACCAAAGTATCCACTTCACTCAGTCAAAGATGCCAAGTGGTGTTATTTTAGTGGTGTTGTTGTTTGGTGTCAATATCCGAGATTCATTGTCTTATGGCCATGGAAAATTAGGACGCAGGCACACACAGAGTGAAGTTCAGAGTGGAAGTTTAATAGGTGAAAGAAAGAGAAGTGCTCTCTCTGCTGAAGAGACAGGGGTCCTGAAGAAATGTGTTGCTGCTTTTGCAGTGAAATACAGAAGGTTTTATGGATGAGCTTGAGGAGGTGGTGTCTGATTTACATAGGGCATGAAAAATTGGTTGGGCCAGGTGTTCCATTTGCATAAGGCATGAAAAACTGGTTAGGACTGGGTGTGCCATGCATAGTGCACGAAAAGGCTGGCCACCCACCCTAATCTTTCATTAAGCAGATGGGTTCTCTACACGGCTGGCGCCACATTGCCTGGTTTTCTACCGTACATATGGTGACAAAGAAAAAGGAAGATGGAGTCGCTGTGCTGAACATACCTGGCTTCCAGGTAGCTCTTTCCTATTGGCACAAGCTGCCAGCATTCATCTGTGCAAGTTTCCAGCTTGCTTATCTATGTTTGCAGATAGATTTTTCAGGCTGCTCTTTGTTAGAAAAGAAATGATTTGGGGGCTGCTTTTTTTGATGTTGTTGTTAAAAAGGAAATTCACTGAGGACTCTGTTGCCTTACTATCTGCCTAAATAATTTATTTCTATCTCCTGTATCACTATGACAGGGGGAAACAAACAAGAAAAGAAGGGCTGATCCTGCCTTCTACATATGTGGTGATGCTGTTTGTTCATTTATGGGTCACTTTTTTGTATCTGAGACGGAGCTTGGCTCTTGTTGCCCAGGCTGGAGTGCAGTGGTGCGATCTCGGCTCACCGCAACCTCCACCTCCTGAGGTCTAGGGATTCTCCTGCCTCAGCCTCCGAGTAGCTGGGATTACAGGCACGCACCACCACGCCCAGCTAATTTTGTATTTTTGGTAGAGACGGGGTTTTTGTATGTTGGTCAGGCTGGTCTTGAACTCCTGACCTCAGGTGATCTGCCTGCCTCGGCCTCCCAAAGTGCTGGGATTACAGGCGTGAGCCACCTCGCCCGGCCTATTGGGCACTGTTAAGTGACATTTTTGTGAAGATTCTGTGGGACATGGAGAAACTTCCTCTTGGGAGCTAGCTTGTGCTAATCCCCACAGCACAAGTGGGAATTAATGTGTGCTCACTGATTCATGCTGGTTGAAGTGTTTTTTTTTTTTTTTCTGAAGGCTTTTTTCCTTTGACATTTTCTATTTTTCTAACTAAAAGACCGGCTCCGTGAGTTTAAAGGATTATAATCTTTTGCATTTGTATTTTTCTGCATGCATTGAAGAGCATTTAAGAATATTGCCAATTAAAAGAATATGCATTTAATTTAGAAATATGAATTTGATTAGCTAATGTTCATCTTTAACATTTTCTAAGGCTGAAATGCTAATCTCTTTGCTTTCTTATCAGACTAATGTTCAGATCACACTGGCTTGATAGCTGACTCATTTTCTCAGTGCAGTGAAGGGTGGCCACCTGCCAATAAATGATGCCTAATACCACAGTTAAATGAAAGGTAAACTTTTTTTTAACTTTACAAAAGGCATGATTCTAGTATCTTGAATGAGGTAGAACTTTGGCTATGAAGAAATGAAGAGATCAGCAATCATTTTCCCCTAAACAACTATAAAGCTGGACAAATTTGATGAAAACAATTATCCCAGCAACCTGGAAATCTTCCAAGGCAGTCTGTGAAAACCAGCAGCTTTGCTTTGCAGGAGACTGACTTTATTTGGAGTGAAAGAAGGAAGACCCACACCCAGCAGCAAATGAGAAAAGTCTGCCGCTCTCCTAGCCTAAGGTTGCAGTCCCTGTTGGGGTGTAAGTAGAATATCAGAGGGTTAGTCAGGGAGATCCTGGAAACGAGATAGTCATTGAGGGCCTTAATAAGCATTGCATACATCCTTGGCTTTCTGGAAGCTTCTACACTTATGCAGCAGAGACCTGAGAGGGCCCAGCAGAAAGAAAGAATTGGGGCTGGCTTCCAAACTGCCCAGACTTAGAATGCAACCCCCTAAACCAAACACAGATCCACAGAGAGTAGAAGCCTTATCAACTAGAGGTGTTGGAGCATAGCCTGTGACCAGTCATTGGCTGACCACTAAGCTACACAGACACAGAGATGACCCCTAAGAAGCAGGCTGAAAAGTGAAAGTAAGAATTTTTTTCAAAAATCTGAGCTGAGACGTCAGAGTAGCCATACACCACAGGGATGACAGGTTCTGCTGCTTTAGTCTAGGTTAGTTCATTTAACAAAAGAGAAATGATCTGGGCCTGGTGGCTCACGCCTGTAATCCCAACACTTTCGGAGGCTGAGGAGGGACAATCACGTGAGGTCAGGAGCTCATTACCAGCCTGGCCAATATGGTGAAACCCCATCTTTACTAAAAACAAAACAAAAAAAATTAACTGAGTGCTCATCTGTAATCCCAGCTACTTGGAAAGCTGAGGCAGGCAAATTGCTTAAACTCGGAACTCGGGAGGCAGAGGTTGCGGTGAGGCGAGATGGCACCATTCATTTCACTCCAGCCTGGGCAACGGAGCAAGACTCTTAAAAAAAAAAGTAGGAGGAGTAAACAAAAAATGCAGCAGTAATAGAAACCCTCAGCAGAAAAAAAAAAGAAAATTAGAATCGGAATTGCTGTATTATCAAAAACATCCAGTTTTCCATAAAAAATTATAAGACACGCTAAGAAGCAGAAAAGTGTGAACCATACTCAAGGGAGAAAAAAAGAAGTCAATGGAAATAAACTCTGAGAGGCCCTATAAATTAGATTTAGCAGACAGCCACTGTATTAAAGAACCAACAGAGAATATGACAATGACTCAATATATAGAGAATATCCATAAAGAAATCAAATCTGTTTAAAAGCACCAGATAAAAATTTTTATATTTAATACCATATGTTAAGATTATTTACTATATTTTGCTCTCCACATGAGCTCACTTTCTGGATAATTGCAAAGTTAAGTAATTGCCTGGAAAAGGTAAACATTTTTAAAGTTCTTAAAAGGAGGCTTAACTTACTTGACACAACTGCAATAAAATAGCAGTTTGAATCAACATACAATCTTTCTTGTATCTATCAGATGATGTCATGCAGAATTGCTAACACACACTTTTTGATGTAAGACTTTCTCAATAAACTTCATTCATAATCAGAACCCTCAGTGTGATATAATTTTTCCTAAATCTCTGAATAAATAAATAAAAGTATGTTGACTTTGATTTATTTGTGTTTTTCTTAGGCACCTAATGACGACAGCTTAGGTTAGGAAGAGTCAATTTACAGGTGTGATAGAATTAAATGGCTAATGACGGAGGAGGTGAGGCATTTTAAATTTTAAACTAACAAGCTTAATTCCTTCAATATTTATACCTTACTTTGGGCTCATGATATGCTGCTGAACTTCTGTTCCAACGTACTGTTCCTTTCTTGCATGATCTTTCTTCTCAAAAGGAATTGTTTCTCTCTGAGCAAAACCATACATTTTGTCCTCTTTCTGTGACTCCTACAGTGGTCTTTGTATGTGTTTATTTATTTTTTATTTTTTGGAGATGGAGTTTCGCTCTTGTTGCCCAGGCTGGAGTGCAGTGGCAAGATCTCGGCTCACTGCAACCTCCGCCTCCCAGGTTCAAGCGATTCTTCTGCCTCATCCTCCAAGTAGCTGGGACTACAGGTGTGCACCATCACATCCGGCTAATTTTTTATATGTTTAGCAGAGATGGGATTTCACCACATTGGCCAGGCTTGTCTCGAACTCCTGACCTTGTGATCCACCCGCCTCAGCCTCCCAAAGTGCCGGGATCACAGGCGTGAACCACCACGCCTGGCCCTGTATGTGTTTTATAAAGTTTTGCTGATGGCGTAGCTGTAAAGGAATGAAGAGAAACTTGCGTGTAGAATTTTAGCCACATCTTGAAAATGCAAAGAAGTTTGAACAAAAATGCAGTGAAGTGGGATAGTGGAGTCAATCGTTTCCGGCACTGAAAACAGCATGCCCAAATGTAGAACAGAAGGAAATCACACTGATGTAGGGGCCCAACAGCCCAACTAGTTCATCAGGGGTTAGAAGGCGTGCAAAAGGACACCCAGAAATGATAAAATAGAAGACTTCCCTCTATCTTTTAACTGAAGAAAACTTGAAGCATGAAAGAGTTTGTTTTGCTTGTTTGTTTTGAGATGGAGTCTTGCTCTGTCTCCCACACTGGAGTGCAGTGGTACAATATCAGCTCACAGCAACTCCTGCCTCCCATATTCAAGCGATTCTCCTGCCTCAGCCTCCTGAGTAGCTGGGATTACAGGTGCCTGCCACCATGCCCAACTAACTTTTGTATTTTTAGTAGAGATAGGGTTTCACCATGTTGGCCAACCTGGTCTCGAACTCCTGACCTCGTGATCCACACGCCTTGTCCTCCTAAAGTGCTTTGATTACAGGCATGAGCCACCGCCCCCGGCCAGTTTTGTATTTTTTAGAATTGAAGTGGTATTGATCAGCATATTTCAGGAAGTAGGTTCTATTTTCTATGCTGAGTTTTAAGGATTCAGTCTCTGAAAGCAGTCAAAGGAATGGATTTTCCTGACATTATCACATGAGATCATCTATAATTACTTGTTAAAAGTTTACATGCCCTCCTCTTATAGGAGGCTTTGAGAAGTGATTTTACTACTAATTATTATTATAAGTTTTATATACTATTCTTCAAAGGTAACTCTTCTTTCTTTAGTATCACCCAATCAATACGAGTTATTTTTCCTAAGTCGTTCCTATTGTCCCTTCAGTCTGATGAAAATCTTGACATAAACCTAAACGAAAATACTGATTTTTCTCAAATATGGTTTTCAACATATTCTATTCTCCTCTCTCTTCCCTGCCTACAGTTGGGACCCAAACTCCTCCCCAGCCTCCATCCAATTTTGTCTTCTGTATTTAGGAAAATTTATTGGGAAAAGAAATGCAAGTCTCTTCTGACTGATCTCACCCCACAGCAAGCTTTCCCTCATTTAAAATGTCCTTGGCCCCAGTGTCTGTAACAA
The DNA here is from genome assembly GCF_000001405.40 of Homo sapiens. Taxonomy (NCBI): domain Eukaryota; kingdom Metazoa; phylum Chordata; class Mammalia; order Primates; family Hominidae; genus Homo; species Homo sapiens. The sequence continues at coordinate 219,275,262 of NC_000001.11, forward strand.
CTACATGGGCTCTGATTTCCTTGTGTACCGCCTAATAATTATCAGTCTTCGGGCACATCCTTTAGTCTTCCCACTGGTTCCCAAGTTCCTGGAGAGCAATGTATACCTGTACAGCCAATTTAATCTTGTATGGTGTAGACATGATGATTAACTAAATGCACAAACAAGGGAAAGACATTCATAATTTTCTATATATTCAGAAACAATAGACTGTATTATATTAACTCTAATCTATATTCTTCTCATCAAATTTTAAGTTGATTTGCCATTATCAAATGAACATATTTAACAGCAAAATCAATTTCAGAGAACATTTTCTTCTAAAAGCAAATTATAAGTCTATCACAAATATTAAAAATATTTCCATAGAGTAGAACAAGAATGTACTATTAAGGTGATCTATAGGCAAATAAAATTATATATTTCATCTCAAATTATTATTAGTGCTTTAAGTATTAAAACTTTAATATAGAGTTAAATATAATATGTAAATATATTGTAAAATTTAATATATGCTAAAAACAATATTTAAAATATTAAACTCATCTTAAGGCTCAAGATTCTACACCCTAGCTTCATTCTTTGCTCCTAAGACACTACTCTAACTAAAACAGGTCTTGCACACTTGAGCTTTATATGCTGCTACTTTTAACTACTCTTGAAAAGTGAAATTTAAGTGTTTTCTTCCAGAGAATTGGAGCAAACAAAATTAAAGCTATCATCTGTGATCTTTTACCTTGACTAGTAGAAAAGGGTGATCCTAATGTAATTATTGAAACAGTGATGATATCAAATATAAAAATAATGTTTACTGCAGCTCCCTCTGCTTCCCAGCCAGCCTTTGAAGCGAGGTAATTTCCAAATCAATTTGCCTCTCACTCAAGTCACTTCATCTTTCAGCTGGTCCCACTTGAAGAAAAAAAAACATTAATTGGACTTGCCATTGTGTCTTGGACTCTTTTGGTGACAATTTTCTGTGACAGGGTAAAAGAGTTGCTAATTCATTGCTTCAGGAAATGAAGGCCTAATAGCTTCACATCTGGTAAATTATGGCTTTCCTGCTCCTCAAGGCAGCAGCGGTACACAAGGCATTATTTGGAATTAAAGGAAAAAAAAAACAGCAAAGGAAATCAATTTTTACATTTACAGTGGACTCTTTCAAAAATTAAGATTTATAAGCCAAGAACGTTTCTTTATAAAAGCATCCATTGTCTAAGACATAGAATTGAGTCAGCCAGAGGGTAAATTGAGCAAAAACGCTTCCAATATCTTAATGGAAACTCTGAGAAGTCACTGTAGAATTAAATCATGTGGCATAGCTTTTTGCCCCTGGGGGTGGGCCATGTGTAAATTGTGCAAATGTAATGATACAGTCTTTTGGGCCTTTGGGGAATACGACAAATAAAGATTGACTTTACTTTGAGTGGGGATCATGTTGCATACTGGATGGGAAATTCAGTTTGGCCCCATTTTTACATGATGCCTAGACAGATCAGTTTGCAAAAGAAGTATGGAAAAGGAGAAGTACGGAGGAAATTCCCCCAAAGGACACATATGGGACACCGCAACCTTCTTTATGAAGAATTACAAGAGCTCGGGTATAGAAATTGAGATGTTTCACCCCAGTTATTGTCCCGATGGTAGGATTGGTGGTGAATGGCTTTTATCACATCAAGACTAAGTTGCACCATGGACTTGTGAAATTACCCCAATGACTTCCATATTTTTCCCTATCTAGTTCACAAGGAAAAATGAACAATGATAACCAAAGAGGCAAACTGCAGAATTTTAGCAGTAGATATCAGAGGTCTGGCAAAAACAAATCTAATATCTAGAAGGGCGCTGGTCCTTAGAGATGAGGGCTCTTTTTATCCTGGCAGTACAGTGACCACCACAATCACAGCGTAGAATTTACTTCCACCTAATCTTCTGTAATCCCCAATTGGAGCAATTAATTTTACAAGGGGTCATGCTCCCTTTCTGTGGTATTTCTATTGAGAGCTTAATGATGTGTCCTTTATGATGCATTTTGGCAGCACCTTTCACCCAGACCTGAAAATATTCATTGATTATGATCAGCAATTTTGGTGTTGTAAATGGGGTGTAGCTGAAGTGTTTCCTTGATGACAGAGCATAGAACAGCCTGTGCCTAGAAAGGGAGAGAGAAAGGGAGAGAGACACTGTGGGTTTAGAACTCATTTCACTTATCTAAACATGGGCCTTGTTCCATACAGATGACACAAAGAGGAACTGAAGTGGAAAGTAGAGTGTATACTAGGATCAGCAGTTCCAAGCAGAACTAGGAGATAAGGGAAAGCACCACATTTTAGGATCAGAAGCTGGAAAACAACAAGAATCTGATGGCCTCACACACTATCTTCTTTGTCTTATTCACTTTAGCCCTCAACCACTAAATGACCCATGTTCAGATATCTGCTCATCTGAAGGCATTTTAACAAATTGGCTTAAATAATTGACATATTTTTCCTAAGCTCCTCTCATCTCCTAAAACCAGGAAATTGTCATTGTGATTTTTTTTTTAAATATCAGAGCAAAGCTTTGAAAATTAATTCAATTCACTGGCTTTTGTCCAAAAACAAATCTGGGGACTTCAAATAAGTTAAGCTTTTCCAGATCCACTGTTTCCAAGGAGAAGAAGTTTTATTGTTGTTGTTGTTTAAGTATTGGAGGAGATGTGAGGGAATACAGAAAGATGGCAAACGTACAACTTTAAATATTCTACAAAAAGTTCAAACCGATCACAATTTCAAAAATTGTTTTTACATTTATTATCTCATTTTATCTTCCCAGCAACCTTATGATGTGGCCAGTGCCAACATCCTCATTTTTCACATAAGAAAATTGAGGCCCAGATTGTTGTGTAAGCCATTTTGCCAAGGATCTTAACAAAAGCAAACTAGAACACTAGAACATAACCTACCCCTGGACTCTTTTCCATAAACCACATTGCTGCTATGTCTCTTGCTCCCCTTTGTAGAGAATCAAGCCTCTTTTTGTCTGAGGACTCATAATGTGTCCCAGGCATCTTAAGTGGTACACAGAGAGAGAAAGAGAAAGGGAGAGAGAGAAAAAAACAATTTAACAATTTAGCCTTTACTATGTAGCAGGTCTATTTAAAGCCTTTATATGTAAGAATTCATTTAATCATCACAAGATTACAATGTATGTCCGGTTGTCTGGGAATATTTTACAGATGAGAAAATATCCAAAAAGGATATGGAACTTGCCCAAGTACACACAGCTCATAAGTGATGGGGCTGGGGTTTGAATTGAGGAAAGTCTGGCTCTTGAGTCAGTACTCTTACCCACTGTACTTTATTCCCTCTCTAAAGTCAGTGAAATTCTTTCTTATCTTTCTCAATATTGAGCAAAACTTTTGTCACATAAAAATCACTAAACAACAACAACAACAACAACAACAACAAAACGTTTCATGGATTGGGAAAGAAGGGCGGACACCCTGCCATCTTGTCTACTTGCCTTTTGGCCTAGGACTGGGTTTTATGGCCTCTCCAGTGCTGACATTTGGACCTTGATAATTCCTTGTTGTGGGAGCTGTCCTGTGCCTTGTAGGATGTTTAGCAGCATCCCTGTCCTCTACCCTCTAGATGCTGATAGTGCCCCTCAATTGTGATTATCAAAAATGTCTCCAGACATTACCAAATATCCATGGCAGTAGGGGTAGGGGGATGGAAAATCACCTCAAGGTTGAGAATTCCTGGCCTCGGGCATGAAAAAGAGGTACAGCCTTGTAGGGGGATTCCTTCCAGGAATCCAGCATCAAGAATGCTCCCGTGTGACTGTCTTTTCCCAATGCAGTCTGGAAAAAAGCATGAAGGGCTCGTGCGTTTTTGCCTCCTCCGCCAACAGCTAAGAGATAACACTTGTTGGGTTAATGTTCTTGCATCCAGGCAATATTCTGACTATGTGGGAAGAGGAATGTGGGTGGGCAGGGGATTTGTGACAAGGAGAGAATGGCATAGTAGGTACCAATGCTCCTATATGACTCCATGCCAGTACATTTAGCATATTTCTGAAAAAAGAAAGAAATGGGGCACGCCATCAGGTAATGGATCCAATGCCCAGATGAACTGAGGTGTGGCAATTTCCCCCAGTCAGGAGCTTACTTCAGAATAATGTTGCTTTGACGTGAAGCTGTAAGGACATTGGATGAAAACAATCCAGAACCTGCTTATCTTTCAGCATGAAAGACATTTGTGTGTTTTCTGAGTCATCTGAAACACAGAGTGTAGGATTTTCCTGATGGATAAGGAAACCTGATGTACTCATTTATTATAACAATGAGATCATTGGAAGACCCATAAAACTGAAGTCTGCTATCCAAGTTCAGATCTAGTTTGTTGTTCAGATAATGGTTCCAAGCTTATTTAACAAGCCAGTTTTGACAAGTTGAATTTTTTATAGGATGTTTGTTTAATTGTAGCATGGCCATCCTATCACAACAGTATTTTCAACTATGCAGAGAAAACCAAAGTCAAAAGGATTTTTCACAGTGAGATTTACACGTCCTTCAAATGAAAACTCTCTGAGTCATATTTTAGCCAGTCATATTTTAATTTTCAATAAAGGAAAAGACTCCAAAATATCCATAGGTGTTTCTAAAAGCCACATCAGAAAAGGAGAAAAAAAAATGGGGTAGAAGAAATTACAAATAGGCTGATATCTTTAAGAGAGCTCAAGATTATTGAAAATCTGATTACATATATAACAAACGTTTCAACTTGTTTCACCCAGATGAGGTGGCAGAATAGAATGAATATTACATAGGCAGACAATTCTCAAGGGAAGTCTCTGAAAATTTTTTAGAAGTTTATAGGTGAATGCCATTTTCATCGCTTTCTACTGCAATATGAAGTATGCAGGCTTTAGAGCCATGCTGACTGCAGTCCAAAACCCTTCTGGAGCTTCACTGAACCTCATAACTTTTCTAAGCCTCATGTCCACTTGTAAACAAGCAGATAATACGTATTATATAAAGTTTTTTGATGCCTAAAGAAGGTATTTTTAAAACTTAACAAAATACTTGAGTTGGAATAGAAGCTATTATTATAACACTATTATTCCTAATATCTTTATGACACCTCATTTAGACAACTGGATATCTGCTTTTCCAGGATTTGAATCTCCAATTTATTCCCCCCATCACGCTATATTTTTACCTATTTTTTGAGATATATACAGGTGGGAGAGGGGAGATGAAGGGATAATGTCTAATTTTTTCACATTTATTGGAATCACATTAACAATTTGCTTATTAATAATTATGCATTCTGAACAACATATATGTTTAGTCTAGGAAAAAGGGTACAAGTTGATTTCCATAAGCATCAAATCACAAATAATAACTGAACACAATCTACTCTCATATGCATTGATTTTTTTTGCCAGTTTGAGAAAACATCCATCAGCTCTTTTTAGGACCCTCTGCAAAAGGACTCTTAACATTTTAAAAAGGCATAGTAGGCCAAGCATGGTGGCTCATGCCTGTAATTCCAACACTTTGGGAGGCCTAGACAGGCAAAATACCCGAGGTCAGGGGTTCAAGACCAGCCATGGCCAACACAGCACAACCCCATCTCTATTAAAAATACAAAAATTAGCCAAGTGTGGCGGCGGGCGCCTGTAATGCCAGCTCCTCAGGAGGCTGAGGAAGGAGAATCACTTGAACCCAGGAGGCAGAGGTTGCAGTGGGCTGAGATCGCACCACTGCATTCCAGCCTGGGTGACAAGGTGAGACTGTCTCAAAAAATAAATAAATAAGTAGACAGATAATAAAGGAATGAGACTTCATTAATTAGTTTTAAAGAAGTACTCAGGGTGATTGAGATGACATTCCATTATGTTCCCCTGATTAGGATGGGCTTGGCAGTTTGATTCATAGAACACTATGTAGAAAGTATCTTTTCCTTTGGCATGAAATTAGTTAAACTGGCATGTAAACACATGCAATTAATATCTTCCCTGTCTACCCTGTGCCAGTAACTTAAAAAAATAAAAATAAAGAGAGAAAGGTAATAATTAATCTATAAAGAAAAAGACAATAGTACATAAAAGATTTAAAGATATATTTGAAAATTGGAAAACAGTAAATGAAAATAGGTAAAAATCTAAATAAGGTAAATCTAAGCACTTACTATCAAGGAAACAATAAGTGAGTTAATTCACCCTGTAAAACCCAGAAAGGCTCAGAATTGGAGGACTTGGTTTCAGAAGAAAGTGGAGTTCAGGAGAAGGTTTGGAACCAAGTTTCTCCCTCCACTGCATGCAGCCAAGCAACTACTATAGAACCACCCTCCCCAACACACACACACACACAGCAGGTGAGACTGGAGAAGGCTCTTTCTCTCCAAAAACCAAACAGGGGAGAAGTCTAGGAAGAATGAAAAGTGTCTCGCCTCAATCATACCCTCTCACCTGCTCCCAGGATGCCAATTGTCAAACTTATGCTGGTCCCTCCACACCCACCGTCATGCTCCATAACTGACAGAAATTAGATTTTTTCTTTTTTTCTGAACGGCCACTGAAAAATGTCTCTAGATAAGTATTTGAGATCCTCAATGGAAAGGGGACGTCATCCCCACAGACCCTGCAGTGATCCCTGAGAATCAGCACCTCTGCTCATAGGTACAGTAGTTCCAGCAGTATTTTAGCCACTCTCTCTTACATGCACTTGGACAGAGAAGAATGACCAGACATTAGAGGAAAATGTGCAACATGAGCATGGAGACCAAACCCCATAAAACAAACAAACAACTAGACACAGAGGACTTAGATGAATCAGAGTCAGTGCAGACATTGAAAGAAACTTTTCGAAAATCATAATGTCCTCAAAGATACACAGGGAAACAAGTCTGTAATATAGATAACAGTTACCATGAGAAAGGATCAGAAGCAAATAGGAACTCCTGTCTATAAAAAATATAAAAAGTAAAATACAAGCATTAAATAGAAAATTGTAAGATAGGGCCAAGCAACTCTCAAAAGTAGAACAAAAATTAAAGAAGAGAGAAATGGGAGGGAAAAAGATAAGAAAAAATATATCATAGATCTTGTGAGCTCTCCAGCTACTAATTAGGAGTTCCAGAAAGAAAAGAGAGAAAATGAAGGGGGGATATTATTGAATAAGTAATTTAAGACATTTTCAGACTGAAAGACATGTGTCTTCCCATTGAAAGGACAATGGAGCACCTAGCACAATGAATGACAAAAAAAAAAAAAAATTCCAGGTAGGTTATGGTAAAATATAGAATACTTGAAATCAAGAAAAGATCCTAGAAGCTTCCAAAGGGGAGGGGGATAACACAGTCAAATACAAAACAATGGTCTTGAATTTCTTAACAGCAACTGAATCTTAGAAGACAGTGGAACAAAGCGTGAAAAATTCTGAGTGACAGTGATTTTCAACTGAGAATTCTATTTTTTTTCCAAAAAAAATCAAATATAAGGGTAATGCATTTTTTATTTAAAATAATTTTGTCATGTCAGAAATATAAGTGCTTTAGAAAACAACATAGTAAACCAACAAAGAAAATGCAAAAATTGTTGTCTATCTTATGAGAGATGAAGGGAAGGTTCATGATTACAGCAGAGTGTGTAGTAGGTCTAGAGAATTATCCACCATAAAGGAATGAAAGTTATCATTCTAGGATGAAATTATCCATCCTTTTCTTGGTGGGGCTCTAAGAAAGAGAGAAGTGGGGGCTGAAGAGATGAAATGAATGTGTTTGAGTGAATGGATTATTGATAGACCTATGGCAGACATGATGAAATGTTTGGAAAATAATTACTACAAGGCAGCACAGAGTGTTGGAGTGATTTCTCCAGGGCCACACATCTAGTAAACAATGGATCTGGGCTTATAATCTAGCTCCATATTTGGTGCTCTTATCCGGCACCCAGTAGGACTTTTCAAGCACGTGACAACAGGGCATGTTCTTTGCCATGTCATTTATGATGTAACTTTGATTATAATATAGTAAAAAGAAAATCCGGGTGTAACTTTATTGAGAGGTACTGTTTGGGATGGGGGCAAAGAAACAAATCTTCATCATCCATGCCTAGAATTATCGATGAAGAAATAGCAGTGCATGCATATGATTCACAAACGTGGAGCTAAGTACAAAGGAGAAGCAGAGCAGTTTAGCGTATTTGCCTCTGGGGAGCAGGACCCAGGTGTGGAAAGGGATGGAAAGTGGAAAAATCTATTTTTCCTCATAAGCTGTTTCGTGCTAGTTGAAATTTAAATTCTACCCTCATCACTCTGGCTAAAATAAAATTAATAATATAATATTTTAAAATTAAAGCACAGCATTTTTAAAAGAGATATCATAGTGACTGACAATTGCCTGTACAGCCTTTGGGCAGAGGAAAGGCAAAAAAAAATTTATTAGGAACCATAGAAGCATTCAAGTGTTAGGTCACTGTAAGCATTCCTGCCATTTTTAACTAAAAAGATTGTATTGCTGCATTTGTGATCTGTGGGTAGAGACTTAGTCATTGAGTCAAGGCCTTGTACAGATCAGTTTGATCTTGTTCATATCAGAAGAGGGAGGAAGCAGTGGGTAATGTAGATGTTCTATGCCTGGGCACTAGTCAGGCATTTGAGACTCAGAATGAAATTGTTCTTATGGTGATATGGTTTGGCTCTGTGTTCCCACCCAAATCTCATCTCAAATTGTAATTCCCACGTATGGAGGGAGGGAAGTGATTGAATCATGGGGATGGTTCCCTCCATGCTATGTGCATGATAGTGAGTAAGTTCTCAGGAGATCTGATGATTTTGTAAGGCAGTTCTCCCTGCTCTTTCTCCTCTCTCTCCTTCTGCCATGTAAGACATGCCTTGCTTCCTCTTCTGCCATGATTATAAGTTTCCTGAGGCATCCCCAGCCATGCAGAACTGTGAGTCAATAAAACTTCTTTCCTCTATAAATTACCAGTCTTGGGTAGTATCTTTATAGCAGTGTGAAAACAGACTAATACACATGGCTTAATGAGCAAAAGTCCTGATCACCAGAATCATTAGAGATCAAACAATCCCAGAGGAGCACTCTGCCTCATTCATCGTATTCAGAAGAATGAATAATAAGTAATGCAAAGGAAAAATGCTTGAGGTGATGGATACCCCATTTGTCCTGATGTGATTATTACACATTACATGCCTGTATCAAAATATTTCATGTAACGCAATAATATATACACCTACTATGTACCTACAAAAAGTAAAAAATAAATACACAAGAAAATATTAAATGGATTCTCATAGTAAATTAAAAAAAGAAAGAATAAGAAGTAGCAGCAACTATACATATGCTACATATATGCCAAGCACTGTTCTCTGTGCTTTTTTATGTATTAACTAATTTAATTTCACAACAACTCTATGATGTAGGGACTACTGTTACTGTCTTTATTTTAAAGATGCAGAAACTGATATCAAAGAGATGTTAAAGACCTTCCCATGGTCCACAGGAGAGTTGGGGCTGGCTCCCAGGCCAAGCTCGTAACCTTTCCCTGCCTCCATTCCCCAACTCTCCTCTGTGCCACTGCACTGGTGGTGAGACAATGACAACAGAAAGCAAATTGGATTGAATCCTCTATAAAGAAAACTAATGCATTTGAATATGAATTTTAACCCAGGTAGTGATCAACCAAGAGAAAAAAATGGCCCACTGAAAATACTAACATGAAATTAATGGTAATAACACTTAAAAATTATACAGTGGTAGTGTCTACACAGTTAAGAAGGCAAGCAAGACTAAAATTATTATGTGGAAAATTCAGATTAAAGAACTCACCACAAAATTAGTGGAAAATTATTTAAAAATATTTGTCATGAGTAAGTCTTCAGTTGTAGGTTTTCCTTAAGGAAAAGAAATCAACTTTATCGATAAAGCACTTTTCTCATCTTCATCTTTAAACATACAAACGAAATCAGAATTAAAGTAAAGATTAGCTGAAAAACTTACTGTTTTGACTAATGAAAATTTCATTGGTGAAGGAGATGGACTGCTGTATAATACAATGTTAACTGAAAGCACTCATAAAACACTAATTGCACTGGAAATAAATGAGAGGTGCTTCACATGTGTTTATATCACTAGAGGGACACTAGCACAGGGTAACATTTAAAATATCTAACACATATTCACAATAGCCAAAGGTCGAAACAGCCCAATTGTCCATCAACAAATGAATAAAGTGTTATATCTGTGCAATGGAATATTATACAGTCACAAAAAGGAATCGAGTACTGACGTATAGCTACCACATGGATGAACCTTGAAAACACTATATTAAGCGAAAAATGCTAGACATGAAAGGCCACATATTGTATGATTCCATTTATGTGAAACGTCCAGAATAGGCAAATCCAGAGAAACATAGTAGATCAGTCGTTGCCTTAGGGTCTGAGGGGAGGTAGGAATGGAAGATGAATGCTAATTGGCATAAGGTTTTCTTTTAGGGGCAATGAAATTGTTTTGAAGCTAGATAGAGGTGGTGGTTGCACAAGTGAGAGAAAGTACTAAATATCACTGAATTGTGCACTTTAAAATGGTCAATTTTACATTGTAATATGTGAATTTCATCTTTTTCTCCTTCCCTTCTCACATATATTTGTGTATACACACACAAACACATTACTCAGAGATAGAAATTAGAGACAGAGATAGAGATAGAGATAGAAATAGAAATAGAGCTAGAGATATACACACACACATACAAAACAACCAGCCGCAGTGCATTTGGAGGGCTGCAGGTCCCACAGGCAAGCAGATAACTGAAGCTCTTGGGGACTAAATGGCCACCAGGTACTGGCCCTCTAGAGTTCCAGGGATGCAGACTCTCCCACTGGGGAGCAGAGATATGGGGATGGTGCATGACAGTTGCAATAGGCTGGCTAGTGGCTTCCTTAAAGTGACAAACTAGGGGGTTCCTAGGGCCATGAGATCATTTGGGGACTAGAAGCAGGAGCTATTTACTAATTGGCAAGTTACTATTTTAATATTAAACAACAAGCACAATATTGATGAATTTCAGTCCTGATTGGAACCAAGCTCAGTTTAAAATTTCAAAACAAACAATCTATCATCCTTGCTCGTATGATATGAAAACAAGCACAATTTCATAGCAATAGCTATCCCTGGCTTGCAGAGGGGAGGTCAGTCAAGGTCACTAAGAAAAAAAATAAAGATGCTTTCCTTTAAAATGCTTTCTCTCTGAATTTTGCAGCATCCTTATGTAAAATGCATTCTAGCAAATTAGGAGTCTCCTTCCCTGAATGAAAACAGAAGCTGCCAGGCCTCCTAGGCACAGGCTGAGAGTGGGACAGTGTCACTGCTGCTGCATCCCACTGGTCAGAACAAGTTACATGACACTCATCTCCTCAAGAGCTCCATCAGAAATTCTGAAAAACATACTTGACTTCTTCTGCACAGCCAGCTTCAGCTCCACAAAAACAGCCTTTGGCTTTTGCTCCATAAGATTTGCCTGTTCTCCTCTGTATGGTGACAGTTGCAACTCATGATCTTGATTTTCATGGCCCATCATCTCTGCTTTTTGACAGTTTCCTGTAATGGTTTGCTTTCACTTTTTTCCATTCACATTTTTACTTCTTCCTTGAAAAAATCTGCATGGAATTGAAGCTAGGGAATGGTATGGAAGGAGGACACACAATGAGAGAAAAACACACTTTGTCATCTTTCCAGTTGAATGGCAGGATGGAGTAACAATAACACATCTACCATGCATTTACTCAGCTAGGTTAGTTCATCATTTTGCTCCTTGAGGTATCGGTTTGGGTTTTTTAACTCAGAATCTCTGTAGAGATGATATTGGCCTCAATCTGATACCTCTAAAACCAAAACAATCCTCTTTTTATCCGAATGCAGGAAGAGGTGAGGAAGAATGACAAGGACTTGCTGCCCAGACTTCTTAGTCCCGCCAATACGTAAATAATTTAGCAATGTATTTAACAGAGAGATAACCTGTCTACAGAAAATGCTTTAAGAATGATTTCCATTGCTACCCCAAGCTACCCTTATGCCAGTGCAATTAGGTCCCAGGTAGGATTTGAAAAATCATATTTTCCTCACCAAAAAAGATATATGGATGGCAAATAAGCAAATGACAAGTTGCTCCACAGTGTGTATCTTCAGGGATATGCAAATTGAAACAACAATGAGATACCTATTAGAATAGCCTACACACCTATTAGACACTTACACATCTATTAGACGCCTACACATCTATGAGAATGGCCCAAATCCAGATCACCAACAGAGCACCAAACACTGATGAGAATGTGGAACAACAGGAAGTCTCATTCGTCACTGGGAAGGCAAAATGGAGGAGCTACTTTGGAAGAAATTTGGAAAGTTTCTTACCAAACTAAACATATTCCTTACCATGTGATATAGTTTAGCTCTGTGTCCTCACCCAAATCTCGTGTCGAACTGTCATCCTCACTTGATGGAGGGGCCTGGTGGGAGGTGCTTGAATCACGTGGGTGGACTTCCCCATTGCTGTTTTTGTGATAGAGTTCTCACAAGATCTGGTTGTCTGAAAATGTGTAGCACTTCCCCCTTCACTCTTTCTCTCTCCTGCTCCACCATGGTAAGACATGCTTGCTTCCCCTTTGCCTTCTGCCATGATTGTAAGTTTCCTGAGGCCTCCCAGCCATGCTTCTTGTACAGTCTGTGGAACTGTGAGTCAGTTAAACCTCTTTTCTCCATAAATTACCCAGTCTCAGGTAGTTCTTTATAGCAGTGTGAGAACGGGCTAATACACTATAAAATCCAGCGATCACACCTTGGTATTTACCCAAAGAAGTTAAAAATTTGTATCCACATGGAAACCTACACAGGAAAGTTTATAGCAGCTTTATTTATAATTGCCAAAATTTAGAAGCAACCAAGATGTTCTTCAGTAGGTGAATGGTTAAAGAAACTGTGGTATGTTCAGACAATGCAATATAAGTCAGTGCTAAAAGGAAATGAGCTATCAGGCCATAGAAAAGCACAAAGGAAACTTAAGTGCATATTTTACTAAGTGAAAGAAGCCAATCTGAAAAGGCCATATGATGTACTCCAAATATATGACATTCTGGAAAAGGTAAAACTATGGAATCAGTTAAAAGAAAAAGATCAGTGACTGCCAGGGTTTGAGGCGTGGGATAATTTATCTACAGAAAATTTTCAGGGCAGTGAAAATTTTCACGGAAGCACAGAAGATTTTCAGGGCAGTGAAAACACTCTGTATAATGCTATATTGATGAATACATATTATTATACATTTACCTAAACCCATAGGATATACAACACTAAGCATGAACCTTAAGGGAAACTATGGACTTTGGGTGATATTGATGTGCCAATGTCGTTTCATCGACTGTAACAAATGCACCACTCTGGTGGGAGATGTTGACAATGGGGAAGGCTGACCATATGTGGAGACAAGAGTATATAAGAAATCTCTGTATCTTCTTCTCAATGTTGCCATAAACTTAAAACTGCTCTTAAAAAACTTGTCTTACATGTTTTAAAATTGTACTTTAACTTGTGAGAATTGTGGTAGAAGTACGCTTTAAAATTAATTCATGCCTCTAAAATATTGCATTTGTCATAAAATGTCATTAGGCACGCTCTCATTTAAATCGTCTTGCTCGAATTTGGTCAGGAAATGTTACCGTCTTAATACATCTGGATGATAAACATAGGCTCCTTTCCTTCTAGGGAGGCCATGCAGAAATGTGCTGGCACAAGTTACCTCTTGTTTTGTTTTTTTTGTTTTTTTTGCCTTTGGAAATTTCTTTGGAGGCACAGGACCCGAGGATGTGTAACTGAGATACATTTCTAAGGGCCCAAGGTTAGAGAGAAAAAGGAGGCGGCAGAGAAAAATTTGATAAGTATCAGAGTACATGCTATGCTTAATGCCGAAACCTGATCATTACTTAGTCTGTCCACCTCCCAATCATCGTGATCTGAGAACCAAGGAAGCCCGTGAGAGCTGTAGTGAGATCAAATGAGGGGATGCATGTGAAATGATTTTGTAAATTGTGAAGTGCTGTATATTTATATTCTTCTCACAGAATGGAGGCTCTGTGGGGAGTTTTTATTAGGTACTATGGGAAGAGAATATGAAAGAAATCGAATTCACAATCCTTGTGCCTAATGATCTTACAGATTAATAGCAGACAGAACACGGCAAGAGAGCTATTGTGAGAAAATAATATACCACACACATAAAAATCTATAATACAAGCCAATAGGCTGTAGAGTGTGGGCATGCAGAAAGAAGTATGGTTTTCAGTGAAGACTCTGCTTCAAGTAGAAAATTACTCTCAGTCTTTTCACCCACATTCTGTTTTAGATGTTTTTCTTTTTCATGAGCTGCTGGTATTGTCAAACACTTTCAAGCGTATTGTTTTAGTTAATGCCCACAATTGCTCGCGCCATCCTCATTTTATAAATTAAGAAACCACAGTTCAGAAAAGTTAAATAAATATTTCAAAGATGACATAATTAAGTGACCAAATTTGGGTTTAAATCCAAGCAGATCTCTCTGATATTAATGCCCCTTGGCCACCCTACCTTTTTCATCAGAGAAACACATTAGTTATCCCTTCCTTAATTGAATGAGAATTAGTGTCTAATGGCCAATCCTACTGATCCACAATCCTCTAAATCCAGATAACCTGGGGCTCAGTGAGAGCTGCAGGTAAGCAGCAAAATCCTGGAGGTTTGGCTCTGCCTTTCTAATGCCAGGAGACTGAGAAATGTCAGCCTTGGAGAAACAACAGGTCACCTAGGTGCTCTTGCTAAGACCCATCAGAATGCTCAGGTGTGATGTCTTGGTTTCATGCTGCAAATAAATAAGTAAATAAATGGACATGATTGTGGCTCTATTGTGCTGTGTCATTCTTAGGCATAGTTGGTTTCTCCTGCTAGTGTGCTTCCATGTCTTCCATCTCACTGTTAGAGGCATTCGAACCAGAGGAACTCCATCTTGAGTGAGGGCTAGGAAAAATGAGGCTGAGACTTTCTGGGCTGCATTCCCAGGACGTTAGTTATTCCTAGCCCCTCTACATGTTTAGGTTTAAAAGAACAGATTGATAACATTTACTAAACAGACCCAGACTTCCAACATCTTGAGAAGCATTTCTAATTTTGCTTTAAAAATAATAATATTGATTTTTACAAAATACAGTGATTAAGAAAAGTAACCCTTTATCACAAACCCTTATAGCAGAGCACATCTCCCTATGATATGTTGTTGTTGTTGTTATCCTATATATAAACAAGTATTGTACCTAGAGTGGGAGCATTCCTCCTCTTACTTTCGGGAATGCCCTTCTCTGTCTGCGGAATAGCTATTCTTTCACCACTTTACTTTCTTAATAAACTCGCTTTCATTTTGCACTGTGGACTCGCCCCAAATTCTTTCTTGAGCGACATCCAAGAACCCTCTCTTGCAGTCTGGATTGGGACCCCTAACATAACTTGTGACCATACCCAAATGCACTATCTTTATATTCTGTACATGCACATTACACATGGCAGGTATTCACAAAGTTTTGTTGAATATACTCTATTCACAGACCAGCCTGGTGTAGGAGGTAAGCACAGTTTATGGTCATGGAAAACCTGAGATCAAATCCTATATCTACTATTACTGGCTGTAAAATCTCAATCAAGTTACTTAGTATCATTCTGTCAGTTCTCTTGTTTGTAATATAGGGAATTAATAGCACCCACTTCAAGGATTGTTAACCAACGCTTGAGTAAGCTTCTATAAAGTGCCTAAAATAACACTTGGTATATAGCAAGTATCAAATAACTCTAATTATGATGTTTCATACAATGGTGTTTGTTGACAGAAAAAAATGTCAAACAACAAAGGAAAATACTCAAATAATATTTGCGTATTTATAAATTCTCAATATGTTACATAATGCAAGACCAAAGAATCTCTGATGCAGATATAGTCAGTTTGTGTTTTAGTTCAGTCTTTTAGCTTCTATTAAATGTGGAAGAAAATACTCTTTTATTTATTTTTGTTTGCTGTTTTGGATGGTTTGGAAGTACAAGAAGTAAAAAGCATACAAATATTTGAAATAAGTGCCAGCTTTGAATCTTCTCTACAATCTACTGTCCTTTGTTCTGTTGGGAACACATGTCAGCTGACTTCACTAATGATTCCTCTCTAATAATAATGCTTACTATGTTTCAGGGGTGTTAAGCCACCTCTTCCCTAATATTCAGGTTTCACCAGGTCTCCTGACTCTTGGAGGGACTGGAGATGGTGATGATTACAGTCATATGTCCCCGATTTATTTTACTTCCACTCAAAGATAAGATTTCTCCCCCAACCTCTTAGCTCTCTATTTAGGTGCCAAGTTAGGCCAAGTCTTTTTCTTCTATGCACCTAGATTAGTAATTAAAATCACCTGTCACAGGGTTACAAATGCCTTCATGCTCCATTCATATGTGCAAAAAAAAATGTAGCTTCTTTATTATGTTACAAAATGCTCCCATTGTCATCAAACGCCACCATTCATTGGAAGCAGGATAAAGCGGAATAAAGCAAAAAAAAAAAAAGAAAGAAAGAAAAGAAAAACTTAGCTTGCTTACTTTTTTCAGGATTGATTACAGTTTAATGCAATAATTGAAATAATCTACATATCCCAGGCACTTATGAATATATTTCTTAGTCTCCTGCTCTTCAAAAGCAGGCACCTGGGTGTGCAGTGGGGGCCCACACAATAGAAATGAACACGTGGGCTCCTCACCCGTCTTTTGCTCCTCTTGTACTGCAGCAATGTCTTGTCTCTCCCGACACCACCTTGTGTTGCTGCCTTCTGATCCTCAAATCTCAGCTGACGGGACAGGTGGTCCTCCCTGCTGACCCCCTTCACCTCTCCTGGGAATGTGAAAGCCCTGAGATCTCAATGGGACTCGAATTTGGTTCCCAGCCAGATAGTATGCCCTGAAGTTCACAACCACAAGGCACTTTCACACCAACCACTGGACTCCCCTCTTGTAATCCTAGATTCTCAGTAATATTACATCCTCCATTTGGAACAAATAGGAATTGCTGAGTCCTGCCCATGCTACCTGGGAGCCCAACTTAGTTAGGAAGATCTAAGCTCAAGTGCTCTCTCTGCCTGTCAGAGCAACCTTTTTGGCACTGATGCCACCTTCTGCTGGTGCCCTACCAGTCTGCAGGACATGCTTCTTCTGTCAGAGTCCCAAACCTAAAACTAGGACTGAAACCTTGCTGCCCTCATTTCCCCAGCACAGCTGCCTTTTACACCTCATCTAGTCTTGTAGCTACATCCAGCTGATTTAAAAACTGATTTCATCTTTAGGATATTCACTGAACACTTTAGATGTACTACATACTGTGCACTACACAGGGGTACAATGTCAAGTAAGGTAGGCCCTCTGTTTCTAATCACGTAAGAAGGTTATTATAAAAATATGTGTTTTATGGTGTGTTGAGATAGAGAGGCAAGGCTTCCTGTGTACCCATAGAAGAGCTATTGAACTAGCCTGGCAGATGGGGCTTCAGAGGAGGCTTCCTGGGATAGGAGACATCCATTCTTACCAACAGCAATTACCTCTGCTCCCACCCAAAGGCATGTGTTGTCGATGTCTTGTTAATATACTAGTGGATTCACTGCTTGGGGACTTTTGGAGAGCTCTGCAACCTTTTAGCTGTGGCCTCCAAATAATTTTCACATAGTAGATTCAGTGGTAAGGAAACCAGTTCTACTGCGTCTGATCAATTCTTTCAAAGACTACAAAATCAGTCTCCGAGTTTACATCTGGGATGGGATAGCTTGCAGGAGCCTTTTGAGGAGATTCTGAGCACTTCCTTAGCAGATGAGCCAGAAATGAGAACAGCTGTTCTCCACAGAGTTTTGACATTTCTGGTCTCCGCAAACCATACAGAGCTGAAAAAAATAAAAATAAAAAGGGTGAGAGAGATAGTAGAAATGGGAAGGAATATAGGGTATTTCCCCCCAAAAAAATAGGTTGATTATGATATTATGTAAAATATATTAGAAAGAAATAATCCCATTCCCCAAATTTATAATTTTAGTTTTTGTATCCCTGGCTTAGAGTTAAAAATATAGTCTCTCTCCCCCCAGCTCTCTCCCCTCCCCCAACTTGGCAATTTAGTGCAATCATATCACTGGAGACATTGTTTTTCTCATCTGTCACAATTTGTTGTTTATTTAAATACGGAATCAAGAAATTCACATTGAAATTAAACATCTTGTTTCCTATGGCTGAAAGCCAGCAAGAATTTGTCTTTGGAAGGCTGATTACAAAACACGAAACAGCATTTTTGTGTAATGTCTTTCCTACTGATTTCATCAAGTGATTAGTATCTGATTATGACTGAGCCACTAGACATGTGCGTATATTAAAAAATAGCTTAGGTATCTTAATACACAATATATCCAGAATAGAATTAATGTGTATTGAAGTAGCTTGTGTTTCCAATATGGCATCTGAGGTTAATCAGAACCTCAAGTTTAAGGAAGAGAAAGGATGCCCTTGGAAAGACAATAAAAACATCCATTACAGGACTTACGTTTTCTCTGCCTTGTCCCCCAAGCTTATTCAGTCCCCATGTGTCACATGTCCAGCATAGACCTGTGTGGTCTATGGCACTAATTCCTGGGGAAACATCCAAATTGCAGATTATCTCCAAAGCCATTTGACTATTTTCCCACTGTCTTCTCCTTTAGGCTACCATTGAAATGGAAAATTTGCTGGAGAAAGTTGATTAAGTAACATTTCACGGAAGAGGAGAATTGTAATAACCATTTGATAGAAGAGAGATGTCCTTGAACTCAATCTATCCTGAAGATGCTCCTGAGAGGGCAAACAAATAACATCTCTCTGGAAGGATGCCTGCCTTTGTCAAAGCTTTCAAATCTGTATGACTTCTATCTTTCCTTGGCTTCCCTTACTCAATTAGTCAAGGATCCTTGTGGATGTTTAACATAAAATGTCACTCACATCTGCCCTCCTCCTCAACTTTCCATTCCATCCTCTCCACAGATGCCTGATGCATTTTCTTCTGACTCAGTCTTCTGTTTTTCATGGAGAACACAGAGCAAGACAGAAGCTCCCAACTGTGGCATCCAAGAGCAACTTGAGCTGCTCCCTTACTTATCTCTGGTAATGATTTGAATCCTTTGCTTTTGCCAGACTGACTCATCTAGTCATTGCTCCCCAAATATTCATTTCCCCATTATTTCTTGTGGCCTAAGCACCAAATTTTGTTCTTTCAAAATCTACTCTTCCTTCAGGTCTGGCTCAAACTCTTTGTGATGACTGTTCTACCATATGGCTTAATAGCTAAGTACACATGCATTGACCTCAAGCCTTCCCACAGCTCAGGTTCCTGAGGCACAGACTCTGGATGGAAATTAGCACATAATAGGTTTATTAGAAAGTGCTCTTGGAATTAACATCTTTGGAGGAAGAAAAGAAGCAATATTGTCCAGAGAGGGAAGTTGAACTGCAATGAAGTTGCCACAGAGGCTTCAATGAATCCTTCTGGGTGTAGAGCTGGGATGACCTTTCCAGAGTTTTCCAATTAAGGGAATTGTATCTCACCTCAATCTCTAGTCTGAACCTTGGGTGAGGCAGCTTCTTTCAGCCAATGGCAATTCCTGGAGGCACCAGGAGTTATGAGCAGTCAACACTCTTTCTTTGCTCCTGAGAAAATTGAGTGCCCTCTTTGGTCCTGAAAGCAGCTCTGGGCAGCACTCCACAGCATCCACTACAGACTTAGTGAGTTCACCCTGGCTCTCCCACTTACAGATTGCAGGTAAGTTTCTTAACTTGCCTATGCCCTTATCATCACTGCTACTAAAAACCTACATATGCTGCCTTCTGTTGTCATTTTAAAAATCTAATTATGACTCACATCACAATTGTTCACAACACACAACCATTGAGAACCATGGAGCTGGGTTATGAAGTCTCTAAGGGAAGAGATTGTATCATTTTCATCTTCATACCACCCACCTCCTCCCATACAAGGAAATTTTGTCATTGTAAATTTGTCTTGATTTGCTATTTTTTGGGTTTAGCTCTGAAGTCATGAATTAGTAAAGAGAGATATAAGACAAATTTTCGGGCTATTTTTATAAATTCAGTATTGAAAAGAGATTCCCATTTCCCAGCTTTGAGACCTTTTATTTTAAGCAATATTTGTTAGCAGAAAATGTCTGTTCTGAAAGAGGTGTGCCATGAGGTCATGTTGACTTATCTCCCTTAATTTCCCTAATGTCCCCTTCTCTTCAACTTCTCTTCACTGCTTTCTTTAAGAGTTTTCAGATTGCCAGAGCCTTTCTACTAGTTTATTTGCCATTGTTCTGTCCCCTACTCCAGCTACCCACCAAACTACAACTAACACCATCATTGTTGCTCATCACAAATCTGATCATATGGTTTTTAAATTTCTCTTTTGCTTACAGAATCAAATCCAAAATCCTCACTTTGGCATTCAGAAGGTCTTTGCAATGGGCCTTCTCAGCACCTTCCGCTAAATCCCCCAGCCTTCTGGCCCCTTCCACCTTCTCCAATGAATGCTAAGCTCCAGCCACATTGACCTACTCATTTCCTGCAATATATTATGTAGCCTTTCTTGTCTTTAAAATTGCTTTTTCTAAGTGTGCCTTTTCCCTCATTTCTCTCATTGGCACATAGTTGGTGTTAAATCAATATCTGATAAATAATAAATTAATGCATACATGGTGAAAATTTTCTAAATTTTAAAGTTCTCTGCCCATGGAGTAGAAGAACATAGCATCTGACATTTTGGCAATATATGGACACATAAATGAATCAATCATAAAGAAATAATAACTTCTGAAAATCCAGCCCATATAAACAGTTATTTCTAGATCCACCGAGCTTCTGCGTGCTGGGCCAGGAAGATGCCTTTGATGGCTAGGGGATATGTAGGTTTCTGGGTTATGTTCCAGCTGTCACTCTGTGCAGGGCCTCTGGGGTTCTGCACCTGAATAAACGGTTAAATCTTCAATCCTAATATGGCTGGGCATCCAGTTAGTCATGACTGAGACAAAGGGTAAGGAAGGTGAGTACCTCTGTGAACAGTGGTTAGTTTGTTTGGGCATTCAACCAAAAGGGTACTCAGGGTCTTTGAGACACCTGCAGAGGGAATTATCCATCAACCAGGCACATAAGTGGAGGGGACAAGCTCATGAAAGAAAAACATCACCCTGAAGACGGGTAGCTGGGAGGCAGGCGAGGGAAGCTAACAAAACACCCTTCTTTTATGAGTCACTTTTTTAAGGTCTTGCTTAAATTTTTTGTTTAAAAAAATTATGATTTAAAAGGTTCAAACAGCCTAGGGAAGTAAATCCATGCATACTTCCAACATTAGTTAATATTTACTAAGAAATCATAGGTTACAACAAATTAAACTTTTTGGCTCTCTTACTGAGCTTTTCTGGCCAACCATGTTAGGGACTGTTCCTACAGATAGTTTATAACTATTTTTTTACCCCTCTAAGCAACTAAAGTGCAACGAATCAGAAGAACTCTGGGTCCATGTGGTTCTTAAGCCAGGGTCTTTGGAAAATGGATTTGAGGTTGAGGAATGGATCAATGTGAACAGGCAGACACTAGACGTGCCCGCTAATAACTGGGAAAAGTGAGTTAGATTTCTCCTTGTTTGAGGTGGAATTCCTTCATATAAACCTGGGCACCCTCAGAGAGAAATTCTTTATAGTCCAAACTGATGTTTATTTTGGACTCTGTTTCTCTTTCAGCTTTCAGTTGCGACCTTAGGAATGAGCTCACAATTGGAAGCAAATCTGTCTTCTGTTTCTACTGTTAAAGAATTACCTACCCACTGACAAAAACACATAGGATTAACAATGGCTTTGTCCCAGATAGATGCTTTTTGGAATTGTACAAACTGTATTTATGATGCTTGTACATTTTGGTCCAACTTTTAAATATTTCAATAAGACTGATTGAATTCTTAGTAAATAGAATACTTCCTCTGTTCAGTTTTGCTCTGTTGAATGCTGGAAGTTTGGTGAGTCTGACCCACTACACGTATCTCAGATGATTTAAAAACAAAGGCAGGCCATTTGGTTTTGATGCTGTGTCTGTTTTGGGCAGTGTCTCAGATTGAAATCCTGTGAATAAAAAGTGGTTCTGAAAAGTTATTCTTAGCCACTTAGGTATAGGCTCTTAGTCTTGAGAAATGGGTAAGGCTTCTGAATGTCTGATTTAGTCATACAAATCATCATTTGGCATATCTCTTTTGTGGATTTTTATTGGTATTGATTCAAAAACATTTTCAAAATTACTAAAGAGAGTACTAGTGCATTTGTACTTCATTGGTTGGATCCTTGAACAGACTGCAAGTTATTTACATTGGAGTTGACATTTCCCAGATTCTCTGGAAGCGATAAAGAGGGTAGAAGGAACTAACATGTATTTATTCATTTGTTTTACCAACAAACTTTTAGTTGGTAAAACACTAACACAACAAACCTTTAGTCATTCAAACACTGAGCTGCATGTTTTACACAGAACAACTACCTTACTCCCCTTAACAATTCTATAAAACCCATTTTATAGATAGAGACTCAGAGAGGTTAAGTAACTTGTAAATGAAGGAACTAGTAATTGGAGAACTTGAAATTTAAATTTAGATCTACTGGCCTGAATGGGTGGCTCATGCCTGTAATCCCAGCATTTTGGGAGGCTAAGTGGGGTGGATTCCTTGAGCCCAAGAGTTTGAGACCAGCGTGGGTAACATGGCGAAACCTCATCTCTACTAAAAACATAAAAATTTGTCAGGCATGGTGGTGTGCACCTGTAGTCCCAGCTACTTGAGAGGCTGAGGTGGGAGAATCACCTGAACCTGGGAGGTCAAGGCTGCAGTGAGCCGAGATACAGCCACTACACTCCAGCCTCGGTGCTGGAGTAAGACCCTGTCTCAAAAATAAAATAAAATAAAATACATTTAGGTCTTTCATTTTAAAAGCCAAGGCTTCTTCATTAAGCATGGAACCTCACAAATGTGTTATGCATATGAAAACACGACCACTAAAGGAGGCGCTGAGGCTCTGATTTGAGCATAGCCAATCCCTCTAGCCACTAAGGGAATGAGAATATATGAAAACCACCTTCTTCCTCTTAGGGCAGTTACTGAACCTCTCTCTCCCCCATATTTCCTAGTTCTGTCTTTTTCCCACCACCCAAGATGTCTCATGAACTCCCACAACAGGCAAATTAGGGAACATCATTTTGAGAGTTCTCGCCAGGCAGGCCTCTGACACATCTCCTGGCTTTGAATATCCTCAAAACATTTCAAAAGAGAGGATTTTTAAAAGGAGGTTTAAAAAGAAGCAGACCTGGAGTTGCACAGAGGCAGTGAAGACATCCTTGAGGTCATTCTTTCTTTTTTCTACACTGATGTATTCTCTCCAGAGTGATAATAATCTTTTTTGAAATGCAGGTCTAAGACGGAAGGAATTTTTATCTGGAAGAGTAATATAAATTAGCTTTGACTGCCAGTTTCCACTGATTATTACTTTCCAGGCGGAATTCCTACAAATTCTTGAGGCATGACCTCCAATGAAAAAATAAAACCCCTTTAAAAACTCGTTGAGAAATTCCAGATAACTTTCACAAGAGACTTAATTTTAGAGCATTAACACAATCTTGGTTGGAAAGATAAAACTACAATGCAGTTATTTGGTAAAAGTCATTACTTCACAATGAAGTCATTGGAGATTATTTTACTGTGCTTATCTGCCCTCCCCCAGCTTTTTTTTTTTTTTTTTGTCTTTTAAACTTGGTTCCTTACCCCCAAAACTAATTTTATTATGCATTACTCAGTGCACTCTAGATTCACCCTTATAAAAGGATAAAGTGTTTCCACAGATAACCAATTGGAAGCAGCCAATGTGGGACTCAACCTACCAGGGCGAGCAAACACTGTTACCGGTTATTACATAGTAGTAATATGTACTATGTATTATCACATACATTTGGTTTTGGAAACCACGGGAAAGTTTAAAAAAAGAAGGTATCATATGAAATAACAGACTCAAAGAGATATCTGTGTTTTTTTGGAAGAGGTTTAGGTGTGGAGGAAGTGAGAGCATGAATACTGGTGTTTACCGAGAGCCTAATAGGTAACGGGGTGGTGTTGAGTCATCCCCATTGGACAGATGGGGAAAGTTCAAATCAGAAAGGTGAAGTGATTTGTCCAAGGACTTGCAACTTTTAAATAGTGGAGCGGCAGCAACTCGAGTCCAGGAATGTCTGACTGTAAAGTTGGTTCTCTTCCCACTGTAGAGTGTTGCCCTTTCATGAGCTGGCCTAAGTTTAGATGGGAAAACATGAAGACTGGAGCCACATGTGCAAAATATATCAATGGTTCAGAATGGCCTGAAGGGAAAATGTTATCACTACCTACCACTTGCCCTAAAATTTTCACTTACTTGAAGCTGACTAGTTTTTTCTTGAAGCTGATTTTTTTGGTTGTACATATATATGCACACACACATAGGTATGTATGAAGTGTTTCCTCAGATAACCAGTCGGAAGCAGCCAATGTGGGACTCAACCTACCAGGGTGAGCAAACACTGTTATAGGCTTGCTGAAATATATATATTTGAGACAGAGTCTCGCTCTGTCACCCAGGTTGGAGTGCAGTGGTACAATCACAGCTAACTGCACCCATAGTCTCCTGGGCTCAGGCTATCTTCCCATCCCACCTCAGCCTCTTGAGTAGCAGGGTCTACAGGCAAGTGCCACTATGCCCACCTAATATGTTTAGTTTTTGCAGGGACAAGGTATATCTATGTTCCCCAGGCTGGTCTCAAACTCCTTGGCTCAAGGGATCCTCCCACCTCGGCCTCCCAAAGTGATGGGATACAGGTGTGAGCCACTGTGCCTGGCCTATATTCAGTATTTGTATACAAATACAATCATAAGGAAAAGTATGGTTAAATTATTATCTTTTGGGGCATTTACATGAAGAAGCATGATTGTCTTGTGAAAATAATGGTTATTTTTAAATAGAATTTATCTTTCCTGTCAATTTTTAAAAATTTTTACTTATGGCCCATGAACAGGTGGAAAAGAGATTTATAAAAGAGGGAAAAAAGGGGGGACGCTTTGTGAACCTATGAGATTCTTTATCCTAACTTTTTTTTTTTTTTTTTTTTTTGAGATGGAGTCTCGCTCTGTCGCCCAGGCTGGAGTGCAGTGGCGCATTCTGGGCTCACTGCAAGCTCTGCCTCCTGGGTTCACGCCATTCTCCTGCCTCAGCCTCCTGAGTAGCTGGGACTACAGGCACCTGCCACCATGCCTGGCTAATTTTTTTGTATTTTTAGTAGAGACGGGGTTTCACTGTGTTAGCCAAGATGGTCTCAATCTCCTGACCTCGGGATCCGCCTGTCTCGGCCTCCCTAAGTGCTGGGATTACAGGAGTGAGCCACCGTGCCCGGCCTATCCTAACATTTCCTAATGTCCTGAGAGTTCAGAATTAGCCAGTGATGGAAATTATCTTTTAGATATTTCAAAGTTTGCTTCCTCTTTTCAAGAATATTTATATTTTCAGTAGTGGTGGCATGCACCTGCAGTCCC
Organism: Homo sapiens; assembly: GCF_000001405.40. Lineage (NCBI taxonomy): Eukaryota > Metazoa > Chordata > Mammalia > Primates > Hominidae > Homo > Homo sapiens. The sequence continues at coordinate 219,300,972 of NC_000001.11, forward strand.
AGCTACTCAGGAGGCCTAGATGACAGGATCACTTAAGCCCAGGAATTCGAGACCAGCCTGGACAACATAGCAAGACTCCACCTCTAAAAAAAAAAAAGAATATTCATATTTTACTGGTTGGCATACATGAAATCAAAATGGGTTGTCTTTTCAATAACGATTCAACATTATTTATTCTTCAGCAGTAAAATTCCACAGCATGAATTACATTACATAAATCTACTCATTAAGCTTATTGGTTGAGCATCCTATTTATTCAAGGCAAAAGAGATACAAAATAAATAAACACATACTTTTCCCCAAGGTATTCACAGTAATCTAAGAAAACAGGTACAAAAAGACGTAATTATGGTACAGAATGGTGAAGCTCATGTCTGACATATAAACATGTGAGGGAGCATAATTGGGCTTTCCAAATTTCAAGCTATCTAGAAATAAGAACTATATAGAAGAAAAATTGTACTAGAATAAAAGGAATTTGTGATTATAGAGCATGGGAAAAATGTAAGTTTATTTGCAATTCTATTTAGACCATGCTTTTATTGTAAAATATTTTTCAATAAACCACAAAAAAATCCAAAGTAATTTTATTTGCATTATACCTCTTAATCTTGTAGTGTTTCTGAGACATGGAAAAAGACAAGTGCTTTTATTTCTAATTTATAAATAAATGTGTATCTTAACTTCAGTTACTCAATTGCCCCCCAGAAAATATAACATAACCCTATTCAATAAGATTCTTTAAAAATTTTACAACTCTGAAAAGCTCTTCTATACTCTCCTATTTTTAACTAACAGTTATTTTTAAATGTACATTTTAATTCTTTTTCTCATTTTTGATACCTGATATATTTTAAATGCCTCTCTTTTTTATCACTTGCAAAAAGTGGCCAGTAACTAATTCTCCCTTCTCAAATTCCTTTTTGATTTTACAATAGTTCATATTTGTTTTGAATTTTTTAAAAAATACATGATACAGATAAGCAAAAACAAAGAAAAGACAGAATGAAAAAGAGAGAGAGAGAGAGAACTGGGGGTAGGGGCTCTAATTAGAAAAAGGAACTTCTGGAACAAGCAAAAAGGGGTGTGCATAGCAAGGCAGCATTGCCAGCAGTGTTAAGGGTGCACATGCTTCCTGACTTTCTCCCTGTGATGATCCTATTATTCTACAATTCTTAAATGTAGGTCCATCTATTATACTTATTTCTTTCTACTTCATTTGTACTTACCTCAGCTCAGAGGTGCTTCAATAACTGTTAACTGATCTTGCTTCTATCTCTCTCCATCCATTCAGATTACATTGCCTAAATTAGTATTTTCCAAGAGTCACTCTTCTGGGCAAGTATTTTCATTACCTTCACTGGTCTTATAGTATAGAATACCACTCCAGGCCCTGAGCATATTCTAACAGTAAGTTAATTTCAGCCTTATTTTTCACTATTCCCCTCTCCACCCCTGCTTTCCACAGCCCAGAAGCTCCTTATGTTGGTGAGGTGTAGGAGGAGCACGGTCCTCAGAATGAAACTGATCTGGGTGCAAATCCTGGCTTCATCACTACAGAGAGGTTGTGAATCTAGGCAAGTTTCCATATCTCTCTGAGTCTCAATTTTTTTTCATTTATGGAATAAACATAATATTTTTCACCTTGCAGGAACGTGTGGAGGACACATGAGAAAGGTATCCAAACATACATTGCCTAGTGTGGGGCACACCTTAGGTTCTCATTAAGAGTTAGTTTCTTTTCTCTCCAGTCAGATTGTCCCTTTCCCTTTTTCACCTCCAATCTTTGTCTGGGATGCCCACTTTTTCACATCCTTCTATTCTTGATGTTTTTCTCCTCTTTGAAGATCTTCTAGGTCATTCCAGCTCACAGGAATTCCTCTGCTTCCTCTAAATGCCTAATGCATTACATGCATTAGCCATTCACCACTCGTTGGTGGGATCTTTGAGATCTTTCTTGATATGCTGTCATGTTTTATTATTATTCTCCTGTATACAGTCCTCCCTGCATTCCTGCTTTGTTTCACAAAATAGACTATGAGCTCACCAAAAATAGGTCTATTCACTCTGTATTCTCAGTACCTCACACATTTCCAGAAGTATAGAAAATGCTCCACTATCTCTTTATTGAATTGATTTTTATATTTTATTATCTTCCCTAGGTCTTCCCTTGAATCTTAAATCATGAAATATTAATAATTAATCAATCAATTCATTTATTTATTTGTGCGTTTGTTTTCAACAACAATGTATTGGATGTTTACAATGTTCCAGGCACTGATCTAGTTACTCAAGACATAGCTATAAACTAAATAGACAAGTTTTTTGCTTTCATGGATTATCTTATAGTCTAGTGGGTAATAAAAACAATACAAATGTAGATTAATAAATAATTTAAGAGTCATGACTACTCTGAGGGAAATAAAACCAGGTGACAGGAGAGCTAGTGACAGATAAGCAGGGTTGTGCCTGGGGCTTGGGAATCCCCAAGACATTTTGGCCATGGAGCAGATGATCTGCAGCAGGCAATTGGTTGTTTCTTGTCACCCAGTGTTACTGGTGGTTGGAGCTCATCTACTATGTGCAGATCATAGAACATGTGAGCTGTGAGAGAACTCAACAGTGATGAAGTCTAGCAATTCTCAAATACTATTTTATTGCCATATATTTATTCAAGTGAAATCTCATAGGGAAGCCCATAACTCCTGGATGTTTTCATAATTCCGCTGAAAACCTTTGGTCTGGCTTATGTTCTTTACTTTTACAAATGAGGAAACAAATACAAATGGCACATGGAGATGAATGGTCAAAAATTAGATGGCAGACAGGTGTGAATGACATCATAGGTATCTTATGATACCTGATTGGCTCGGGTGGCTACTATGTTTTTCTGTTTGAAGAAACAGTTCCCTTCAAAACAAGTTTCCAACCTAGGGATATGATTTATTGCTCCATTGCAATTTTTAACAGTATTACCCAATTATTTACATAACTTATTCCCTAACTAGTTCTAAATAGTTTTTAGTTGTTGCTTAAGACCAAAACAATTATCTAATAAATATTTACAATGATTTACAAACATAAAGATTGAAGATGTATGTCCCCTTTAGGCTCAGCTGTAAATTACCTTCTCTCTCTCTGATCCCTATAATCCTTTATACCTCCCATATGATATTTGCCAGATTTTACCTTGTAAAATTGCTGTCACAACCTTTTCTGACCCTATACATAAAACTGCAAAAGGTCTGAGACCAGGAAATCATATCTTAATATATTTGTGGTACCCACTAAAAACAGTGCCATGCATTTATAGTAGATGCTAAATAACAAATATTAAATAATTATCCAAGATGCTCAGTTTAATTCAAGCAGACAGAGTCACTGAAAAATTATTTTGAGCATTGATAACATCACTGGCATATGTGGGTAGCCTGCCAGGTGGCAGTCTTGCCAAGGAAAGCATTCATTTGAATGTGTAAGATCTGGTATGTCATCAAAAGCCATTCGTATGATTTCATCGTCATGGCATCTATTTAGTGAGTGACTCTTAGATTACTTAGAGCAGGATGCTAGGTGCTTTGGGTGGGATTCAGAAGAGGCATAAAATATAATCCATTCCTTTAACAAATTAGCAGTGAAGACTGGGAAACAAGAGTCCAAAAATATAAAGTCGTGTATAATTAAGTTCTAAATTGTGTAGTGAAAGTAAGTGAGGCAGAAGTCCAAGGAGTGATCACTAAATGGTGGCTGTGGAGGGTAGGAAAGGCACCAGACCCTAGATTGCCATGAAAACACATATTGAGATGCCAAGTCGTCTACACAGATCTCTGAGGGAATTAAAGGCTAGTCTACACAAGGTCATAGCACAATAAACGAGTCGCAGGAATGAAGAACAAAATTGGCTTTCATTTTTCCTATCGGCAAAGAGGCTTGGCTTGACACAGTACTGCAGGTTTCAAAAATTCCAGTGTCAGATATTGTTCCTAAAGGAGAAACATTCTGAGAACTTGTGAGAATGCAAATTTGTCCTTGCACAGGAGGACGTCAGCCAAAGAGTTCCCAGACATTACTCACTGGTTCGGCATATCCCTCAACCTACTAGGCTAAGTTGTGCCATGTCACTGAGGGGACCACAGTCTGTTCTTACATGGACTGTGGCTCAAGAAATTAGGAATGGGAAGGACCAGAATTTACAGTGTGGAGATGAAAGGTACAAGCCTTATAAGGAGAGATCACAAAAGAAAAATGTTAGACTATCTGGAATGCCAGGTGATGAGATATGACATGTAACATGGGTAGTTAACCCATCAGGAGCTCTAGACACAAATATACTCCCTTTCTTTCAGGGTGTAGAGTACTCTGTAATTGGTGTAGGAAGCATATAAGGTGCTGTTTTCATAAGTCTTTAGCCTGGATGGAAAGTTATGCAGAAGTTAGAAAAGAGACATACTGAAGAAAAAAACAGCCGAAGATGCCTCCCCCTCAAGACTATTCATTTATCTATAAAGGATGTTTTGGGGTCACAAAATTGGATGATACTTCCAAGGACTCCATAAAATTATTGTGAAGCCTATAATGGCTGATGTAAAACACTGAAATAACAGTGCATGTCTTAAACTGATGCACGCAACTTGATTGAACAGGATAATGGCACAATGGCAGAAAGTGATATTCAGGGCATTGGGTATCTGTTGAAAACCCTATCGTTTACAAACAGAAATTTGTTGACCACTTACTCTGTGTTGGGTGCTGTACCAGGTGCTGTGAGAATATGAAAGAAATACAAGGCTGATTCCTCTGCTGAGAGAAATCTAAAATTGGAGGGGAAATGAGGATCCATATATGTCCTTGGCAAAACAACCTCTTTCTTCCAACACCACCAGCTTCATCATCACTATCAACTCTGAACTACAATACTTCCATTTTGTTTATGCGGTATTTTATGATTTAACCCAGGAATGTTGACAGTATTCTCCCATTTCCAGATTAAAGATATTTCATTTGTCCAGGTTATCTCAGGTTACATGAAAAGTAATCTTATCTTTGACACTCTGAAAGTCTCAGCTACTACTAGCGTTTTCTAACAGACAATGAACTCCATACATGTAATTTAGTTCACATCAATCATACAGAACATATAAATATATACATATGAATGGTATCTTCTTGAGTGTAGACTTTGAGAGGCCAAGTCCAAAATACTTTTGGAAAATCTCTTTGGAAATTGTCTTCAACAAATGCATTGCATTCTCTGGTTTCCTAATGCTGTCAGATATGTAACTTGTAAACAATAAATTTTATAAGTAACCAAAGGTTATTGGGAGCTCTGATGGTTAATTTTGTGTCAATATGACTGAGCCACAGGGAGCCCAGGTATTTGGTTTATGATTATTCTAGTGTGTCTGTGAGTGAGTTTCTGGATGAGATTAACATTTGAATCAGTAGAATGAGTAAAGCACACTGCCATCCCTAATTTGGGTGGGTGTCATCCAATTAGTTGAAGACCTTAATAGAACATAAAGTCTAGTAAGAAAGAATTCCTTCTGCATATCAACATGGGACATAAGTTTTTTATATTTTTTTCCTTTGGACTTGAAGGAAAGCACTGGCTCTTCCTGGGTCTCCAGCCTATTAGACTTGGACTGGAGTTACACCATCACCTCTCCTAGGTCTTCAGCTTGCTTATGTAGATATTGGGGCTTGTCATCCTCCATAATTATGTGAGCCAAATCCTTAAGATATATAGGTAGGTAGGTAGACAGACAGATGCATAGATAGATAGATAGATAGATAGATAGATAGATAGATAGATAGATACATAGACAGATGCATAGATAGATATAGATAGATAGATAGATAGATAGATAGATAGATAGATAGACAGACAGACAGACAGACAGATAGATAGAGATAGAAAGTAAATCTCCTATTGGTCCTGTTTCTCCGGAAAACCCTTATTGATGCAGAGGCCAAACTCAATGAATACATTAGTTGATAAGCTGGTAATACAATTTTTGGCCACATGTATTCCAAATGATATATATACACATACATATATATATATATATATGTATATATATATATATAATCATCTCATCCCTTATTTTTCTTATAGGATCATAAACTGACTTTGAAAGTAACTTTAAAATGGGAATTCCAAATAGCTCTTGAGCAATGGAAGTATGTGGCAGAGAAAACTAGCTGGTCACAAATTCATTTCTTCTTTCTACTTAGAATGCAGCTTGACTGCGTTTCCCGACTGTCTTGCTTGTGACTGAGTCTTCACATATACCCCTTTTAGGTGTGGCTTATAACGATCTCCCACACAAGATTTCACACTCTTTTCTGTTCAGTGGTGACATTAGCCATGAATTGAAGATGGTGGAATGTGAGATGGTTTCTTCCAAACCCAAGTCCCTGCATCAACTAGAAGAGAGCTGATTAGGAATACTCATTTTGGATTTTATAGGACCAAAAAATAAATTTGCATTTTGTTAAGCCACTGAGATATGGGTAGTGTGGCTATTTTGTAACCTTAGTTGTTGATGGCTGAAATTGCCTAATTAATAAGCAGCATCATTAGAATTAGAGCAAAGTTGAGAACATTAGAGGACAAGATACATGTCAATAACATCTGATTTCATTGTTAATATTTGATATGGTTTGGCTCTGTGTCCCCACCCAAATCTCATCCTGAATTGTACTCCTATAATCCCCAAGTGTTGTGGGAGGGACACAATGGGAGATAGTTTGAATCATGGAGGCAGTTTTCCCCATACTCTTCTCATGGTAGTGAACAAGTCTCATGAGATCTGATGGTTTTATCAGCGGTTTCTGCTTTTGCTTCCTCCTTATTTTTTCTTGCCGCCGCCATGTAAGAAGTGCCTTTCACCTCCCACAATGATTCTGAGGCTCCCCAGCCATATGGAACTGTAAGTCCAATTAAACCTTTTTTCTTCCCAGTCTTGGGTATGTCTTTATCAGCAGCATGAAATCAGACAGGAAAATGTGAGAAAGTTTGGAACTTCCTAGAGACTTGTTGAATGGCTTTGACAAAAATACTGATAATGATATGGACAATGAAATCCAGGCTGAGGTGGTCTCAGATGGATATGAGGAACTTGTTGTGAACTGGAGCAAAGGTGATTCTTGTTATGTTTAATGAAGAGACTGGTGGCATTTGGCCCCTGCCCTAGAGATTTATGGAACTTTGAACTTGAGAGAGATGATTTAGGGTATCTAGTGGAAGAAATTTCTAAGCAGCAAAGCATTCAAGAGGTGACTTGGGTGCTGTTAAAGGCATTCAGTTTTAAAAGGGAAGCATAATATAAAAGTTTGGAAAATTTGCAGCCTGACAATGTGATAGAAAAGAAAATCCCATTTTATGAGAAGAAATTCAAGCTGGCTCCAGATATTTGCATAAGTAATGAGGAGCTGAATTTTAATCCCCAAGATAATGGGAAAAATGTCTCAGAGCATGTCAGAGACCTTTGCAACAGCCTCTCCCATCACAGACCCAGAGGTCTAGGAGGAAATAATGGTCTTGTTGGCAGGGCCGAGGGCCCCCATGCTGTGTGCAGTCTAGGGACTTGGTGCCCTGTGTCTCAGCTGCTCCAGCCATGGCTGGAAGGCGCCAACGTAGAGCTCGGTTTGAGGCTTCAGAGGGTGCAAGCCTCAAGCCATGGCAGCTTCCACATGATTTTGAGCCTGCAGGTGAACAGAAGTCAAGAATTGGGTTTTGGGAACCTTTGCCTAGATTTCAGAAGATGTATGGAAACACCTGGATGCCCAGGCAGAAGTTTGCTGCAGGAGTAGGGCTCTCACAGAGAACCTCTGCTAGAGCAGTACAGAAGGGAAATGAGGGGTTGGAGCCCCCACACAGAGTCCCTGCTGGGGCACTGCCTAGTAGAGCTGTGAGAAGAGAGCCAGCGTTCTCCAGACCCCAGAATGGTTGGTCTACCTGCAGCTTGCACTGCACACCTGGGAAAGCTGCAGATACTCAACATCAGCCTGTGAAACCAGCCAGGAGGGAGGCTACACGCTGCAAAGCCACAGGGGCGGAATTGCCCAAGACCATGGGAACCCACCTCTTGCATCAGCTGACCTGGATGTGAGACCTGGAGTCAAGGGCGATCATTTTGGAGCTTTCAAATTTGACTGCCCCACTGGATTTGAGACTTGCATGAGCCTTGCATGAGACTTTCATGAGCCCTTTGTTTTGCAAAACCCCTTTGTTATGGCCAGTTTCTCCCATCTGGAATGGCTGTATTTACCCAATACCTGTGTACCCCCATTGTATCTAGGAAGTAACTAGCTTGCTTTCCATTTTACAGGCTAGTAGGCAGAAGGGATTTGCCTTGTCTCTGATGAGACTTTGGACTGTGGACTTTTGGGTCAATGCTGAAATGAGTTAAGACTTTGGGGGACTGTTGGGAAGGCATAATTGGTTTTGAAATGTGAGGACATGAGATTTGGTGGGGCTGGGGCTGAATGATATGCTTTGTCTCTGTGTCCCCACCCATATCTCATCTTGAACTGTACTCCCATAATTCCCATGTGTTGTGGGAGGAACCCGGGGGAGAAAATTTGAATCATGGAGGAGGTGTCCCCCATACTCTTCTCGTGGTTGTGAATAAATCTCATGAGATCTGATGATTTCATCAGGGGTTTCTGCTTTTGCATCTTCCTCATTTTCTGTCGCCTTCACCATGTAAGAAATGCCTTTTGCCTTCTGCCATGATTCTGAGGCCTCCCCAGCCATGTGGAACTGTAAGTTCAATTAAACCTCTTTTTCTTCCCAGTCTCAGGTATGTCTTTATCAGCAGCATGAAAATGGACTAATACAATATTCATCTCAAGACACAGGACTTATATCTTAGCTTGTTAGAACCCAGTTACTACCATGTGTTGTCATGTCAGTGACTAGAAGTCACAGAAACCAAAATGGTAAGTGAGTTGGAATCCCAGTCTTAGTTTTGATCTACTTAAGTTGCCCTCATTGACACTGAACTGGTTACATTTCTTATTTAATGAAGATAAAATTTAGCATTTAAAAGGTAGTGATAGTGTGCTCTCTGGGAAATAATATTATTAGGGGTTGGAAGATCTGAGACTGAGCCTCAGCTTTGCTATTTACTGATGGAGTGAACACTCCAAGTCTGTTACCTCATCTATAAACCAAAGTGAGATTATAACACTCCTCCCTGTGTTGTTGAGAAGATCAAAGTGACACACACTGAAAGGGAGGGAATGTTTTTGACTGTTTTCAAGGTACAAAAACATTGTACCTATTTATGGGGGTGATGAATAATAAATCCAATAGTTTTTACTCCCTCATTTTCTCACATGCAGTCAGCCCTGCCTGCTCCCTATCTGAGGTCCCCATGGCTTTCCAAGAACCTGGGAACCTTAACTCACAAGAGCCCAGATTGGAATTTGTGGGTTTGAATAGCTGATTTGAGTTGGAAGACATGCCATAAGCAAGCACTCAAGTGTCCTGAAAGCAGGAACAAACAGATCAAAAGATCAAGGCCTGTGAGTAAAATAAACAAAATGGGAACGCTTTGAGGATGGTTGGAGCCTGCCCTTATCTCACTTTGTCTAAGCTTGGACTTCAAAGCACATTTTGTGACTCAGATCAACTAAAAGCAAAGGCCATGCTATGAATTATAGAGTAGGGGGGAAATGAAATAATGGCAGTCTTGAGAAAAAAGTGAAGTGAAATAAAATTTGTCTTCATGATTTTCATTTTTTCATGAGTGTATATCCCTTACCCCTATGGGAAAAACGAACAATACATGTAGGAAACTGGTTAAGAAAATGGATTTTGCTGCCAGAAAATCCTGAATTAGCATCTCAGTTCAACTACATGTTCTCTATCTTCTCTTGGAAAATTTAACTCTTAGTAGCCTCCAATTCCTTGGTAAAGTGAAAATAGTTCCACTGTCTAAGGATTGCTGAGAAGTAAGAAAAGTGTTGATGAAGGTGAAGCATTTAGCACAGTTCCTGGCTCATAGGGAGAGAGATTAAATATTCACTTTCATTGTCTTTGGCTTATCCATTCTATCATTTTGGTTTATCCATTCTACATTACCCACCCTGTAGTCTTATTCATCATATAAAATTATTGCAGAAAATGTTTTTTCCTTAGTTATCTAGTCTAAGAGTTTTTTTTTTTTTTCTTTCTCCCTGAGTCTGGACATGGAGTTTGTGCTTAACCACAACCTTTATCTTTCAGTCATGGAATGGAAAATAGGAAGTGAGAAATGCAATATATGTTCTTGAAGTTTAAAAATTGTGAGATGCAGCAATATCACCTGAAAAATGGTGAAGTGTGAACATGCATGGACTGTGTTGGATGCTGTAATCTACAGATTCCTGATTAGCAATCAATCTACTTTTCTGGAATGACATTTGTCAGCAGTATGAACATATTTGCTTGGAACTATGGAACAAATATTCTTGGTAGGAACAATATCAGCATTATTCCCCCCATACCAACACCAATCCCAATCTTTGATGTCATTTACACGTTGGCTTGCCTTCCCTTCTATGTTGTAGGTGTTTTTTTTTTTTTTAAGGTGGACACCATGTCTTTTTCATCTTTCTATCATTCTCTTTTCACAACCTAGCATGGTGTTTTGGATATAGTAGTTCCCTAATACAGATTTTAAACAAGATAAAAGGCTTAAATACATTTAATCTTTCTCATAGTTAAAGAAATGCATCATGATTATACCACCAGGACATCAGATATTAATGGTGAGAATTTGAATATACGCATAATCCAACAAACATTTCTTAAGCACTGATTTTGTACCTGGTGCTGTGCATTTTTTCTTTTCTATATTTCATGTAACTTTCTATTAAAATAGTGTTGGCTAAATACATAGAATGCTTTTAATAACAGGTTTCCTGCTGCTAACCAATAAAAATTTTTCACCAATAATATTTTGAATTCTATACATTAAAAATATATATTGTGTGATCCAGGAAACCCGTTGGAAGGTTACAGTGGAATCTTCTTATTTTTGTTTGAATTACTCTAATCATTCTGCTTTCTGAGCACTTGCCAAGCTGCTGTAAAAGGAAGAAGCTTGTGATGTGAAAGGAAAGAGGAAGAATGAATGCTGGTGCATTGGACAGTTTGGGAAAGGTGCTTTCCCAAGTTTGGTGCCTTGGGAAGTTGAGGAGAAGGACATATTGCAGGAGGAAGGAGGGCACTGGACTTCTGAGGAGAGCTGGGCAAGTGAGGGCTGCAGAGAGGTGGGAGAGGGTCAGGGGCTGTAGAGGAATGAGTGAGAGGACAGCTTGGATAAACTTCACTTTGAAATTTTGCCAGGGACCTCAAGTATTCCTTTCCCTGTTTCTTTAGATCAAGCACACCCTTTGTCCTAGGCTCTTTGTGCCTCCTTTCCTCCTCTCCCTCAAAACAAAACCAAAACACACATATCACATCATTTTTGGAGTTGAGGAGGTCTCAGTGAAGGCTGTGTCCAATGAGCAGCTGCATGAGGATACAGGCAGACCCCTGGGGAAACCACGCCAGGGAGCCCTTGGGGCTGGGAGTGCCCAGTAGAACCTGAGTATGGGAGAAAGATTTTCTTGGGGCACAGTTCATCGGCACAGCTTCAAGAGTACTATCATGAAAGAGAAGGCAACTAGGGGCTCTCTACCTCTTTCTTCTAAAGCATTTTTGTGGGCACCTTGTCTGTTTTTTCAGTGCTCCTCGGGATTTTTGTCCCAAATCTAACAACAGTCAAAGCATATGACTTCAGGTGGTATTGGGCTGAATTTGTACCTGAAGGCGATAGGCTGCGTTAGAGAAGGTAGCAGTTCCTCTTCTCCTGGTCTATTGGTGGGCCCTCCAGAGATGTAGAGAGGAAGCACTGAAGTGACAGCTTACTAACCAGAAGTCTTATCACTGTGACTACAACTACCGATAATAGTCCTTACAATGATTATGAATGATGATACTAATAATACAGTCACACTTCAATGATTCCTGTCTTCTAACATCTCTTTTTCTGTTTAGTATTATAGGTTATAGTATTGTAGGTTATTGTGACTATGCCTTATCTTGCCTGCCTATCTGTAAGTTTTTGGAAGGCAGATCTCGTTGTTCTGTCTCTTCATGTTTATAATCCTTTATATCATCCAGTGTAGAGCCATGTGCTGTGACCCTTGGGAAATGATAACATAGAACAAGTCATAAGTGAAAGAATGTGGGCTCTGGACAAGTGGAAAGGAGTTCACTGTCTACCGCCACTACTGAGTTGTGAGTCACCAACAACAAACTACTTAACGTCAGTGTACCATTTAGGATTATATTGGGTTTGTCTTAAACAAATAGTTTTATTTTTCTCATGTGACAAAAGCCACCTTTAAGGTTATAGCTTTTATCCTCATGTTGGTGACTTTGCACTCACAAGACAGCTGCTCCTCTTTCAGCAGCATACCCAAATTCCAGCAAGAAGGGGAAAGGCTGTGTGAAAATTTATTCAAAAATAAATTTTTATAGCATCTTACGTTTTCAGAGAGTTTTCTTTTTAAAAAAACTTTTTTTTTTTTTGAGATAGAGTTTCACTCTGTCACCCAGGCTGGAGTACAGTGATGAGAGGCATGATCTTGGCTCACTGCAACCTCCACATACTTCCGGGTTCATGTGATTCTCCTGCCTCAGCCTCCCAGATAGCTGGGATTACAGATGCCCACCACCACACTCAGTTAATTTTTGTACTTTTAGTAGAGACAGGGTTTCACCATGTTGGCCAGGCTGGTCTCCAACTCCTGACCTCAAGGGATCCACCCACCTCGGCCTCCCAAAGTGCTGGGATTACAGGCATGAGCCACCCACCCGGCCTTTAAACTTTTATTTTAGGTTCATGTGCAAGTCTGTTACATAGGTAAATTGAGTGTCACAGGGGTTTGATGTACAGATTATTTTGTTACCCAAATAATAAGCATAGTACCTGATAGATAGTTCTTTTTATCTTCACACTCTTTTCACCCTCCACCCTCAAGTGGGCCCCAGTGTCTGTTGTTCCCTTCTTTGTGTCCATATGCACTCCGTGTTTAGCTCCCACTTATAAGTGAGAACATGCAGTATTTTGTTTTCTGTTCTGGTGTCAGTTTTCTTAGGATAACAGCCTCCAGCTCCAACCATGTTGCTTCAAAGGGCATGACGTCATTATTTTTATGACTGCATAATATTCCATTGTGCATATGTACCACATTTTTAAATCAAATCTACCATCATTGGGCATTTAGGCTGATTCCATGTCTTTACTATTGTGAATAATGCTGTGATGAATATACATGTGCATGTCTTTATTGTAGAACAATTTATATTCCTTTGGGCATATACCCAATAATGGGATTGCTGTATCAAATGGTAATTCTGTTTTAACCTCTTTGAGAAATCACCAAACTGCTTTCCGCAATGGTTGACAGAGAGTTTTTATTTTTTTTCTTTTTCTTTTTTTCTTTTTTGAGATGGAGTTTCGCTCTGTCGCCCAGGCTGGAGTGCAGTGGCGCAATCTCGGCTAGCTGCAAGCTCCGCCTCCCGGGTTCAGGCTGTTCTCCTGCCTCAGCCTCCCTAATAGCTGGGCCTACAGGCGACCACCACCGCGCCCAGCTAATTTTTCGTATTTTTAGTAGAGACGGGGTTTCACCGTGGTCTCGATCTCCTGACTTCGTGATCCACCCACCTCGGCCTCCCAAAGTGCAGGGATTACAGGCATGAGCCACTGCGCCTGGCTGACAGAGAGTTTTTAAATACACTGTTTCATTTGATAATATATTGTGAATCTTGAGCTAGCATGTCTTTATTGATCCATTAACGCAAAGATTTTGACTCAGTAGGCCTGAGATGAGGTCTTAGAATCTTCGTTTTAACAAATACCACAGGTGATTCTGATGCAAGTGACTCAATGAAAATTCTTTGGAAAACAGTGTCTTAAAAGAAGCATCTGAATAATAGAATAATAACTATATGTTTGATATTTGTGTGTGTACATGTTGGGATGGATGTTTGTGTGTGTGTGTGTGAGTATGGGTGTGTATGTTTTGAGGAGGGGTTGATTCTGTAAGCTTTACTGTTGGTAACATAACCAGATCTTAGCATAAATGAGAAATATAATAGATATTTTAAGTATTATTGGGAATCTCAAATTTAGATTAAAACTGAAATCTTTGCCTTTAAAAAGCGTGATATGTTATTATAGAAATAGTACCTTGTAAGAATCGTTAAGACGATGTGCAAAAGCAAATACAAGAAATTAATGTAACATCATCAGGATTCATATAAATTTTGATAAGTCAAAAATTTTTATGAAATTTAGGACTTTTGACTGATTAGGCAATTTACAGTTGGCAAAAGCTGTACTTGAGTCAATCTTCGCCTAGAAAATTTGACTTCCTGTTTCTAAGAAAAAAAAACTCCTCATAAAAAGCTCTCATAAAACAACTCCCAAGGCTTCTTGCACATCAAATAGCTCTTACAGAAACAAATTTTGATGAGGTAAGTGTAAGGAATTTAGTAACATATGGATTAAATTTCCCTTAAAATAGACATCATTTTAAAATTAGGAGGAAAAAAAGTTCTTGGTAAAATATGAAAATGTGTTTTGGTTTTCCTTGAACCCCAAACACAATTTGAAAAATAGTTCAAGATGTTCACCAACCCACCTCCAATACAACTGGTTTCACCCATCTTTAGTTCCAGGATATGAACTGTTGGGAGTTCTGGTGATTATAAATACTACAAAAATATCAGCAGATACTGGCAAAATTTCAGAGACAAATAAGGAAACAGCAAAACTTTAGAAATAAGTACATTTAAAAGTTAGGGTGTTTTTCTTCAAAAACTTAGGGATGGGCAGTCCATCCCCTAAAAGCTAATGGAATAATTTAAATTCTTTATTGTATTTCAGAAGACAATGTGGATAGCTAAATATTTCAAGAAAACTTCTCATTATAATTAAATGGAAAAAAAATGCCCCATGGCAAGAAAAAATTTGGTGAAAAGCTACATGTACGTATAAGGACAAACCTATCTCAAAGATCCAATAATATTAATATTATTTTATAGAAGCAGATACGCTTACAGGTTTTGATCATGACTATTTAGCTCAGTTGATGAAGGCTGGTATTAGCAAAATTAAGATCATGGTGTTTATCATCAAAGATTATTGAATTTTGTTAAATGTTTTTTCTGCATCAATTAAAATTACCATTTCTACATCCTCTTCATTCTGTTAATGTGGTATATTACATTGATTGACTTTTTTAAGTTGAACCATCCTTGCATTCTAGGAATAAGTCTCATTTTGTCATAGTGTATAATACTTTTAATATGCTGTTGAATTTGGTTTGCTAATATTTTGTTAAAGATTTTCATATCAATGTTCAAAAGGATTATTGATTTGTAGTTTTCTTGTAGTGTCTTGTCTGGATTTAGTATCAGGGCAATGCTGTCTTCATAGGATGAGTGGAAAGTGTTCTTTCCTTTTAAATTTTTTGAAAAAGTTTGAGAAGGATTTATATTGATTCTTCTTTGAGTGACTGATAGAATTCACTAGCAAGGCCTCCAGGTCAAGGAATTTTCTTTGTTACGAGATGTTTGTCCATAGCAGCAGTATTTACAATAACTAAAATGTGAGAGCAACCCATGTGTCCATTGATGGTCAAATGTATATGCAAAAATGTGGTATGTACATATAGTGGAATATTATCCAGCCTTAAAAAGAAACAAAATTCTGATATAGGCTGCAATGTGGATTAATCTTGCAGACACTACATTAAATGAAATAAGCCAGTCGCAAAAAGGCAAATACTTTATCATTCCACTTATATGAGGTACTCAGTGTTTTCAAAATGTTGGAGACAGGAAGTAAATGGTGATCATTAGGGGCTGGGGGGAGGAGGAAATGGGGAGTTACAGTTTAATAGCTATCAAGTTTCAGTTTTAAAAGGTGAAAAGTATTACGGAAATGGTAGTGATGGATGCACAACATTACTAATGTATTGAATACAACCAAACTGTACATTTTAAATGGCCAAGATGGTCAATTTTATGTTATAGGTATTTTACCATAATTTAAAAAATTGGAAAATTTTTAAGGTCATGGTTCAATTTGTTGTTCAATTTTTATAAACTTGCCCTTTTCAATCAGTTTTTCTCACTAGAGTGGCTGTTCTAAAATCCAAATACTTCATGTCAATTTTCTTAAATCCTTCATGCATTCTCCATTGCTTCCGAAGTAAATCCAAACTCCTTAGCATGTCAGCAAGGACTTTCCTGTGTATCTCTGGTGTCTCATCTTTCACTATTTCGTGTTTCAACACCTAAATAGCTATATTCCATTCACAGGAACTATTTTCAGCCCCTCCAGTGTTTCTATAGTAAATGTCCTGTTGAATATTTAACTTGGATTTTTTTTCTCTTTCTCTTCTGAGAGAGGTACAGGGAAGTCACTTCAACCATCTTTAGAAAAGCAAATAATCTTTAGGCCCTGAACACAGTGTTCCCAAACAAAAAAGGGCTATATATATTTGTAGTTATATATATGAACCCTGAAGAAAATGAGGTGATGATGAGAAAGTATGCAGTTATCCTAATTGTCCCAGGAATAAGGGGGTAGAAAGAACCTATTTTCAGGATCAAAAATAAATAAATAAGCTACTTGACTTTTAGTGGTATGAATTCTTAGAAAGGAAAAAACAGATGAGGAATTTCAGGTCTGCAGGGCATAAATGCTTGGTTTAATCCTGATAGTATACTCCTGCAGCAGTTGTCGTCTCAGAGAATGACTTTATATGAGATCAAAAGACCCATGCTTTTAGCCTAGGCATCCTTCACTCCACTGGACTTGTGCTGAGGATATGGACCTTGCAGCCTTTAAGATCCATAGCAACAGGTCTGTGGTCTATCAGCATCTTTTGTGGACTCTGTAGGTCCAGTTGTCAACAGTGTCACCAAGCGGCAGCAAGAAGCAAAAGCAATAGCAGACTGATCAGACCCCAGGCTCTTCACTCTTGGGTGTTCAAGTCAGAGTGTTGACCTTCTGTTGGATTGTGCAAGCCTTTGGAGTTTGAGAAAACTCAGAAACATGAAAAACTGCAAGTGGGAGATAACTGAATGTTGGGCTAATCTAATGTGTATGGGCTTGAGCTCGTTTTCTCTGGGATTAAAAAAAGGAAGTAGATTCTCCCCTTGGGCCAATTGTGTGGATCAATTATTATCAATATCTATCATGCTTCTCTAATTTTCCATCACCTTGAGTGTTCCTCTTTCTCCTTTTCTTACAAATAACTCAAGTGTCACTCTCCCAGGAAGTCTTCCCTGCCTCATCAAGACTGAAATATCCCCTTAGCACCCTAAGCAAACACCTGTGTTACCCCCACCCCTCCCCACAGTCCCCCATCCCACCAAACCATGATCTCTTCTTCACATTGCAACTTGAATTGCCTAATTTAAATGTCTGATTTTCTCATCTCCACCAAACTGTGAATTGTATAAAACAAGGATTACATGTCATTTACTGTTGTGTTTCTACTACCTAGGATGTACTTAATAAATACTAATAATAAGAGAATGAAGCTCTCTGATTAGAAAATAGAAATATCCATGCCAAATTTTAGGCTCAAAGACCACAACCCATAATGACTAGATTACTAGTCCTTGGAATTAAATAAGTAAAAGATCACAATTTGACCAAGGTCATTAGGGAATTTTGTGTTTAGAGAAAGATAAGGGCTAATGATGAAGTCTTGGGAGCTCTCATTCCCTGATGAAATTACCGTGTCCTCAAACACTCACCAAGAGGAAGGAGAGGACCCCTAATGTGTCCCTAGAAAAATGGGCAGGGAAATATTCCAGAGTGCAGAGTTGGAGGCTGACGGGGCTTGTCCAAGGAACTTACTCCACTGCCGGTAAGAAACCCTGTTTTTCTTTCCGGGAGAAGATGGTGTGTGCTTTGGATCACTGACCCCTTGGGATTGCTTCCCATTCTTTCTCTTTTTCAAATGAAAGGCTTTATCGCAGTTATCTTTTTTTTCAGGCAGGGTCCAATCAAGAAAACAGAAACCATGTTTCAACAGAGATAATATGATGCAATGCATAAACTAAACAGGTGTTGGTAAACTAAAAAGCAAACAGTAACACAGAAACAGTAATTGCAGAAAGTAAGGACTGGAGGAGAAAGGAAGAGATGGTAGTTAAGCTCAGAGCATGTTGCTGGGCAGCTGGACTCAGACTTCTGAGGACAGAGCTTGTGTAGACCCTTCAGAAACTCAGAGGAAAGACCTCCCATAGCTGAGCCTCTGACCCGTGGAGAAGGAGTGCCATTAATGTGGTGCCTGGGGAAGCTTCCCCATCGAGTTGGAACCCAGATCTGTGAGATGTGAATGGGGAGTGCTTCCTGGCTGTACTGGAACTGCTGAGAGGATTCCATGAGGCTGATTCTGGAAATGCTAAAAGAAGCACAAAATAATGCCCCCAAAATCCCCTAGAATCCAACTACCTATGCTGCGAAGGGCCAATTCTGGGGGATTCTGCAGAAATAGGAGGGAGCAAACCTTTTCTCCGCACTCCTCTTTCCCAATCTCTAGTACCCTTTATGGGCAGAAACCACCTGCCAAAAAAGAAATGTGCTTCACAGGGTCCCAGACCCAGCATCACAGAGCAGAGCACAGAATGGTGAATTGGAGAAAGAGGCAAGAGTGTAACAAGCAGGACTGTTCAACTCTTTGTTTACTCACACTGACTCACCCCCTTCTACATGTGTTTGAACTTTTATAAAGCAATAACATCAGGATACAACCATCCTTCATAAAATGAAAACTCTGTCATCCTCTTCTCACAAAGGGAAGATACCAAGTCCCAATAGTTAACATATCCATCCTGAGCAACAGGCACAGTATCCATCTCTGTGTGGGGTTAACTAGTCTTATAATCCAGTCACAGTCCCACCTGAATATTCTGTGACCTAAACACTAATCTTTAAAATAATTCAACTGTACAATAACGCTTACATAAAATATTGGTAAAGGAAACTGGAGAAAATAGCACAGATAACACACAACACAATACGCAAGACAGAAAATATGCATGTCTGCTACAGTCCTTGTTTCTGTAAGTGGTCAGGATGTCATAGTAGGTAAGCGTTTATAATTTCTATCTCCATTCTCCGTCCCATGTTTTCTTTTCATTCAGCATCTCAGCTAATTTTGCTCTTTACCTGCTGGGATGACACAGACCTTCAATCTATACTGGTCCTGCCTTCTCTTGGTTGCTATCATTTTTCCATTAACTTTTGCTACTGGGAATGGAAGCACAAAAAGGCGCCCTCAGAATCCCCGAGAATCCAGCCATAATTCTTGTCCCCACTGTGAAGCAGCAATCCAACTTCTTCTTGATCGTCAAGATTAATCACCCAAGCAAACAGTAAGATCCTTTTTTAAATTTAATTTAATTTTATTATTATACTTTAAGTTCTAGGGTACATGTGCACAACGTGCAGGTTTGTTACTTATGTATACATGTGCCATGTTGGTGTGCTGCACCCATTAACTCGTTATTTACATTAGGTATATCTCCTAATGCTATCCCTCCCCCCTGCCCCCATCCCACGACAGGTCCTGGTGTGTGATGTTCCCCTTCCTGTGTCCAAGTGTTCTCATTGTTCAGTTCCCACCTCTGAGTGAGAACATGCGGTGTTTGGTTTTCTGTGCTTGCGATAGTTTGCTGAGAATGATGGTTTCCAGCTTCATCCATGTCCCTACAAAGGAAACAAACTCATCCTTTTTTATTGCTGCATAGTATTCCATTGTGTATATGTGCCACATTTTCTTAATCCAGTCTATCATTGATGGGCACTTGGGTTGGTTCCAAGTCTTTGCTATTGTGAATAGTGCCGCAATAAACATACGTGTGCATGTGTCTTTATAGCAGCATGATTTACAATCCTTTGGGTATATATCCAGTAATGGGATGGCTGGGTCAAATGGTATTTCTAGTTCTAGGTCCATGAAGAATCACCACACTGTCTTCCACAATGGTTGAACTAGTTTACAGTCCCACCAACCGTGTAAAAGCGTTCCTATTTCTCCACATCCTCTCCAGCACCTGTTGTTTCCTGATTTTTTAATGATTGCCACTCTAACTGGTGTGAGATGGTATCTCATTGTGGTTTTGATTTGCATTTCTGTGATGGTCAGTGATGAGGAGCAGTTTTTCATGTGTCTGTTGGCTGCATAAATGTCTTCTTTTGAGAAGTGTCTGTTCATATCCTTCACCCACTTTTTGATGGGGTTGTTTGATTTTTTCTTGTAAATTTGTTTAAATTCTTTGTCGATTCTGGATATTAGCCCTTTGTCAGATGGGTAGATTGCAAAAATTTTCTCCCATTCTGTAGGCTGCCTGTTCACTCTGATGGTAGTTTCTTCTGCTGTGCAGAAGCTCTTTAGTTTAATTAGATCTCATTTGTCAGTTTTGGCTTTTGTTGCCATTGCTTTTGGTGTTTTAGACATGAAGTCCTTGCCCATGTCTATGTCCTGAATGGTATTGCCTAGGTTTTCTTTTAGAGTTTTTATGGTTTTAGGTCTAACATTTAAGTCTTTAATCCATCTTGAATTAATTTTTGTAAAAGGTGTAAGGAAGGGATCATTTTAGTAGCATGAAGACCCCAAAATGGTCAGTGGCACCATCAAAATAAGGAGGTAGTGATAGCATAAACCAGATTTGTTTGACAAGTTCTCAAGATTGGTTCTTGGGCTATTCCTTGGAATTTACCAGGAATAAAAGTTAAGATTTGTTTCAAGACATAAGGAGGAGGAAAAGAGAAAACTACAATGGGAAGTAAGAGTGACAGAACGGCACACCCTTTTTTACTGGGTAATATACCCTAGACCAAAGCAGCAGTTCTGAAAATATTTGAAGTTTTGGAAACTGGAAGCACAATTTCTTGCTGAACTTGAGTCCCAATGCTTTGGATAAAACTAGACAAAATCTGGAACATAATGGAGGCACAGTTTCATCTATATTTAGCACACCTATATTTAGTTTTATTTTATGGAATATCAAGAACTGGCTTAGAAATATTTGTGAAGAAGGCATTTCCCTAAATTCTTCACTTCAGTTTTCATTGTTAGAACCTCCTCAATGTCTTATAACTTCCCTCAGTACAATTATGGCCAGGTTTATCATCACTGCCTGGGAAACCCCAAAAATCAGAGCTTACACAACCTGCCTATAATATACTTGTCATTTAAGCTCACTCTAAAACGCAACCTCTCAGCTCTCTCATTTGCTCAGTTGATAAATGTATCCACACTAATTAAAAGGGATGTAGGAGCTGCAGCAGTGTGATTAATATACTGGCTTGCACAGATAAACATGGTGTTTATAATAGTCAAAAGTAAATTCATTCTGGAAGACAATGAGGCGAACAATTTAGTGAAGCATTAAACTCAGGCACAGTGATTTTGGAACCAGATAACTCATATAAAACATATTCTATATTTTATAGAATATAAATAATGAAATGTATTTTTTCTTTCTTGGGAACTATTGTTATATCTTGAATGCTTTTAGGCATTCTTCCAGAAGTCAAACAAAAAAGGAGAAATTGTTTACTTGAAACTTCTAAGAAGTAAAGAAGGTGATAACTTACACAGGTCATCTCTGAGCTTAAATTGTGCGATGCTAAGAACAAAGAAATCAGAAGGGTTAAGATTCCTATGTGTTTTCACTTCCTCACTTAGCCCATTTTCTGTCCCAGTTTTTCAGTCCTCTGTTGTTCCTGTTCTTTCATGAGCATCAATGTGTGTTCAAAGTAAAAATTGAATGCTTAAATACTGCAGTAAAGGGAAATTAGAAAATCTTAAGTTAGTTTCAGTTTTAGATTTTAAGGCTGGATTCTAAATGCCAGTTTGTTTAAGCGATGCTTTTCCCTTTGTTTCTACATGTTGAAATAGGAAAGTTCTGTGGGAAATTGGCTTCCTGGTGTGAAATGCAAGACTTGAAGTTCAAAGATACTTGTGAAATCCAGTCCTTGTTTTGTTCATTAATTTCTATAAGCAAGCACAACTATTTAGCTAAACAATTCAAGACCTAACTGAACTGTTAAATGTATAAACAGCGGGACAACCATGGGAACTAATTGCCCTTCCCTGAGATGCAGCGACATTTGGGGAAAAGTCACCATATGCACATTTCAAAAGCTGCAGGTGCAACCACATGGAAAGGTTAGGTCAGTTATGGAATTGAAAGTATACTGAAAATATAAACTAACATGAACTAGGAAAAAAAGACCTCATGAAGAGGAAGAAAAATGAGAGGTGGGTGGATTCAGACCCTTGTAAAGACTTCCTGTCAATAGTCCTGGTTTCTCAGGGAAGTCTCATTATGTGGCCTTCATTAGGTGAGTTTGAAAGAGGTTAGGGAGGAAGGGGCTGAGCCAAATAGGGAAGCAGTAGGGTATCCCTTCTCATCTGTCTGTGCCCCACAAGGTTGTTGATTGCTGAAATGGGCAGAGCAGCCTGCCTGTCACATGTGGCATAATGAAATTCCTGCCCACGTCTGTTGTGAGCTCTCTCCTTTGAAGCTGGGCTCTGTTACGGCTGCTCCAAATGAAACATGTACCAAAGTGACCCATGGACAGGGAGAACTGTGGTTTCCATAGAGCTGGCATTTGTTCAACAATGTATAGTATAAGCCTGAATAATAACCGAGGCAGTTTAGAAGGGAAGAGGGCAAAGGCAAAAACAATAATAAAAACCTTAGAAAAAAGTACAGTGGATTCCTGCAGTTGCTTTAATCTCCCCAGTATAACAATATTTATGGAAATATACTATCAACACTGAGAAAGAAATATACACACACATGCATATATACTAAAACACACACCCATAACCACCCATATAGTAATAATTAAAAGGCAGTGACTTGAGTCTCCTTACCTTTCTGAACATCTGTCATGTTTTGGCAGATCATCAAAGCTCCCAGGAACATGGTAACTGACTAGTAAGCCGATGCTCTCTTCACTACCCAGTCTAAATGTGCGTTTCTCTCTGGTACTGTTCCCAAATGGTGGTTCTTTCTTACCCACTGTAAGGCCCCTTTTTCCTGCAGTGTGCATTTATTCTTTACCCTACAAGAAAACAGAATGTGACCAGATGGTTGTTACTAGGAAAGAATTATCCTGAAAAGAAACTAGATGCCAGTTTCTGATTCTTAATTCTCACTCTGTAACTTATGGGTTAAAGGCCCTGAATTTTAAGCTTCATTCTTTTTGGAGGGATAAGTGTGACCACGAGTTCTCCTTTTCTCCAAAGACGAGTGTATAGCTCCTTCATAGAATGTTCTGAAATGCCTGGAGGAACTGGGTCAGCTCTGCAAACAGTACTTACTATCCTTTCACTCTGCAGAAAGCCTGACCTTAACAATTCCACATCTATCCAAATATAAAGAACAAAAGGTAGTGACTCGGCCCCTCTCTCTTATCCCTTCCCCCTCTGCACTCGTGTTTCCTGCATTTAATAAAGGCAGCAGCTAAAATTTAATAGGAATTGGATAACCATGAAGCCATCTCCTGGAGTTACATAGCATGTTTTGTATTATAGTGTTAGGATTAAGGAAGGAAGAAGGCTAAATCTGCCTCTTGCTTCAAAAACTGGTTTCTTGACATCAGATTGACATGGATGGTGAGTGAAATACAGGATGAAGCCAAATAGTGTGTGTGTATGTGTGTGTTGGTGAGTGTGTGTTGAGGTCAGGTTGAAGAGTTGCAAAGTAAAAGTCAGTACATATGATTTTTGTTATTGTGGCAAGTTATTGCTCTAACTGATGTTTCACTGAGTCATCTAAATGTGCATAGAGTAACCGCCTTAAATACAGAATGTATTCCAGTAAAAGTGCTATAGCAAAGCTCCTTGGCTTTTTTCAAATAAGGTGTTTTCAAGCTGACATGCTGTTCATTGGGTTTGATGGTGCACACAGGAGATCTGTGTGTTCCCAAATACACCAACCTTCTTAACCATCACTAGACTGAGGCTAGTTCCTATGGGAAATATAAACTTCTTTGTTTTCAAAAAAACATATGGGCCAAATTAGAAAGTAAATAAATGAATACCTCTCAAGAATCCATGATAACACTTGCCGAGCAGTGGGTCAGGCCAGATTTAATCTAAAATCTTTCTGCTGCGTGTAAATGATTATGTCATAGCATTTGTCTTTAATTACTCACCTCTTTCCAAAGGCTTGACTCATAATGCGTTTCTCAGTTAACCACAAACACTTGTACTACAAGATTTGTCATATAGATTCACTCACTCCCTATACCCACCCCTTCTTCTTTCCCCTTCGCTACAACATTGTTAAGTCGTAGCTCCTGAAAAAGAAATTTTGAGACATTGTCTAAACCACCCCTTCCCTGATGTTTTGAAAATTTCCATGCAAAGAAAAATGGCACCGTCCCTTTCTTGACTCATGAAGACCACTATAGTAGACTTAATAGTAGTGGGAAATAGCAATACTCTATCATCATGGTTTTACACTTATATGACTTTGTTCCTCTGAGAATTTCTAAGAGTTTCAAAACATATGAAAAGAATAAAGACAATGGGTTGTAGCTTGTAAATGAGTACAAGTCAATTAAGCACCCACATACATATTTTTTCCTTCATCACTTCACTTCTCACCTCACCTTCCCCTGTGAGAAACAGAATGAATTCTGATTTAATTGAGTGAATTAAATCAGTCATGTCCTCAGCCCACTTAGCACATATTGTTAATCCACTCAGTTTTAGCAGAGGTGTTGGCTCTCATTGGTGATTGTTTCCATATCTTCTGACCAATCCTGTAAGAAGTTTGGGATTATAGAATTTGGGGGAAATATAAGAAATGACACAATCCTAAAGGTATGTCCATCCAGGATTGGTGTTATTTGTAGGTAAAGTAGGAATCACCTAAATGATGCAATTTGGGAGGTTTAAAGGATTTTCATCTCAGCTTACTACAACCTCCACCTCCTGGGTTCAAGTGATTCTCCCTGCCTCAGCCTCCCGAGTAGCTGGGATTACAGGCACCCACCACTATGCCCTGCTAATTTTTGTATTTATAGTAGAGGCGGGGTTTCACCATGTTAGCCAGGCTGGTCTCAAACTCCTGACCTCAGGTGACCCGCCTGCCTCGGCCTCTCAAAATATTGGGATTACAGGGGTGAGCCACCACGCCCAGCCTTAAAGGCTTTTTGACTCCCAAATCTTGATCCTACTAACCTGAAATTTCCATTTTGTTAGTTCGTGAGGGTTTTTTGTTTTTGGTGGGTGGGGGGTTGGGGGGTGGGGGGGCATTGAATGAAAAGGTCTCTAAACAGCCACAAGAATTTTCTTAAGGTTAGAATGAAAATTGCAATACTGGCAGGGCTTAATGTCATATTAGTTTGTGCCTCCAGGAAGGAGGTGGAAAGATGGCTGGGACCCTGAATCTTCATTCTGTATCTGTTGTCTATTATAATTCCAGTGGAGGTTATTACTATATAGGACATGATCCCCAATTCCCTTCTGGGATTCTTGACTCGGGGTAGTGGCCTAAGGCCCCGTATCAACAAGAAAATTCCTTCTACCTATTTGATTCAAATTAGATTAAGTAGCCTCCTTGGCGCCTTTCCTGTAGTGTGGACCCTAGTAACTTAAATCCTGAAGTCTTATCAATTTGACAGTGAGAAGCTAAAGAAAGAGGAGCCTTTTAAAAAGTGTCAAGGGGAAAAAGTGTCTCTTGCTCCCCCTAAGCCTCTCATTCCATGTCTGTTTTCCTCTGGATACCAAACAGGTTGCGGCATGGGATTGCATCAGCCTATGGGGAAGAAAAAGAAGAAAATAGACAATCTGCACAGAATATGTAAAAGGAGAACCAAAGCCCAAAGAGAAAAATGCTGAGAAGTCGCCAGCAAAGAAAGCACAGTAAACAACAGCAGGGGCCGGGCGCAGTGGCTCACGCCTGTAATCCCAACTACTCAGGAGGCTGAGGCGGGGGAATCGCTTGAACCCATTAGGCGGAGATGGCAGTGAGCCAAGATAGCACCACTGCACACCACCTCATGACAGAGCTAGACCCCGTCTCAAAAAACAAAAACAAACAAACAAAAAAACAGCAGGAGGCAGAGGAGTTTTCCATAATCGTACACCTTCTACTGATGTGCTCTCCATTAGCCAGCCTTGACTTCACCAACATCACTGCTTCTCCTCCTCAGGGCTGGGTGGAATGGGGTTATGGTGGAGAGCTGCAGAAAAGCTTTAGCCACCCCCAGCTGTTAGAGGGTGCAGCACAACTCGCTTTAATTGCTCATGTATTCTACTGGCCCAAGCAGTCTGCAAGGCTGAGAGTGAGTTGAAGAACACTGACTAGGCAAATGAAGACAAGAAGAATTTGAAATGGCGAGGCAATTGAGGTCCTGAAGAAATGAAGCACATGAAGATGGGGGAGCAGCTCAGAACATCAGGAGGCAGTAATGGGATACTGGGTGCTTGGAGGGGAACGAGAGGTAGTGGCAGTGGATTTCATCTGATCAGCAATTTTATTTGACTTAGTGTGACAAATGGACCAAACAAAGAAACTATTCTGTTGTTGATGATCCCTATAATCATTCCCTAGGAATAGTGTGATATAGTTTGGCTGTGTCCCCACTGAAATCTCATCTTGAACTGTAGCTCCCACAATTCCCACATGGGAGGTAATTGAATAATGGGGTCAGTTTTCCCCATACTATTCTCTTAGTAGTAAATACGTCTCTTGAGATCTGATGGTTTTATAAGGGGAAACCCCTTTCACTTGGTTCTCATTCTCTCTTTGCCTGCCACCATGTAAGATGTGCCTTTCATCTTCCACCATGATTTTGAGACCTCCCCAGCCACGTGAAACTGAGTCCATTAAACCTCTTTCCTTTATAAATTACCCAGTCTTGGGTATGTCTTTATCAGCAACATTGAAAATGGACTAATACATAGGAAAATTGATTTTTAAACTAAAAACTGTTCTTTCAAGACGAGAATATTTATCCTATACTTCCTGCTGTCTGTATCTAAAGGTTTGCTTACACATGTCATGTTTTGCCCCAAATGTCCTTACTTCTCTAACCCAGACCAACTTGAACTTTTTCTGTATATTTCCTTGTTCAACTGAGGAAACATACCTCTTGTTGGCTTCTTTCTTACATGAAAACTGAGCTCCAGTTTCTGACATCTGGGTTGGCGATACTTCCGGTTTCTCACTCATGCACATCTCTCTGATCCAGTTTTCTTGGCACTTTTTCTTTCTGACTAGGAAAAATTTCCTAAGCTGTTCTTGCAGTTACCATGCCTTCCTAGGTGATGTACCCTTCGTGAATGATTTTCTTTCTACATGATAGTAAGCCTTCAGTCTAGACCTGGTTGTTCTACATTCTGATCTAAGATTCAATAGAATTCCCTTCTCTTTGTGCCCACCATTATCCTACACACCAGAAGAATTGTCAATTTCTTTTCATTAATACTGGCCAGTTGTGGATTTTTTCTTTTGTCTGATAGAGTCATCATTCAGATCATAACTGATATCTCACACATTTTCTTTGATACTTGATATAGAAATAAATTATCATATACACACGCTCACAAATGGAACCACCCTTACCTTGGGGCACAATATCTATATAAATAAGCCACATTAATAAACCTCAATCAAAATTATATACAGTATCTATATCAATAAGCCAGAAACCTCAACCAAAATTATAAAATTACACTTGTACTACTAGTGCTAATGTCATCATTTGCCAACACAAAAAGTACTTTTGTTGCAATTATTTTCTTCTTTCCACCATTCTAAGTTTGAATACCTGGGATTGACTAAAATTGCAAAACTAGTTCTATGTTTAATGTTTTTATTCATGAATAAGTGTCTTGTTTTCTATCCTTATTAACTTTTTTTCTTGCTAATAATGAATTTATTTTATTTCTTATACCACAGGGGTTTTCATAAGTAACTTTCAATCCTTTTTGGAGCAAAGCAGAAGTTATTTGGTAAATTTATTAATGTAAATATTCTTTTATTCTCTTTTTTTTCTGTTCCTTCTCCATTTTTGTAGTTCAACACTTTTCAAATTAGTCTTAATTATTTGATCTGACCATTGCCATAACCTGTAATTGGATAAAAATGTCTAAGTACTGGTCTCGGTTTGACACTTAGAAGCAGTAACCTCAGAATGTTCCTTAACTCTACTTAATGAAAAGAGAACTGTCCTTATAATGAGGACAAAGGGATAAATAAATAAAATCATAAATATGAAAAGTCTTAACATGATACCTGAATCATACTGTATCCTTAATAAATGCTCTTTGATTCGTGAATTATAAAATATGATTTTTTCCATCCTGACCTAATATTTGTCATACGTTTAGCAATGACAATCATGCCTTACAGTGTAAGATTCTTGGGAACCTTCTTTCTGGCTTAAACATTTCACCAGGGTCCCAACTGTGAAGTCATTAATCAAATAGGTATGCAAAAAATTTTAGATGTGGACAAATCCTTTCCTTCTTGAGTAAATGAAGCATTCTAAATAGCCGTGTCTATTTTGTCTTTTTATTATGCATTTCAAAGAAGGCATGAGTGGGTTTTCTCTGGAATGCCCGGTGAGCCTTCATTGCTGAAATTGGGGTGATACCCATTTTTCTCCAACCAACTCTGACAATGCTTAATGGGAGTGAGAGGAAGTGATTGGTCTTAAGAGGAAATGCAATGAACAATTTTCTTTCTCTCGGTCAGCTATGACAGCATATAGAAAGAACTTGAGTTTCAAAGGCTGTGACTGCTGCAGGAAACTCTAGAACCTGTGGCGTTCAAGTAGGATAACTGTCTCCCTCCAAAGCATTTTGGTAATCTCCTCCTCGCCCCCACCCCCTCTGATTTATGACTGTATCTTTTGACCTTCTTTCTTTCTTCATAAAAAGCACTAAGTTGCCATTTATATAGCAGAGGACAGCAGATAAATGTTAAAATTTACTGTAGATCCTCACTGGGGAATGGGCTTACAGATCTCTCAGGCACCAAGTGTCACAAAAGCATGTGAGTTTTGATATCCTTCAGTCATGTGAGGAGTAATCATAAAAGGACAAAGTCCTAAAAAAAATTAAACTTTCCATAGACAGAGCATAGCTGCATTTTAAGTAACCACTTTAAAGAAATGACTGCTGTTTTGGCAAAAGCTAGTAAGCCACAGAAAATTAATTTCATGTTTCATTGACATTACTTTCAGGAATTTCATGTTGACATAACCTATAGAATAAGGGTGAGATACTGCAGACAATATATTTAATGCTGCTCTACAAGCAAAAAATATTTTAAATCCAAACAGAGACTCAGCTTTATGAAATAATCATCTTCTGTGTGACAATGAATGAAACTGTAATTTTCACATTAATTGTCTAGATGCTAATTGCTTCTAGAGCAAAAGTTTAAATCAAATTGTGAGCTCTTTTTAAGGCCTCTGTGTTGAACCTAAGTTACATTTCAAACTAATTCTTATTTTGTCTTCCATGTAGATAGCAATGCTTTTATATGATTGATATATTAAAAATATCAACTAATGTCTGATTCAATTGTATGCTAAGCTAAAAAGAAGGCACCTATAAACACGTACTTCTAAATACATTCAACAAAATAATTGCTTTTATCCAAATCAAAATGTTTTCACTTACTCCACAGTTGAGAGAGAGGGAGATTATTGGCTTTGACCAGCAATATGCATGTTTGTCTCATAAAAGCTGTATGTCCTCATTCTTTGCGTTCGCATCTGTCACCATGAATCTGTGATCCACCTGCTGAGAAGACTATTGATTGACTGTTGTTTGACCAAGGCTCTCTTTGGGTCTGAGGTAACAAGCCTTGTTTATATAATGCACAGTTTCTGTTTCTACCTCTTGGCTTTGAAATCTGCTCAAAGTCACATATTAGCAACTGGCAGAAATCTGGCTAGTATTCCTGCTGTTGTAAAGGCTTCTCAGCTAGTTTCTATCATGTAAAGGTATGATTCAACACATCTATTAAATGTTCTTCTCATCCTTCTGGCTTGTCATTTGTGCTCTTGCCAGTATACCGTAAAGCTGGGAATTCACTGAGTCTGGCAGATTTGAAAAACACTTGGTAATATAGATATCTCAGGCATTGGCTAGGTGGTTAGATCTCTTTGATTTTATGACTCCCAGATTTCATCATGACAACCATTGCTTGAAGTCACAGAAAAACTTTCCTGTTGTGATTTAGTATTGCCACGTGTATTAGACAATTATTACCACAATAATGTCGCATAATAAGCCATTCCAAACTCAGTAGCTTAAAACAACAATTACTCTCATTCACACATCTGCAGATTAGGTGGAGGTTGGCTGATCCAGGTTGGTCTTCACTAAGCAATGCTCCGTTTTTGTGTTAAAACTGGGTCCACTTTATATATTTCTCATCTTCTTTGGACTGGTGGACCAGCCAGGACTTAACTCATGGTAATAGCAGAAGCATAAGAGAGGAAATGAAAACAAACAATGCTAATGCCTATTTGCCAAACTGGCAACTGTCATTTATGCACACATGCCGTTGCCAAAGCAAGAGTCTAAAGTCAAGGACAGATAAAGTACACTCCACTTCTAGTGGGAAGAACCACAAAGTCTTAAGGCCAAGGGCCGGACACAATGAGAGATTAGGTATTGGAGCCAACAATCCAATCTATCACACTGTCAAATGTCAAGTAGGGTGAAAAGCAGTCTGTAGCCG
The DNA here is from genome assembly GCF_000001405.40 of Homo sapiens. Taxonomy (NCBI): domain Eukaryota; kingdom Metazoa; phylum Chordata; class Mammalia; order Primates; family Hominidae; genus Homo; species Homo sapiens. The sequence continues at coordinate 219,331,777 of NC_000001.11, forward strand.
TAACTCAAGGAGCTGCTAGTGGTGCGTTGGAGAGGTACAATTTTGTGGGTAATGAAGAAGGCCACACAACATCTTTCCCTTGACTTTTACCTGCACCTTGCTATCATGTGAGAGTCTCACCGCTTCTGGGGCATTACTAAGGGATTTCACAGTGGAATTCTGAATCTTTGTTAATTAATGCTAGGTTGCATAGAATGCTAATAGTTACTATTTGTGGTAACACTAGCCCGAGGTTCACTAAGATGGAAAAGGAAGAATTTTACAGAGATTTGTAAATTTGTGTAAGGAAAAGACTGAAGCAGAAGTGATGTTGTGTCATTTCACACTTAGACTTTAAGAAAACTGGCAGCTTCTGCTCCCTCTTTCTTGAAACCCACCTACCATTCAAGCAGTCAGGTTACCCTGCTGGAGACACCACATGAAAAGACAAGGTGGAGCTGGGGATGTGGGATAAGGGAGAGGATACCTGGAGGATAATTGAAGAGCCCAGCCAACAGCAGGATCCTGGACCCCAGACACGTAACACTAGTTGAGTTGTTTTAGTCAACCCCTGTTTGTTCAAACCATCCCAGGTGAGTTGCCAGATATATGAGTGAAGAGACCATCTTGCCTTCTTCAGCCCCAGAAGATATCATATGAAGCAGAGATGAGTAATCCCTGCTGTGTTGCTTCTGACTTCCTGATCTACAGAATTCTGAAAAATAATGAAATTGTTACTGTTTTAAGCCACTAAGTTTTGGGGTAGTTTTATATGCAGCAATAGATCATTGAAACAACTTCTCATTGGAATTTCTCTAAAAGAATTCTTATTTGGCCTTTATCATTTTGCCATTTTGAGTCATTGTTTCTATGGAATATGGTACTTTTATTGCACAGAATATTGGTAAAAATGATGAAGAGAAGACTTATTTCTTATTACTGCATGAGTTTGGAGAAGAGTTAGTTTATTCTTTTGCAACTAAATGTTTTTTTTTAAAGCATAAAACCTATAGATAGATTATCTAAAGAAAGGGGTTCAATAAATTAATGTATTAGCTGATTTTCTGCCCCCCCCCCCCAAATTAAACCAGATGGAAGGATTACCACCTATCAGAGGCTCTGGGGGAGAATCCATTTCTTGTTTATTCAAGCTGTTGGCAGAATTCAGTACCTTGTGAGTATAGAAACTAGGTCCCAGTTTTCTAGCTGGCTGTAAACTAAGAGCTGTTCCCCACTTTTAAAGGCCATTTGAATTCCTTGGCTATGACTCTCTTCTTTCATCTTCAAAGCTAGCAATGACTGGTCATGTCCCTCTTACACTTCAAGTTGATCCTTTCTCTACTTCTGTCTCATTTTCTCACCCTGCCAAGGGTACGTGTGATTAGACTGGGACCCTTCGTATAATCCAAAATAATCTCCCTATTTCAAGGATGACTAACTAGCAATCTTTATTCCATCTGAAACTTTAATTTCACTTTGCCATATAACACAACAAAGTCCCATATTCCAGGAACTAGGACACTGATGTCTTTGGAAGATCCATTACTCTGGCTACCATAGCAATATTCCCACATTGCTCCATTCCAAGAAGCTCCTTTAACATCACAGTCTATGTAAATAGTACTCTCAGGAGTTGCACAGTAGGCAGCTTGTACAGTCATACATGGCAGCACTTAGAAGCATATTAGAACAGAGGTAAGGGTGGTTGCATGTCTAGGGCTCCATTTCTGTGTCACCAATGCTCCCGATCTCAAACTGGAAGGTCACTACCTTCCTCTCATTCTGGAGTAGGCCTTCTTTTTCCAACCCCTTTCTCTATTAACCCAAGAGAAAGATTTTCTCTTAGACATAAAGAGATAATTGAAGTTCTTAAAAGAAATGTTTATAAGAGAAATAAGAATTTTTAAAATTACAGAAAGAACAAGTTTTAGGACAGATTATTCAGCAAGGCAAAACTCCTAGGTATCACTGATCCTTCAGCTCGTTCTCAGGTCTAGCTTTTCTTCTTATAGTATCCTGAATGGATTCTAGCTCTACTTACTAAGCTATGTCTCACTGTCCAGCTGAATCAGCCTTTCTCATATGTCACCAGCTAGCACCTTGTCCAGGAGACAGCTGCCAACTTGCCCTCTTTCTGTTTATGGTAATATTATTAATTCTTTTGCAATCTAATTTTGAAACCATGAGATTGACTTGAGAAAGATTGACATAGGGCAATGTCTCTCAACTTTATGATGGAAAACATTTTTCAAACATTTCTAATGTAAAATGTCTATTATTTAAAGACTTCAAATGAAGCCTTCCTTGTTTATTCAGTTTCCCCTTCACCTTCCCTTGTAGCTCCTGAAACTCTATCATAGAATCCCAAGGCTTCTTTGATCATGGTTTTGAAAACATTACTATAATAGAAAGAACCTTGAAAAAGGAGAGAGAATACATTTCTTAATTATATCAACCTTGTGACTTTGAGCAACCCTCTTAACTCTGAGTTTCTTTTCTGATATAACTGAGAATAATATCTGATCAATTTGTTGGACTGCTTTGATCATCAGTCTCATCTCCCACTGCAATTCTGCTCCCCATTTATACTTTAATCTTCTAATGTTGTAGGATTATTTGCCCTCCCCTAATACTCTGCCAATTTTTATGACCCTGGGCCATTGACCACTTTTTCTTCTATATCTAGAATACATTTTCCTTTTTTCTTTCAGTGAAATCCCTACTTTTCCAGCATAAATGACAGCTTTCTGACCCAATCATAATGAAGAGGGGTGTGTGTGTGTGTGTGTGTGTGTGTGTGTGTGTTTAATCTGCATTTGCATGGCATTTTGTATAACAACTTTTTACACCATGGCTGAGTTTTGATAAAGAAATAATTGTAAAATTTGTATCTATTTTATCCGGCATCTAATATAATCCTTAGTATGAAATAGATTCCCAGTAATTGTTTTTAGAATGAATAAATCAAAAACTTAAAGTTTTGTATTGTGTACTTATTATTATTATGCTAGCCATTTCTGTGTGAAGACTATTTTTTATTCCTCTGCATACCTTACCTTAGACTTTTAAACTCTTGTTGTATTAACCTACCAATACTCCACTCACAAAAGCATTCTTGGTAACATGGAAGGCACAGAAAACCTAATAAATGAAAAGGAGAATTTGTATATTTTATAGCATGGTTTTCCAAATTTTTACCATGCTTGTTTGTGCTCCCAAATTTCTTCTTTCCCATACTTGCACTCATGGTTCTGCTCTACCACATCTACCTTCTTTCCAAACCCACTTCTCAAAACATTTCCTCCATATACAGAAAACTCTCATAAATCAAGTCAAATTTTCTTCATCCAACTACATTTTTACATTAATAGAGAACTGAGCAGAAGAATTTTTTATTAGTTTAGGTCTCATATTTTGTTTTCTCAGCTCTATTTTCAATTACCACCTGTATTTGTGTATCTTGAATCAATTCCATCGATACTATCCCCTCCTGTTCACACTCATTTCATTGGTTCAAGTTACCACTTCTGTATATTTTTCAGGGTAAGAACTGCTGAATTACTTATTAAGTTAACTACAAAAGTGAAAGAATCAGGACCTACTTCAAAAAGGCATCATATTCCAGATTTTAGAACACAGCATTTTCTCATTTATATGTAATTTTTCTGGGGTATATCTTCACATACACATAAGCTTAACTTTCATTTTAACTTAGCTGAAAAAAAAACATTAGAATTTATAAGAAACATAAAGTGCGATATGTAATTAGAAACAGTAATTTGGTAAGAGAAAAAATGGGGTTTATATTGTATTCTTATTTAGGTAGTTGTGTTGCAGAATAAAATTTTTTAAAAAACTGCACTAAAAACTCTTCCCTCTAGAATGAGAACTCTCCTTGCTCCTTCATGGTAAAATAATTCATTAATCTATTCATTTACATATTATTTATTCACTTGTATCTTCATCACTAAATATCCACTGAACACTTTAATGCGCCCAGAATTGTGCTACAACTGGATACACAGTTGCCAATAAACAGGTTTGTTGATATCACAAAGCTTATGAGAGAGACAGATACAAACCCAATTAGCACAACGAAGTAAGTTGTGGACAGACCCTAATAAGAAAAATATTTGAGCAGGGGCATAGAAGAGTGAAGTCAAGAAAAGGTGATGTCAAGAAAGGCTTCACAGAGCAAGTGATGCCTGATTATCACATTAAATAATACCTGGGTGTTCTCTAGGTGACCAAACAGAAAGACATTCTCAGCAGAGGTCGAATGTCTTTCTGTTTGGTCACCTAGAGAACATTTTGACAACATTGCTCACAAACAGTGTTGACAAAAAACTCTTGGCACAGGTGTTACATCAACAAAGTGTATCTTTGATGTCCCATGATATCCCCTTTTATCAAGGATATAGTTTCTCTCAACCAAGAGTTCTATTAGCTACACCAGCTAATTTTGGAGGCACAGGGATGATGGCTTCAAAATTGAGTTGTTGCAAAAAGCCTGAATTTTATTAGTGAGCATACCAAGGTTTAATTAATTCTACTGTTACTACTTACTTGTCATGATATATTGGGGAAATAATTTAATCTCCCAGAGATTCACATTCTTCATTCACCAAGATAATGACACCTATTTTATTGTGTTATGTGAGGATTAAAATAGATAATGAGTAAAAAATACTTAAGACAGTACCTGGGATATGTTATGCACTCAAAAATGGTGACTTTTTTTACTAGCAGTGATACCAATACCAACACTGTTGCCATTGGGAACACTGCAACTATTGATAATAACAATTGTTACTATTTTCTGAGTTCCTTGGGCCAGCAAAAGTACAAAGTCCTTTACATGCCTTAGCCAATTTACTTGCCATTTCTACTATTATTATTCCTACAACTAGTATTGCCATAAAATCATTGTTGGAGGTAATGATATCAAAGTGTCCATAAATGTTATTTTCTCATGGCAATGTGCAACCTACCTATAACCAATCAGCTTGGGAAATGGAAAGCAATGTTTCTTTTTTCTTAATTGTGCTTTCACTACTGAATTCAGTAGAGTAAAAGAAATCTGCCTCAATATTATTTTGAGATATAGGACTGTATTATTTTCCTAGGTCTGCTTTCAAAATTACCATAAATTTAATGACTTATGACATCACAAGAAATGAGTTCTACTGGGCTGGAATCAGGTTGTCAGCGGGGCTGTTTTTTCTGAAGGCTCCAGGGGAGCCTGTTTCTTACCTCTCCCAGTTTTTAGAGGGTGCTAGCATTCCTTGGCCTGTGACTGCATTACATCATTCTCTGCTTTTATCTTCTCATTGTCTTCTCCTCCTTAACTTCTGAATATCCTGCCTCTCTTTTCTAAGAAATCTCGTGATTACATTGGGCATTGGATCCACTCTGATCAACCAGGATTATCTCTCTTGTTTAAGATCTTTAACTTAATCACATATACAAAATCCCTTTTACATACAAGATAACTTACTCAGAGGTTCTGGGGATTATGACACAGACATCTTTTGGAGGGCTATTATTCCATCTAGCACAAAGATTGTCAAATTGATGTTAAATTATTCAGGGAATAAGAACATCTGAAGAAGGTTTATAGTAATATTGTGATATAGAAAATATCTACACAGTGTAGAACATAAAACACATAGTGTAACCCATAAAACAAATATTCTCTTTGAATACATTCTGTTTCTTGTATTTCATTTGATTAAAGCAGGAGCACATGGGAGATTTGCAAGTAAGTAGACTCCACCTTGACTGGTCACTAGCTATGGGCTGGTGTACTTCATCTAGGAAATATTTTCCAACTACTCACATCAAAGAGGCTGTTCCATTTCTGTTCTGTATGTGAAGACTGTGGCTGATCAAAATTACTAAAAGTGGGGTGAAGGAATCAGTAAACCATAGCACACAAAAGCTGGCTCTTCACCTGTGTTTGTAAATGAAGTTTCATCGGAACACAGCCATGCCTATTTGTTTCTGTGTTGTCTATGACTGCCTTTGCATAACAAGGACCAAACTGTGTATTGCAACAGACAGCTTATGGCCTGCAGAATCTAAAATACTTATTAACTCACTACAGAAAAAAATCACCAACCCCAAGGTTAGAGAACAAATTTCAGAATTAAAAAGACACACATGTGAGTTCCAGCTCTGCCACATGCTAGCTGTTTCATCTTGGGCATGTTACTTGCTGTGGGCATTTGTAGTTATTTGGCCTCTAAGAATCTGTTTGTGTTTATTATTATTTTGGTAATAGTTCACCTAAATTTTGATGAGGGACCACTCCTTCCTCATTCTCATTTTACGTGGTTTGGATGGAACTTACCCTACCCCAAGTTTCAAGGGCAAGCATGCAACCTAGACCGAAGCCAAAGGGCTAATTTAGGAATTTTGTCAGGGAGAAACATTTAATCCAATATGGACTAATGTCAACCAGGGATAGATGCATTCCATTTAGGCAAGAAAATATCTAGAGCTACTGCTTACTGTATAACTCCTTATAAAACTTGGGAATGAGGCCAAGAATAGATAAAATAAAAAATAGGAAAAAACCTGAATTCCGATAATGTTATTTGTGACCCTGCATGAAACCACACATGAAGCCAGCTATATGCATGGGGTTTTCAGTTACATGTATCAAAACATTCTGTTGTTGCTTAAGTCAGTTTGGGTTTGGTTATCTGTTACTTGCAGCTAATAGAGACCTAACTGATATAATATCTAAACTTGCTGAGCCTCAGTTTCTTCATCTTTAAAAACTAGAGTGAAAATATCCACCTCAATATCTTTTGTGATAACTAATTGAGATCATGTACCTGGCACATGGTACAAAAAAAAAACAAAAACAGAAGTGGTAATTCCCATTTTCATCATCAACATCATGATTAATGTTAAAGGTAGACCTAACATTGCTTCATCTCAGTAAATTCTACAAAATGCACATCTGAGCTCTCCCCTTGACTTAATATAGAAAGTTTAGTAACTCCATGCCTTAGATATTTTTATTTGTAAAGTAGAGATGACTAAATATTCATCTTTTTTTCAATGTTTTATGAATTAAGTGCCATCATGGACATAATTATTTTAATAATATAATATATTACATTAATTTTTGCAATAAATATTTGCAATAATCTTTGCAACAAATCTGTAAGTTGATTAGACCAAATTAGATCAGATCAAATGCCTAGATATGTGTAAATATATATGTGTATTTACTCAGCGGTCAGTAAGGCTGCCTCACCCTATATTAGGGTCAGAGATAATCTAGAAGAAGGAACTCATACCACGTCTGGCCCTGGCACTAACAAGACCCTTAGTGAGACCCACATTGAGCTCTGTACACTGGGTCATCCACGCTACCATGAAACAGGATATGGTCTCACCCTGCGTAAGTCATAGAGAGACATAGATGTCATTGTTTGTCCCAAAAAACAAAAGTCTAGATCTAGGAGGACTGAGTCCCAGATCCTCTTCCTCCATGACATCCCTATGCAATATGGTGAAAATTACTTGATTTCTCTGAGCCTCAAGTACTTCAAGTGTGCAATGCAGATGAGTGTAACTACCTTGTCTATCCCACGGTATTATAATAAGGAGCAACGGTGATAATAGCTATGAGAAAGTTTTAGGAAAAAGTAAAATATGTTGCTGTTCTCTCCATTATTATTAAGAATTAAATCCTTTTCCATGGATTTTTTAAAAACAAAAAACTTTTGCATACACAATTTACACAAATATGCAGCTAACTGTTGTTTCACTCTGAGTCAGCAGCTGAATGGTGTCTATCGTTTGCCAAGTTTAAAAATAGATGCTAGTCTTCTATTAACACTGGGTTCAAGAAAATTTAGGTTTAGCAATGGGTATCACTTGCATTTATTCCCATTTCTAGCTTAGAGGTCTTTGGAAGACTGTTTAGAAAACCTTTGGGCAATGAATAGTCTTACAAAACAACATTTGATGAGTTGGAATAAATGAATTAGAAACATATGGACCAAATTTCCCCAAAAATACATCAGGGTTGAAAAATTAGGGAGAAAAAAACACTTGGCTTTTCTGAAATATGTAAAGGCTAGCTTGAGAGACTTGACTAACCAAAAACTCCACAGCATTTTTGCACCACATATTGGCAAGAACTTGAGCTTCCTCTTCACTGACTTTTGGTACTGTTCATCAATTTCTCCCTTTCCAATGCAGGAATTTAAAATTATTATATTGTTTTCTCCAGGATTCTAAGACTCTCAAAAGTATATGCATGGAAAACCTAACCCATTTATTACAAACATTATGTGCTGATGAAAAAAATGTATGGTATATAAATATTTATCTTATAAAAATTGACATAATTTATTGAACAAAATGCACAGCTTACAAAATAACTAATACTTATAACCAATTACTATCGTTGTGGGTATCAACAAAGTGATGGAAAGAAGTTATAATGTTCAGTTTAGTTAAGTCTGTCTGGGGCAGCTTTAGTAGCTCTGGTGTTCTTTGAAAGTCATAGAAGCAGGTCACTTTAATATTACAGGTGCCACAGTCTCTTCTTGATTTAACCCCAGGCTCAAACCACATTAAGCTACCTAGATCTCGCTTCTGTTATTATACAAGAAAGAATAAGAATTGTCCTAACTGTTCATATCTAATGGAAGTGGTGAACACAACCAACCAATTAAGAGGATGGGATACCAATGGATGTGTGGGTGAGGGGAGGGGAAGTTACATTACATTAATGCTTATTCCAGCTCCTTCTTACTTATTCATAATAGGTGGGTTAGGTTTTCCATGCGTATACTTTTGACAGTTAGAATTTTACTGTTCTTCTCACTTAATTTTAGAATGTTTTCCTTTTATCTAAATTCTAAACAGATTCTTCCCTGCTTTTAACGAAGTTGAATCGATGGTCATTAAAAAATATATATATTTCTTTCAGTAACTCTAATGAGTTTCCCATTTACACTGAGTAACTTTATGAGGCTGAGATGAGAACATTAAAAGGATCATCATTTATTACTAGTCTGAAAATTATCAGTGAAACGACAACTAGAACTGAGGGCTTTCTGCCTTCACCTTTCTTTATATAACCCAGGAACCCATTTGTTTTGTAACAAGAGAGGGCAATGAGTAATACCTCTGATCTCCTATCTGTTAAAGCCTTTTCTAGCCCTTCCCAGCTCTGAGGGCTTCCTCTAAACTGCTGTAGTCTTTGTCTGAACTAATTCAGCATTTATCTTAATGTGCAAGGCCTTATTCACTAACATTCCATGTGCATGTATCTGTATCTGTCTAATCTACCCATTCAAATTGAATATTCCAAAGATAGGAACAGCTTATGCATCATAAAACCCACAGACTTATAATGCATATGGAGTGTATGCAAGACACAGCCTGTTTATTATTCCTTTTTTGGTCATGTTAGTAATAACCAACTTGTCTGATATATGTTTCACTAAATAAGCTCAAATACTTCATGGAGTGCATAAAGTTAATAATTTGAATACACATTCCCAGATTTCATTACTTTTAACAATATATTATGCTAGTTCTAGAATACATGTACTTGCAGTATACCCACATGCAGAAATTCCTTCAGCTCTAAACTTTTACACATTTCCTTTCTTCTCAGTTTATATTAATGTGGGCTGTTCCATAAGCAACATGGCTCTCCTTTCAGAAAAGGTTCAATTTTATTTTATTTTATTTCTCAAGGTGGAGTTTATTATTTTGAGTCAACTTGATAAATTGTAAGATTCAATATTAGACAGTTGGGTAATGTATGTTTTATTTTGTTTTAATGTGCTGCATTTATTATACTTCTCTGTCCTGAACCAAGTGGCCTTTTTATTATTAAAAATCTAATGAAAACAAAGTTCACAAAGAACCATTTTAAAGAATACACTTATCATTTTTTTCTAGTAGGTGGACTTACAAGAACCTGTTTTTATAGGTCTGAGCATGAATGACAAGCTGTTTGCTTGAGATTTATGTAGAATTTATAGTAAAAATGAAGTTTACATTTATTTTAAAACTAAATTAAGTGGATTCAGAAGCCATTTAAATAAAAAGTTGATTGAAATCTGAACCATGACAGTTTCTCAATAAGGAGCATTTGATATCTTTCTAATAGATTTGTTTTACTGAAGAGAAGTTTTAAATTAAGGTCAGGCTGGGGAAGAATAACAGGACTATTCTCAATACTTTTTATTAGAAAAATTATTATACTCACATTGTATTTATATCAGTTTATTTCAATGCACTTTTTTTGTAACACAGTCAACAATCACAACTTATCCATAGCCACCTTGTGGTTAATAATTTTTACTAAATCTTGGTCATCCCTTTGCATCTGGGTATCAATAATGAATCATTTCAAACTTACATTGACCCACTAGCTGCTGAGAAACAATTCTCCATGAGTCTCTCAAGGTTTTGCATGACTTGTAAGCAGAGACACAGACTGACTTTGTTCTGGGTTATCTTTTTAAGGATGTTTGAGTATAGAACAGCTTTAGGAGGGAGATAGAGATAGTAAATCCTCCAGAGATAAAGACAGACAAGCTTAGTGATTATTTAAAATGATTTGGGACCCCCTTAGCTCAAGGTTTCTCTCTTTTAATACAACCCACTACATTTGCGGGCCCTTTTTGCATCACCCTATTAGGCCCCAAGGAACCTGCACAAGGAAGTGCTGATGCTCTGGCTACTGCTGTTGTTATGAGCAACAAACTCCATTGTCTCTGACCCAGGAGTCTCGTGGTTTCCGCAGACTCCATGAAACTGGCAGCCTAATTTGTTAGTTTATAAGTAAGGGACAATCTCAGCCCCTTCACAGTTCTTAGCACTAGTCTTGCATTTTCTGAATTGCTTTAAAAAAATTCCTCTTTGACTGTATGAAGTTAAGGCTGCATAAAGACAAGACTGCTGGTTAAAAAATGAAAAATTCAGTCAAGTGTCCAGTGGAATGATTTGTGTTGAAACTAGATTATTTTATTAAGTGACTGAGTTGACTCATTGTTTTTCTAATGTCTAAATAGTTTAAGTTGGTTAGCATTTTAAAGATTAAAACAAAAAGTAAAATGGTTTAATTTTCAATTTCCAGTTTATTGTTTCGAAATCACACAGAGAGGATTGATTTAGTCCCTTTTTTCTTATTGAAGTTTAATTAATAGATTGTTTATTTCATGGATGAGGTTATGTGATGCTTAATGGGAGGAGCACGGATGTGATAGTGGTCAATAGGTGGGGCTCTGTATCTGGCGCTTGAGGATTTGGGCTTCAGCCCAAGTCCGACAACTTAACCATTGGAATAAGCTGGAGCATCTGTAATATGGATGTGATGACATCTGTCTGATCTTGTTTTTCTCCTCCCCAATCAGCAATGATTTTGCAAATACATTTGAATAAAATGAACTTTATTAGAAACAAAATTCATGAAAATGATGAGCTAAAATTATACAAGTGAATAAGACAAAGATGAGCCCAAGGTCCTAGGGGAGACCTTCATTGAACCAGAGCACAGAAACATGTCAAAGAAAGTCAACAAATTCTAAATGCCTCAAAACTAGGAATCCAGATGAGAATGAAATGGATCCATGGTTTTACCACAGACTTCATTTAGAATCTTGACCAAATACTATGAGGACTAGCTAAAAATTAACAGCAAGATCTTAACATGTATCCTTATTGTACTTAATTAACCTGAGGTTAACTCTCTAATAAGTTGTATATTATTCTAAATTTATGGTAATAGCTCAATTATTTTTAGTTACTCTTTTTACCACTTTCAAAATGTTGCAGCTGAAAGAATATTTTCAATACTATTCTAAATAGGGATCTGGGATAGACCTCCATGGCTCAAAATTCTGGTATCAGAATGAAATAAACTACGAACATTTCTCACTATAGGATGCAAATTTAGGTGGCTTATTTCATTGTGCTTTACTTCACTCTGTGGCACTCATGTCATCATTCTGCACCTTCTTTTGCTATTCTCATCTAGTGATCTCACCTTCTCTTTATAGAGCTCCTTCATCTTCCTTCTCTCTGGACTTTGCCTTCGCATATCTACCCACTATCCAACCATTCCTTTTTTTTTCTTCCACTTATGGTAGAGAAAAGTAAGTCACTCTTCTTTCCTAAAGGTGGTATCTCCACAGCTAATTGTATTTCCATTCACACTTGTCTTTCTCTGATTTTTCTTTAAAGGCAATTCCCTTTAAATTCTGTAGCAACTTGAATTCTCATTTCTTAAGGAAAGATTCCCCTCCACCTAGGGCTTGTGGATCCTGAGAAAATCTTTTCTGAGATCTGCTGCCCCCTCAAAATGAACACTCAGTCCTTCTTTGAGTTATGGAACTTCCAACAGAACATGCTGCTACACTTCTGTATTCATTGGTAAACTCACTGTAGTTTGTCTTCCCCTACACCATTTGCCTGCAGTTGTTCACTCAAAGAAACCAGTGAACCCCCATTGTTTTCTCAGACCATATCCAGTTTTTATTCTTTATAGCATTTGACACTGCAAACTATCTACCTTTCTGAAAGTGGCTCCTCCTTTGACTTCTGGGCATTGCACGATTCTCGTCTCCCTTCTCTTTCCAAACTCTTTTGTCTCTCCTGTACTTACTGTTTGTCCTCCTCCCATTCTCTAACTGGGAGTCTTCCCCCAGGATTTATCCTTTTATACTTTGCAACTATTTTACGTGTATTTTATCAGAATTCTTCATCTTATGGTTTTAAATAAGTCCACAGCATAAGTGACTTCCTGTTTTATATCAACAGCCTTAACATTTTCTTGACATCTCTCCCAAATTATCATTGTCTCTTGAATATTACTGCCCCACCCTAACCGCTCCAGCTCTATATGTCTGGGACCTAGTTCATGTTTCTCCCCTGAGCCTGCTCTCCCTTTGACATCCCCAGACTTCCTAATGGTTAAATAGTTTCTATAATAAAATGATTGGAGTTCTCCTTGACTTCTTCTATTTTACTTGTTCCAAGGAGTCCATTAAAATATCCAGTCAATCCTTGCTTTGAGATGTTTCTGAAAATATTTCATTTCTTTCCAAACTCGCTGTATCCTATATGTACATTAAACCTCCCCCAACACACATATTCAGTGTCTTATTACTGAACTTTTTTTCTGAGATGGCTTCTTAACATCTTCCACCCACAAAATCCTCCCCATATTTATCCTATATGTGACTCAAAGCTCTACTCACATATCATTTTGTCCTCAGTATTTTTCCTAATCATAATAGTCAGAAATGATAACTTTCTTTTCAGCACATGATTTGTAATGCTTAAACTTCAATTAATAAATAGGAATATTTCTTTCTGTATTTATAGAACTATAGGTTAGAGAGTGTCTTCAAATATAATATATCAGGTAACCATCACTTGTTTATCATTATTATATGTTTGTACACATATTTAATCACCTCTATTAGAAAATAAACTCTCATGAGAATTAATATCTTGTATTTTTCTCCACAGTAACCATATAGCAACTTCCACAGAGTAGATGTCCTAAAAGATTAATGGAATGTGTAATTTAATGGATAAAATGACAATGATCCTAAGCATATACCCACATGAAGCTGCCTCTGTTTTCTCCTCTCCCTTACCAGAAAGCTGCTGCTGCTTGTGATGAATAGTTTTTTGGGGATTTGGTTTTGTTTTGGATTCATGAATTAACTCTCATTCTAAGATGCAATTAGGAAACTGTAAGTTATAATTAAATATCCAGAGAAATGATGTACATGTGTGCTGCTGGAAATACATTTCTAAGGCAAGTTTTGGTGAGAACACAAACAGACTTTAACTTGATGCCTGCATGAGGTGAACCCTAATAGGTTAGGAGGAGATCTGGGGTGGGTGAGGTGGAGAGCAATCCCATCCATTTCCCTTCACCTTTCTTTCTTTTGCTTCCTCCAAACACATATTGGAAAGGTCACTGCTGTTCAGAAGAAGGTTTTTGAAAAAAGGGAGGAAAATGAAAGGAAGGAAGCATGGACAGGACATGGCTATAGCAGGCTTGACTCAAAGGCAAATTTTGACTACTTCATTCCAATGCTGTCCCTGTCTTCCAACCCCCTCAATGTGATACTCACACACTCAACGAGTGGTTCTCCTTTATCCCTGTGATGTGTTTTCCATCCTATTCTATTTATATCAGTTCCTCTGGCCCCAGGGTCAGCAATGTTTGGAACATGGAGTTGTACAAGGAAAGGCTGCCCTCTAGGAAAATCCACAGAAGGGAGTCCAGGTATTACTGAAACACCAGGGGTTTGGTCTAGGGCTTGTTCCTCACCTCACAGAAAGCCAGTCACTGAGACTATGAGTATTGCCAGGGAAGAAGGCTTTATTGGGGTGCTGCAGCCAAGGAGATGAGAGATCAGTCTCAAATCTGTATCTCTAACTGACTAAAATTGAAAGTTTATACAGCAAGGAAGGAGTGTGACTATGTGTGGGAAAACAGGAATTAGAAAGGGTAAGGAAGGAAAGGTGGCCAACTGAAAGCAGGTGGTCAGTTAGGGAAACAGGAATTAGGGACAAGTAAGGAAGAGGAGTGTCAGTTCCTTGATACCGTCTGGGAGAACTGAGGGTCTTTCTGAGAAAGGAACTCAGATAAGACAAACATAAGTTTCAACTTTTAAGACCAGGAGGGTCAATTTCTATTTTTTTTTTTTTTTTTCAAAAAAGCCATAAACATCAGTTCTATGGGAAAATAGGGCCAGTTTCATAAGAGGGCTTTGGTACTGAGCATCCATTTGGCACACAAACATGTGTGCAGGAAAAGAATGAAAAGATAGGGATACTGGCAGAGAGACGCTGTGTTGAACCAACTTTCCAGGACATCCCCAGGAGACCTGTGAAGACAGGTGGAAGGTTTGGGGGAGAATCAGAGCTTAATGTGTATGTGATCATATTTACACATATAGGCTGGTAGCCCCATAAGTGGGGGGCCATAAAAAAGAAGTTGCAAATTAGAAAGTAAAGGTTAACTAGAAGCTGGAGACCAAGGTGGAAACACCTGATTAGAAGGGAAACAGAGACCAGGAAGAGCACGCCCTGCCTCTCTGAAACCTGGGCAGAGAGAGAGAAGAGCTCAGCCTGGGGAAGGTAATTTGAAATGTATTTTAACAAACACCAAAACCCCTATTTTGTTTCTTTTATTTGAGACTTGACAAATCTTGTTTATTATAGGTAACATGTGTTTTTAAACCACACAAGCACCTCTGACAGTACTTCAATTTTGCTTCTTGTTAATCTTCCTCTTTTTTAGCCTCTTTTCTGTGTTTTATTCACATTTCTCTTAAACTGACATCATCAATTTTGCTCTTATTAACCATGATTTTTCAAAAATGCTCCTTGATTTTTTACCTTATTACCACTTTTCCATTTCCTTTCTCTTATCCTTATTTCTGGACAAGCTGCTATGCCCAGGGTTTTGATTAATTCACTTTTTGGCCATTCTTTTTCTTTTTCTTTTCCTTTTTAGCTAGGTCTGGCTTTTGGCTTCTGAATGTTGATCAGTGTTCTCCCTTGCTCCATATGCTAATTAACAACCAATACCCCCAAATTCTTTCATTAAAAAGTAGTCTTGATACAAGAACTGTTTAAGTCAGAACCCTCCATATTTCCTTCTTTGTCACTGGCAAAAAGCTGTGAGAAGGATTCTTGATGCCTCCACAATCACCGGGGCCTTGTCCTGAAACAAAGAAGACTGTCCAGGCTTTGTTACTCATCAGAACTAAAATAATACCACCCCCCAGGATTCTGTCACTTTTTGTTTTCCCTTTTATTCAAAAGGAAAAATAGCATGTAGCTGCCAATAGATGCTGTGATCTACAAAATATTTGCACAACATAATTTATTTTTTTATTAAGAGGTGTGGCTAGAATGATTCAAATAACCCATTACTTTCTTCTCACATGTCCTGCCATCCCTGTCAAGAAATAATGAATTCAACTTTTGTCAGAAAAACTTCTTTCACTGGATGAGACAGGTCAATTGGGTGCATGAAGCATATTTTCCCTTCTTTTTCACAAAAGGCTCCAGATTCTCCTTGATGCACAGAAAAAAAAAAAATCACCAGGCCCTTGAGCTCCCCCACAGGAGCAGCCAAAAGAAAAGCTTAAAATATGTTCCTTGGCAGAGAAATGCTCTTATTCCCATGGAAAAGAAAAAAAAATAAAATAAGAAATCTGGATTATTGCTCATCTGAGGGCCATGTGGGTCTCCAAATAGACTTTGTAGCAAATATGTGCTTCCTGTGATCCAGCAGTGAGCACTGCTAACCTGGCCAAGTCAGCAAAGAGGGAAAGTCAATTTCACATGGGAGCCTTGTCCATAAAACAAACGCAGCTCTGCTCAGGTTGTGTGTATTGCCCAGCTGCTGCCTTTATGTAGAAGTCAGGCAAACCCCACTTCCACAGTGCCAGCCACGCCCTCTGGGCCATGGGCCAGTGGTCATTTCCAGCAGCAGAGACTGAGGGCAGGGCAGGGTTGGAAGGAGCTGCTGTAGTGAGTGAAGTGAGAACACCGGCCAACGTGGGAGCAAAGTAGCAAGCCAAGGCTTGGTTGGGGTCAATTCGTGTGGGTCTGTAAATCTCCTTCATGGATCATTAGTGCTGAAAGGGGCCTCTGCAGGTCATTCTGTGTATTCCTCAGCTTCTTCTGGGTCACTTCCACACATGGTTTTCCTTCCAGGTCTGATAGATTTTCAAGAAAGAATATGTCTTCAGTCTTCTTTTTTTATCTCCTAAATTCTCCATTTCATTCTTCTTGAGTACTGATATACTCGACTAATTTGACCTAATAAGCTAAAATTTTAGGTAGTTAAATCATCAGGTTTGATTACTGTACAGTCTATGGTAAATATGCAGCCAGCTGTCTAGCAAATGTTCAGAAGAGCCAGAGAGTGTGCATGAAGCTGTATAATCTATTGCCTTTCCCGGGAGAAAACCCCATATTTACATATTTTTTCAACAAATAATTGATTGAGTGCCTGCTATATATCAGAAACTTCCTAGAACTTCCTTTGCCATCCTGTCTCTAATGGCAAAGGATGAAAAAAAGACAAAAATCTCCACTTTGTAGAATTTACATATCTTGGTGATGGAGTAAAACATCATCTCTAATATAAAGGCAATCTCTACTATCACCATCTCAGCTATTATATCATTGACTGCTACTGTAGTTCATATGATTATTTCATTTTAGACTGACAACAATTCATGCAGTAGGGAACATCATTTCTTTTTCATAAAAGAGAAAATTGGGCTTTAGAGAGGTTACGTAACTTGCTCAACACTGTGAAAAGGTGAAAACAGGTCTGCTGATTTCAGAGCCTGGCTCATAACCACTGGACTGACTACATACAAATAATTGACCTAGATAGTCCCCACGTCTTGACCCTCTTTATTTTAGTGCTCTTGAAAGTATTCCCAGAGAAATCCTTTTTAGGATGGTTATAGACATATAGTTCATTCAGTTCAGCATGAACTGAGAAACTACTCTGTGTTAGGAGCTAACCTAGAAGTTGATAACACAGTGAAATGTGATCCCCAGCTTCACAAAACTTTGATATATGGAGAGGAAAGAGGTGTAGGCAGTATGATGAGGTAAATGCTATGAGAGAGATGTGAACAGACTGTTAATGAAGCATAATTTGAAGCATAAAATAAGGGCATCTAAGCCCATCCTCTGATAGGGAAAGTTCCTCAGGGATGATAACATCAAGTAAAGAAGAAAAGAGTGTGCGTGCATGTGATCATATGCCTGTGTGCATGTGTACCTATGCATGCATGTATGTATGTGTACTCATGTGCATATGTGTGTATGCATGTTTGTGTGTATGTGCTTGTGTGTTCATGTGTGTAGTGATCAAGAGGGCAGCATGAAAACAAAGTGGAGAGAGTGGGAATCAGTCTGGCAACAGGACACAGTCATGAAACAAAATGGTACATTGGATAAACTTAAGAGTAGCACCTTTTAAATTTAGACTAAGAAAAACTTCCAGGCTTGATCTTACTCTGCCCATCACTTATACTCAAGCCTCTCACTGTGTATGTTTATCTTGCTTTAATCTCTAAAATAACAGGGAAAAATAGTAACATGATCTTAGAAATGTCTTCACCTCCACTCTTTTTACCTAGCAATTGGATTTTCTTGGAGTAATATAAGCCATTACATTATTCAATGATGCCTTTGATTTCACTGCAAACTGCTGAGATTAGAGTGAGGTTCCATTGCATATTAAAAACAAATAGTTTTCCAAAGCAGAATTTTAACCTGTAAACTCTAATGTACCTTCAAATTAATTTGTGTGGATAGAGATGGATAGAGTGAAGAATTTTAAAAGGTGTCTATTTTTTAAGTGATTTTTTATAGCATCAGATGCTCATGTTTTCCATTCAGATCGATGAAGCCACAGCCTGAGATCCACATGCATGCCCTGCCACACTGTATATGTTTTCAATCAGTTCTACAAGGTTGTTATTTTTTTTTTCAATGTCAAAACTTAACCCACACACGGTCTCATGAGGCATAGAGATGCCTAAGCCACAATGCTGGGTTGTAGGACCTAATATCCGTGTAATGATGGGATTGGCTGCAGGGCACATTTGGAAATAATCTTCAGCTTTTGGAATTGAGACCAAGGGCAGGAAATAATAAAACTGTGTGAAGCTACACTGCCTCCTCCTTCTGTTCCCAGCATTCTGCACTTTGGTAGAGAATATCTACATTTCACTGGGTTCAGGGAAACATTGAGCATTGCCAAAAGATAGCAAAGTGTAGAGCTGAGCAGAGTGAGTGAGCACCTTGGAGAATGAAGTAGAGGCAAGAGGGCATTTGGCAACAGTGGAGGCTGCAACCGATATGCAGATGTTGGAGGTCTCCAAACATCTCATCAAACAAATAGACCAAGGGAAATGCTTTTCTAAGTAGCATGCACTTAACCCAGGAAACTCGATGACATATGATTTTTATTGAGCCAAGGAACTCTGTACTTTTGTCAAAGAGCTGGACACTGTGATGAATATGAATAACATCTGTAGCTCAGCTAAGTGGGGTGAAAGGGATGAGCTTGATCCATCTTCTGGCATTTGCTGCTGAAACCAATTCCTGGCAGGGCTTCTGCAAGAGGGTGAGGAGCCCAGTGGGTCAGGGGCCATTTTCTGAAGTATTTGTTCATCTTGCTCTGAAATATTACAACAAACCATAGATAGAAAACAAAAAGACCAGGAGCCTTGTTCAACCTCTGCTGTGACTACCTAAAGCTCTGAAGATCTTTCTACTATATTTGTAGTGCAGCTTCTGTAATATCATTCCCACTTATTTGCATTGTTATCTAGTATTTGCCAAATAGATTAACAGTTTCAGACAGAACATATTGGACAATTATTAGATTAGACAATACATAGTAATTCTCAGACTTACACACATATACACTTTCTCTCAGGACCTTTTCATTTGCAGATATCCTGCTGTTAAAATAACTTACTGGTAGCTCATTGTTGGGATGAGAATATTTACTCTGGCCTAGGAGTACAAGTGGTATAGAAAAGAGGAAAGGGAATAATAGAGCAGAGAGAGAAAGGAATTAAGGAGGGCACATCATCAAAGAGAAATCTCTCTATACTTAATGTTACTAACCCACTCTCATGAGGATCATCCAATTACCTGTCTAGCATTAAAATAGCAGGGTCTATGTCATGAATGCCACTGGCTTATGTCTGATAATAACCAAATACTTCACCGAGAATGCCCTTATGTTCACTTTATCCCCAGCCTATCCATTTCATTGATGGCGAATGTTCTTATAAGGGAAATAAAAACACATCAAGAAGTTGTTGCTGAATCTGGGAAAGTAGCAAATCATGCCTACATTTTCTATTTTATTCCCAAAGTTATTCACAGTGTTTTAAAGCAAAACAGAAGATGTTTTTGATGCACTAAGACTCTTAGTAAACAAATACAAACAATTAATTAGGGCATTGAATGAATAAACCATAGACACTTCACCTAGGAATGTGCCATTGGCAATGGGAAATTATCTGGTAGTTGGAATTAAGCTAAAATATTTATAAACTGCCAGTCTGTCATGTAGATGGCAAAAAGTCACCTCCAAATTCCACTTTGGTGGAGATTTGTCAGAGATTTCAGGGCTTTGTAACTTCTAATTCTAATTCTAGGCACAGCATGTTAGATTTTTGTAAATTCTATTTTTAATGTTGCTAATATTTTTCCATTGATATAACTATGGCTTCTAAGAGCTACATCTGCTCCACTCTATAGAGGAAGCATGATTAAGGAAAGAGCTTAAGGTCTGCAGACAACCAGATCTGAAATTGAAGGCTGACTCTATCATTTCCAACTGATTTTACTTAGCTCAGTGACTTCACCTCTTTGAGCCTCAGTCTCTTCACCTATAAATTGGGGATAATAACATCCACAGGGGGCCAGGCGCGGTGGCTCACGCCTGTAATCCCAGCACTTTGGGAGGCCGAGGCGAGAGGATCACGAGGTCAGGAGATCGAGACCACGGTGAAACCCCGTCTCTACTAAAAATACAAAAAATTAGCCGGGCGCGGTGGCGGGCGCCTGTAGTCTCAGCTACTGGGAAGGCTGAGGCAGGAGAATGGCGTGAACCCGGGAGGTGGAGCTTGCAGTAAGCCGAGATCGCGCCACTGCACTCCAGCCTGGGTGACGGAGGAGACTCCGTCTCAAATAAATAAATAAATAAATAAATAAAATATCCACAGGATTATATTGAGGAATAAATAAAATGAAATATGAAAACATTAAGAATATAGTAGGCGTTCAGTAAAGGTTACCATTTATTAGTACTTTTCCTTTCTTCAAGTGTCCTTCCAGGAACGATTTAATAGGCATACCTTCCCCAACCCAATTTCTGCTGAACAATAAGCCTAGAGACAAAGTTTCCCCTCAAGGTAGCTGCATGTTCATTGCATCACCACTAGCCCAGCTTAGGCTCTGTTCATCCAGTGTTTGGCTTACTACTCCCTGGATGGTTTTTCTGGTCCTAGTTAGTCTACCATATAATCTGTCTTTCTCAGTACTGATTCTTCTCAAATAAAATATTTACCATGCTATCCTTTTGCTCAAAAACATTCAATTATTTCTTATTTTCTATAGTGTCAAAACTAAACGTTGACTTCTGATTCCAACTGTCATGCGTAACTGGTACCTACTAGCCCTCCTGCTGCAAGCAGCTACAAAACCGGACTAAATTATGAGACAATTTTAAGACATTGAAAAGCTGTCAGCACAAGAATGTAATGTTTAGGAGAAGTGAAACCGAGGATGTAAGCCTTTCTATCACCTCAGATTTTTGCCTGGAGGCATTTACTAGATCCTGGCACAGGAAGGAGCAATCAAAGCAGATCATGTTGGTCTCATTGAGCTAAGAAGGCAGATTGGTGCTCAGAGAGGCTGAAACCATGGGAATTTGTGAAGCACAATACCAGATAGGAGGTAACTATGCAAAGACAGAGCACTAGATTCTACATAATGGTTCCTTCAGTGTTTACTTGAATGCCAGGTTTACATGCCATAGACACAGTGAGAAACCATGAGTCCTGGGGAAGGACAACTATTGGAGACAGATAAACTGTTGGGGAGCTCAGCCATTTCTAAAAGTGGCACAGTGCTGGAAAAGGTTTGTGCTTTCACCAACTGGAATGTAGACACTTTCTAGAACATCAAAGGCATTTGATAGGAGGACAGGACCTCAGGAGTAAACTAAACTAGCTCTAAAGGAAAGCTATGTTAGACACACCAGAGTGAAGCTTTAAAATAAGCATGAAAGGATAAAGCAGCTAATAGCCCATGTAACTTAACTGCCTACTCAAATAAAATTCAATCCTCTTTAAAGAAAGAAAACAGAATTCACACACTGGACAACACAAAAATCATTATGTCTAGCATCTGATCAAACATTTCTAGATGCGAAGAAACAGGAAAATATGACCCATAAACAGGGGAAACTTTACCCAATAGAAATACATCAAAATATGACCGAGAAATTGAAATTAACAAACAAAAACTTGAAAATCACTATTATAAATGTTTAAGAGCTAAATGAAAACATGAATATAATAAAGAGACATGGAAATTATAAAAAAAAATCTCTGGAACTGAAATAGATATTTGAAATTTAGAACAATCACTGTGTGTACATAATAACAGATTAGACACTGAAGAAGTTAAGATCAAGGAACTTGTAAACATGGAAGTAGAAACAGTCCAAACTGAAGTACAGAGAAGAAAGAGAGAAGAGATGAATAGAGCATCAGTGAACCAATGGATAATATCAAGTCTATCATACAGTCTCACAAGCAAAGAAGTGGAAGGAAAGATACTTAAAGAAAAAAATGGCAAAAGTTCCACTTTTTTTTAAATTGAGATGCAGTCTTGCTCTGTCGCCCAGGCTAGAGTGCAGTGGCGCAATCTTAGCTCACTGGAACCTCCACCTCCCAGGTTCAACTGATTCTTCTGACTGAGTCTCCTGAGTGGCTGGGATTACAGGCACTCGCCACCAAGCTTGGCTAATTTTTGTATTTTTAGTAGAGACGAGCTTCACCATGATGGCCAGACTGGTCTCGAACTCCTGACCTCAAGTAATCTGCCTACCTCAGCCTCCCAAAGTGCTGGGATTATTGGCGTGAGCCACCATGCCTGGTCAAAAATTCAAATTTGATTAAAGCAGTAAGTCGCAGATCAAAAAAGATCAATTAACCTAAAGCAATGTATAACCAAAGCAAACAACACCAAGGCACACTATAATCAAATGGCAAAAAGCAAATAACAAAGAAAGAAATGTAAAAAGTAGCTATAGGAAAACAACGCATTATGTACTGGCTAACAAAGATAAGAATGCCTCATATTTTTTAAACAAATTAAAGCTAATATTATTTGTAATTAATAGACATAAACTAAAAGAGTTGTTAAAGGATAGTTTTCAGGCTAAGGAAACCAATTATAGATAAAACTCAAATTTATAAAAAAAATTGAAGAGTACTACATAGAGTAAGTAGATTAAATATAAAATACTTTTTTCTCATTAATTTTTAAAAAGATATTTGACTATTTAAAGTCAAAATAATATTGTATTATGGGGACTTAAACATAAGCAGAAATAAAATGTATGACAAGAACACAAAGGACAGGAGTGGAAAAATAGATGAATATTTTCTTAAGGTTCTTAATTGAAGATGATAATGTTATCTGAATGTAGACTGTGTTAAATCTAAAGATGCATACTGTGAGCCATAGAGCAGAGCTATCTAATAAATCTTTCTGCAATGATGGACGTGTTCTCTACATAACCAACACAGTAGTCCTTAGCCACACTAGGCTAACAAGCACTTGAAATATGGCCTGCGTAACTAAGGAATTGAATTAAGGAACTGATATGGCTAGTGGCTACTGCATTGGACAGCACAGCCTACGATAACCACCATAAACAAAACAAAACAAAATAAACAACATACAAAGATATATTCACGGATAAGCAAATAAAGGAGATAAAAGGGAAACTAAAAACAAGCAAGCAATCCCAAAAGAGAGAAAAATAAAATAAAAAGGGAACACTGAACAGAAGAGATAAAGTAAATAAACAAAATCTTAGCAACAATTATTTAAATATAAATGCATTACACACTCTGTTAAAAGGCAAAGATTGTCATTCTGTATCAAAAAAAACAAATCAAGACCTGGCTAACTAGCTTTATTATTTTAGAAGAAGTAGACATCAGAGTAAGGAATATTACCAGAGATACAGAAAAACATTAAATAATAACAAAAGAATCAATCAAGAAGACATTTATAGAACTTTATACATGAAATCGCAAATATACCTCTTACAAGAGTACACGGAAAATTCACCAAGATAGACCATATGGAAGGCCATAAAATATGTCTCAATAAATTTAAAAGAATTGAAACCAGAGTATGTTTTCTGACCACAATGGTATTAAATTAGAAATCAAAAGCAGAAAGATACCTGAAAAAAAACCTTAGATATTTGGAAGCTAAACTACATACTTCTAAATAAATAGGACAAAAAATCAGAAAGAAAATTAGAAAATATTTTGAATTGAATGAAAATAAATATATGGAACAATGCTGAAGTAGAGCTTAGAATAATGCTATCAAAATGTTTCATCTCAAGCCTTCTTTATACTATTAAAAATTCTTGACAACTCTAACAGGTTTTTGTTTATGTGCATTGTATCTGTCGTATTTACCCCATATGAAGTTAAAACTGAGAATTTAATAAATAAAAACAAAATAAAATTGTTAGATGAAAATCCAGCAATAAAAGGTCCATGTAAGCAGGTTTTCTCTAAAAGAAAATTTAAATAAATAAATAAAATGATTGAATGGTTTAAAAAAGGGAAATCTGGGGCCAGGCATGGTGGCTCATGCCTGTAATCCCAGCACTTTGGGAGGCCGAGGTGGGCGGATCATGAGGTCAAGATATCAAAACCATCCTGGCCAACAAGATGAAACCCTGTCTCTACTAAAAATACAAAAATTAGCTGGGCATGGTGATGCGCACCTGTAGTCCCAGCTACTTGGGAGGCTGAGGCAGGAGAATCGCTTGAACCCGGGAGGCGGAGGTCGCAGTGAGTTGAGATCACACCATTGCACTCCAGCCTGGGCAACAGAGTGATATGCCGTCTCAACAACAACAACAAAAGGGAAAATAGAATTTTTACAAATATTTATCAATTTAAAAATTAATCCATTGCCTATTACCATTAAAATATTTTTAATAGATGCATTCAGTCTGTTGCTCTACATTGCTTTGGGGGAAGTATATATGAAGAAAATCCAGCCTCACAAAGATTTGTAGTCTTGGTAACATTTAAAGGTAATTGTAGATCGTTTTCTTTGACACTATGCCAGAATTTGAAAAGTAGTAGTTGTTTCAAAAATTACTTGCAATATGAAGTCTGAAGCCATATTCATGAACTTTTTAAAAACTAATTACATTAAAACCCACTAATATATTTTGTGTTTTAATAAACCTTTTAGTCATACATGATTTTGCAGGAACATATATTTGTCATTTGGAACATTTTGGTTCATTGAATTAAGCAGCAATTCTGAATGTGGACACATTATATTATAATTATACTTGTTAATATCACCGTCAATGTCATCAGCAAAGGTCTTTAAGAAGTGAGTTTTCAAGCCAACTGTGGCACATAAAGTTTTCCAAAATTTTAATTTTCACTTGAATGTCACTTGAATTTTCACTTGAATGTCCAAATGTTATTATTGGGAAAAAAATTTCAGTTGATTTCTTGAAGTTATAGGTTCTCTTTGTTAATTTTTGAGAAAATAATAGCCAAATGTGCCAATTTTTTCATCAGTGTATTTTATTCCCAAGTAAAGCTGGTGTTCTCAGAAAAAAAAGCAGTTATTTCAGCTTGCAACTCAATTCCACAAGTTCTTTGGCTTAAGACAAACGTTGTACTTCAATATGTGGCAACAACATTTTATGTATGCTTCCCATTTCACCATAAATAATACTAGAAAGACATGAAATCAACAGTAAGAAAACAAGGAACATAATTTAAAAAAACAAAAGAAATATATGGATGACAAATAGCATATGAACATATGCTTCACATCACACATCATTAAGGAAATTAAAACAAAATGAGATACCATACTCACTACTAGAATGGCTAATTATCAATTGCTGTCAAAGATGTGTAGCAAAAGAAATTCTCATTCATTGTTGATGGGAATGAAAGTGGAGATTTTATTCTCACCAAGTGGACCCAAGGCACCATTTTGAGCAGCAGTTTGGTGATGTCTTATAAAACTGAACATGGTCTTGCCGTATAATCTAGCAATCATATTGGTAGGTATTTACCCAACTAATTTGAAAACTTGTGCCTACACAAGATCTGAATGCAAATGTTCATAATAGCTTTGTTTATAACTGCCAAAAACTGGAAGCAACAAAGATGTGAATAAATAAGCAAATTTTGGTACATGCATACAATGGAATACTATTCAGCAATAAAATAAGTTAGCTATCAAACCAAGCAAAGACATGGATAGATCTTAAATGCGTAATGCCAAATGAAAGAAGCTAGTCTGCAAAGGCTACATATTATATGTTCTTTTTATATGGCATTCTGATAAACACAAAACTGTAGAGGCAGTAAGCAGGTCAGTGTTTGCCGTCCACACAGGAGACATTTTGGGGTGGTGGAAGTATTCTGCGTCATACTTTAATGGTGGATACATGACATGATGCTATTGACAAAACTCATGAAACTTCATGACACCAAGAGTGGACTTCAGTGTTTGAAAATTCTAAAAAAATCATTTAGAAGGTTCAGAGATTTCAGGATTGCATCCAGAATGCTACAAAATCTTCTAACTATATTACAAAATATGAAGTAACCTCACTAAAGGGGCAGAAGGGAAAGTTGCTGACTAAGTAACTTTGGAAATGAGTGAACTCTGTGAAACTAAAGTCCAAAGAAACTGCACAAGTACTGTACTCTAGTTGATAAAATTGTTTTCTATGGGAATCCTAGTTAATTCTGAAACGACTATGCATGTATACTATTTAAGTGAAATAACAATCATTGTATTAGTTCATTTTCACAGCACTATAAAGAACTGCCCGAGACTGGGTAATTTATAAAGAAAAGAGGTTTAATTGGCTCACAGTTCCACCAGGCTGGGGAGGCCTCAGGAAACTTATAATCATGGCAGAAGGGGAAGCAGGCACATCTTACAGGGTGGCAGGCGAAAGAGTGAGAGCAAAGGGGGAAGCACCCCTTATAAACCCATCAGATCTCATGAGAACTCATTCACTATCAGGAGAACAGCATGGGGGAAACCTCCCTATGATCCAATCACCTCCCACCAGGTCCCTTCCTCAACATGTAGGGATTACAGCTGAAATGAGATTTTGGTGGGGACACAGAGCCAAATCATATCAAGTATTATTGCTGTATTATACATAATTATAGTGCGTGTGTGTGTGCGTGTGTGTGTGTGTGTGCGGTCATCTGGGCCATCCTATTTCAGGCCCCAGTTGAGACAGAGGTTATCACTTACTGAACATGCCCACAAGATTCAGTAGCAGTACCACTAGGCCTTCCCAGTAGTTGCAAGATGAGGATTTTATTGATTAAGACAATTTATAGAGACATAAGTTTACTAGAAAACAAAATCCAAAGCCCAGACAACACTACAAACTCTATATAAGTGAGGAAACAAGTTGTTTTTTTCCAGCTGTAGAAACCTTACATCATACTTAAGAGTATGAAAAAAGCAAACAAATTCCTGGCAATTAAAATCACTCTTAATATGATAAAGAGATTTGCTGACCTACCATTTACATTTCTGGCTAATTACTAATGTTGCTGCGGGTGTCACAGACCATTTTAAAGCATTGTGCTTACCTCAGCAGTGCAGCAAATACCTCCAGGATCACTTCAGTGTTCAACTCTTAAAGAACATACAAAGCAAACTGTGTTTTCTTACATCAGGGATTTATCCCCTTTGACTATTCCCAGTGTTACATCAGCCTCATTATTTGGGGGCTTGAGCTCTTTTAGAGCATAAAACAACCATTACTTTGGAGATCAGACAAGCGGTTTTCTTGTGAACAATGGAGAAAACAGAAGCAGATACAGCAAAATTCACTCACCATGGTCTTTCACAAAGCTTTCCTTTCTTCTTAAAAATAACAGCCCTCACCTCATTTTATACTTGAAGGTCATTTGCTAAAACATGAGATGTGGATTTAATGATCCAATTTCTTAAAATAAACATGGAGTGCATAGCAAATAACATCTGTCTACTTATGCAGAGAAAAAAATCTACAAACAGACACACAAAGGTAATGAAAATGTCACTGAAGGGATATAAACTGATTGTAAAGAAAAAATGCAAGTCCAAAATTTTCTATTACCTGACACACCTGGAATCAAAACCATCATTTCTATGGCATGGTAGTCAAAGCCAGCTTTATTTCAAACTTTACACACAACACATAAAAAGACTGGTTATGAAAAGTCCACAAGACTGGAATGGGGCATGACATCCGGTTATATAATGCATAGAAAGGGAAGTATGTGGGTATCTACACAGGCAGCTGCATCAAAATTTCCTCCCTCTAATAGTCAGCCATCTTTGTTTGCCCAAGGTCTTGTAAGTCTCAATCAGAACTTTCATGTATCCCGAAACAGCACAAATCAGTAACTTTGGGAAATTCAGTCAGGATTATCAACCTGTCTCTCCACATGTTAAGAAAATCCAAGAGAGCATTATGCAGAATGGACTGTAGCCAGCAAGAGCTGTACCTAGCAACAGAGAAACTGCAAACCACACCAGGTTGAAGTTTAGAACCTTGAAAGCTTATCTAAAGTCCTTCCAAGTTCGGTATGCTTTTAGCATGGAACTGGATGCCTTGCATCGGGAGAACTTCTTGGTGATAAATTTTAGTTATCCCTCTTTATTTGTCCAGAATTTATTGATGAGACCATCTCTTCTTGGAGGTTGCCATAGTTCTCTTCAGATTGATAGCACTCTCAGGCTTGCCTTCAAAATCTTTATTGAAATTCGTACTCGTAGACATCGGAGTAGTCATTTGACAAAGATCTGCCTCCCATATGAAAGCGTAAGTTCCTATGAGAGAAAAGACCATAATTATTTTTATTCTTCTTCATATTCCAACTTGCAGAAAAGTCCCTGGTAGAGAGTAAACTCAGTTACATTTGTAGAGTAAATGAAAGGGCCAGAATGAAAAGGATTTGTGTGTGTCTGTGCATATGTGTGTTTGCACATATGCACATGTGTGCTCACGGGTATGTTTGTCAGGGTAGGAAAGGGAGATGTAAGAGGACACTTGCTGCTCAGTTCATACCACTTCTAATAAAACCAGACCCCTGGACCTCTTCCCATGAAGGCATAATGAGCCAGTTTCAAAAGCATGCTCCCTGATGGTGACAGGAGAGAACTCTTGTGGAAAAGGAACACACCACTACCAGTATCTGGGTGGACTTCTCTACTGGAGAAGAGCTGCTTCTTACCATGTTCTTTCTGCCTCATCAATAGAAACAAAGCAAAAGTGATTAAAATACAAAATGAGAATTTATAATAAAAAAGAAGGGAAATGTTCTAGTTATGAAGACTCTTTAACACTAAAATCCAAATTTTTCTTTCTTCACACACAACAAAATACTCAAAAAAGACATGTTTCTCTCATAACAGCTTGTCTTGAGATGTGTGTAAAATGTGTGTTTGCATGTGCACACAGGAGTGTATTATCTGATTCCTACTACAGTGGGAGACCAGCAAAAAGTCTGTTTTGCACAGGTTAACAGAACAAGTTAGAGAACAAGTTGCACAGGTTAGAGAATAAGCTGGTGGGCTATGTATGCCCTATGTTCTTTTACCGAAGGACTGTAAAGATTTGAGCAGAGGTGGGGAATGGACTAGTTGATTCTTTCAGACCTGTTCTAGGTCCCTCATAGTGTAGTTTATCTGTCAGATGTGTTTCCTTTCACTTCAAGAGCCTAACTGGATATAAATATTAAGGTAGATCTTTCTTTCAAACCACCTATTGGAACAGCTATATTTGCTAGGGAGTGTGTGCATCTGTGTTTCAGTTTGCTGCACAACCCAAGCTATTTCTCAGTGTGGAGAGCTCAGAGAATGTAGGAATGTGCTTTACCTTGCACTTTTTTTCTCAGGCTCTAAATCCAGGCTTTGGGCTCCTTCACACTCCACTTAGCCACATATTTTTAAAATATGTGCACAAGAAAGGTTGATCCGATGTCCAAGAAGTCCAAGGAGCTTTTTCAGTGAGGCCTTATTTCTTAGAAACAGGAAAAGTTGCTTTTCAAATAGTAACACACGATGACCTCCAGAAGAAAGGTGTTATTAAGAGAAAATTATTATTCACATTATTCATGACAAAAGTGAGGGGTAAAAGAACTTGAGTCTTAGAGGGATTGAGCTTGGAGAGAACTTCTGATTTTAAAAACATTCTGTTTTGGCAAATGCTGTCTTTCTGTGTCAATTTTTATATTTCTGAGAAGTAAGATCATACCCTTCTAAAACATTTAATCTCTCCTGCATTTGGAAAGATCAGCATGCTTGGCTTTGTCCCCCTGTTTGGGCCAGTTTTCTCAAACCAGCAACATACTGGGGAATACCAAAATTAAATGTTAATCCTCTTGAAAGTTCTCTCTCCTCTGCGTTTTGATAGATTAATAGAATGTTAGGAAGAGGACTCCAAGAACTTTTACTAAATCTTCTTATTCTGACACCCAAAGATGTGAAACAACTTGTCCGAGGTAACCCAGCAAGGAAATGGTGTATAGACCTCTACTCCAAGCCCATTGACTGTGTGATATGGATGAAAATGATATAGACATTTTGGACATAAAGGCAATTAGGCTTCCTATGATTTCTGCCATTTACTAATTGTGTGATCTTAGACAAATAACCTCTTGAAGACCCGTTTGCTCCTTTGTCAAATAGGAATAATAGAGTACTCCTCTCCTTCAGCTGAGAGTTTAAAGTGAGATAACCCATGGAAAGAACTTATCAGAGTTTCTGGAATAGGTTAAGCATTTTAAAACGTGCAAAAGTTGTGTAAATGAAGAACTCAACGATTTCCAAGGTGCAGACAGTATTTCTTATGTTAGTAATAAAGGAAAATAATCTTTAAGCAGAGCCTTGAAGGATAAAGTAAACTTGCCACAGGAGGACAAATGGAAGCAGGAACCCCAGAATGGGGTACGGAAGTGGCAAATCTCAACGTACCTGCAGGAAATGGCAAGTAGTTAGATTTGGACCAAATGAAAGCGGAGTATAGGGAACAATGAAAGCCATGGTTGAAAAGTGATATAGTGTAAGACGTTTGCAGTCCTGGTGAAAAAGCTAAGTTTTATTGTACAAGTAGTGAGTTTTGTTCTATTTTAGTAAGAGGAGTAACACCAAAGTTTTATTTTAGGGAGATCAACCAGTCATACTCAGGAGAGGTTAGAGGAAGGAAACAAACACTAGACTCAGGAAAATTTATTCAAGAGGCTATTGTGATTGCTCAGGCATGAGGTCAGGCAGGAAGGGGATAGATGGATGAATGCAAAAAAAAAAATAACAAAGAAACTTTTTATTGCTATATATGTTTTTCCTTTTAACACACTTCATTGTAGAACTCCGATTGTGCCTACACAATACCACCGTCTTCATTGTTTTTAAAAATCAAAGGCTACACAAACCAAACAAGCCTACCTATGTAAGAATTAAAAACGTGGCCAAAAAGGTTTAAAAATAAAATTTATCCAGCACTATTGTGAGGGGAAGTATTTAAGTAAGTTAATCTTCCAGGTCACTGAAACTGTTGCTAGGAATGTCTATTCCCTGCTTCCTCTCTTTCCTCTTCATAATCAATTATCTACTCTTGCACTGTCTAATAAACCAGCCACTATTTAGCACTTGAAATATGCCTAGTAAACACTAGATTTTGAAGAGTTAATACCAAACACAGTACGTAAAATATTTTATAGATTTTTTATATTGATTAAATGTTGAAATGATAACATTTGGGGATATGGGTTAAATACAACATATTAAAATATTTTCACCATTTTCTTTTACCTTTTTTTGACATAGCTATTAAAAACAGAAAATTATCTATGTAGCTTACATCATATTTGTATTAAACAGTGCTGATCTGCAGAGGAACTTGTAAAACTGTAAACCTGATCATGTTATTTTTGTCCAGTGGCTTTCCATTTTACTTAAAGTAGGTAAAACTTATTCTTCTTCCCAGAACCTAGAAGGCCCTAAATAGACTGATCCTTGTCTACCACTTCAAAGTCATTTTGAACCACTCATTCTCTCATTCACATAATTCTAGCCACACTGACCTGCTGAGGCAGACTCTGATGGTTGGCAACCCAGGCCCAGGCTGCCTTTCTTCTTTACTAGCAAAAGTCTAACTTTCTTCTCATACTCAGTACTCAGTGAAGGTAATATCTGGATATACACAGTTTAGTGGGGAAAATTCTGACTGAAGCAAACTCATCATGGTAATTCCAGGCTCCTGGAAAGTAATTTTCTTAGGCCCTGAAATGTGGTATGATTCTATGCAGTGAGCCACAGGGGAAGTCTGCTGAAGGCTTCTTGAAAAGTTCTCCCACTTAAAAAAGAAAGAAAGAAGCAGAGATAATCTCTTCTTCAGCAAAACATCCCTGTTCTGCATGTGATGACCAGCTAGAACTATTAATTTATCTTGGGACCCTGAGGGGATCTAGCCAAAGGACAAAGATGACAGGCTGAATATGGTGCATGAAATATTGAAAGGACTCCAATTCTTCATAATGTCATTGAACAACGCAATAACCCAAGTCTAGCTCTACTTTCTTAAGTATGATAATCTATGCTCCTTACTGTGTATATGTACATGTGTGTATTTAAATGTGTCGAGTGAGTTGAGTGTTCTGTTACTTGTAGTCAAAATCATCTTAACTCCCAAAATCTGCCTATTTTCCATTTCTCTAATACACTCTGTTTCCTGCATTTTGACCTTTGCGTTCTAGCCTTTGATCTTGAGTTTCCATAGCTGGCTCCTTTGTATCACTCCAGAATATGCCTTTCCTGATTAATCTCTCTAATGTAGCCACTACTCCCCACTCTTTTTCGCATCTTGTTGTTTGTAGTCTCTTCAGAGACTTCATCACTATCCGATCTTGACTTTGTGATTACTTTTTAGTTTGTTTTCCATTAATAGAATGCAAACTCCATAGTGTGGCAGGCACAGAGGAGAGATTCAATAAATATTTTTTGGGGAAATAAACAGATAATCTGAGATTTAAATAAAATAAAGAAATATATCACTTCTGCAGAAGAATCAAACAGTCTGTATTTGGATTTATTAATAAGTGAATTTGTATTGGAATTACATAAAATATAGTGAGTCTTTAATTTTAAACTTCTAGATAATCAGGATATCATTTTTATACACTCCATCAAAAGTCAAGTTACTTGCCTATTTGAGCTAAGTCTTTATGAAACCACTATGATACAATCACCTGATAGGTCAGAAGATTAAAAATTTAGTTAAACTGTGTTTCTTTATTCGGAAGTATTTAAACGACCTATTTGGATTCTTTTCCTTGTGTTTGGTGGAAAATCTGATAGTTACATCAGATTTTTTTAATTATTTTGTCATACTATTGATATATCCTATATTTGAAAGCATAGCAGCACAATACAACAGTGCTGCAGCAAAGGTATGATGAAGATATGTACAAAGTGCTAAGATAGTCCAGAAGAGGGATAAATCAACTGACTAAGAGGTATTGGAAAGGATTCACAAGGAGGTGATTCTAGAATCTTTTTTTTAAAGGATCAGTAAGTGATCCTCAGTTAGACAAGGTGAAAGGAGGTCGACTGGATCTCCATTTAAGTGATTTTCAGCCAATGCTTAATGATATGTACACTTTCATATGTGGATTAATTTATAATCTTCATATCTCAATGGTTTAGCATCCTCCATGCTAATTTATTTTCTGAGCCACTTAACAAAGTTGGCAATACACTTTCTGTTTTTCTGGTAGAAATGTTAGTAAAAACCAAAACAACCCAAAGGAAGGCTTCAAACAAAAGGAAAAGGAGAACCTGAGTTTTGTGGGACTTGCATGAATAGCCTTGGATCACCAGGAGTTGACCCATTTCATTTGACTGTCAATGTCAATTAATAACAGCTCTTCCCTGGATACCTCTACAAAGTTTAGACCTGGGAATGGTGCCAGACCAGACCCCCTCTTCACTTTTCTTGACAGTATTCCACAAAACCAAAATTCCTTTTATGTTTAGTCATAAAGGAAAGACTATCATATAAGTCAGAAGCACAGATGTGACCATGATATATGGGAATCGGGTCCAACACCTCCCAGGACAGCACTGAAATTTTGACATAAAAACCTGTCCCTACTCTTAGAAAACTGTTAGCTTTGTCTTTATGGCTTCTCTGGGAGCCTCAGCTGTGATCTAGTGAAGCCATAAACTTTCAGCCAACATGACTAAGACCATCTATTCAATATCTGAAGGTTGAGTGTGTTGACAATAAAAAATATCAAGATGATTGACTATCTTTTAAATTTTAATCCAGATGTTTGATTTTGTGTATTGGACCTTATCTCAGTTCTGGTTAGCTAATTCTACAACTGAAAAGGCCTCATCCAGACATTTTGACTTCAGGCTGAGTCTACATCATGTTGCTATAGTGGGAGTGAGCTACCTAACGATGTGAATAATTTCCCATTCACTCATATCTTATCTGACAATGATCACTACTGCAAAACTCACTAACCTGCCCCAAGAAGAAACAAAATATCTTACAAAAATAATTGCAAATGATAATGAATGTTTAAATATCCAATATGCACTGAATTTTAAGAGAAATAAGTCTAACATTAAATGGAGCTGGAAATGTGACAAAGATCATCTGGTTACAGAAACAAGGATAATTATGAAGAAATAAGAATGTTTGCCCATAAATATCAACTTACATTTATTATTTTTCACTGGGTTATGTTTCACTAATTAAAAAACACTCCGAATTCTAAGTGGCTTACATACAAAAGTGTATTCCTTGCTCGTGTGACTTATTACTATAGAACAGTTTCTGTTCCATCTGTCTTCATTGTCTGGGATCCAGGCTAAAGAGATGACCTCTATTTGGTACATGCCATTTTCATGTCAGAAAGAAAAGAATGATGGTGGAACCACCATACTTGTTCTAAAGCTTTAGCTGTGAAAACGTACACATCATTTCTGCTCACATTGGGGCCAAATCAAGTTACATGGCCAAACCTGATGTTGCTGGAGCAGGAAGCATATTCTTACCACAGAGAGAGCACAGGGGAGGAAAACTGTATGGATGGGCCTCGTGAATGAAAGAAAAGGATAACATATACTTAGGACCAATTATACACTCTAGTCCACTGCTCCACCACTGCGTCAGTTAAAGTGAAGAGTAGTGTGCAATATCATATCCCTTCTTCTGTTTGTGAATGTCTTTACTTCCAGAAAAATGAAAAAAATTAAATGATTTTTTATCCCTTGGTCACAACTTTGGTAGAGCCCACATAGGAAAATAACTTGATTAAATTCAGGTTATTTTTAAGTTAAACTTTATTATTAACAGTGTTTAACCCTTTTCCCACTTGCCCCAGGACTACTTGCCTGCGGTGCTTGCAGCAGCAGCATTTACCCCGAGATAACTTTGCCACGAAATATCTCGCTTTTATTATTATTTTCACATTAGTCTAGTATATCAACTTTGGAAACAAGTAAACAAAAGGCATCATTCTATTTATAGCACTCTGATTTTAGTAGTGGTATTTCCATTTACAAAATATATTTAATAGTAGTTCTTAAATTGAAAATGTCAAATCCTAAAAAACATGGCATTCCTACGTGTGATGTTGACGTTGTTCTCAAAGTTGTTAGCCAAAAATTAGTTTGATGAATCCGATTTTTCTGAAATAAACAATTCTGATGATTCAGATGATTCTGATGGTAGTTCTGTTTAGAAATAACTCCAAAAACCATTTTTATATTTTATTTTCACATTTAAAATAAGTCAGATTTGGTTCAGCCTCAAAGAGCATAAAATTAACCCCTTTTTCCATTTAGAAAAAAAAAAGTGCCAACACTGCCAACACTCATTTAATTTTACATAAACACACTCTTTGAGGCCATCATCGAGTATTCTCTAGGCAATTGGGAAAAGGATTAAAATATAAGATAATTTATCTAATTGAACTTTTCACTTTGTAGCCCGTGAACAAGCTGGCATTGGGCTTGAGTACATAAGCCGTGTTGACTCTGAGAGCCTAATGCCATGAAAAAGAATGCTTAGTGTTGTATTTAATTATGGAGCTTTCTAGAGTTCCTAACCTGAGGTAATGTTTAAAGTATAACCAGTTCTTTTTGTGATCCTGTGTATTTTACTTTTGTTCATTAAAAATATTTGTCTGCAAAGGGGGCCATCCACTTCCCCAGACTTGTACCTCATTCTGCTGGACAAAAATGGTTAAGAACCTCGACTTGATCTATGGCTTTACAATTTTTTTTTTTTTTTGGTCATTTCCTATGTGGATTTGCTCTCTCCAATTAAAGTATAAGCTGAAGTAAGAACTATGTATTGCTACTCCTTTATATTCTTCTTTCTCTAGATGAGTTATTTTACCTTTAGTAGCAAATAACAAAAAAAAGTAAAAATCTATCTCATTTGTCTTTGACAAGGAAGGTATTCTTTATTTCAGGTAGCATTTTAATACTAAGGTAGAGTGACTTGGAATGCATAATTCAGGGGCTCAAGGACAATACCAAGGATTCAGTTTCTTCTTACCTTTCTGTGCTCTCATTTTCAGCATGTCAGCTTTATTCTTTGGTAGTCCCAAAAACCACAACTACAAACAGGCACTACAATGTGTAGAGACAGGTAGTTTCTTCTTTTCATCATTTTTATTTTTAACTTAGGACTAAGGGTGATATTTCCTAGGTAGCCCCCATAAGACAGTTTCCTGTATCTCCTTGGCCAGAATAACATCCATAACCTATGCTGAAGCCAATAATTTCTGGCATATGCAATTTGAATTTACTCTTGGAACTGGAGGTAGTCACTACTTTCGTAATCTCAGGGAAGAAATGTAGATTCCCAAGCAAAAACACAGCGAAGGAGGGCTCTGTCAGCCAGAGAAAAATGGAGATAAGGCCATTGACTAAGCCACCAACAGTGTCTGCTGTGGTGTCAAAAACAAGGTTTTCTGTCATCCAAAATAAAGCATAGAATTGAAGCAATCGTGTGTATAATTCAAACTGTAACAATTCTGAACTATCTACACCATTAAAGTAAAAGCAGAGTTTGGGTAGCAGTAAGTATAGTGATCTGATAAATCACTTGATTTTACTATGTACAATTCAAACTGTAACAGTTCTGAACTATCTACACCATTAAACTAAAAGCAGAGTTTGGGTAGCAGTAACTATGAATGAGCTGATGAATCACTTGATTTTACTATCACAAACCTGGCACTACACGAATATTTTTTCCAACAAGAACAGAGAGAGTGTTCCTTCTTTATTTATATTCCAGTTAAGTGCCCAAAGGATTTGAGCAAGCTCATTTAACTTTGAACAGGGGTGGGTATACAAATCTTCTTAATAATGAAACCAAATAAAATGGGATGATATCTTTTAAATATTTTTTGTTTCCTTTATATAGCTCTCCCACATAACAGGCTCAGACATGTATGAAACAGACCAGAGACAATAAAAAAGACTACTTCAGACTTATAAATTGTCACATCAGCATCTGTCATCTTGTGTATAAAATGAAGGAAAAAAGTAGAATTTTACTAACACCCTTTATTCTAGTTGTGTAAAATATTTTTTGTTTGTGTTTTTTGAGACAGAGTCTCGCTCTGTCACCCAGGCTGGAGTGCAGTGGCATGATCTTGGCTCACTGCAACCTCCACCTCCCAGGTTCAAGCAATTCTCCTGCCTCAGCCTCCCAAGTAGCTGGGATTACAGGCATGCATCACCATGACCTGCTAATTTTTTTGTATTTTTAGTAGAGGCAGGGTTTCACCATATTGGCCAAGCTGGTCTCAAACTCCTGACCTTGTAATCCGCCTGCCTTAGCGTCCCAGAGTGCTGGGATTATGGGCGTGAGCCACTGATCCTGGCCAGTTGTGTAAAATATTTTAAGCCTTGTACGTGAATGATAATGAATCAAGGCCAGTATACAGTACAAACTTGGATATTTGGATTGATTAGGACCAGACTGCATCTGAATTCATTCTACTCTGTGCAATATGTCCTGGTCATATGCACCATGTAAGGCACCTTGCTAGATGCTAGGGATACAAACATGACCAAGCTAGATATATGACAAGGATAAATGTATCCTCATACACAATGTGCCAGACTGTGATACGAATTAGAACTGAGGTCATTTTAAAAGTGCTTCTGGAGTGATTAGGGAAGTCTATTGCTTTGGACTCAGGTAGGATAATGCTGTGCAAACTTCTCCAAGGAAATCACCTTTGAGTTTGTCCTTGAAGGGAAAGCAACTTATTGCCTAGGACAAAAAAAGAAGAGTGTTTAAGGTAGAGTTGGAGCATAAGCAATGGCCAGCTGTGACTCTGTGGCTCCGTCCTGGGATGAGCCACACTCAGAGGGGCATGATAGAAGCAAGAATTGCCTTTTTGACTTGCAGCTCTTCAAAAACATTAATGAAGATCTAAGCACATTGTACACAGCAACTCTTGTAAAAAATACCCTGGGGTGTCCAGTTTTCCAGCTTCCTACAACTTGAAGAAACTGATTCTCCGATCTGAGAAGACTGATCTCCCACCTCTCCATTTATTTCACCCTGCTCTCCCTCTTCTGCTTTCTCTGTGCCCTCTCACTGCAAGCCTGTGAATATTGACCCTCTTCACCTGTGCTTTCTTTTCTCGTGGCCCATGATTGAGGTGACTCAGACCTTCCTCTTTATCCCCTTTTCTTCCACACATGCACTTGCTTCTCTCCCTATATCTCGATTCTGCATTCCCAAAACCCAGAAACAGAATGATTATACAAAATTGGAGACAGGAAGGTAGAGATATTGAGTCTCCTCCTTCAGAAGACTGTGGGCTCACAGATTAAGCCTTTTGATCCATGAGGAAGCAGGAAAGTGCTAACTGCATCAAGCACCACCAAACAACTTCGGGAGATAGAAGGCTGGGGATAAGATTTAGCTGTTGGTTTGGGGCCAGACTGTGAAAAGTCTTGAGTCTAAGCTGGTATCACACTTTTGAGAACATGAACAACCTCTCAGACATGTGCTTTTGAAAAGGAATGCCATAGCTATATGGAGTTCAGAAAGCAATAATTTCCAATGCCCTGGCAGTCTTTCTGGGCCCTTTCATAGGACATAATCACCCCAAGAAATTGGGCTTCTGCACTAATAAAGGAGGCCCTCATTAGCTTTTCATACACGCACTTAAGATAGAGCACCAATAAAGGAGATTGCGCTGAGACAGTAACCCTTCTATCTCCTGGGTCACTCAGGCTTCTAGCAATGAGAAGAAGTATAAAGTAATTCCTCTCCATACAACCTTCATTTCTATATGCATGAGTAGATGACTTGATTGATTCTTGGTCCTATCTGTTTCTGGCCATATCATCGTAGTTATATTACTTATTTCTCTGAACCTTAACTGCTTACAACCAAAACACCTAGAATCATTATTGGCAGGCAGATATTTGTCACGAAATATTGGTTTCCTAAGCTCTACCTTCCTTCTAGTACTAAACTGTGGGTATGCATTCCTTGGAGTCACCACTCAAAGGCACTAAAAAGAGGCAGGATGCATAGATCCCAGTTGTTTGCTCCTACATCATGTTCTGGTCCCCACCAAGTCCTTGTTTTTGGTGTCCCTTAGGAATGAACAGACTTCTTCAGATAGCACAGAGATAATCATATCAAAGGAAGCATTGCCCTCCTGGGGGGTCAGGGATATAAATTTCTTATGCTCTTTCTGTGAACAAGACAGAGTCATTGACTAATGAACAATATTCTGTCAGTAATGCTTGGTGTCTTTGGATGGAAATTATTAAACTTGCAATGTCTCAGCATAATAATTGTTAAGCTAAGTTCACCTAAGGCTACCTCCCTACATATCTTAAGTTTGGCCAAAAGTTTCTCTGTACATATTTATAACATAACTAGATGTGTAAACAGACTGTAACTTACTCTTGTGCCAATCACCGAGTTTTGAGTTTTGGCCAATCAAAGGTGGCCAACTGCTCAAACTAGGTCCAAAGAAGACAAACGCCAAGCTGTAACCAATCCAATTGTTTCCCTCACTTCCATTCTCTGTATGTCACTTTCCTTTGTCTGTACACAAGTCTTTTACTATGCAGCAGCACTAGAGTGTTTCTGAATCAGCTGTGATTCTGGGACTGCCCAATTTGCAAATTTTCTTTGTTCAACTAATCTCTGTTAAATTTAATTTGTCTAAGGTTTTTCTTTTAACATAATAATAATTTCAATGTACTCCACTTTCCCAGGGTCTTCCTAACCCACTGTCTGAAATCATCAGACTTCCCTTCAAGTACCTTCTAGCCTATCCCTGTTCCTTGAACACCCCTTCCCCTGGTCCCTCAGTTCTATTATCTGGGGATCTAGTTCCATGTGAATAAATTACCAGGAAAGAATGGCTTATTGCTACACCTTCACCTCACATAGAAAATTTTGTTTTCAATAAAATCTGAAAACACAATTACTGTCTTATTCCAAAGGACTACCCTCCTGGCAAAAATTCAGGTAGGCAATCCAGCATGCAAGGTGATAAGAGCACAAAGATTCTGAGACAGGAAACCTTTGCAATCATATTTATTAAACAAATAAATAAATAAAACACTTCCCTTCTTATGCAAAGGGTCAGCCCTGATTTGAGGATTTTAGAACCTCTAAAATGTTAGAATCAGAGAAGACCTTAAAAATCATGTTCAGTTTTCTCATTTTCCAAGTGAGGAGGCCAAGACCCATAGGTGAAGTAATTGAGATCTCGGCAAAAAACTCTTAATTCAGAAAGCCCCCTTTTTTGACCTTCAGTAGGACTTTTCACCTTTGGGTTCTAATGCGAACTCTGAATTCTGAGATAACAAAAAAAGTTTCACACACAGTGCTGATGTATAGTAAATGTCTTTTGGTGGTGCCTGAAAATATAAAATGATAAAAATTGGCCCTGGCCTGCTGGCTCACACCTGTAATCCCGGCAATTTGGGAGGCCAAGGCAGGTGGATTGTTTGAGCTCAGGAATTCAAGACTAACCTGGGCAACATGGTGAAACCCTGCCTCTACAAAAAAATACAAAAAAAATTGGCCAAGCATGGTGATATGCCCCTATAATCCCAGCTACCCGGGAGGCTGAGGTGGGAGGATCACCTGAGCCTGGGAGGTAGAGGCTGCAATGTACCGTGATCATGCTACTGCACTCCAGCCTGGGCTACACAGTGAGACCCCTTCTCAAAAAAAAAAATAAATAAATTGTTCTACATTATTTTTCTCCAGGAAAGCAATTGGCTCAAACATTCAGAGATTGATCACTAAGAATTTGTAAGCAGTGCCCCAACATTGTCCTAAAGGCAAAAATAACTTAGCTGTTTGTGCCATGCAAATATTAGACTGGTCTATTGTTTAACCATCAGGCATGCTGGTGGCTGAAAAAAATGAGTCATTTATTCCAACATAACAGTTTAGTGTTAGTCCACATTGGTGTGCGTACATGTAGCTATGACTGAACATACATATGAAAGCAGGGGATGTGCAGCATTTTCTACAATAAATGGTATAAAACAAGGTTTTGGGAGCTCACCTGCACTACATGCACATGTAAGACACAGTAGGAAACCGCTCCCATCACTTCCTTGTGAAGTCAAGATAGTCGTGGTAGCTAACGCAGTATATTGAGTTGTCGGGGCTCAGTTTCACATCATAATGGGATTTCCTTTCAAATTACATGGAGGAGAAATCTAGCTCCTGCTTGCTGAGTTATTACCCCAGTCTCAAAAGGGGTGTCTTGGTCTCTTCTGCTGTTAATTATGTACACTCTGCAGCAGCTTAATCTAATTATGACTCTCTCCAGTGATTACATGATAAGACATTCCCAGGCCCATTTTTTTAGTTCTCTTTTTCCTAGGCTTCTCTGCCTCAACTCTCCTTCAGAAGTCGCACTCAAAAAGCTTAGTAACAATTGGAATCTAACTACATTTTAACATAACACTTACATTCATGCTTCTGTTCACACTGTAAAAGGTAATCTTTGAATGGTTTAAGCATCTGGATTCTATTATAGCGAAGTACAGCACTCAAAATGGAAGAGACTTTTTACATTTGTGTGGAATTCAGGCAGTTGCCTGAGCCACCCTTGGGCCTAGTTGTTTCAAAGAGATTTGCAGCAGGCTTAAGTCAGAAATGATAAAATTGTCAAAAAAAAAAAAAAAAAACAAAAAAAAAAACACAAAAACCTTTGGAATTCCTTTTGGAAGACAGCTAAAAAAATAAAACCAAACCAAACCTCCAAAAGGAAAAAGGAAGAGATTTCTGCCTGCAAATTTTTAATCATACAGTTTATTGGGTCAAATACTGAAACTCCAAATAGTGGCTGCTGTGCATATCCAAGAAGTTTCCACTTTTTTCTACTCAAATATAACATTGGTTTTACAGTTCTGCAGATTACAAATCACATGGTTTTGTGTGGATTTTTTTTTTTTTTTGGTGGGGGCGGTATGGATATTGGATTTTTCTTCCATTTGTCTTATTTAAATAGTCCAAACTTTTGTGGTTTGGTCATTAAAATCCAATTGGCAGAGAACGGCTGAATCTTTATGTTCTCCAGCTGTGTTCTTACCAGCTACAAACAAGCATTATTAACCATATGACCATATTTATATCAGCCGTGGGTGAGCGTTTCTGATGACCCATCCTGGCAGCCCACAGAGACGTCCAGTGCCTGGGACCTATGGTGTCCTTGAACAGAAAGGAGGCAAAAACTTCCAAAGAGTGATATTTGATCTTACTGTGAAATAGCTGAAACCATCCTCCCATGATTAACAAGAATTCTGGACAGAAATATTGTTATAGTTAAGCATTAATCAGGCTGCACCTTAACCCACTTCTTTGTAACCAAAAATCACTAGATACTGACTATTTACATCCTCATTGTTCCTATAGACAGGATTTCTAACATTAGGATCATGAGACTGTTTAAGAATTGATTTGCATCTCATTGTTCCTATAGACATAATCTCTGACATTAGAATCTTAAGGATTTTGTTTAAGGATTACTTAAGATGTTTTTCACATCCCAAATTCCGGCAAAACAGCTGACATTAACCAGCTTGAAAATGCCACAGATGAATAGAATCAGCATGAGAATACAGTTTCTTCATTTCCCCGTTCCATGACTTCACCCTGAGCTCTCCAACCAGTCAACAATCTCCATGATTCAGCCCACT
Source organism: Homo sapiens (assembly GCF_000001405.40). Taxonomy (NCBI): domain Eukaryota; kingdom Metazoa; phylum Chordata; class Mammalia; order Primates; family Hominidae; genus Homo; species Homo sapiens. The sequence goes on from NC_000001.11 coordinate 219,374,893, forward strand.
CCAAAACTCTTTAAAACCCAGCCCCAAATTACTTGGGGGGATGGATTTGAGGTTCCCTTCCATCTCCTTATTCAGCAGCATACAATTAAACCTCTTTCTTTGCTGCATCCCAGTATCTCCACGTATTTACTTGCTGTGCGCATCAGGCAACAGACCTACTACCATTACATAGCTGTTCAAGGAAAGTAATGCCAGCCTAATAGCTGTTGTCAACCAATCTAATTTAGAAGGGACAAAGCACAGGGAATACAGTAGACAGATTAAAAAAGCATTACTTTGGTACGGCAAAAGAGGCCGGGCATGGTGGCTCACATCTGTAATCCCAGCACTTTGGGAGGCCAAGGCAGGCAGATCACCTTAGGTCAGGAGTTTGAGACCAACCTGACCAACATGGAGAAACCCCGTCTCTACTAAAAATACAAAATTAGCTGGGCGTGGTGGCGCATGCCTGCAATCCCAGCTACTCAGGAGGCTGAGGCAGGAGAATTGCTTGAACCCGGGAGGCGGAGGTTGCAGTGAGCCAGGATCGCAGCACTGCACTCGAGCCAGGATCGCAGCACTGCACTCCAGCCTGAGCAACAAGAGCAAAACTCCTTCTAAAAAAAAAAAAAAAAAAAAAAAAAGGAACAAATAGAAGAAGCTCAAGTAACAACAGTGGGAAAGAGAAAAGAGGATAGGTTTTGGTTTATGTAGCAAATGTCTCAGAAGAATATAGTTGAAACAATGACATTTTTTACAGATACATAAACATTTATCCTAAAATTCATGTGGAATCTAAAGCATCCCAAATAACCACAGCAATCTTGAAAAAGAAAAACCAAATTGGAGTTTTTATGCTTCCTGATTTTTTTTTTTTTTTTTGGCGTGGGGGCAGAGTCTCGCTCTGTCGTCCAGGCTGGAGTACAGTGGCGCGATCTCAGCTCACTGCAAGCTCCACCTCCCGGGTTCATGCCATTATCCTGCCTTAGCCTCCCGAGTAGCTGGGACTACAGGCGCCCGCCACCACGCCCAGCTAACTTTTTGTACTTTTAGTAGAGACGGGGTTTCTCCATGTTAGCCAGGATGGTCTTGATCTCCTGACCTCATGATTCACCCGCCTCGGCCTCCCAAAGTGCTGGGATTACAGCCGTGAGCCACTGCACCTGGCCTATGCTTCCTGATTTTCTAACTTACTACAAACCTACATTAATCAAAATAGTGTGGTACTGGTAAAATATGTCATGTTATGTATATTTTATCACGTAAAGATGGACATATAGACCAGTGAAATAAAGCAGAGAGTCCAGAAATATATGTTCAAATGATTTTTGAGAAGGATGCTAAGACCACTTAATGGGGAAAAAAATGGCAGTTTCTTCAACAAATGGTGTTTAAAAACTATATATCCACTTGCAAAAGAATAAAGTTGAACCTTTATCTTACATCATACACAAAAATTAACTCAAAATGGATTAAAGACAAATATAAAAGCAAAAATTATAAAACCCTTAGAAGAAAATATTGGGAGGAAATTTTATGACATACCTTAGCAGTGATTTCTTGAATATGACACCAAAAACAACGGAAACAAAAAAATTGGCAATTGAATTACTGTTGAAAACTTTTGTGCATTGAAAGATACTATCAACAGAGTGAAAAGACAAGTCATGGAATAGCACAAAATTGTATGTTTGAGTAGAGGTTGGCATCCATAATATGTAAAGAACCCCTAAAACCCAACAAGAAAACAACTAACAACCTGATTTAAAAATGGGCAAAGGGTAAGGATATATATTTCTCTAAAAAATACATGCAAATTGTCAATAAGCACATAAAAAGGTGCTTAACATTGCTAATCATTATGGAAATGCAAATCAAAACCACAATGAGATATCACTTCACGATCATTAGAATGGGCAATTAGCAACACAGACACAACTACAACAACAAAACATACAACAAATTTTGGCAAGGGTGTGGGGAAATCAGAATCTCTGTACACTGCTAGTACAAATATAAAATGGTACAGCTGCTATGGAAAACAGTATGGTGGTTCCTCAAAAAATTAAACAGAAAATTACTATCTGGCCCAGCAATTCCACTTCTGGGTATATACCCCAAAGAATTGAAGGCAGTGTCTCAAAGAAATATTTGTACACCCATGTTCGTAGAAGCATTATTCATAATAGCTACCAGGCAAAATCAACCCAAAGTGTCCACAGACAGATGAGTGGGCAAACACAATGTGGTATATAAATATAATATGATATTATTCAGCCTTCATCCAAAAGAAATTCTGACACATAATACAATATGGGTAAATGATGAAGACATTATTATGCTAAGTAAAATAAGCCAGTTACAAAAGGACAAATACTGTATGGTTTCACTTATACAAAGTATCTAGAGTACTCAAATTCTTGAAGCCAGAGACAAGAATGGCTGTTTCTAGGGACTAGAGAGAGTGAGGAATGGGGAGTTAGTGTTTAATGGGTATAGAGTTTCAGTTTGAGAAGATAAAAATCTTCTGGAGTTGGATGGTGGTGATGCTTGCACAACAATGTGAATGTATTTAATGTCACTGAACTAGATACTTAAAAATTGTTAAAATGGTCAATTTTATGTTACATTATTTATATTTTGTCACAGTAAAAAAGTATACTTGAACAATTTTTAAATGCCCCCACATACCTTTAGTTTATTTTTTTACAAAAGGACTCACCTGTAGAAATAAAAGCTGGAGATTGCCTCTTCTTTAATTAGTATTTGGCTGATTCTATATAATGGATACTTATCTAAAATATTTATTGTAAATCAAATTATTATAAATTACATTATTTAAGTAATAATTTTTCTTTTTATTTAAAGAAACTGCAAAGTTAAAATTTTAATGACCCGACTCTTACATCTTGTTCTCTATCACAAATTCGTAATTTTTCATATGAAGTTCCAAACTCAAAGACACCCAGCTTCCTAAAGGTGTAGGCCACAGATAGCCAAACATTTTCTATAAAGGGCCAGAGAGTAAATATTGTGGCTTTGCCATGTGGTCTCTGTCTGAACTAATTCAATTCTGCAACTGTAGCAACAAAGCAGAAATAGGCAATACATAAACTAATGGGGATGTCTATGTTCCAATAAAACTTCACTTTCAAAAACAGATGGTGAGGAGGATTTGGCCATAGGTTGCTGACCTCTGGTGTAGACCAAATGAGATCTCTGCTTCATGCAAAAAGGGTCCAAAACAGTTCTCAAGAAAAGTGTTAGCTGGATGAAGTCAGGAAGGACAAGTGTATTAGTCTGTTCTCACGCTGCTCATAAAGACATACCTGAGACAGGGGAATTCATAAAGGGAAAAGGTTTAATTGACTCACAGTTGAGCATGGCTGGGGAAGCCTCAGAAAAGCTACAGTCATGGCAGAAGGGGAAGCAAACACATCTTTCTTCACATGGTGGCATCAAGGAGAAGAGTGAGCAAAAGGGGAAAAGCCCCTTATAAAACCATCAGATCTCATTAGAACTCACTCACCATCATGAGAACACCATAAGGATAACCATCCCCATGATTAAATTACCTCCCACGACACATGGGGATTATGGGAACTACAATTCAAGATGAGATTTGGGTGAGGACACAGCCAAACCATATCAGCAAGGAAATTAAAAATTGTTATTCAAGCAAAGGTAGTGGAGGTGAGTAGGGATGGGAGTAAAAAGAAAATGGGGGTCAGGGGAGGTGGAGAGAAGGTTCTCCATCCGAGGAAGCTACATACTCAGAGACCCAGAGGCTAAATGATGAAGCCCACTGCTGCTCTTGGAAATCACTGAGGGCATAATGAGACATGGAGTGCTTTAGCATGAATATTTAAGAATATACACAAGGGCCTTTTGGTCAGCAGAGACCCAAAGGGTTATAAAGGCTGAGGGGAGGTGGAGGAGAGTAAAGATAGACAATAGACAATATATTTTTAATTGGAACTTTAATAGAGCTTTTGAGTTCTGAACTCATGCAGTAAGTAGTTTTGACAAGCCAATGCCCAGTAATCACTTTACCAAGGGGGAGAGCTTGTTCACCATTAAATGCTGATCTGTTAAAGGAAAACACAAATTCATAATTCATACTATTTCAATTTTTGCTTGGAGGCCAACTAGCAACATAGAATATATTTCATTTTAACATTTCTCTCTATATATATATTATGTATGTTTGTCCTATACTTTAAGTTTAACCGTAATATTTGCCAGTAAATCATAAGTATGTCTGCAACAAATGTCCTAAGGGGATTTTGGTGACTTCTGTTAACCTCTAATTCACTATTTTTCAAACTTTTGACCAACCATCAGCAATGTCATTGCTCCAACTTGGTTGCTGAGTAGCCTTAGGCAAAATGTAGGATACAAAGGCATAACCCAAGAATAATCTTTCATCCTTGGGGTCGAGGAGGGAAAGGTGGAAGCAGAACTCCTGGAACAGCACTGCTTCTGCCACCTCAGACCAGATGTACATTGTCCCAGTGTGGGAGAAGCAAACTGTCTCTTCACTTGCTTAAGTTATTCAATCACTTTTTGGCAAGACTTCAAGCAGTTTTTGCTGCAGTTAGCTCTAAAGGGGGCATAGAGTTTTTACTACTTTGAAATGACAAGCTTAAGGACATTCATGATAGGCTCAGGAGGGTCTCTGTTGGGTCTCAGGAAATGTCTCATCAAAGTCATTCTCAGGAGTTCCAGGACAGGACTGCATTTTTGGACCTAAATTATTTTGCCCTCTATGCAGTGATTTCTATGTCTTAGAAAGAAAAAATAATAATATTAATAATGGTGAGTGGGATGAGAAGTCCCTTTACATTCCATTTTATTATTCATTTGGACAGATAATTGTTTGAGACTACCTTAATGGAAGTGCATGCTATACAAGTAAGAAATTATTTCATACATGTCAGTTCTTTCAGGATGCTGTTGCTGTAATCACTCACTGAAAAGACCTATTGTTAATTTTTAAAGAAGCTTAAAGGAGAAGAAAACATGCCCACGGGCACAAGGTTCAGTGAGCAGTCATAATGTGGTGAAGAAGAGGCAGGAAGGAGGCCCAAAAGGCAGGAACTGGCTGGGGGCCATCCCAAAGGCCATGGCAGTAAAGGGTATATGTGGATGGACACCACGAACTGTACCAAACAATGCCAAAAATATTGTCTACCATACTTACTTCATCCTTACAGAAACTCTATGATATAGTTATCATCTTTAGCATCCTTTTATAAGGAGGAAATTAAAGCCCAGAGGAGTTAAATAATGTGTCAGTTGGGGTCTTGTGAGGAGAAGAATCTGAAACAGGCTTAGAACTGCAAGAGATTTATCGAATAAATGCCTGTGAAAACTAAAAGAAAGGGAGCAGGAGTCGTCAGGGAGAATCTTCAGACCATGGTGTGGGTGGGACGCTGTAAAAGGAGAGAGGGAAGGAAGGATGAATAGAAACAGCCCCAGACCACGGCACAGTTGGCGTAGCTTTACACAAGCCAATGGGAGTCCCCAAACAAACATGCTCATTGGAAGAGTCCTGGGGAGGGAGGGCTGTGTTGGCACCATTAGTCTTGTCATGTACAGTCATTGCTGGGAGCATCCCAAGGGAAGTGTGATCTTGACACCAGCCTGGTGCTGGATTCGAAGCTGTCAGCCAACTATGCCCTTGTGGCAGGTTTTCTTGGAGAAGGTCTAAGCAGGTATTTCCACAGATGCCGCTGTAACTTGCCTCGAAGGTGAAACTAGGATTTGATCATGGGCTGTCTGAGCATTGCACAATGGTCTGAAATCTTCCTTGATCTGGTTAAAGAAGTCAAAAGGCAATATAAATATCTTGATACCGTATTTGCTATATTTCAGGAGTTGGCAAACTTTTTATATAAAAGACCATAAAGTAAATATCTTACTCTTTGTGAGCATATGGGGTGTCTGTCACAAATACTCGGCCCTGTTGGTCCTAGTGAGAAAACAAATGGGAGAGGCTGTGTTCTAATAAAATTGTATTTATGCAAAAACAGGCACCAGGCTGAATTTGACCCAGGGGCCATAGTTTGCCAACCCTTGCTCTGTATGACAAGAAACAAATGTCAGATCAAAGAGGAAACAAAAGTAATAAACTGTAGAAGATGAAGACATGAGAACCCAGCATCAGCTCTGATATGGTTTAGCTGTGTCCCCACCCAAATCTCATCTTGAATTGTAGCTCCCATAATTCCCACGCATCATGAGAGGGACCGGGTGGGAGGTAAATGAATCATGGGGTGGGTTTTCGCATGCTGTTCCTGTGATAGTGAATAAGTCTCATGAGATCCGATGGTTTTATAAAGGGGGCACTCCTGCACATGCTCTCTTGCCTGCTGCCATGTAAGAAGTCCCTTTCCTCTTCCTCCATCTTTTGCCATGATTGTGAGCCCTCCCCAGCTGTGCGAAACTGTGAGTCCATTCAACCTTCTTCCTTTATAAATTACCCAGTCTCAAGTAGGTCTTTATTAGCAACATGAGAATGGACTAACACAAGCCCAATCAGCCCATTTTCTTCACAACAATTTCTTGGCTGTCATGTAGACTCACATAAGGTCTCTATTTTCTATCCAAGAGAAAACTCATATATACGCTCTTAGTGGGGACAAAATAGAAAATAGTTTCTTCACATTCCTGACACATTCTTTCCCTGGGCCAGGAAAATAGAGTGGGCCATAGGTGGCTTAGTGATATGGATTCTGCTGAGTCCTCACATTGGAATGACAGGGAGGGTTGCATGCAGAACACAAAATAGGAGAGTGCCCTTTTAAAGGCATTTGAGAAGGACTAAGAAGATTTATATCTGAAATTAATATTATGCATCATTCATTCATTCATTCATTCAAATACTAATGGAGTCCCACTTTAATCTTGATCATGTGCTGATACTAAAGATACAAAAAAGATTAAGTCATGGATTCAACACATGAAGAGGCCACAGTTCATCAGGGAAAAGACAACACAGTACAATACGAGCTATGGTACAGGAAATCACATGGTCTGTATGGATCTGTATGGATTGCCCTCTTCTAGGCAGCTCCCCACTCCTTTCTTCTCTGCTAGGAAAAGGTAAACAGATCTAGCCTGCACTGGCTTAGCTAGGAATGGATGTTTAGATGATCTTTCCTTTCTGACAAGAATACCTTACTGGCACATGAGGTGCCTATTGTCCAGGGTGTGTTGGTGCAAAAAAGAGACACAGTCAGGGAGGAAAGCAGTCTGAGTATATGAAGTCCACTTCACAATTTTGTATAAGGTTGCCCTCTCTGGATGAAGAATCTGACTCTACATCTCAGTGTTTCCTTCAAAATGAATACAAAGTTCTACAGAGTCAGGAAAGAACTGGAAAGTCTCAATCTGTGGCCACTCTTCATGGCAGGGAAAGCTAGACTCATGGTGAAGAAAAGCTTTTCCTCATTGCAAACTGCATTCCAAGTTGCCACTTTTTTTGTTGTTTGTTTGTTTTTTGAGATAGGGTCTTGCTCTGTCACCCAGGCTGGAATGCAGTGGCGCAATCTTGGCTCACTGCAAGCTCCACCTCCCGGGGTCACGTCATTCTCCTGCCTCAGCCTCCTGAGTAGCTGGGACTACAGGCGCCCACCACTGCGCCCGGCTAACCTTTTTTTGGATTTTCAGTAGAGACAGGGTTTCACCGTGTTAGCCAGGACGGTCTCGATCTCCTGACCTCGTGATCCACCAGCCTTGGCCTCCCAAAGTGCTGGAATTACAGGCATGAGCCACTGCACCCAGCCCAAGTTGCCACATATTTTTAAATACCCTTATACTTTAAAACTACCCACCATCTCATTCCACATAATGCTTAAATAAACCACCCAGGCAGAAAACCACATAAAAATTAAATTTCATTTTTAAAACATGATTTTTATAACTTGTATTTACGCCCAGCTACAAATCAGAGAAATAGAAAACATTTACATTAAAAAAAGTTTTGTTTTGTTTTTTTTTTCAAAAAATATGGCCAACTCCAAACAAAGATGGCATAAAAATGCCCACCTACTCGGTGCAATATTTTTTCTGTCCGGATCAGTTAATAGTTGCATCTATCTGATAGTATTATAAAAACATGAAATCAACAAATTATATGTAGATTTCTTAAATTATGTGTCTAGAAAAGTGATCTGGACTGTTCATGAAGTCAAAAACCAACAACAAAACAACAATAGCTGCTCACTACGTGGTTCCATGTAGACCTCATGTCAATTTCCAGACTATCATACTATTGTTTTCTAGTCTAGGAAAGTCTTGAATTACAGATCATTCCCACTAAAGCATATTCACTTGTCCTAAGAACATTTACTTCTTCACTTTATATTCTACTCAAAACTCAAGTCAGTCCCTTTGGTCCTAAGATATGAAAAGCACCAAATCCACAGATAGTTTGAGTTGATATTTCAAAGCTTTGAAAGTGAAATATAAGAAATTGTATTGGACTTGTGATAAATGAGAAATGTAGTGGCATATTTATGACACTTTAACTAATTGGGCTGGTCATTGTGCTTCCTGGCTCAGATGTATCACTGCACTACCACAGGTCAATATACTTCAGGTGGTGTTCTCAACTCAGAAATATGCACAGGCCACATCTCTGATGGAGCTCTTGGCAAATCACTTGAATTACATTCCCTAATATTCAACAGATGCCTATAACCCACATGGCAAACAGATACATTCAGTCAGTAGTTCACCATAACATTATATTGAAACAAATACAAGAACCCATGCATAATATTTAATAAAAACACAAAGAACTATAAATGGCATAACTCCAGAGTTCATTACTGCTCAAACTGTCTCAACTTTCATAGTAGCATATATTCCACTGACCAAATCAGTGTGTATTTATCGTGAGATTCTCTCTCTTTGGCAGAGAAAGCAAGTGGAATATTCAACGTGAGCTTGATTTAGAATAGATAGAGGCAGACAGACCTTGCAGCTTTGGACGTTACTGAAAAGAGAAGTGATTTATGATGTCATTTCTGTTTACATATAGTTCATTTTCTGTTAGGGCTATAGCATTTTCTTCAAGTAAAAAGGCTTCTTGGGATGGTATCTCACCACTCCCCTCCTCTTCCCAGCCAACCTTCCCCTCTCCTTCCCTACTGTTTTCCTCTCCTTCACAGCCCATATGTCTTATAAGACAAGTTTCACTTGAAAATGAACAAAACTCTGTGAAGAAGTGAGGTCAAAGTTAGAAATGCGAACATCCATTTTCATCTTTACCAGTGATTCCAAATTCTTGTGATTCATTTATGGGAAAAGGAAGAGCAGTAAAACAGATAGGGCAAAATAGAAAAATCTTCCTTAGACACCCATTATCCTAATGGCAAAGCTTCTAATGGGTAAAGGAAACTGTTGAGAGGTGATACTCTTGCCAGTTTTTAAAATTCTGTATTTGCACTGTAATTAACAAAGAATAACCACTTGCAGTTTCAATTATAGCAAATGCTCTTCTCCATCATGTCCCTCAAACTACATTTGAATGATACCTCTGTTGGCAATCAAGAAGCATTTGGGAGGCATTCCAGCAGTGGTTTTTAGGTGAAGATATTTGATCCCTCTGTTTATATATTCTTGTTTAGTGTAGAATCATCTCAGATCAAAGGTAATGTCAATTGATTGAATTAAAATGTATAGAATAAAATCCACAAATTAGGTCGGATGTCTGATTATGATCTTTGATCAAAAAAAGTACATGAAACACATTTTCTGAATATTTAAAGTGCTGTCAAGTATAGTATAATACCACATGTTGTAAGGAGTTTAATAAACACAAATCAGTCGAATTTATTTGTATTGTTTGATCTGTTTTATTGTCATAAAATATGTATGGAAATGACATATACAGAAGCAGCATTCCTAAATAACCTGGCATTGATAAAATAAGGAGAAATTCATCAAACAGAAATATATATAGCTCATCCAGAGACTACAGAGCATTCTGATATAATTACTGTGATTCTGTTTCATTGCCAACAAATGAGGAAAGAGACTGCGTAGTAATTCTCTACTCCCACATACTTTTGGTTGTACAACAGGTCCAAATAAGACTCTACGGATCTTGGATCGTCCAGACTATATGACTTGACTATTGGTGGGCTTTTTCTCCCAGTAATGTTCTGCAGGTGGTGGTGGGGGAGGTCAGTAAACCTATAAGTTGGCTGTAAATATGCCCTCCAGAGATCTGCTGGGGATTTTAAACATTTTAGATACAAGGCAGAATCAACTCATTTTGAAAAGAAAGCACTCTATGCCTGGAGAATACACCTTCCATTGGGCAAAGAAAAAAACTCTGCCAGAATCGAACTTCTATACCCAGGAATACCATGGCATGATTCCAATAGGTTCAGTTCTGAGATAGAGTGGAAGGCTAAACTCCAGGGCTGCTTCTTGCAGTTCCTCCAGCCCAATACCTTAGTCTGAATCCCAAAGCCACTCAAAAAATTGTTCAAAAGTTTGCAACAGATGGGTTCAAAATCTAATGCATTTAGAAATAGTTGGCCTATCCTTGAGGTATTTGAGCACAATATATGTGATAATATATGTCACTTTTAAAGCAGTGTTCCACTGTTATAGCACGAGTCCTCATTTTGGACTCTAAAAATAATTTTATATTATGTCTATATTTGTTAAGAAGCTTGTAGAAAAAAGTGTTTGGGGTAGACCAGTAGGGCAAGGGGAAGGGCAATAAAGAGGAAAGCTTCCCATATTCTGCATTAGTTTAATTTCTTTTTTCTCTTTGCAAGCTTTAAAAAGAAGGGGGAAAGGATGAAATTATTTGAAGGAACAAGAGGGTAAAGAAATAAAGATAAACAGAGTTAAGATGTAATTGCACGCTGTAATTTGCTAACAAAGAATTTTGTAGGTTGCCAACCTGTATAAATTACATACAGTTGGGAAAAGACTTCCAAGCAGAGAGAAATATAATTGCTTCATCTATTTTTTTTCTCAGTCAGTGTTTCTAACACTAACTCTATTGTATGACTGAACTGTACAAAATTACACTAGTTTCACAGATAGCCTTTGAAACACATTGTTGTAGGCCCTGAGACCTCCAAACTATCACCTGTGTGGTGAGAGCCCTCTAGTGGATGGGGGACTCCAAGCATGCAATGTCCGGAGCTTTGCCTGGAAAGGTGAAAAATTCAGTCATCTCACATTACCACTGGGCAACAGAGGGGAGACGGCAGAGCTTTCTGGGTGTATTTCTCTAGCTCAAATGTAAAATGGGAAGCCTACCTCCTCTGCCAGTTGCCATTTAACATTTCTATTCTTCCAGAGTGTTACACCCTTTCCTTGACATTCTGACAAATCTTTGGGTAGAACCAGTAAACAATGGCCTTTGGATTACTGTAGAGAAGAGAGGGTTCTGCATTAAGAGAAAGTGAACCATTATTCTAACACTATTCCGTCAGAAAACTAGCTGTATGACTGACTGATGGCTGATTTATCATAACCAATATATTTCCCTGAAATTTGAAGAGGAATTGGAGATTCCTCCTAAGTTGCCAGGAATTATTTAGAAATGTGTGGCCATATAGCCAGAGTTCTCCCAGTGGCTCTCTTCTCTTTCCTGGTTGTTGCTTTTTAGTCTCCTTTGTTAATTTCCCCCTATACTGGACCTTTAAACCTTGGATCAACTTGAGGCCTCTTCTCTTCTGACTTTGTACAATCTTAAGACATCTCAAGGATATATACTAATAAATGTTAAATTAAAAATTGTACCCAGATCTTCTTTCTTAGACTCTTCCTTTTAGATGTCTCATAAGAGCTTCAAGCTCAATAGAAACAGAAGTGAACTTAACCCAAATCTGCCCCCTTTCTTGTGTTTCTAATCAAAGCAAATGACAACCTACAAACACGACCATCTTTTTGAATTTTCCTCCTTCTTGGGACGCATAATCATCAAGTCAATAAATTCCACCTCTGATATTGCTTTCAAATTTATTCCCTCTATCTATTTTAACCATCATCACTAGCCTAACCCAAGCCATACAAACCAGTGCTATCACTTTCTAACAAATATTCCTGTATCTATCCCCTAATCCACTATTTTAACAATGCAGACCTGATCATACCATTTCTCTGCTTTAAATCTTTGATGACTGTTATGATAAATTTCCATATTCTTTTTATGGTCTCAAAATCCTGCATAATCTGGACACTGCTTATCTCTCCAGTCTCTCTTCCCCTTCTCCCCCACATGCTCCTCTGTCCAAATATAACATTTTACATTCTTTCCTGCCTTGGGGTCTTCATTCAGCTGCTCCTGCCTGGCATGCTCTCTGACTACACTTACCTACCTAATTATTAATGTTCATATTGCATTTTAAAGCTATAAGTCTCATTTTTGTTAAAATAAAATGTAGGTAGAAAAATTTTATATGTACATGTCCTTTAACTGAGCCATAATTAAAAGGAAAGAAATTAAACAAAGACTCTTGCCCAGAGAGGAAGCTGTCTCCCCTCACCTGTAACTGCTGTGTTTACACAGATGGTGTGCTCTGAAAAGCCTTGCTTTCAGTTGATAAGGAAACTAAAATTTAACCAAGACCTTTGATTAGCTGATTTATCAAGTTGAAGCCAGTTCCCCTTAAGATGAAATCTAATTCTTGCTCTGTATCCCATGTGGCAAGCTTCAGTTTTCTATAATTTTCGTTCATCCAACATAGAGATAATAACTCTCCTGAGGTCAAATTATTTTTACGAAGGTTGTCTTCAACACCTGAAATGTTGCTTTAAATTCTGAGTTTGGAAAAAATTCACAGATGCTTAGAATCATGAATCACTGGGATGTGATGGTGGGGAATATGTCTGTTGCTCTTCACTTTCATTTTAAATGACATTCCCACTCTTGGTTTTCTTTCTTTGTTCTTCTAACTGTCTAAATTACCTGTGAAAATTTATGAGTGGAAACAGAATGGTTTAATATGCTTCTTTCCCAGAAGTATTTGGTATTTACAGTTGAAAAATGACCTAGATTCGGTTCTAATTCACACACAGGTGATGCTTGCTATTTCTGTACTTTTCTCCATCAGCCTTAGCCTAAACACCACTACCTCATGAAAAGCTTTCCCAATACCTCTAGGCTGGATCAGGTGGTGTTATTATTATGTCCACAGCAAATGTTTTACCTCCTCCACTAATTACCCCATTAATTTCAGTCTTTCAGTTTATGAGCTCCATATCATGTCTACCTTGTCCATTTGCTCATGCCCTGCACATAGCACAGTGCCTTAGACATAGTAAGCATTCAGGAAATATTTGTTGAGTGAAAAAATTCAATGCTTCCTCATATGGAGAGTGTTTTCTTGGCAAGACCATGCAATCAGGGAAGAAAATTACTATTAAAAATACAGACTTTCTCAGAGATCCCAATGGCAGGATCTCTCTCTCTCTCCCTCTCTCTCATTTTAAGTCTCTCCATGTTTTGGTTTCATTCACGTTTCCTTGTACACTTATTCCTCTGCCTCCACGCATAAGTTACAGGTTGTTATTATAGCTCTGGAGTTTATGTGTTTTCAGTTCACAGGACTAGTAGAGTCTAATATTCCTTATCCAATTCCAAACTCTAAAAAGAGAGAGAGGACTGTCTATCACTGGGCAAAACTAGTGGGACACCTCTTTCAATCAGCTGTGACTGGAAGGGTTCGATTCTGTCAGCAAGATGTTTGTGTGGGTTGTGGGTGAGGCATTGAATACTGCAAATACCCCAAAAGTTGTCTACTACACCGTTTGTCTCCTTGAATGCTCTGGAACATAAGATCATAAATAAATAAATATCAGTAAAAACAAAAAAAGCACAAAATGTCATTGGCTTCCCTGCAGGTGTTGATGAACATTAAGGGAAAATCTAGGTTTTATAGAGATGTATTGACAAACATTTCTCTTTTCTCAAATAAGGAGTATGTTCATTATTACTTGATGAGACTACTCCTTTATTCAAAATATCTCTAATTTTTAATAGTTTTTCCTTAACTCATTATGTGGTTTGCAACTTCTTAATAGGATTGTGGACTAGAATACACAGCTACTCCACACCTGACATTTTTCTCTTCACATATCTATCCAGGAGAAAGAGTTTCTTTACACATTTAAAATATTATTTTCACTATTTAAGTAGGCCATAAATCTGATTTTAAATGCATTTGGTATAAAATGTATTCTCAAATGAAAGAATATGATTGAAAATATTGAATTTTATTCATTCTTTTTCATTCTGGCTCTATCTTTGTTAATAATTCAGACATGCAGGAAATATGTAAAGGTGAGATTTCAAGTCATTACTAACATGCATTTGTCAGACTTTTCCTGGAATAAATATAAAGTGGCTTATTTGATACATGTCTTTTCTAGTTTCAAAGATTCCATTGGATTTGCTGAAGCAAACACAAGAGTATGGGGAAGGCCTGAGTATGAGGAAATGGCCAGGAAAAGCATCTTAAACAAGGGTGGAGTTTGTTATTCAGACTGAAGTTTGTGCCTTCTCCATTGATAAGAGTTGTAGATGGAGATTTAAAGTTATATTTCTCTTCCTGGTGCAGAGAAGGAGACACCCTTACAAATGAAGATTGCCTTTATAAATGTAAATTGCCCCTTAAAAGGGGAAAATTTTACTCTTGTCTTCAGAGATTTTCCTGGGCTGGCTATTTGCCAAAGTAATCGGCTCAGAATAACCCTTATGCTAAAGCAGAATGTTTTGGGTTGTCATGTCCTGAACTTCATCATTAGCTAGATTAATACCAATGAAGAACTGTAATCTACCATGTATAACTGATGTTTGCCATCCATAGTCTCTCTGAGTCAGTTATATTAGGTTGGCGTGAAAGTAATTTCGGTTTTTGCCATTACTTTTAGTGGCAAAAATCGCAATTACTTTTGTGCCAACCTAATATATAATTATCAAGAATGGATGATAAAGGCAATATTTGCAATAAAATTAATAGCAATATTTTCCACTGTAGAAAGCCAGATTTGCATAGATTGAAAATTATTGAACTAGAAATTAGAAGACCTCAATATCTGTATACTTGTTTATCATTTGATTTTAGTTCATTCACTTAATGCTCCCGAATTGCCACTTTCTCATCAGTAAATTAGTATTGGATTGGACAATTTTTACATTTGGTTCTTGTTCTATGTGTCACAAAATGCTTTGTAGTCTCTAGGCTTCATTTTGTCTCCCATAAGCCTGGAAGCTAAACAGGAAAATACTGACTACACTGTGTAAATGACAGAAGTGGGGTTGAGGCTCAGAAAATGAAGCCTCCAAATATGGCGCTTTGACATGCTATACTAAACAAGCAGCCTCAAAGTCTCTCCCTGCCTTCCTATCTCTCTGATCCTTTTTCTTTTCCAGAGCACCAGGAGGGGCTCTCTCTGGAAGTTCCTTTATCAGACAGAGAAAACTTCTTCTAAAAGAAATGCAATTGTCTTAAAATCCCCTCTCTAAAAATCTCATTAAATAACCAAGGAAGATTAACTACCAGAGAAGAGAAGGGACTGGGAGTCATCATCACAACCAGACAGATTTTCCATCTATTCTTCTGAGGGCAGTTCCATAAGATTAGCTAGGGAATTGTATCTGCATAATATGACGACCTTTGCCGACAATGCAGTTCTATTCTTGCCCTTTCCATAATTTGTCCACAAGCTATTGTTTGTCCTTTGATCCCGTTCAGCATCAAGAGAATCATTTACAAACCTGTTAGGTCTTTTTGCTCATTTATTTACATCTCTGCATATTTCCCCTTCCCAATGAAGAGGGCATTTAAGCATTAACCATCTGGCCCTTTTCTTGAGTTTTTCATATTTATTTATATGACTTGCATGCATTATGCACCTTAATAAATTTGTTACCTTTTTATCTTTTTAGCTGTCTTTTGTTATAGGGGTGGCAACTTCATTGGCATTTTGAGAAGTTTAAGATCTCCCCAAACTGGCCTAAGACTTGCACTTATATTAACTTCTGCACCTCATTTTATAATGGGGAGAAAATGTATCACCCCTTTTCAATCTCTACAGTTCTTGTAACAAGAATGGGATGACTGAAACACCTGATGCATTCCAGAGCCTACAAATAAAGTCTTGGGACAACTGACAAAAAGCCAACAACAAAAGGTTAAAATCTTTTACCGAAGTCAGTTTTCTCAGCCCTCTACCTGCAGTGCCTGGTCAAGAATAAAAGGTAAAAATTTGTCTTTATTTCTTCCTTTCCAAATTCAGTTTGGCAAAAGCATATTATTTGCTTGGATTGTGACTCTTGTGTACATTTGTGGGTACCCATTTGCTATTGATCCTTTCTCCTCCATGGACTGCTATCGTTTTCCTGTTTGTCTCATTTTGTGACCTGAGAACTTGGCTCAGCTTGCCACCTGTCACAGGCATGCAGATTGTCAAGCCTGCATATGCAGACAGCCAAGCAAAAGGTTGTGGGGGACCATCATAAAAAGTTAAAATACAGACTGTTGCCATCTCTCAAGACATTGTCTAAATCTTCCTTGCTTTTAGTTGTCTTTGGAGGCTGTTTGATTCTGAGAAGATTGTGTCTTCACACCTCTTTGGAGACATCTCATGCATTTTTGGTTAACCAAAGGAGGCTTATTGGTTTTGGTTCTGAGTCAATTGGTAGATACATTTAGCTTGAAAAAAAAAAATTAAGCCAGGACTATTTTCTCTTTGTCTCACTGAAATCTGATAATGAGAGATTTGAGAAGATTTTTTTAAGAGTTCTGTGATAAAAAGTCAGCACAATAGGAACTGATATTCAAGCTATATATTTTTAAAGCCACTCTATTTCTTTCTGTTGAATTTTGTTTCTACTCTTGGGAACTCCTCAGTCTATTGAACTCTTTTTTCTCAAACCCCTACCAACTAGAACTTCACTGGCATTTTGGGAAGTTTAAGATCTCCCCAAACTGGCTTCTCTAAGACTTGCACTTTTATTAACTTCTGCACCTCTTTCCTTTTGACACATTTGATTGTCCATCCAGTTCTCTTTAATCATTGATATGTTCCCCATTCAAGCCTCTACCTCCTTCATTTGGTGGTCACTGGATATAAAATTACTAAGACAAAGCATCAGTGTTCTGGCTATCCCATAAAGGTACCTAGGGAGGCCTTCTAGCAGCACTGAAACCCCTTGAGAAACACAAAAAAAGCATCTCAGACTCCCCTGTTTGGGGTCATCTGTCTTCCTCAGGGAGCCCCAAGAGTCGTGAGTAGGTTCCTCTCAGGTCAGAGGTGCTGCTGTCTTTTACATTGAGATCCCTGATCGCTTTGTCTTTTGGGGATACCAAGAGTCACTTTATACTGTGAGCCAACACTTGATCCTCGATGTGCAGGAACTAATGAGTCACTGGCAAGAGCTGTAATTTTAAAGTAAATGACAGTGGTTGCAATGAAAGGTTATTACTACAGTAGGCAAAATCCAGCCTTCCATCCTCCTCATTTGTTTGTATATTTAAAATTTTAAGTCTCAGATTTCTGCTTGAGTCTAACAGAAACTGACAGTAAGTGGCAATTTGGTGTAAGAAAAGTCATTAGCTATGATGGGCAAGGGAATCTTGGAGCTGTAAACATGACCTGACTCTTGATAGGTGTCGTATGCGTACTTGGAAGCTATGGGAGCCCCACCTTGAGCTCAGCAATACAGTTAAGAAACAGATGTTAAAAGTCACCTAAATAAAATTAATCTCCAAAATAAGGCTTTATGATATTCAGCTGGTTATTTTAAACAGACTTCTTAATTTTCTTCTATCCTCATCCATGTATTTCCTTATAAAATCAAGTTTTAACAGAAATAGATATTTTATTTACCCAGATGAACTTTGGAAACATTCAGAGCTAAAATTGAGCCCACAGCCTCCATAAAATTGATCTCTGATAATAAACAATATTCCCAAGATCTTTCTTGGAGATAAAATATCTATATAAATAAAATAAAACTAACTCAGATACCTTTTATATAATCTAAGATAATCTTTGAAAAATAAAGCTAGTTTTTAAATTGTTGGAAAAATAAAATAAGAATGTCCTCAGAATTTAATTTAGGTATTTTTGCTTGGGTCTATTGGTCAGACAGATTTATACTTTCTCTGCTAGATATTTTAAGGTCATAAAACTGTTGCTTCTGTGATATTTTTGATACTTGCTTAATTTTTCTGAGCTAAAGCTGTAAGGGTTGGTTACTGGGCTCCCCTAAAGCCTTGCACATATCTTATGGCGGGATTATGTCTTTGGTTTTGAGCCTCTGGATTCTGGAGTCTGAACAGATGGCCATGAAGAGGCCTGGGGACATATCAATGTCCATAGTACCTGGGCCACCAGGTGCAAGGCAGATTCAAGCCCAAAATGGCCTTGTCTTTGGCCCAGCTCTATCTGCTGGTCATACTGGAAGAGGTCAGATCCTCCAGGCATTATCTTCATAGTTCTGTCCTCTGTCCTGGGCTCTGTACCTCATATGTAAACACAGGATCCAGATATGCCCTGCCCTTCATAGCCACCCTGGATGCCACATAGGCACATGACACCCAGGGTGACTTTGGGGGTAGGAAGACACTGGGGAGGATACCTGTGTCCAGTATTCCAAATGCCTTGGTTAAGACAAGACTGGCTGATGCAGGGTTAGCCTGGCTTTGCTTTCTCAAAAATAAATAAATAAATAACTTAAGTGGCTAACTTTGTTTTCCATGAGCAACTCAAATATAACTGTTAATAATGAGTAAACTGGGTAAATGGAAATGAGATAGTTGCTTACAAATAAATGTCATTTCAAAACTGTTTTTCAGTAATTTAAAATCATAAGTCATATTATGTTAAATCGGGCAATAGACAATCATGACATGTCCAAGTTGCTTCTAAGTAAGATAAAATACTGAAACATTGATCACTAAACATAGGTTCAAGTTTGTCACTTTTGGCTTTTTAAAATTTATAAAAAGACTAAAGATATTTGGGTTTGCTAGTAAATACTGATTCACATGAAAAATATGTTCTACTAGAAAAAAACTTGTGTTTCTAAAAATTATAAAATGTTTTTATGTTTTTGTATATATGTATTAATTAAAATTGCTTATTTGTATATATGTATTAATTAAAATTGCTTACTTCCTACATTTCTCATGAAAATTTATGGTTACAAAGAGTTAAAATTACAATTAATATATTTAATTAAAACTACTAGATATAAGATAAGCAATTCTGAATACAAGTGTAAAAGTAACATGAGATATGAGGATATGTTTTTGTTAAAAGAAGGAATAATTTTGTCTAGATAAAAGTTATTTAAAGGTGTTTTTTAAGCCTTTGTTGAAATCTTATGAATTCAAAATGTTATGAATTCAAATATTTGTACAATTACATAGTGGCATCACAAAAAATCTTAACTTTTTAAAGAGTACCAGCCTTTTATTTTTGTAGATACATAATACTTTATTAAGTGTACAGTTCAGTGGCATTAAAGAGATTCACATGGTTATGCCGCTATCACCATCATCCACTCACAAAATTCTTTCATCTTCCAAATGGAACTTGTGTACCCATTAAACCAGAACTCCCCATCACCCCTTCTCCTAACCCCTGGCAGCTACCATTCTACTTTCTGTCTCTGTGAATTAATTACACTGGGTACCACATACATGTGACATCATACAATATTTTTCCTTTTGTGACTGGTTTATTTCATTTAGTATAATGTTTCTTTCTTTTAGCTTTTATTTTAAGTCCAGGGGTATATGTGCAGGTTTGTTATATAGGTAATGTATGTCACAGGGGTTTGTTATATAGATTATTTCATCACCCAGGCATTAAGCCTAGTACTCATCAGTTATTTTTCCTGATACTCTCCCTCTTCCCACCCTCCACCCTTCAATAGGCCTCAGTGTCTGTTGTTCCCCATTATGTGTTCATGTGTTCTAATCATTTAGCTTCCACTTATAAGTGAGAACATGTGGTATTCGACTTTCTGTTCCCGCATTAGTTTGCTAAGGATAATGGCCTCTAGCTCATTCATGTTTCTGCAAAGGCATGATCTCATTCTTTTTATGGCTGCACTTCATGTTGTATACGTACCATATTTTCTTCATCTACTCTACCACTGAGGGTCATATAAACTGATTTAATGTCTTTGCTACTGTGAATAGTGCTGCAGTGAACATATGTGTGCATGTGTCTTTATGAGATAGCCACTTATAGTCCTTTGGGTATATACCCAGTAATGGGATTGCTGGGTCAAATGGTAGTTTTGTTTTTAGGTCTTTGAGAAATCGCCAAATTGTTTTCCATAATGGTTGAACTATTTTACACTCTCACTAACAGTCTATAAGCATTTCTTTTTCTAGGCAACCTTGTCAGGACCTGTTATGTTTTTACTTTTTTCAAATAGCCATTCTGACTGGTGTGAGAGGGTATCTTATTGTGGTTTTGATTTGCATTTCTCTAATGATCAGTGATATTGTGTTTTTTTTCTCATATGCTTGTTGGCTACATGTATGTCTTCTTTTGGAAAGTGTGTTTATGTCCTTTGCCCACTTTTTAGTGGGGTTGTTTTTCTCTTGTATATTTAAGTTCCTTATAAATGCTGGATATTAGACCTCTGTCAAATGTATAGTTGGCAAAAATTTCCTCTCATTCTGTAGGTTGTCTGTTTAAGATGTTGATGGTTTCTTTTACTGTGTAGAAGCTCTTAAGTTTAATTTGGTCCTATTTGTCGATTTTTGCTTTTGTTGCAATTGCTTTTGGAGTCTTTGTCATGAAATCTTTAGCTGTTCCTACATCCAAGATGGTATTGCCTAGGTGGTCTTCCAGGATTTTTATAATTTTGGGTTTTACATTTAAGTCCTTGATCCATCTTGAGTTGATTTTTACATATGGTGTAAGGAAGGGGTCCAGTTTTGGCTGGATGCGGTGGCTCACACCTGTAATCCCAGCACTTTGGGAGGCCGAGGCAGGCGGATCACGAGCTCAGGAGATCGAGACCATCCTGGCTAACACAGTGGAACCCCGTCTCTACTAAAAATACAAAAAATTAGCCGGGCATGGTGGCGGGCACCTGTAGTCCCAGCTACTTGGGAGGCTGAGGCAGAAGAATGGCGTGAACCTGGGAGGTAGAGCTTGCAGTGAGCCGAGATTGCACCACTGTACTCTAGCCTGGGTGACAGAGCAAGACTCCATCTCAAAAAAAAAAAAAAAAAGAAGGAGTCCAATTTCAATCTTCTGCATATGGCTAGTCAGTTATCCCAGCATCATTTATTGAATAAGGTGTCTTTTTCCCCCATTGATGTTTTTTGTCTTCTTTGTCGAAGATAAGACAGTTGTAGATGTGTGGCCTTATTTCTGGGCTCTCTATTCTGTTCCATTGGTCTATGTACCTCTTTTTGTACCAGTATCATGCTGGTTTGATTACTGTAGTCTTGTAGTATAGTTTGAAATTGCATAATGTGATGCCTCCAGTTTTGTTCTTTTGGTTTAGGATTGCTTTCACTATTCAGGTTCTCTTTTGGTTCCATATGAATTTTAAAACAGGTTTTTCTAGTTCTATGAAGAATGTCATTGGTATTGAATCCATAAATTGCTCTGGGCAGTATGGCCATTTTAACAATACTAATTCTTCCTATCTGTGGTCATAGAATATTTTTCCGTTTGTTAGTGTCTTTTCTGATTTTCTTTTTATTTTGAGCAGTGTTTTGTAGTTCTCCTTGTAGAGATCTTTCATCTCCCTGGTTAACTGTATTCCTAGGTATTTTACTTAAGTATGTGTGGCAATTTTGAATGAAATTGTGTTCTGATTTTGCTCCCCCCTTGACTTGTTGGTGTTTAGGAATCCTAGTGATTTTTGTGCACTGATTTGGATAAAGTTGTTTATCATCTGGAGGAGCTTTTGGGCCGAGACTGTGGAATTTGGACATGTAGATATGGAATCATGTCATTTGTAAACAGGGATAGTTTGACTTCCTCTCTTCCTACTTGGATGCCTTTATTTCTTTCTCTTGCTGATTGCTCTGGCTAGGACTTCCAATACTATGTTGAGTAGGAGTGGTGAGAGAGGGCATCCTTGTCTTGTGCCTGTTTTCAAAGGGAGTGCTTCCAGGTTTTGCCCATTTAGTATGATGTTGGCTATGGATTTGTCATAGATGGCTGTTATTATTTTGAGGTGTGTTTCTTCAATACCTAGTTTATTGAGAGTTTTTAACATGAAGAAGTGTTGAATTTTATTTAAGGCCTTTTCTACATCTGTTGAGATAATCATGTGGTTTTTGTCTTTAGCTATGTTTATGTGATGAATCACATTTATTGATTTGCATAGGTTGAACCAACCTTGTATTCCAGGGATAAACCCTACTTCATCATGGTGGGTAATCTTTTTGATGTGCTGCTAGATTCAGTTTGCCAATTTTTTGTAGAGGATTTTTGCATCAATGTTCATAAAGGATATTGGCCTGAAGGTTTCTTTTTTTGTTGCTTTGTCATTGCTAGGTATCAGGGTGATGCTGACCTCATAGGATGAGTTAGGGAGGAATTCTTTCTCCTCAGTTTTTTTTAGAATAATTTCAGTAGGAATTGTACCAGCTCTTTGTGCACCAGTTTGCCACTCTGTGCCCTTTAATTGGGGCATTAGCTTGTTTACATTCAAGGTTAGTATTGATATGTGTGGATTTGATCCTGCCATCATGATGTTAACTGGTTATTATGCAGACTTGTTTATGTGGTTGCTTTATGGTGTCACTGGTTCATGTATTTATTTGTGTTTTTATAGTGGCTGGTAACAATCTTTCCTTTCTATATTTAGTGCTTCTTCAGAAGCTCTTGAAAGGCAGGTCTGGTGGTAACAAATTCCCTCAGCATTTGCTTGTTTGAAAAGGATTTTATTTCTTCTTTGCTTATGAATCTTAGTTTGGCCAGATAGGAAATTCTGGCTCGTTTTTTCTTCTTTAAAAATGTTGCATATTGCTCCCCAGTCTCTTCTGACTTGTAAGGTTTCTGCTGAGAGGTCTG
The DNA here is from genome assembly GCF_000001405.40 of Homo sapiens. Classification (NCBI taxonomy): domain Eukaryota; kingdom Metazoa; phylum Chordata; class Mammalia; order Primates; family Hominidae; genus Homo; species Homo sapiens. The sequence continues at coordinate 219,397,921 of NC_000001.11, forward strand.
CTGTTAGTTGGATGGGCTTCCCTTTGTAGATGAGCTGCCCCTTCTCTTTAGCTACCTTTCATATTTTTACTTTTATTTTGACCTTGGAGAATCTGATGATTATGTATCTTGGGGATCATCTTCTTGTGAAGTAGCTTTGAAGTTCACTGCATTTCCTGAATTTTAATTCCTGGTCTCTCTAGCTAGGTTGTTGAAGTTGTCATGGATGATATCCTGAAATATGTTTTGCAAGTTGCTTATTCTCTCCTTATCTCTTTCAGGGACACAAATGAGTCACAGATTTGGTTTCTTTACATGAGTTCTTATTTCTCAGAGGTTTTGTTCATTCCCTTTTATTCTTTTTTTCTCTATTCTTGTCTGACTGTCATATTTCAGAAAGACAGTCTTCAGGCTCTGAGATTCTTTCCTCCACTTAGTCTATTCTGCTACTAATACTTGTGATTGTATTATGAAATTCTTGCCATGAGTTTTTTAGCACTACAGGTTGGTTACATTCTTTTCTATACTGGCTACTTTGTCTGTCAGCTCCCGCATCATTTTATTGTGATTTTTAGCTTCCTTGGGTTGGGTTTCAATGTACTCCTGCATCTCAATCACCTTCATTCCTATCCATATTCTGAATTCTATTTTGGTCATTTCAGCCACCTCAGCACAGTTCAGACCCTTGCTGAGGAGATGGTGTGGTCATTTGGAGGAATGAAGGCACTTTGGCTTTTTGAGTTGTCAGAGTTCTTGCACTGGTCCTTTCTCATCTTTAAGGGCTGATGTTCCTTCAGTCTTTGAAGTTGTTAACCTTTGAATTGTTTTTCTATTATCCTATTCGATGACCTCGAGGGTTTGATTATGGTATAAGGTGAATTCATCCAACTGGCTTAGTTTCTGAAAGATTTTAGGGGGCCAGTGCTGAGTTCCCAACTCCTGGACTGCATGCTCTAACTCTGGATGACTTTTATTGTGCCCTGTCTTTGTTTTCTGGCCTCTTGATGTTAGGAATCCACTGTGCTGAGTGGCCTGAGGTGCTCCCAGACTGCTAGTCACTACACTCCAATGGATGGTGTCAGCCAAAGCATTTCATAGTGCAGTGACAGTGTGATCCGTCCTCATTTGCACATGCCAGCAGCAGCAGCAGTAGCAGTGCAGGGAGGGGCACCCTTGTTGGCTGCAGCAGGGTGCTAGTGGGTGTGGGGGTGCCTGCCTCCATGTGGGTGTTCACCACAGTGGTGGAAGCAACATGGCTCAGTGAGCTGGGGCGGGGGGGCCTCCCAGTGACTGTGCACACAGTCACACTGGTAGAGGCATTGGCACAGGGTTGGGGCACTGGTGGGCACAGGTCTGTGTGCATTCTCAGTGTACTACAGACAGGGGTGGTGACTCAGGTCCAGGGAGGGTCCACTGTTCTCTGTACCTAGTTTCACTCCCATGGCAGTGTTGGTGCAAGGCCAGGGCACTGGTGGGGGTGTGGCTCTGTGCCAAACAAGGGTCTAATTGCAATGGCAGTTGCCAGGATAAGGGGGATGGACTGCACTCCTGCCACAGAAGTGGCAGGTCAGGGTGCATCCAGTCACACATGCTGGTGGAGCAAGGAAGGCAAAATCTACCCATGCGCTGGCGAAGCAATGTGGGGATTTGCTGTGGGGCCCAGCAAAGCTGCAGTGTAAGAGGGAGCAGGGGGGTTGGTGCATGGCTATGGGGGCCACCCTGATGGAGCTCTCCACTGATCAGGTACTATGGTATGCCAGCCCAGGAGCTATAATGTGGGCCCCCAGGCACCCGAGGCTGCTCTGCACACAAACACAGACAAGGTGGGGTCCCAGGAGAGGCCAGGACTAAGGGGTGCTCAGGTCGGTCAGACCAGCCCCATCTGATGAGCAAGACTGCCCAGTAGAGTTCAGGTCCGACAGTTCTGCTAGGGTTAAAGTCTCCTATTGGAGCAAGTTAAGCCCAGGGGTTTGGCCATCCCTAGCCATGCTCTGCTACAGATGCTCCCACACCAAACCCGCTGGTCTCTACATCAGCTGGCTTGCTGACCCTACCACTTCTCTAAGCAGCTCTCCCTGCCAACTGGAGTGTCTGTGGTGGTCAAGGGGTCTCTTCCTGCAGGGATTCCAGAGGTCCAAGGTAAGAGCATGTTGCTTCTTGCCAGTTCCACTCACCTATTTCCCCAGAGTCACTGGGGACCAGGAATGAGTCCTGATGCACAGTATCGTCGTGCGGGGTTCCCAGCTTCCTTCCCCTTCAGCCCAGCTTCTGCATCTTCCCTCTGACCACTCTCAGTGCCTTCCTGATGAAGATCTGTTAGGAGTGCACCAGTTGTCTCAGCCCTTTGGTGGCAGCTGTTCCATGTGGCAGCATCTAGTTGGCCATCTTGCCCTTTCTCAATGTAAATTTTTGTTTAAATATCTCCTTTTTCATACTACAACTATTGTTAAAGAATGTGTCACCCAGAGTGATAAATCTATGGAAGCAAAGCAAATATCATCAATAAGAAATTCTGTAGCCTCCAATGCCTGATTTCACCCAGGCAGTAAACTCATGGCAAAGCTGTGTGCCCTATCTATCTATCTATCTGTCTATCTATCTTTTTTTTTTTTTTGAGACAGAGTCTTGCTGTGTTGCCCAGGCTGGAATGCAGTGGAACGATCTCAGCTCACTGCAACCTCTGTCTCCCAGGTTCAAATGATTCTTGTATCTAGCCTCTCGAGTAGCTGGGATTACAGGTGGTCACCACCACACCCAGCTAATTTTTGTATTATTAGTACAGACAGGGTGGGGTTTCACCATTTTGGCCAGGCTGGTCTTGAACTCCTGACCTCAAGTTATCCACCTGCCTCAACCTCCTAGAGTGCCGGGATTATAGGCATGAGCCACTGCACCCGGCCTGTCTATCATCTATCTATCTATCTGTCTGCCTATCTAGCTATCTATCTAATGATTGGAATATTCAAAGTTTATTAAAAAGCATGCTGGAAAATTTCACTCTACTGCAAAACACACCATCTCTTTATTTTTCCCATATCCAATAAAAAAGGGTTTGATGAATATTCTCAATTACCTTGTATCTCAGTCTATATCTCAGTTGTATATTTTACATGATTTTAAGAAGAGATTAGAAGTTTTATTATTATTTCTTATAAATCAATATTACATTTTTAGATAAAAGAAATATATAGTGGGGTTAGTTAACATTTTGTTTTTTCTAATTATTTATTCAGGCTCCAAAAACATTTTCAATAATTTTTTCACAAATTGCTCTCATCAATTTTTGATCTGCTAATTTATCACTACTGTATGTTGATTAATACTGTTTATTTATTTGGCAAAACTTACAAATAAATGATAAATTCTCCTGTAAGTAATGCTCTTAACAAAAATTCTTAATAATGTTTATAAGCCCCATGCTAGGTAGTAGCCTAATGCCTTTTCTTTTTTTAATTGCCACTTAACCCTGCCTCCTTCTTGCAATAAAACATATTCATTCATGTGTTAGTGAATAATTGGGGAAAGGAAATCCCATACATCTATCAAGAGATACATTTTCAATAATATTTTTATTTTTCTATTTGATATCTATTTATAAAAGTGTTTCAATTTTTGTGATAAATTTTATAAAATTATAAAATAGTAATATTTATAATGAAAATTATATCTTTGACTACTATTTCAAATTACAATGAAGTACTTTATATGTCAAATGCAAATATAGAATTAAATTCATAGCTTTTCAAACTCTTTTGGAAGGTATGCCAGCAAAATATTATAAAGTTTACAGTTGTAGCCATGTGTATAATTATCCTGAGTAATTAAATCCATAAGTAGCAAAATGTATAACATGTAGCTCTGGTATACCAAAATAATTTTGCTAGTCCTATTGCTAGTAGGATATATGCTTTAATTTGGTATTGTTTTTCTAGAACTAGGGATGGATATGAATAGAGTGATTTGTGTTTTCAATCCTCTGGTGACCAGTGACCTCCATGTGTTTACATATTTGACAAATGCCCAGGTTGGTCAATTGTTAGCAATAAGGAAAATCTTACATGATTATATAAGTATGTTGCCCTAGAACTTGGCCTCCTATTGCATAGAGAGGCTTATTTCTAAGAGAAATGTACCCACTGGGTCTTTCTTGGACAATTCATCATATATTATTATGCAAAGTAAAAGCTGGCAATAAAAAGCTTGGTTTTTAAAAAGGGAAAGAAAAACAGAGAATTGGATTAGTTTCAATTTGTTTTATTTAACTTGTATTCTGTTATTTCCAAGTTTCTGTTTGGAAAATATGAAATGCCAACATTTTATATAATGATGTCATTGCTATAAAAATCATTTTTAAAATTTTTCCTTTGAGGTTTAGTTTAGTTAGTTCTGCAATAAGCTGAATTGAGGCTCTTGAATCAGATCCCAAACAAAAAAGAAAGTAAATTGCCCACCATTTTAAATAAAAATTGAGTGTTTATTTTATTTTGTTTTTCAGTGCCATATTTGAAACTAGAAGCAGTTTGTTTAAACATGATCATTTATATTTGAAAAGTGCATTTCCCCCTAAGATAAGCATTCACATCAAAAGGAACATTACAAAGTTTCATAAACAATAAAGTCAATCAGTTAATTATTCTTGGACCAGTATATTGACTTCTGGTGAGTTTCTACTAATATACTTTTAAAAATAACTGGATTGTATTACTTGCTAAAATACCACTAAAGGAAAACCCTACCAGAAACCAAAAAAAAAAAAAAAAGCTAATGAAAAAATTGCAATTTTTTATTGTATAGTATGCATCATTTGGTAAGATTAAGAAGTACTGAAAGAGATCTTTTATGTCACATAAATACATATTAATTCAGTCTGAATTCATACTCTGTAGGCAGTTAATTCATGTAATCGTGAGAATAAGGAAGAAGTAAAAAGGTAGAGAGAAAAAACCTAAGAAAAGGGTTATTATGTTTTGGGAGTAAGGAATAGGGCCAGAGGGAATATAGATATTCCCAGGAATCTATTTCTTTCTTGCCTGAAAGTTCTGTCAAGAATGAAGAGCTCCTCACACTGTGCTTATATTTGAAACCCAGAGAATTACTGGAACCCAAGGATCAGGAGAGAATAAAGAGGGATTGAAATCTAGGGGTCATGCAAAGTAGAGAGATACAATCCTCAGGGGCAGAAACCAATTTCATGTTGTGACTACAAGTCATCACCATCATAGTAGTCAGAAAGACCTGGAAAGCAAGTGACTCATGCAATTATTTTCTCAGTGAAAACTTGGGTGCATGCACATGCCAGTTTTTGGGTTAAGTTCTAGGTATACAATGAAGAGAAGTAGTCCTTGCCTTCTAAGAGTGCATAATATAGTGGCAGAGACAGACAAGAAAACAGTCACTCACAACATAGGGACCTAAAGGGGATGTGTCTACAGTGCATGGGGATTGCAGAAGAGGGCCTCTTCCCAGCTTTCAGAAAACCCTGGGGGGCTGACCAAAGAAGGTAGGATATCCTGACTGAATTCTGAACGCTGAGTATAATTTAATTATTGAAAAGTGTGGAGGAGAGGGAGAAGCAGGGAACTGGGATCACAAGAGGAGTAAACAATCTATGTAAAAGACGCGGCAGGAAGAGAGCTTATTTCAGGTGAATTGACTGCAATAGCAGTTTATGCTTTAGGACAATAGGGTGCCAGTGGGGAGATTTTGAGTAGAAAAATAATATACATCATTTGAATTTCCCTGTCAAAATATAACCTCTGGATGCAGTGTACAGAGAATAGTCAAAGGGAGCAAAAACTGAAGGCAGAAAGATTAGAAGACTGTTGCGTTAATTCCTTTATTTCTATTTTTCAAAATTTAAGAACCTCAATCTGAGATTTCTCATCCATGCAGTGAGAACTTTCAATGAGCCATTTATATATACAACCTTTCTGCCAATCAGGAACTACTTTTAATGGTCTCAGTGTAGATATATATCTTATTCAGCTTGACTGCCATAACAAAATACCGTAGGCTGGGTGGCTTCAAGAATAGAAATTCATTTTCTCTCTGTTCTAAGGATAGAAGTTCAAGATCAAGGTGCTGATATAGTTGATTCCTGGTGAGGGCTTTCTTCCTGGCTTGCAGACACAGCTGCCTTCTGGCTATGTCCTCACATAAAGGAGGAAGACAGAGAAGGAGGAGAGAGGGAGGGAGGGAAAGAGGGAGAGAGAGAAGAGAGAAAAGAGAAATACCTCGTGTCTCTTTTTATGAAGGTGCTCATCTCATCATAAGAGCCCCATTCTCATGACCTTATCTAAACCTAACTAATATCTCCAAAGCCCCATCTCCAAATGCCATCACATTAAGGGGTTGGGTTTCAACATATGGATCGTGAAGCTGAGGGGAGCACACGTCAGGGCATAGCACTTCAGTTGATATATTAGTTATGTAATTAAAATCCAAAAGAGTAATCCTTTTCCAGAGGGGTTGCTAATAATCTAGTCCTTTCAATTATGTCATTTTGTAAATAAGGAGACCCTTGTCTTATTCTTAATCATCTTTAAATATTTTGGTGCTAGAAGATGGTCTCTTCAGATGGTCACTTATTGTTTCTTAGAGTGACAGAATATAGAATAATAATGTGCATAATAGTAAACTCCTCTGCAGTTTTGCAATGTGTTGAGCCCAAATAATATAAATATAGGGCCCTATGAAAACACACAAAAAAAGGGACACCAAAGCCCAGGCTGGAAATCAAAGAGATGTTGGTTCATGGGTTCAAAAATACAGTTAGATAGAAGGAATAAGTAAGTCCTAGTGTACAGTAGCACACTAGGGTGGCTACACTTAACAATAATTTGTTGTATATTTCAAAATAGCTGGAAGGGAAGATTTGAAATGTCCTCAACACAAAGACATGATAAGGGTTTGAGGTGATGGATATCCCAATTACCATGATTTGCTCATTACACATTTTTCACCTCAACTCCACTGAGTCATCTTTGACACCACGTCCTTTTTACAATTTCATCCAGGACAGTGCTTTATAAATTGTTTATGAAAAGCAACTCCCCATCCATTGGTAAGTTTTTGAACATCAAACTGGAAAAAAATGCATAGATAGTAACTTTCACCTTTTATTAATCTGTTAATCATCATCTATTTAATCAATAAACATTTTCTAAGCACCTAGCTGTATAAGGTACTTTCCAGATACCTGTGGGGGAGGAAAAGAGGATTTGCATGCCATAGTTAAGTGTCATTGTACACATTTTCATCATAACAGTTAAAGGTAAATTCTCTTTCCCTCTTCTGCATTAACAGCATAAGTCTGCATGGAGCTCATATTGACTATTTTCTTGTGAACTAGATAAGCTTCAGCTTGGTTGAGTAGATAACACCACCAAATAAATTCCCTTGGGGATTAAAATGTGTGTGGTGTCAGTGACCTAGCATAAACACAGGCAAATAATATCTGCAGACAAATGGTAAATTTGTATATTTGTTCTCTGAGGCATACTCTTTGAAAATTTCAAGAATAATCTATCTTAGGAATAGATGTTTCCCTTGAAAGAAAAATGGTACATCTCTGGCAAGTAATCAGAGGATACATGAGCATATTATACACACACACGTATATATCTACCACTTTTCATTTCTGAAACAGAAGAATTCTCAAAGGACCATCTTCTGAAACACTAAAATTCTCAAAAAGTTTCCCAGAACAGCGCATTACTATAACTTGACACCATGTTTTAGATATTACCCAATAAATGTTTGCAAGGTAGCAATAAACCTTTTTTCTAATAGCAGGCTTCATGCTGTGCTACCAGAGCGCAGAGGAAATGACTGAGCAGAAAGCTCATATACAGTATGCAAAGGCAGCATCAAAGACCTTCCAAGGCCAGTTCATTACAGTACCTCTGAGGAGGGTCAGAGCCTGCCCTGATTGCTTCCTCATTAGAGGTCACTTGCTTCAGTCCTGTCTAATAACCCCTAAATATGGAAGCACTCAGCAAGGCCACACTTGAGGTAGTCAGAGGTGTTTGGTATACTGGGTTGAGCAGCTGAAAGTTGGAATGCCTTGCAAGTCTACTTATAATAAAAGTGTCCCTTCCACCTATTTTTCTTGACAGTCCTACAGCTGCTGACATTAGCCAGCTCTGCATGTCCCCAGCTTCAAGTGCCAACTGCAACCCAATACGCTTGAGATTTGAGAATCCCATTTTCTTAAAAGTTTATAGAAGCATTCAGGCAGAAGTCCGCCTTTTAAAAAAGGAAATAAGTTATTATTATGCAAACAATTTTCTCTGCATTGGGGCCAAGAGCTTTTCAAGTTAACTGATTTTAATTCGCTAAATTTAATGTGACAGTTTGCCTCTTATTCGGGAAAGGGAAGCTTTGAAACTGAGACTGAAATTGGAGCTATCATGCTCAATTTTATGCTTAGAAAAACATATCGCACAGGTTTGAAGCAAGTTTATCTCTGTGGTTCAGGTGTGTATCTACTGAAGTCAAAGAACCTCACTGCTTTCATTAACTTTGGGCAGACTGTGTGTCACTAATCTGGTTAATAAGATTAGGACCTAAACACACTTGCATGGCTTTATTTTCTACTAGGCTCTAGTTACATTTATAAACATTTACAGTTTCTTTTTACTTAGAGATTGTACTCTTCAAAAATTGAGCTGAAACGAACATTCTGATATTTTTCTTAGATTCACAAGATGTGAAGAAGAAGGAAATACAATAAAAAACAATTTGTGTTTGTTTGTTTATCATGAAACCCTATGCTGAACCCAGATTTTGTAACCCATGCTTTTAGGGATTATGTCTTATTTGTACCTTGAAATTGGTACAATGTCAAGAACATAGCAGTTGTATAAATCTATATCATAAATAGAAAAAAAAACCCTGCATTTACTATTATGTGTCATTCCCTGACTTATGTGTTCTTCCTTTAAGTGAAATTCACCTTACAAGGTAAATTAGTGGGGAGTGTGTTCAGCTGCAAGTGGTATAAAATGAGAAGGATCTTAACTCAAAGAGTACCTCAAATATAACTGAATCTGGAGGCAGACAACTGTGAGCATGAATTCAAAGGCATGATGGTTGACATCTCTGCAATTGTTTTGATCTTTCCTTAATGATGTTGTTTCACATTGCAAAATGGCGACTAGGCAGCTGAAAGGGAAAAGGAAGGCAACCAGTATGTCTGTTCCCTTTCATCAGCAAATCAAAACTTTTTCCAGAAATGCTTAGCAGATTTCTTCTCTTGTCTTCTCAGCCAGAACTGTGTTACCCAGTATCTCTGGCTAGAGGGAGGCTAGGAAAACAAAAAAAATGATTAGATCCTTATGATGGTTCAAAGAAATGGTGATGCTTTGTTTGGATTTGGACACATTTCTCTCCAAACAAATTTGGGGTTCTGTTTGCAAGGAAAAATCAGGTTAGAAAATGACTATTGAGTTAGCACCTAATATTGTTTACTATAGGAAGTTAAAATAAAATTAGAGACCATATATAGCAGGTACCATAACATTGACTAAAACACCATAAGTGCTTCATAAACAGGAGGTATGGTTTATGTGATAATAATAAATGTAATGTTATCAATGAATAGTAAACATGAAATGTAATGAGCTTGTGAGCATCAATGTATGTTACTGTAAGTATTTGCTCTGAGGATGTGAGAGGTATGTTTTGTTTTTATTTGTGAATAAACGTTCATTAAAAAGCATAATAGCACCCATCTCTACAAAAAGAGATGAAAATTCATCTTTGGAGCTGACTTCATTTATTTTAGGAAAACAACTGAGTGGATGACAAACATATGTATCTTAGTCAGTTTGGGGTAGTATAGCAAACTACCCTAGACTGGGTAGCTTAAACAACAAACATTTACACTCATAATTCTGGAGGCTGGGAAGCCCACCATTAAGACCCCAGCAGATTCAGTTTCTGGGGAGGAGCCACTTCAGGTTGCAGATGACCAACTTCTTGCTGTGTCCTCACATGGCAGAAACAGGATGAGAGAGCTCTCTGGGGTCTCTTTTATAAGGACACTAATCCATTCATGAAGACTTCACCTTCATGATCTATTTACCTCCCAAAGGCCTCACCTCCCAATGCGAACACATTGGGGCTTGGAATTTCAACATATGGATTGGAGGGGAACACAAACATTCACTCTATAACAACATGTCAGGTGTTTACATCTACTATTCTGGGTTAGAGGGACTCCTTAAGCAGATGGAGTCTTATCATCTCTCCCAATAACCACTCTTAAAGGTTTCTGAAGAGGAATGGGCAAACTGGCTTTGAAGGAAAGAATGAGATCTGCAGTAAGGCTCTTTCTCTGTGATGTTGAGAGCAATAAAATATGTTAAATTAACTACTGTATCTTAGACAGGTGGCCTAGACTCAACTTCTAAATCTAGGTTCCTTGAGAGAGAAGAAACTTTGGGTTGATGACAGAACCCCTTTTAAAATTTGGATGCTGGCTGTGGGGTTTGCCTGGAGGAAGTGGCTATGCATGGGAGTTGAATGCACAGGCCACTAAGAGCTTGTGCTGAAGTGTATGAGACACAGTGTTAGAGAAAAAATGGTCCTACCTTGAAGCCAGAGTCATGTTTTCACAGTCAAGGAAAAGGTAATTAATAACTCAGTGGAGTGTTTTATAAATATATAATAAGCAGGATAAACAATCAGCCCTATAGGAGATTCTGGCAGGGGCTGGGGGGGTGGTTCGAGGTGAGGGAGATAACTTTCCAGGAGGGTATGCTTAAAGGTTTCAAGGAGAAGATTGAGCTTGAGATGAACCATGAATGACAGGTAAGACTTTCAGAAGTGAGAAAGGGAAAATAATATTCTAGCTGGAAGAAAAATGTGTGGACAAATAGGTGGTTGAGAAAAGGTCTAGTGTATATGAAAAACAGTGAGTATGTCAGGAGGATTCTCTTAGGGAATAATGGGAAATATTTGGAAAGGTAAGTTGGCTCCAGAAAGTGAATTCTCTATTGAGGATTTTGTGTTTTTATCCATTCAGCAGTAGGAAAGCTTTGGAGAGTTTCGATTTCAATTTGAAATGATGAAACAATGTTATTGTGTTGGTAGGATGCAGGATGGAGTGGATTAAATAAATTTAAGCCACAGAAATGACTTAGAAGTATACTTTAATACTTCAAATAAAAGAGGTAAAAGCCTGAACTTGGGAGTGACAATAAGAATAAAAAGGAAGGAAACAATGTGAGCAATATTGCAAAGAAAACTTTTAAAAATAAAATGGTTGGGTGTAGTGGCTCACGCCTGTAATCCTAGAATTTTGGGAGGTGGAGATGGGCAGATCGCTTGAGCCCAGGGGTTCAAGACCAGCCTGGGCAACATGGTGAAACCCTGTCTCTACAAAAAGTACAAAAATTAGCCGGGTGTGGTGGCCCATGCCTGTAGTCCCAGTTACTCTGGAGGCTGAGGTGGGAGGAACACTTGAGCTTGGAGGTCAAGGCTGTAGTGGGCTGGGAGCGTGCCATTGCACTCCAGCCTGGGCAACAGAGCAAGACCTTGTCACACACACACACACACACACACAAATTTTATTATATTAAACAACCTGAAAAGAGAGAAGTAAAAAATGACACTGAGATTTTGAAACTGGGTGTCCAGAAAAGGAGCGAATTTTTGCTGTATCAGTTAAGGTAGACTGTTATGACAATTAAATACATAGATACAATGAAGTTTACTTCTTGCTTGTGTGATTTTCTTTAGTGAGATGGGTCTCTTCAAATGGTTCTTCTAGGACTTGAGTTCCTCAGCAGTGTGGTTTCTCCAAGACGTGAGGCTTCGTTGTCATTTGTTTCCAGCCAGCAGAAGGGAGAGGATTGTGGGGGCTGAACACGGCAGGTTTCTATGAGCCAGTCCTGAAGAAGCACCATTACTTCTGTTCTCAGAACTAACAACAGGGGAGTCTGGGACAGACCATCTAACTCCATTTTGACGAACACCCAGCAAGCAGTCTCTTCCATTTTCACTTTATGAGAGGAATATTTATCTTATCAAAATAATTTGTTTTGAAATTTAAAAGCCACTACATTTGTACCGTTTTTCATTTTTACTCTTTCGGATGTGAAAATTCTTCTTCATCAGAATTCTTAATTGGCCAATGTCCTATGTATTGCTTATTTTTCAGAAACATATCTATTGCATTAAATGAGGTGAGCTCACCTAATTTCTCAGTAACTCTTTAGAAGGCTCACATTGGAAAAAGAATTTTAAGTAAGAAAGGTATATTTGCTAACTATGGAATTTTCTGGCCTTTTTCTTCCTCCACTCCCTATCACATACATCTTCACTGGAAAATAAAGCAGCTTTATTATTGTGTTACTAGCAACCTGTAGAGGAAAAAACAAATTCGATAAGAAATCATTTAACCTTTTATTTCTTATATGCTAGTTATTAAACAGAACGTAGTTTAATTTTAGAAAATAGATGGGATTTTTTTGCTGTGATTCTGCACGCAGCACCTGTTTCAGGGGCCTACAGAATGTAGTGGCACCTTTTAAAATATGACACCTAATTTGTTTTGTTTGGTTTTGAGAGGTGACAGCGTGCTGGCAGTCCTCAGAGCCCTCGCTTGCTCTCAGCACCTCCCCTGCCTGGGCTCCCACTTGGTGGCATTTGAGGAGCCCTTCAGTCCCCTACTGCACTGTGGGAACCCCTTTCTGGGCTGGCCAAGGCCGGAGCCCACTCCCTCAGCTTGCAGGGAGGTGTGGAGGGAGAGGCAAGAGCGGGAACCGGGGCTGTGTGCGGCACTTGCGGGCCAGCTGGAGTTCCTGGTGGGCGTGGGCTTGGTGGGCCCCGCACTCGGAGCAGCCAGCCAGCCCTGCTGGCCCCGGGCAATGGGGGACTTAGCACCCGGGCCAGTGGCTGTGGAGGGTGTACTGAGTCCCCCAGCAGTGCTGGCCCACCGGCGCTGCGCTCGATTTCTCGCCGGGCCTTGGCTGCCTTCCCACGGGGCAGGGCTCGGGACCTGCAGCCCACCATGCCTGAGCCTCCCACCCACTCCATGGGCTCCTGTGTGGCCCGAGCCTCCCCGACGAGCGCCACCCCCTGCTCCATGGCGCCCAGTCCCATCAACCACCCAAGGGCTGAGGAATGCGAGCGCACGGCACAGGACTGGCAGGCAGCTCCACCTGCAGCCCCGGTGCCGGATCCACTAGGTGAAGCCAGCTGGGCTCCTGAGTCTGGTGGGGACGTGGAGAGTCTTTATATCTAGCTCAGGGATTGTAAATACACCAATCAGCACCCTGTGTTTAGCTCAAGGTTTGTCAGTGCACCAATCGACACTCTGTATCTAGCTGCTCTGGTGAGGACGTGGAGAGTCTTTATGTCTAGCTCAGGGATTGTAAAGACACCAATCAGCACTCTGTATCTAGCTCAAGGTTTGTAAATACACCAATCAGCACCCTGTGTCTAGCTCAGGGTTTGTGAATGCACCAATCAACACTGTATCTAGCTGCTCTGGTGGGGCCTTGGAGAACCTGTGTGTGGAAACTCTGTATCTAACTAATCTGATGGGGAGGTGGAGAACCTTTGTATCTAGCTCAGGGATTGTAAACGCACCAATAAGCGCCCTGACAAAACAGGCCACTCGGCTCTACCAATCAGCAGGATGTGGGTGGGGCCAGATAAGAGAATAAAAAGCAGGCTGCCCGAGCCAGCATTGGCAACCCGCTCGGGTCCCCTTCCCCACTGTGGAAGCTTTATTCTTTCGCTCTGCAATAAATCTTGCTACTGCTCAGTTTTTGGGTCCACGCTGCTTTTACGAGCTGTAACACTCACCGTGAAGATCTGCAGCTTCACTCCTGAGCCAGCGAGACCACGAACCCACCAGAAGGAAGAAACTCCGAACACATCTGAACATCAGAAGGGACAGACTCCAGAAACGCCACCTTAAGAGCTGTAACACTCACCGCCAGGGTCCGTGGCTTCATTCTTGAAGTCAGTGAGACCAAGAACCCACCAATTCCGGACACAGTTTGATTTTGAAGAATCTTTTGCGTTCTACAAGAGATTTGGAGGATGACATTTAGAATAATATTGCAAATGGAATGTGCTTAGGAGAAGTATTGTGTATAGTGTTAGAGACTCCCTATTTCATTTTTTTGTTTGTTTGTTGTTGTCGTTTTAAGAGACAAGCTGTCACTCTGTCAGGCAGGCTAGAATGAGATGGCACCTTCTTATCTCACCGCAGCCTCAAACTCCTGGGCTCAAGGGATCCTCTTGTCTCAGCCCCCCAACAGGTACACACCACCATACCCAGCTAATTTTTTGTAGAGACTCAATCTCACTGTGTTGCCCAGGCTGGTTTCAAACTCCTGATCTCAATGATCCTCCTGCCTTGGCCTCCCAAAGTGCTGAGATTACAGGTATGAGCCACTGCACCAAGCCTTATTTGGTGGTTTCTCTTCTTGGTTTAATGTTGGCACTTCCTCCCTTAACTTCATGACTTTGGGCGATAACCCCTCCATCATGCTATTTCTACAAAACATACTATTGTTTTTACTATTTTTAAAATAGTAGAAACTATAGTGTGTACCTCACAGTTTATAATCAAGAGTAAATGGTATACTGTGAGTCAGATGCATAGCATGATACCTGTCACACAGCAAAAGCTCCATTAATGGGTAAATGTCTGCTATTATTGCTCAGAGAGAATAAAAGGAAGGTGCCTCAAAATGTCTTTAAAATGACCATGAAGAATCCATATCCTTTCTCACATTCATATAGAACCTCCTCTAATTGAAAAGCTCATCTCTAAGAACACTGTTACTTATCACTTGTATGGTGATATGAAATGAGAAGTGTCCTTTGGGAGCCTGCCATGTAAGTCCAATGTTACCGACACAGGCAAGATGCACAACAAAGACAAATCAAAATGAAGTCTCCACGCTAAGAATTTACATTAAGTACAACGAAAGAGATAAATGCATTTTTTTGGTTTGCTTCATGAGACCTCTGGTATGATGAGTTGGCTCATTACATTTGCTTTTTTTAAAAGGAACCCTATAAGACATTATCAAGAGACTTTTCAATCCAATCTATTTGTGATTGCATCTTTGTTTTCAAAGAAACTATTTTTGGAATTGTTGGTTTAGAGTTCCATCTCTTAGTGTGGTCAAAATTAACTACTTAGAGATACTAGGCAGGATGTAACTGAGTCAGCTAATGGAACTCATGTGTTGAAGAAAAATTTCTTGACAAAGAAAAAAAAAATGGAAGGTTGGGGCTAGAGGAAGCACCCATGGGAATAATAATGTGATTTAGAATATGCCTTACTACACTGGCATCTGAAAAGATTTTATATCATCTTCTTTCTTGAAAGGAAATTAAATTGCCATAAGAGGCTATGCTATCCTAAAATGGTAGCCATCTTTTTGTTTATTTTTAATTAAATTCCATCCAGATAAGGGATCCTCATCTTCTTTCATATGGGCTTTTCGGACTGCCACTGATCCATGTACCAGATAAACAAAACACCTTCCAAATTCAATCCATTTGGGATAGCTACTTTCAAAAGCAGTGTTTTAAGAATCAGATAACTCCTAATATCTTTTGGTAGGGAAAGGGAAATTCCTATTTATTTTAGTGGCTGGAATTACCTCTGAGGCCTGAGAGAAAAGTTACCCCCCAAAGAAGGAGAATGTAATCTAATTCTTCCTGAGTGCTTGCACTAGGGAAAGTAAGCAGCTGTCTGTTGTCATTTGAAGGGCTCTGTGACAGCTCCCTACCCTTTAAAATAAGCAAACAAAGAAACAAAAATAAAAACCACTTATATCCATTAGCCCTGCCAAAGTGCTCACAATTCTCACATTCATTAATTCACTTGTTACTGAGAACTGATCAGGCACAGGCCACGTGCTAGGCACTGGAAGCACAAGCCCTGTTCTCACAAGCCCACAATCCAATCATATTATGTAACCTTTGGTAGAAGAATACTTTCCAGAGTGTGTTCTGCAAAACAAGTTTATAGTATAATATAAATTGTGATCTGTAAAAACGGTAAAGACTTCTGCAAGCAAATACACTTGAGAAATAAGTTAAAAACCATATATACAATTTTCATTTACTGAGTAGTTCTCAGTATCTTTAATATGCCCCCCAGACACCACTGAGTGCATTGTTGAATGCAGAGGGAAGGATGGATGGCTGAGGGGGAAGGATGAATGCAGCAGGGTTTGGATAAGACCCTAACTAGAATGACCAGATTTCCTTAGCCCTTTCGATTTTTCCCATTATCACTGAATTTCGGTTTGATTGTTGCTCCTACATTTTGCAATAAATGCCAGCATTAAGTTTTAGTTTTATCTCTTTATGGGTACCCAATCCTATATTACTTTATGTAACTAAGCTATACCAGTTCCCGTTACTTGCACTGCTTGGTGACATTAGGGATAAAGAAAAGGGCATGAGTTTGAGAGTTACAATAGCTTTAGCACACTGACTGGCACTCAATGGAGCCTCAGTAAATATTTGTTAAATAAATGAGCAAATATCCGGACTTAAATTCCAGCTCTGCCATTTCCTAGTTGTTATTTGAACATTCTGAGCCTTAGTTTAGTCAACTGTAACATGGGACAATGGTATTCATTTTAAAAGAAAGTGATCAATAAGTCAGCTATTTTCACTTCTAGTGGAAGTAAATTTTGCTTTTCTCTTTTGGAACTACATTACCTAAGTTTATATGACTCCTCCTCGCTTTTATTTCGTGGTTTTAATACATGTACTGACTAGGTCACTTTTTCCAAGTCTGGGCTTCACTATTTGTTCTTGTTTTCTTGTCAGAATTAAAACTTTAGAGAAATCTGAAGGACCAATTCAAAAGTCACTACAGTCCTTTCTTTCCAGATTCCATCTTTATTCCATAATTATTTAATGAATGCTGAGTATTCTGAGGGTTCTGTGCTAGGCACTGAGGCTATGGTAGGCAAGGGTCCTACCGCTATGAATATTAGCAGCATGAGAAACCAGGGGGACCCAGAATTAAAGAACACTCATCTCTAGGCTGAAAGACCTTTGTTGTATCCAGCATATGAATAGAAAAATAACCACAGCAAGGCACATTATTACAATACTTCAATACACCAAGAATAATGGAAAGATGTCCAAAGTAAAATAATAAAAACAGGACATATAAATAGAAGAATGCCAACAGCCTTCTCACCAGCAACATCAATGCAACATGCCTAGGGAGAAAAGACTTCAAAAGTCTTTTATCTGTCACCACTCTTGGTTAGGAAATTATTGGAAGACTTGTACCAGCAAAAGAGAAAAACAATAATAGAAAAAGACATAGAACCCAGGAAACAGTGGTTTCAACCCCCACAAAATCAGTGAAACTGAGTCCTGGGGTGACTGTAGAGCAGGTTTACAGAGGAAACTGTCCAGATTGAAGCAAGAGGAAGAAATCCCTGGAAGAGATGTTTTCATGAAAAGTGTGAGGACTTAAAAGAATAAATAATGCAGTGATACATTCTGAAAGGCAAGTGTATAAAATTATTCAGGTGAAAATATCATCAATCACCATCACAGGCAGAATCACTACTGAGTTCTGCAGTGACCGGAGGTTTACATTGCCATCATAAACCAAGCATTTGCACTAGTTTCTTAGGGTACCAAAGCAAAATACTAGTGAGCACATACACTTGAGAAATATGAACTCTTGCACTTCAATGGAAATTGAGGGACAAGTTATTTAGAACTTTCTAGGAAAGGGTCAGTAACTTCCGGGTCATTGCCATGGCATAAACTGTGTGGCTTAAAACAATAGAAATCTTTTGTCTCCCAGTTCTAGGGTCTTAAAAATTCAAAGGCAAGTTGTCAGCAGGGCCATGTTCCCTCTGGAACTTGAAGTAGATTCTTTCCCTGCCTCTTCCTAGATTTTGGTAGTGGCCAGTAATCTTGAGTGCCCCTTGGCTTGCAGCTGAATCACTTCAATCTCTTCCTGTCACCGCATGGTCTTCTCCCAGTGTGCCTGTCTTCACATAGCGCTTCTCTCTTCTTTTAAAGGCAACAGTCATTTTTCGTCAGTTTTGACAGGTGAATTTTGCTCTGATGAATTCTGCTATTTTTTAAAATAAAATTTTGAGGTAGTTTTAGATTTACAGAAAAGCTGAGAAGATGATAGAGTTCCCATATACTCCACACTCAATTTCTCCTATTATTACTAATAACATGTTATTAATGTACATTTGTCACAACTAATGAACCAATATTAATAATTAACTAAAATTTTTATTTTATTCAGATATGCTTAGTTTTTACCTAATGTTCTTTTTCTGTTCCAGGATACCACATAGGTTTAATTATTGTCTCCTTACACTCCTCTTGGTTGTGACAGTTTCTCAGACCTTCCTTGTTTCTGAGGACCATGACAGTTTTGAGGAGTACTGCTCAGGGATTTTTGTAGAATGTCCCTCACCTGGGATTTGCCCAATGTTTTTCTCATGATTTTGGTGCAGGACAGGCAGATCTCAGCCCAGGAGAGTTCTTGGCTTTGCCTAGTAAAGAATTCAAGAGTGAGGTGGTGGTGTTAGACAGCAATCTTCTATTGAAGGGTACTGCTCCTTGTAGAGTAGGGCCAACTCAAAGACACTGCACCCAGAGTCAGCAACATATGGGCTTTTTGCAACTCTATTTATACTCATGTGAACCCACTTTTAATTGTATGCAAATTAAGAGGTTGATCAATGCAAATTGAGGGGTGGGTCATTTAGAACTTTGTAGGGAAGGGGCCATAACTTCTGGATTGTGTTCACAGAAAGGGGTGGTAACTTCCAGGTCATTGCCATGGCATTTGTAAACTGTCATTGCACTGGTGTGAGTGCCTTATGCTAGTGAGCAGTAAGGGCAATTATGGATCCCTTTTGTCGCCATCTGCTGGTTGCTGCTGGTTTTTTCTCTTCATCCTGTCTGGACCAGATCCTATTTTGGTCCACAAGGTTGTGACCAGAAAACAAGTCCTGCTGGTCTCTTACCTCAATTAGCCTGGGCTTATGGATTTTAAGAAGAAGGCTACAGAGGCAAAGTGCCATTTTCAGCTCATTATACTAAAAGCATGCACTACCAAATTGATTTGTCACTTATTACTATTAACCTGCACACATAGCTGAGATAGTGTCAATCAGATTTCTGGACAAAATATTACTCTTTTTTTCCCCCTTTCCAAACTATATCCTTTGAAAGAAGTTACTGTGCACAGCCCACACTTAAGGAGTGAAGTTATTCTCTACTCTTTGAGGGCAGTGAGTCTACATACATTATTTGGAATTCATTGGTATAGGAAATTTTTCTATTGTCTTCTATTGTTTTTGTTTTGTGAGCCAGCCTTATTAGTATAACCACCTTGACTACTAATATCATTATTATTGGACTGAATCAATACTCTAAAATTTAAAACTTTGATAGGAAAAATAGAAACTTGAAAAACAGTCTATGTTAAAGCTGCAAATAGTTTTTTAAAATGGCAATGGACTCATTTGTCATGCACGGGTAGCAAAGATCATTTAAAATTGAGATCTTTGAGGGCTATCATTCTAAGGAATGGCCCTGTGTAACATTCTGTAAAAGGTTGTCCATGGTATAGGCAGATGTTATGGATGAGAATTTGCAACCAGAACCACTGATGCATTATAAATAGTATATATTTTTTTCTAAATAAATGTGAATCTAATCCTGAATCAGTTCAATCTCAGTTATTACTGGGTCTGATAAAAGTCTTGAGAGTTTTAAATACTCCTTTCTGGACACTAGGAATGTGTGTCCTTTGTCCCATCCTGCAGAGTCTTTTCATGACCAGTGGCTTTGCCACCTCAGTCCCATAATTGGAACAAGGGAATCTCTGCCAAGGAATCATACGGCAAAGTGCAGCCTTCCAAGGCATGTCGGGCAGTCATCCCTCTGGGCCTTGCCCTGCATCCAGGCTACTGCCATGGGGCAGTGCTTAATGGACCAAGGTGCTGATACTGAGTGGGCGCCATGACCTTTCCTCCCTTACTATATCAAGAATTCCATTTTTCAACTGGCTCTTGGATATTCTTCCTTAACTTCCCCCTGCCCAGGATACTTAATAGGTTTAATTAAGTAATTGCAGCTGACAAAACAAGTAGGACCTGATTTCATCAGCTACTGCGTTCTCTCCTGCAGGAATTTTTGGGACATGAAAATCTAAAATGCCTGGTTTACCTATTTGGAATCAGAAAAAAAAACAATGGGATCAAACCACAAGTTAAAACCTCGAAAAAAGTTATCCTGCCATTTTCTTTGCTTGTAAATTCGTTTCAGCCAAGAGAATGTACTTCCCATTTCAATGTCCCCCACTGAGAGGACGGACCCTAGGTCTCTGTCCAGAGTTGGACAACTCTCATTCACAAATAAAAGATAAAGGGTAGCAATTCCCACACACAAAGCCACCCTACCCGTGTGGATATTTCCATTAGGCTCTAGGCCCAATGAAAACTTGAAACTTCCCAGTCCTCCCAGCACTGATTCTAGCCCATCCTAGTGGTTCTGCCTCACTCTGTGTTTAAAGACTAAAAATTTTAAAACAGACTATTTTTTAGAGCAGTGTTGGGTTAACAGCAAAACCAAACAGATAGTACAGAGAGTTCCATTATACTTCCTGCCTCTACACATGCTCAGCCTCCCCAGCTATCAACCTCCACCAGAGTAGTACATTTGTTACGACTGCTGAGCCTGCATTGATCCATCAATATCACCCAAAATCCACAGTTTACATTAGCATTCACTCTTGGTGTTGTACTTCCTATGGGTTTGGACAAATGTTTAATGCCATGCATCTATCATTATAGTAACATATAAAGTAGTTTCACTGCTCCAAAAATCCTATGTGCTCTGCCTGTTCATTCCTCTCTCCATCTCCTCTCACCCCTGGCAACCCAGGATCATTTTATTATCTCTAAAAAAGTTTGCCTTTGCTAGAATGTCATATAGTTGGAATCATACAGCATGGAGCCTTTTCAAATTGGCTTCTTTTATTCAGTAATATGCATTTATGTTTTCCCCATTCTTTTTTCTTGGCTTGATAGCTCATTTCCTTTTAGCACTGAATAATATTCCATTGTCTGGATGTACTTCAGTTTATGTATCCATTCACTTACTGAAGGACACCTTGGTGGCTTCCAAGTTTTGGCAATTATAATTGAAGCTGCTGTGAACATCCATGGGCAGGTTTCTGTGTGGACATAAGTTCTCAACCCCTTAGGGTAAGTATCAAGAAGAGTGATTGTGATTGCTGGCTCATGTGCTAAGAGTATGTTTAGTTTTGTTAAGAAACTGCCAAACCATCTTCCCACTGTTTAGGGATTTTAAAACTGGCAGAAAGTTCAGTTGGTCCTCAACCAATTCTACAGCCATGTCTCTGCATCATCAGAGTCCCTGTGCCAGCGATCAGGAGAGAGTTCTCAGGACTATGATGGGTGAGTAGTCAGCCACACCAGAGCCAGGCAATCATCTCTCAATGAAAATTCTGGCCTTGATACCTCCTCTTCCTGATTATTGAGAAAAAGGAATGCTGATGATTTGGCTTGTGCTCTTCAGAGATCAGAGTTGGTGCATGCTCTGGTTCCTCTTTGGGTTTCTGAGCCCTAGCCCAACACACACACACACACACACACACACACACACACACACACACACACAGAGAGAGAGAGAGAGAGACAAATGTGCTTTAGCTTCCACATCATTAGCTTACACATTATTAGCTGGACCAAGGGGATGTTTATGGCTGTTTCCCCTCTGAGGCTGGGCGGTGTTCTCTCCTGTTATGTCCTGACTGTGGGGGTAGGGGGTCCAGCCTCTGCACAGGTGTCCCAGGACATCACCAACAATAGCAGATTAAGGCAGATACAGGTAAACAACCTGGAGTATCTTGGCTTCATTGTATAATTAAGGCGCCTCTGGAAGGAAATATGTGTACAGCTAGCTTCCCAAAGTCTAAAAGTGGTAGTCAGAGTTCTTAATTTCTATGCTAAATCCTCATGAGCACTACCTGGTAGGCCTGAAGCTGGTGCCAAAACCACAGGGACCAGGTCCCCTTGCTTGGGAAAGGGAACAACTATCTTCACTTCTTCCTGATTCTTTATTATCTACAGAACTTGGGCAAAGTTCACAGAGGAGTAACTTTCAGCAGGGAAAGAACCATAGATCTTGGCAGGAAGACTTGGGGCAAAGCCCCTGAGGAAAGGAATTGACTTGTGAACTCCAAGAACAGCCATGCCAAGTAATAGATGAAAGTCACTCACAGTGTTAAATATTAATTTGTTACCCCAAAGGCTTCAGAAAAGTCTTGTTGAAATTCAGAAAATTCAGAATTACAGTATTCAAGATTTAATTTCACCAAATAAAAGGTTTGAGGGGATACTGCTGTGTGAGCCAAGGTTATAATTTAAATATTAACCCGAATAATTTGCACTCTATTTTGATTGCATCCTCTACCTTTTCATAATCCTAAGAAAAGATCATCGTTGTATTGCAATATCAAGAATATTCTCAGTTACCATATGCTTGTAAACTAGTGGTGGAAGCTGTCCTTGGAAAGTAGAAATCACCCACTCATTCCCCTTAATTTTGTAGTCAAACGTTTAGTTCAGAGCAGCTCATACACTGATGGTTTTGCAAATCCCATGAGCAGCGTACACATAGCCTAATTTTTTTTTTCTCCAGTGACTTGTTTTATAATTTGGTAATGCTGCCATTGTATGAGTGGATTTGTCATTTGTAATAAAATTGCTGACCACCTGCAAGATAAATATTGAAGTATCATGGAAAAACACATTTCAGGAGAAACAAAGGCATAATAATTAGAACCACTTATTTTTTCTTACTATGGCATCTTTTAAAATTTTTTTCTAACTACCCCATTACTATAAATTCTGGCTTTCTAAGCTTCAGGGATTACTTTTAAAGGTGAATTTCATATAAGTAGATGTAGCATGCTCTTTCAAAACAGTAATTTAAGTCCATTCTGAAATTTTTATTCTTACATCTTAGTTCTTTTAATTTGGAAATATATCAGTTATTTCTAAATGGAGTCTACTTTAAGCAAATACTCCTGGGAAATCTGAACCAGTTGTGAAATTTGGATTTTTAAATAAAAATTCAAGTGAGAAGTAAACAATTTGCTTGAGATTTGACATGGCCAATAAACCAGAAATGCCTCCCAGTATGACCTGAAATATTTCACAACTTTGGTGAACTGAGTGTAACCTTTTAATAATGATTTTGACATAAAGAGTTAGGCCCAATTTATTAACTAGTTGGGACATCTAATCAATCCAGCTACAGAACTGTCAGAGTTAAGTGACATAAATACAAAATGAATTTTTAGCTATCCAATCCAGTGGCCCATCATGTTTTTCAGGGTAAAAGTCATTGACTTCACTATAGGAAAACCAGATCATGAGAGAACAACATGAAGACCCTATCTGAGAACCCTGGAGGGTCAGCCGAAGTTGCATTCATAGCCAATTCTACCATTTACAAGCACCTGAGGAGGCTATTCAACTTCCTCAAATCTCAGATAGATTATTCACAAGGTTGTTGAGTTTAAGATATTTTTACTGTTGAAAGTGAGCAATGCTTATGCTGTGTTCATCATATTAATTACATAATATTCTGCTGATAAAACTCAAATTTGAGCACTGATTCCAAAGATGTTTGTTCATCCTCAAAGCCATTGAAAAACATCTAGAGATTCTATTATCCTACAAGATATATAAGTAGTGCCATGAGATGGATGTGTGACAAAACAGAAGATGAGGAGGAATAAAAGGAGAAGGAGGATAGCAGGAGGGTGAGGGGAGCTTCAGGATGAGCTAGTTTCTCGGAAAAAAAGGTAGATTTAGAGAGTGACTAAAAATAATTAAATAAAGAATATTGAAAGAATTGGAAAACCTTACGAAGTTAAAGGATTACTTTAACGTTTTTTAGGTGGTTACTCTTTGTTATTATTCATCAAGCAATCATTCGCATTTTGTGTATTTCTCTTTCACCAACAAAAATTTGATTGTGCCCTTTCAGGATGACAGAGGAGTTTATAACACTGTCCTTCCAAAAGTGGTCAGTCACTCTAAGCTTTGAAGTTAACACAACCTACGCTGGTTGATCTCTTAAGAAACACCACATACCATTTTTTCCCAAGGTTTCCATTTGGAAAATAGTTATTAGTACCATGGTGAACAGGAGTTAGAAGATGTTTTCTGTAAAAGGGCAATTAGTAAATTGTTAAGATTTCTGAAACTTTGTTGGAATTACTTAATTCTGTCATTGTAGTGCAATAGCAACCACAGATCATGTATAAATGAATGGAAATAACTGTGTTCCAATAAAACTTTATCTACATAAACAGGTTGCAGGCTGGATTTGGCTTTTGGGTCATAATTAACCAGCCCCTGATCTACAGAACCAGGAACTTTGTATTTTTCCTTCACATCAGCTTCCTTCCTGAAAGATAGGACTTCCCAAGGGTGGCAGAGGAGGGTATTAAAACAAATGCCATGCACAGAGCAGGAGAGAGAGATTATGGCAGGACAAAGGGTACATAGCATCATTTATATCACCTATACTCTTTGTCCAGAAGAAAATACCCTGATGATAAGATATACAGAAAAATATAGTAGCTGTGAAAATAGCTTGAGCCCAACCATTATGCAGGAATAAAAAAAAGAGTACATCTTAAAATAATTAATAATGGGAGAGCAAAAACTGAAAGCCAGGATCAACTTAAAATAATATTCAAGAGGCATAAATAACTATTTTGCTTCTGGATAAAATCGTTGGTTGGATGCTTGGGGAGCAGGCTTTTAACTATCTGTGTGTGTGAAAAGACAGCAGAAACTTGATCTTGCTACTCAGACTTCTTAGGATATGGAGTTACAGACCTATGAAAATTCTAGTAACATAAATGTTGCTGTATGTGTACCAAATATTAGTCATCTTTGGTCATTCACTTACTCAGTTGGTAATGGTTTGTTCTTAGTCATTATAAAAATGAAAATCCATGAGCTTGCACATCCCTCCTTCCCACAAGAACCCATGACGGAGCATGCAATTGTTCATCATTCACGAAGCAGGAAAACCCCTGACCATACTTTGAGAAACAGCAGTCTAAATTTTTCCCACCTTGATGTTTTTGCTCACAGAGTTCATTTTGCCTAGAACACCCCTCTCTACTCACTCATCCTCTCTTCACACCTTACTTCTAGCAGCCACATGTACAACACATCATTACTCAGGGCTGAGGAAAACCTTTCTTCTTCATACAGTGTTCTTGGACTTTCTGGCTTTCTGCTCTTACCAACTGGAAGTAATCTACTGGCCGATATCTCCACCCAAAATGTCCATAGACATTTTGGTCTTCAGCCCATCATGTCCCAGTGTTAGTGACATTCAACTCTGTGTTATGGTTATGTGTCTGTGCTTTCCTAATAAGCTCCTTGAAGAGGGTGAATGTGTTTCGTTTTGCTATGGTGATTCACTGGGCTTTGAGCAGTAGATTGAACACAGGCAAATACCAAGTACATAAATGAATTTTTGAGTGAGATATATAAAACCCTAATAACCTATTACATCCAGGTTCTATGTCATTTTCCAAACACTAAGACTGAATTCTAATTGTCCAATGAGACAACTTCATTGCATTGTATATTTACTTGTTTACTAGGTATACATTAATGATAGTCACTTTTATACAATTATATGGAGTTTATGGAGAGATTATTTGAATATTCTTTAATTAGAACCTCACAATAACCCTGAAAGGATATCAAAGCATGTTACAAATGAAAATCTGAAGCTCAGAGAGTTTTAGCAGCATCACTCAGACACTATACTTAGTAAGTGGTAGAAAATAAATGTGAGGTGTTATGGAAAATAGAAATATTTTCCGTCTTTTTCTCTCTCCCTTCTGGATCCTTAGAGGTTTTATAAAGGTTTAAAGTAGAAGACAAATAAATCTCATCCAAGGCAATCTCTTGTAAAGTATATACCATTCTTTATTATGTACTATATTATAAATGCAGTGTATAGTATATATCACTATACACTATAGTATATAATTTACTGTATATGATATATATTATAATATACTATATTATAAAATATACTATTAGGCACATTTATACAGAAAATAATTAAGATCACTGTATATTGAACTAGATTTACTAGAAAAAATTGCATAGAGAAAAAAGTTCATTTCTGAAAATTTGTGAGGGAAGGTAGACTTACGTAAAAGAATTTCAATCCAGTTAATTCTGGCTTAAAGACTCATCTAATTAAATAAAACTATAAACTTAGCATTGACACTCTAGGTTAATCAGGACATCATTCTAGGAGAAAGTCAAATATATTAGGCTCTGATATGACACTTTCTAAAATCAAATTTCAAATGGCTTAAAGTAATCTAAATTTGGTCAAGAAAGTAGTCATTCAATATCTGAGACTCCTTGTGAGCTCAAGTTGGAGGACTGAAAACCACATCACATTAGCTATGTAGCTGCCAGATCAATTGTTCACAATCATAACTGGGTATATTTTGTGCCCTGGACCATTTCAGATGGATGGAACCGGGCATGGAACAACAACGAGATTGTCAGAGGATAGTGAAGAATCAGAGGAGGACATCTTCCCTCATTTCTCCATCCAGAAATAACACATGTCCTGATGACATCCTCATACCAACATCATCATCCCTCCATTCATTGCAGCAGAGGCCACCACACTGCTTCTCCATCTCATCACGGCCCTTTCTTCCTGCTTTGTCCAGCAGGACCACCTCTCCCCTTAGTTGGGACTGACATTTAGGGAGAAAGATAACTAAAGGCAGTAGGTTTTAGGATATGACTTGGACACATTCGAGATTTGCTTTTTACCCCTATGGCAAAGTTACTTTGACCTCTCTATCCCTGTTTTTTCTTATATATAAGAGAAGAATAAAAATATAGCTAACATGTATTGAGGACTTGTTGTGGGTATTCTTATAAGCACTCAAAATATATTAACTAACTTAATCCGTACAGTAATTGTTACTATTTGTCTTAACCGTTCAAACTACAATAACAAAATGTCATAGACTGGGTAGTTTATCAACAATATAAATTTATTTCTCATTGTTCTGATGGCTGGGAAGTCCAAAACAAAGGCACTGATAGACTCTAGTGAGGGCTTGTTTCCTGGTTCATAAAGGGCATTTTCTCACTGTGTTCACAGGGTGCAAGGGGCAAGGGGCTCCTTTCAGGCCTCCCATTTATAAGGAGTCCACTTTCATGACTTAATCACCTCTCAAGGCTCTACCTCTAATAACATCACCTTGGGAATGAGGATTTCAACATATGAATTTGGGGGAGACATAAACACTCGGACCATAGCACCATTAGTATCCCATGTTACAGATGAGGCACAGGCTTAGTGATTTGCCCAAGTTCACAGCTAATTAGTGGCAGAGCTTTGATTCAAAATATAAGCAGTAAGGTGCCAGATCCTGATTCTTCACTTCTATCCTCTACTGGCTCTAACTATAAAGTTAACATAGTTTAAAATCATATATTTTTCTGTGTGATTGTTAGTGTAACATCCAGCTCCCTTGATAGACTTAAGCCACCGAAATTTGTTAATCCTCAATTGCCTCACTTGTAGAACAGGGACAATAATAGTAGCATCAACCTCACTGAGTTGTTTTCAAGCTTCAAGGAGAAATTACATGTAAAGAATTTAGTATAGGACCTGGCCATAGGGAATGCTGCATTCAAAGTGGCTCATGAAATTTGTACTTTTAGTGATCAAATGCATTTATTATCCTATAGTTAATTCTGCTACCATTCTGGTCATACCATACAAAGATACCATATTCTATCTAAGTATGTCATTACGCTTGAGCTATATGGTGGATTGCCTAAATTCAGGTAGCCTACAAAGAGAAAAAAAAAGTTTTTAACTCAGACAAGTAATATGTTTACCATTTCAGGAAAGTTCTGTAGCTCTTGAGATCTGCTTCCATTGTTGAAGAGTTTTTCTCCTCGCTGTTGTTCTAAAGAACCAACTAAAAATTGTTTTCCTAGTTATGTGCAGGTGTAAGATCCACACGGTAGAGACTTCACAAGAAGCTTTCAGGGCTCAGCATGGGAAAATGAACTTAACATAACTGACAACTGAGTCTTATAAATGAGTGTGTATACGTTTGGTTTGGGCCATGGGTAATTTGGGCTTGTTTGCAGAGAAGCTGAGACAAAAGGTGAAACCTAAGATGACCATTCATATACATCTAAGCTTCTGACAAAACTACCTGGTGAATCTGTCCTAAAGGAAAATTAGAAAAGGATTCTGCCATCTAACAGTTTATGTCATTAGTGGTTTTTTTAATGTTCTTCTCACTTTGTCCTCTCAGTGTTATTGGCTTTCAATTCTGTTCCTCAGAAATGTACTATTTACATTAGAGAAGTTTCATAGGAAAAAAAATTGTATGACTGAGATTTTGCTTCTGTGGTAGGTGTTTTTAAAGTACTAGCTGTTGCCATGTCACAGTGGTGGCAGCAGCAGGATTATTGATATTAGAGGCAGTAAGGGCCAACATTTATTAGCTGAAGCATGTTTCTAAGACTCCAACATATTTTATATCTCACATAATTACCACAGCAACCCATCAGGTAGGTACTTTTTTTTTTTTCTTGAGACAGAGTCTCACTTTGTCACCCAGGCTGCAATGCAGTAGCATGATCTCAGCTCACTGCAACCTCTGCCTCCCAGGTTCAAGCAATTCAAGTGCCTCAGCCTCCTGAGTAGCTGGGACCGTAGGTGCGAGCCACCACACCCAGCTAGTTTTTATATTTTTAGTAGAGACGGGTTTTTGCCATGTTGGCCAGGCTGGTCTCGATCTCCTGACTTCAGGTGATCTGCCCTCCTTGGCCTCCCAAAGTGCTGGGATTACAGGCGTGAGCCACCACGCCAGCCCAGGTAGGTACTTTTATATCCTTATTTCACAAATGAAGAAAGGTGCTGATTATCTTGCCCAAAGGCAATATGGCTAGGAAGGAACAAAACTGTGAATCAGATCACTTCATTCTACTACCTCCTAGCCCCATATTATAATAATATGCTTCATATTTAAAAATAAGTATCAGCTTTATGCAAATAAGTGTTAAGCATCTGCAAATTTTAAGATTTCCCATGTGGTCCTATGGACTTTCTAGACATTCTTTGTCCTATTAGTAAAAAATCTTCATCAATGTGGCCAAAACTGCCTTCAACATGTTATGTATCAAATTTTGCATCCATTTATTAAAGTGTAAAAATGTGGAACTCAAATGAAAAAGACTTTCTTACCTTATATATGTCAGGTTCAGTCATATTTGAAACATGGAAAACATGAATAGGTCTAGAGAGAACATAAATATGAATTTATGGGTTACTCCTTTTGAAAATATCAGGTTGCTTTGTGTGTGAGCTTTTGAATTTTATATGCACACACTTTATAGAAATGTATATTGTATATGCAGTCATCCTGTGTGTGCAAATTGAACATTGCTTTCTTAAATGTAAAATGTACTATCTTCACTGAGGCTGCTTTGCAATTTAAAAATATGAAAGTTAGAAGTTGCCTGGCCTTTGCTTCACCTCCAACCTCTCTACAAAAGTATGACAGTGACTCTGATTGTCATTGTGAAACTGCCAGTGTTAGAGAGGCATGGTTGGAGGAGGACCTCATCAACCTCCAAGCTCTGCTTCATTCTTTTCCATGATTGTTTCTCCTCTGAGATGAGAAACAGCATTACAAGAGTCTCTTGTGTTCATGAGATCAGAAATTTCTGAGAGTTTTGTTTTCCATTTAAATTGTAGTTTAAATTTGTAGGGAAACCAGAAATGGCCAAGTTTTCCATTTAAGAGATCCCAGCAAAGTTTGTGACCCAGGGCAATCTCTAAACACAAACTCCCAAATTAGTTTTTCTTGTAACTTTGGCCTTTAGGCAGGTACCAACTATAAAAAGCAGTGACCATGATGGGTCTGCCTGGGAACATGCTTTCAAAGATTTCCAGGCCTTCATCTTGCCATGACTGTTGGAAGACTTTTGGCTTCACTCTGAAAGCCATAAAACCATAAAGCAGATCTGAGAAAAACCCACAGCTGCATACATCTGATGACAGTCAAACTGATTTTCCAAAGATAAGGAGTTCAGCAAAACCCAAACTCCATGATGGCAACAATGCTGGACCTTTACTCCCCCAAGCAGTGGGTATTCAGTGGAAGATTTAATCCATGTGTTCCTGATCTACTTACAGTTATCTCATCAAAATGCCATTTGCATAAGTGTTTCCAAAGTTTCATGAGCTTTTATTTCTCAGTCTCTCACACAGATTCTAGTGGAACTCGAGTTTTGCCAGGGAAACATGACTCCCAAAGTCTAATTTATTTTCAAAACCGAAAGTTTGTAAATGTTAAGTAGCTACTTTAAGTAACACTTATAACAGTCTTTATTCTCAGCAACAGCGTAGCTCATCAGTTAAAGTGTTGTAGAAAAGTGCCCTTTCATCACCACCAGAATTAATGAGACTGGTCCTTTGCCAGTCCTTCTACTTCCTGTATTTTTTTCAGTGCAATCTACAAAACCCAGCCCCTGACCTTAAAGAGCTTACAATTTAATAAGGACATTGGAAATGGGCACAAATAACTACAATATGTGGCACACAGGATCTGACAGCAGCTTACAATCCTGTAGTGGCTCTCTCTTATATCGAATTAGAATTCAACAGCTTAATATTCAAACAATCATCATCCCCCTTCCACACACAAGTAATTTTTTTCAAACGCATTTTTCAAACAGCATGTGCCTTTTTTCTTTCTCTCCACCTGGCATGTCATTCCTTTTCTCTTGGCAGTACGTTTTCATTTCTCTCCCAAAATTCTGCCCATACTTTTATCATAGCCTTCCTTCTTATGCATGGATCCTTAGCTGGGTACAGACTATTATAGCAGGGTGACTGTGTAAAAATTGTGTGTGCATCTGTGTGTGGTGTGTGCATGCACGTGTGTGCGTATGTTTTCATACTCAGAAATATGGCCTTATCTAGACCAGATTTGCTGAGAATTGTGCCTACCTTACCTTTGTGAGAGCGTATTTCTTGTGTTGCTTAGTGGGACTCTTCCAGATTGTCCATCAAACTTTTCATTTTGTGTCACCAAACTCTTTGGTAAGAGAATGAAGTAAAACAGGCTTTTCAGAGCTGGAAATACCTAAAGAAGGAGAGAGCAGGAAACTCGAGGAGGAATAGGAGGCAGTATGTAGCCAGCTCGTAATTCGGATCTCATCCACTAATTATGGCATATGTGAGAATATATGAGTCATCTCTGTTCTTGAGCATCAAGACTGCATATACCTCTCCTTGGACCATCACTTCATGATATCACCCAGTGACAGTCGGGGTGAGAATTCCAGCAGGGCGCAGTGGCTCATGCCTGTAGTCCCAGCTCTTTGGGAGGCAGAGGCAGGAGGATTCCTAGAGGACAGGAGTTCAAGACCAGCTTGGGCAACTAAGTAAGACCCTGTCTCTACAAAAAATTTAAAAATTAGCCACCCATGGTGGCACACACCTGTGGTTCCACCACTTGGGGGGCTGAGGCGAGAGGAGTGTTTGAACCCAGGAGGTTGAGGATGTGGTGAGCTATGATGGCACCACTGCAGTCCAGCCTGGGTGGCAGAGTGAGACCCTGTCTCAAAAAAATAAAAAAATAAATAAATAAGAAAGAAATTCCCAGGCCTATTTTCCCATTGCCCTGGGGAGCCATTTTGTATCCCAAGCTGAAGCCAATTTAATCTGAATTCATTAGACCATTCAATAAATATGTATTGTGTGATATTATGAGTTAAAACTGTAACAAATTTAATGGGAAATTCAGTTGTACATGAAGTATGATCCCTGCCCTCAAGAAGCTTACAGTTATCTTGCACTTGGAAGCACAGATCCTTAGAAATAGAAAGAACCCCAAAAGTCCAGGTGTCTCATTATTTAAATGAGATAACTGAGATCTAGAGAGTAAATGTGATTATCTTTAGTCAGTGCTCTTGTCTAGGTCAGACACAGTGGCTCACACCTGTAATCAGAGCACTTCGGGAGGCCCAGGCAGGCAGATCGCTTGAACACAGGAGTATGAGACTAGCCTGGGCAACATGGTAAAACCTCATCTTTACCAAAACTAGAAAAATTAGCTGGATGTGATGGTGTGTGCCTGTAGTCTTAGCTACTCCAGAGGCTGAGGTGGGAGGATTGCCTTAAGCCCAGGATGTCAAGGCTACAGAGAGTTGTGATCTTGCACTCCAACCTGGGTGATAGACAAGATCCTAGCTCAAAAAAAAAAAAAAAAAAAAAAGCTCTTTTCTATAACCCAGGTTCCAGATTCAATTCTGTGTTTTTTCCATTATGTGATGCTTTGAGAGGTTACTTCGTTTTGTAGTTATTTTTCTTTTTCCCTCCCTAGCTAAATTATAGGTCTCTTTAAAGGCAGGAAGTAATGTCTGATATTTCTTTCCCATTCAGGCCACCCAAGTATGTTATGCATAATTAGACAGACTTAAGTATTCAGTAAATGTTTGTGGGATGAGCAAGTAAGTAAAGTAATGAATGAATAGGTAGTGCGAACACAAATCACTAAATGGGAGAGAAAGCCTGGAAAACACTCATTCTTTCTTATTCCATGTCTCTGTAGTGATTGCCCTTGGTTTGTGGCTTAGCAGCTGTCAGTGTGAAAAACACTTAGAGGCTTAGTTGACTCAACACAACTCCAAATGCTAATGTAAACTTAGGTCTCCTTAAAGGAGGTATACTGTCCAAGGTAGGGACATCATAGTTCCACTCTGAACTCTTCAAATGGTCTATATCTAGGTGTAGTTTTTTAATTTAATTTTTATTAATTTATTGGTAGAGATGGGGTCTCACTATATTGCCCAGGCTGGTCTCAAACTCCTGGCCTCAAATGATCCTCCTGCCTTGGCCTCCCGAAGTGTGGGGATTACAGACATGACCCACCCATGCTCAGAACCTCGGAAGAGTTTTTAAGGGGGCTTTTGACAATAGTTAATCTCATACAATTGTCTTTAAGAGATACTTAAAGACACTAAACATGCCTTATTTAATTTTGTGTACTTCACCTAACAAAATACTTTTCGCAAAACTATAATGTGCCTAAAGGAGAAAGACTGCAATGGAGAATGGTTCAAATCCACACAGTATGAAGGATGGTTAAGAAGCCAGCTGGGTGTGTGGGGAAGGGCTTTGAATATCCAAAGAACTATCATATGGGAAAGGAGTTGGATTTATTCTACATGTTTTCAGAGGATACGAACTCCTGTCCTCTAGGAATCCTCCTGCCTCTGCCTCCCAAATACTTGTGAATGCTACCTGGACACCGATTTGGATGAATACAAAGTACATTTTTTGCAATTAGAGAGTTACTTGAAAACAAAAGTGGCTGTCTGCTGAGGTGGAGCATGCCCTGCTGCTGACAATGTTGAAGCAGGGTCTGGACAACCCCTTGTTGAGGGCATTTGGTGGCCAGATCTTCTTTTCAGTGTCTTCAGACCTTGGGCTCTGATGAAGGTGACGGTGTGGCTCTGCCACTGACATGGCACAGTGCCTGGCCTGTGCAGCTTATTTCTGCTTCTTCCGTGGCCCTTACCTTTATTGACAATTTCTTAGCAATCCATAACTGTCCATGGAAACTAAACTTCAGAAGATTATTGAAGCATTTCTCCTTTCTTGCTTGTTCTGGAAAATTACTCTCACTAAACAGTGTGTGTTATTATATACATCCTCTGCTACCCTAACCCAACCCTAGTGTTGTTTAAAGGCAATGAGACAACATCATATAGTGATCAATATGGTCAACAGAGCTCAAATCCTTGCTCCAGCAGTTGCCAAGTTGGGCGATTTTCCTAATCTCGCTACCCTCCTTTTCCCAAACTATACAATAGGGTCAATGATATTATCGATCTCAGCAATACGATTGAGGATTAAATGGCATAATGCATGTAGAGTGTTTAAGTACAGTGCCTGAAATACAGTAGATGCTCATTGATAGCAACTATATTTCATTGTTAATAAAAGAGACAAATTTCTTTCAGCTGCTTTGATTTAAGAAGACAATACCATTTCCAGACATCTCTTTCCTGGGGCTAACTATATTAGTATTCTGCCCTGATGGGAAGGAAGAAACTTCATGGGCAGTAAATAGCCAATTTAGAAGCAGGAGAAATATGAGGTAAGCTGAAATGTTACCCCCTGCTGGCTTTTTGAAATGCAGATTCATCAATTTCTTTGATGTCCCTAGCCACTTCCAATGAACATCTTTCAGCATATTATTTGCTTTCTTAACCACATCACTTTTCACTGAGTTCAACATTCCTGGAGGATTCAAAGGATCTTGGTACATTCCTCCAAAATGAATTCAGAAGGTAAGTGGAAAGAGATGGGAAAACATCTTTGAATAGGATCCAGGTTCAGACTAGGGGTGGGAGGAAGTCTGGGGTGGGTGGGTAACAGTGACTCAAAAGGTAACAGTGAATTCAGCTTCAGGATTTCCGTGTGCCAGTCTACTCTGCCAGTGGCCTGATGACTAACCGCAGCCAAGCAACCCATTCATCTCCTTTGCCTAAATAAGTGGACACGATGGCATTCAGCCTCCTGAAGGGGAAATGGAAGGACCACACAGGGAATCAGAGGGTCTCCTTGGGAAAGCAGGAATTAAAGGGGTCATCACTTTCAGCCTTCCCTTAATCTGTTGTTTTAGGGAGTCCACGTTCATAGTAGAATATTTTCCCTTTTAAAGTTAAGCACTTAGAATAATGCATTTTCAAATGATTAATCAAATCCCAGTGAGAAGCAGGCTCACTATGCACTGGTTACTTCAGCCCACTGCATCTTGGGCTGCACTTTGACTACTTGCTCCGGTAAGAGAGAATACTCACACATACAACAGGTTCCATGAAATGGTGGCAAGGAACAGCAGACACCTTGGATTCATGGTGAGCTGGTTTCTCAAGGCTCAGGAAAGCTGCCCAGGGCAGGTGGAGTCTCATCTGCGTGTGCCTCACTTGCACCCCAGATGCAGGACCCTGGAAAGTAGCCGTCTCTGGGTTTTCTACTCCAGGGATAACATGACCTGCTGGATTAATGTGCTGAAGGACATCCTGTTTCTAGCGGGGACTGGAACAGAGCCTAGGCCTTATCTCGGGATGTTGCATTCCCAGCACATTCTAGTTATTCTTAAAACTACAAGTGAGAAAGCGGGAGGACTGGTTTGGTCCAAGGCCACCTAGGGAACTGTCCTGCACCAGATGCAAAATATCACTCATCAGAGGTCCTCTTAATACCCATCTCTAATCCTGGGCTGGCAACATTGAAGTATACATCTTTGTTCAGGAGTCTGTCTTCTTACTAAACTGTACACTCCTTACAGACAGAAACTGGCTTTTATTTATTTTGTATCCCAAGCAGGGTAGAAATGTACATCAGATATTACACGTTGGCATATTTAACTACATTAAATCCTTCTTCCAGAAAATCATACTGTGTGCTGGAGACCAGAAAGCTAACAATATTAAGGGTAGTTATTCAGACTCCCTGAGAGTCAAGCTGCATCTTGAACCAACTTCTCCAAACAGACTCAGCCACGTGAGAGCTGAAAAACACAGTATCACAAGGCAGGGCCATGCTCCTGCTGACAAACAAGCACAGTCATGAACACACTTGGCTGTTCTGTGCAGCTGGAATCCCAGTTTCCAGGGTCTAGCTACATGGGTGTCAGCCTAGATCCTGGGCTTCCAGCCCTTCTATTTTGTAAGCACCTAATTACCCCTATTAAGTAGCTTTCTGATGAAATTAGTTCAACTGGTTTTTGTTATCTGGAATTGAACTCTAATTTGGTGTTCATCAATTGTTTGTCGAATGAATGCACTTGGTAAACATTGGCTCCACCCACAAGGTCGACCTTAAATCAATTATTCACACCTGGGCTCCTGAAATCACCTGCTGATTCTCAAAGGGGATGATTCATTAACAAGTAAGAGAAAGTTTCCGAGAAATGCCTCCAGTAGAATTTTAAAATGCAGTAAAAAGAAAAAAAAAAGTCACTGTAAAATACCACGTGGAAAAAGAAGTGGCTTTTTGTTCTTACATTTTACCGTTATCTAGAAAACTAATGAAGTGGCTTATTTTTGTCACTTAGTTCCAATTAAAATAGAGTATTGCTGTTTTCTAAATGACCACAAAACTACAAGTAAGAAAAGATTATTCAAGGTTTACATTCTGAAATAAATGGTTTGTGTGAAGTTGGGAACTAGCAGAATTATTAGAGTGAACAATGCTTTGAATCCTCAGATTTAGGTTGAAGATTTGACCTTTGAGAATCTATAGTTAAATGCTGTTTATTCTTGTGAATCCCATAAAAGGCCTGGAGCTTCAACGGATTAACTTAAGGCTTAAATGGTAAGCATCAACCTGAACATTCTGGGACAAGGCCTGACTCCTAACCACTGGAATGAGCAAGGAAGCAAAGAGCTCTCCTCTGAATTTCTTAGGTGCAAGAACAGCAGTTGGACTCCCCAAGCTAATGCATTTCTATGAAATTATTGTCTTCTTACTGAAGCTTCCT